>NC_000019.10:55365874-55990874 GCF_000001405.40 Homo sapiens | reverse complement strand
GTAGCTGGGATTACAGACACCCTCAACCATGCCCAGCTTTTTTTCTTTTTGAGACAGAGTCTTGCTCCGTCGCCCAGGCTGGAATGCAGTGGCACCATCTCGGCTCACTGCCAGCTCCGCCTCCCGGGTTCCTGCCATTCTCCTGCCTCAGCCTCCCGAGTAGCTGGGACTACAGGCGCCCACCACCATGCCCGGCTAATTTTTGTATTTTTAGTAGAGACGGGGTTTCACCGTGTTAGCCAGGATGGTCTCGATCTCCTGACCTCATGATCCACCCGCCTGGGCCTCCCAAAGTGCTGGGATTACAGGCATGAGCCACCGTGCCCGGCCTAATTTTTGTATTTTTAGTAGACAGGGTATTTCGCCATGTTAGTCAGGCTGGTCTCAAACCCCTGACCTCAAATGATCCACCTGCCTCGGCCTCCCCAAGTGCTGGGATTATAGGCATGAGCCACTGTGCCCAGCCTATTAGAAGGATTTTGAAGAGTTAAAAAACTGCATATGACTTTTGTAATCCCAGCACTTTGGGATCCTGAGGCAGGTGGATCACCTGAGGTCAGGAGTTCGAGACTAGCCTGGTCAACATGGTGAAACCGCATCTCTACTAAAAATACACAAATTAGCCGGGCATCGTGGCGTGTGCCTGTAGTCCCAGCTACTCGGGAGGCTGAGGCAGGAGAATCGCTTGAACCCGGGAGGCAGAGGTTGCAGTGAGCTGAGATCTCACCATTGCACTCCAGCCTGGGCATAGAGTAAGACACTGTCTCAAAAAAAAAAAAAAAAAAAAAAAAAAAAGAAAAAAGAAAAAAAAGAAACGGCATGACTTTTAAATGTACTTTAAAAAAAAGTTATTACTGATAAGGTAAATAGCCAAAATGATGTACTACGTTTGACATGTGAGGCTGACAATGTCCACAATGTGTGACTGGACGCTGCTTTGTGATGGGTGAAGGAAAAGGTGCTCCTACATTAGTGAAGTGTAAATGGGTGCCATCTTTTTGGACGGTACTTTAACAATCTTTATCCGTTTTAAATGCAATTAGACCCAGCCGTGTGTAAAACAGCAAGACTGAAGACCATTTAGGAGTCGATTAAAAACAGGTGGGTTAATTTGAGCACCAACGTGCCCTGCATCCTTAAAAATGCACAACAATCAGCACAGAAAGTTGCCCCATCTGTAAGGCTCTTAATGCCATACACGTGCGCAGAATGTCTTTGGGTGATGAGCAGAAAATAGGGAAGAGACACTACGGGGGCAGGGAAGGACACACTTCCCGCCACACCTTCTCATATTGCTGCTCTTTCAAATTAATACTGAAAAAGGCCGGGCGCAGTGGCTCACGCCTGTCATCCCAGAACTTTGGGAGGCTGAGGTGGGTGGATCATCTGAGGTCAGGAGTTCGAGACCAGCCCGGCCAACATGGGGAAACCCCGTCTCTACTAAAAATATGAAAATTAGCCGGGCGTGGTGGCGGGCACCTGTAATCCCAGCTACTCGGGAGGCTGAGGCAGAATTGCTTGAACCTGGGAGGCGGAGGGTGCAGTGAGTAGAGATCCAGCCATTGCACTACAGCCTGGGCAAAAGAGGGAGACTTTGTCTAACACATACACACCAAAAATCACCAAATACTAAAAAGTACCTCCCATTAAAAAATCATTTTAGTAGAAGATAAGTAGACATAAATGAATTTCATCAAAACAATTGAGGTATTCTTACAATTACCCATCCATGGAAGACCAAAAAACTAGGTACACGTGAACACTGATGATAGAACATTGAAGTTTATGTGCTGTATTGCTCAAAATAGAACCATAGCAAGAAAATAAGCTTTTCTACACATTCCTATAAATATTTAGGGACAATATTGACTATTGGTAAATGGAAAAATACTTATTTCTGAGCACATGTTTAAAAGCTTACATCCTGACCACAGAACAATTAAGATTTTCTAGGTTTTTCTCCCCCTTCTGAGTTAACATAAACCACCTGGATACATGGAAATTGAAAGCAAAACACAGAAGACAAAGACTCTCAACTTAGGCAATGAAATTAAGAAGGAAGGTTATTTGAGAAAGAACGAATTTCGGACTGTCATATCTAAACACTTCTATATACACGTAATTTGAATTAAACATTTCCCTTACCGCTCTACACAATCCTTTAAAGGGGCTGGAGGACCAAGACGTGAACCAGGGCTGTAAAAACCAACAAAAGCCTCAGGGGTGGGTAAGGAAACGAGTATGGTCTAGGGACAGTGATTTTATTTTTAAGATGAGGTGATTGAGCAGGTTCATACATTCAGAGCTGAGAATAAATAAAGGTAGAAGAAGCAAGAAGACGATGAAGACTTTGTCTATATCCTGTCTTAGGTGACTCAAAGCATTTCATTTAAACTTTATATAGCATATATATATATATATATATATATACACACACACATATATATATTTATGTGTATATGTATTTTTTTTTTCTTCTTGAGACAGAGTCTTGCTCTGTCGCCCAGGCTGGAGTGCAATGGCGTGATCTCAGCTCACTGCAAACTCTGCCTCCTAGATTCAAGTGATTCTCCTGCCTCAGCCTCCCGAGCAGCTGGGATTACAGGAGCCCACCACCACGCCTAATTTTTTGTATTTTTTTTTTTAGTAGAGGCGGGGTTTCACCATGTTGGCCAGGCTGGTCTGGAACTCCTGACCTCAGGTAATCTGCCCACCTCGACCTCCCATAGTGCTGGGTTACAGGCGTGAGCCACCACGCCCAGCCTTACATAGCATATTAATACACACAGGGCATCACCGTCCTCACTCCAGGGTTCAAAGCTGAGGTTCTGTGGTGTTGACTGGGTTGCTCTGTTTCAGGGGAAAGTACGTTAATGCATACAGGATGATAACGCCTGGTATTTGCCAGTTGTCAGAGTGGGAACTGATCAATCAAGCCCCAGAGAAAGATGACTGGACGGCCTAAGGATTAATCTGGGATAGGCAGTCACTTTTTCCCGTGAAGTCGGGTGGGTGAGGAGTTGGGGAGAAGCTAGTTATTCGAGTCCAGGCAGGAATACAGCTGGAGGGAGGTAAAGGAAGGCTGCTGGTTGAGGTTATTTTCTGAGGATGAGTGACTTCCCTAAGCTTGCATTTTGTCTCTATGCTTTTTCTACAGACCGTACCCCTCCCACCTCACCTTTCTACCCAGGTGTCCTGAATGATTAGAAAGCAGCAGTTAAGATTATAGGGCTTGAAGTCTCAGACCCAGCTTTGAATGATTTGCTGCTTTCTACCCCAGGCAAGCCATTTAACTTATCTGGGGCTCAGCTTCCTCCCTTGGTAAACAGGACAAACAACACCGTCAGAATTGTATGGCATTTCAATAACTAAGTTACGGTTAACCATAGTATTTGCACAATTAGCACCAAAACACCCTCTGGACTCCTACCAAATGCAGACCAGACATTAGCTAATCCTGACATTCAAGTTGCAGTACCCCCTACTCTGTACTTAATTTTTACTTGAGACGAAGTCTCACTCTGTCACCCACGCTGGAGTGCAGTGGCGTGACCTTGGCTCACTGCAACCTCTGCCTCCTGGGTTAAAGCGATTCTCCCGTCTCAGCCTCCCTAGAAGGTGGGATTATAGGCACATGCCACCACGCCCAGCTCATTTTTGTACTTTTATTAGAGATGAGGATTTCACCATGTTGGCCAGGCTGGTCTTGAACTCCTGACCTCAGATGATCCACCTGCCTCGGCCTCCCAAAGTGCTGGGATTATAGGCGTGAGCCACTGCACCCAGCCCTCTGTACAGTATTTTAGACCGAATGTCTGAAAAGGACGAGAGACTTACCTAAATACCCCAAGTAAATATGAGGTTTTAGAGGAAGATCTTTTCAGCAAAATGGGGTAACTGGACTTTGTTCTTTCAAGGAATCCTTTGGTCCTGGGCTTTGAGCAGCCAGAAGGGAGAGGGTGGGGGCACCTAGTAAGCTCAATACGCGGGTTCTAATCAGCAGTGGAGAACAAAAGCGGGAAGGGCAGAGAGCAAGACAGGAGGAATACTCACCAGCTTCACACCTCACCACCAAGAGCAGGTCCAGCTCTGGGCCAGCTGGCAATCACGGAAAAAAGAAGGCCACGCCCAGCTCCACGCCCACGTGGCGATAGTTCCTGGGGAGCGCTGAGCCAGTGATGTTGCTGCTGCTCATTGGCTGCAACCGGCTCTGAACCACCAGCCCCAGGGAACAGGCACTTTTCTGCACCTGTGTGCACCACTTACAGGTGCTGCTGCTGGCAAGAGGCTGCCTTTACCACCACACACCTGTGCTGAGGGCGCCCGGATGCTCACAGCCTTCAGCTGGCTGTCCTGAAGCAATTAGTGTGTGTGTGTGTGTGTGTGTGTGTGTGTGTGTGTATGTGAGAGAGTGTGTGTGTGAGAGAGAGAGTGCATGTGTGTGTGAGAGAGAGAATGTGTGAGACAGAGACAGTGTGTATGTGTGTGAGAGAATGTGTGTGAGACTGTGTGAGTGGGTGTGAGACAATGTGTGTGAGACAGAGAGTGTGTGTGTGTGAGAGACTGTGTATGATAGAGTGTGTGTGTGAGTGTGAGTGTGTGTTGGGTGCCCTTATTTTACATAATCTGGAAGTTGCACTTGGCATTTTTTAATTTTTTGTGTATTGACAAATTATAATTGTATATTTTCCTGGGGTCCGGTGTGATCTTCTATGTATACAATGTCAAATGATTAAATCAAGCTAACAAACACATCCATTGCCTTGAATACTTATTTTTTTGTGGTGAGAACACTTGAAATGTACTCTCTTAGTAATCTTGAAACAGAAGTTTATACTTTTGATAAAGTCCCATGTATTTATTTTTAGTTTTTTTTGATGTGGAGTCTTGCTCTGTGACCCAGGCTGGAGTACTCAGTGCAAACTCCACCTCCTGGGTTCAAAGAATTCTCCTGCCTCAGCCTCCTGAGAAGCTGGGACTACAGGTGTGTACCACCATGCCCGGCTAATTTTCAGATTTTTAATAGAGATGGGGTTTCACTATGTTGGCCAAACTGATCTCGAACTCCTGACCTCAGGTGATCCACCCGCCTCGGCCTCCCAAAGTGCTGGGATTACAGGCATGAGCCAGTGTGCCTGGCCAAATGTGTTTGAAAATTCCATTTGAAGAATTTATGGTGAATGCATTTTAAAATTTATGGTCTCTCCTTAGGTCATGAAGGTCTTCTGATTAGTTTTTAGAAAGTGTAGTGTCTTTCCTTTCATATTTAGATTTATACTATACTTGGAATTAATTTTGTATATGGTATGAGGTAGGAATTCAGATTTTTTCTTCTATGTAGGAACAATCAATTTAGCACCATTTGTTACAATACTACCCTTTCCCTAGTCTTTTGTAATGTCAGCTTGTCAGAAGTCACGTGATCATGTTTATGCCCTTCTGTTCTGGACTCTATTCTGTTTCCCTAGTATATTTCTCCAATCTCTAATTACATGTATGGAAAATACCATACTGTGCTAGTTATCCTGAACTCTTTGCATTTCTTTTTTTTCTTTTTCATTTTTATTTTTTTGAGACAGAGTCTCACACTGTCACCTGGGCTGGAGTGCAATGGCATGATCTCAGCTCACTGCAACCTCCGCCTCCCCAGTTCAAGCGATTCTCCTGCCTCAACCTCCCTAGTAGCTGGGATTACAGGCGCCCGCCACCACGCCTGGCTAATTTTTTGTATCTTTAGTAGAGACGGGGTTTCACCATATTGGTCAGGCTGGTCTCGAACTCCTGACCTTGTGATCCGCCCACCTGGGCCTCCCAAAGTGTTGGGATGACAGGCGTGAGCCACCGCGCTTGGCCACATTTCTTCATATACTTTAGAATTTGCTTGTAAATTTCCACTAGAGTACTTTGGGAATTTTATGGTAATTGCAATAACTTTATGCATACAGCCAAGGAAAATTGTCATCTTTGAAAGACAGTGTTCCCATTCATGAAGTTTGTATATTTCTCCATTTATTAGGTATTCTTTAATTTTTTCTTTTGAGATAGGGTCTCACTCTGTTGCCCAGGCTGGAGTGCAGTGGTGCAAGCACGGCTTACTGCAGCCTCGAACTCCTGGGCTGAAGTGATCCTCCCCACTTGGCCTCCCAAAGGGGTGGGATTACAGGCGTGAGCCACTGGGCCTGGCCATGGCACAACTGTTGTTTTTTTTTTTTTTTTTTTGGAGACAGTGTTTTGCTTTTGTTGCCCAGGCTGGAGTGCAATGGCGCGATCTCGGCTCAACACAACCTCCACCTCCTAGGTTTAAGGGATTCTCCTGCCTCAGCCTCAAAAGTAGCTGGGACCACAGGCATGCACCACCACGCCTGGCTAATTTTGTATTTTTAGTAGAGACGGGGTTTCTCCATGTTGGCCAGGCCGGTCTCAAATTCCTGACCTCAGGTGATCCCCCCGCTTCGGCCTCCCAAAGTGCTGTGATTACAGGCGTGAGCCACTGCGCCCGGCCACAACTGTTATTGTTTATTCCTATTTGAGATTATTGACACCAGTATAAAAGAAATTTTATGCTTTTAAAAACTGCTTAATAGTACATAGTAATACATTTTATTTTCATATATCGAGTTGTTGTGTGTGGGATCTTACTAATTCACTTTTTAATTATTATTTTTTAATCCCCAGGGTTTACCAGGATTATCAGTTCTTGTTCTATGTATGTAATCACATTGTTTGTGAAAAATGACAGTTTTATTTCCATCTTTATAATGTTGTGTTTATTATTCCTCTTGTTGCCCTGTTACACTGACTAGGACCTCCAGTGCAAAGTTAAATAAAAGTTGTAATAGTGGTTGGGTTTTTTGCTCTCATTTTTATCTTAGGGAAAGAATTTTCACAAATAGTGAAATATTAGATTAAATTAACAATAAGCATGTTAGCAGTAATTTTTTAGAAGCCCTTCCTCAAATTAAATAAGTCACCATCGGTTCCAAGTTTGCCAAGTGTTTTTTAAAAATTGCAAATTGATGTTGAATTTTATCTTTTTTTTTTTTTTTTTTTTTTTTTGCATCTACTAGGTTGGTCTTCCTGAATCTGAAATAGTTCCTGCCAACTTTGTGTTCTTGTTCTGTCATGTCACTGAGGCCCTGCTGTGTTTATCTCAGCACGTTCCATCCACAGGCACATGATATCCATTTGTCTTCTTATTGGTGATGTTAACTTTGAGTACTTGGCTAAGGCACAATCTACCCTGTTTTCCCACTACTCTTACTTTGTAATTCACATGTAGTTTCTGGGGAGAACCTTAAAGACTCATGTGAGTACATCGAGTCTCCATCTACTGGTTTCAGCACCTTCTGATGGTTTCTCTACCACCACATTTCGTCTTTCATTTATTTGCTTTTTTTTTTTTTTTTTTTTTGAGATGGAGTCTCATTCTGTCACCCAGGCTGTAGTGCAGTGGCAAAATCTTGGCTCACTGCAACCTCCACCTCCTGGGTTCAAGTGATTCTCCTGCCTCAGCCTCCCAAGTACCTGTGACTACAGGCATGCACCACCACGCCCGGCTAATTTTTGTATTTTTAGTAGAGATGGGGTTTTACCACGTTGGCCATGCTGGTCTCGAACTCCTGACCTCAGATGATCCACCTGCCTCAGCTTCCCAAAATGCTGGGATTACAGGAGTGAGCCACCGCACCTGGCCTACTTTCAAAATATTCTTTTTCTTTTGCAATTGCCCTATGCTGCATCTCCTTTGCTGTGTATCTGTTGTTTAAATTCTTTTAAATGAAGACAAGAACCAAGGTCTCACGACTGTCATCCACATTTCTACCATTATTTGGTTTGATCATTAAATTATTCCAGATTTGGCCGGTGGGAACTCATTCAATCAGGCTCCTTGTTCCTATTGCTATGTCCCCATTATTATTATTATTTTTCAGAGACAGGGTCTCACTCTGTTGCCCAGGCTGGAGTGCAGTGATGCATCATGGCTCACTGCAGCCTTGAGATTCTGGGCTCAAGTGATCTTCCCACTTCAGCCCCCCAAATAGCTGGGACCACAGGCATGCGCCATCATGCCCAGGTGATTTGTAAAACATTTTTTAATGTAGATGGGGACTCCCTATGTTGCCCAGGCTGGTCACTAACTCTTGGGCTCAAGCAACTCTCCACCTTAACCTCCCACAGTGCTGAGATTACAGGTGCAAGCCACTGGCCTGGCCCCCATTGTTCTCTGAGCATTGTCTTACTTCTGGCACAAGATGTTCCAAGCCCATTCTGTACATTCCCAGCACCAACTGTGGAGTCAGCTCTTTCTCTGAAGATTCTTGGTTCCTTTAATGAGGAACGGTACTTAGAAAACAATACCTGAGCACCAGTGTGCTGTTTCTATGATACCATTGTTTCTACACTTAAGTTTCTTTTTCATGGCTGAATAGTACTCCATTGTGCGTAAGTACCACATTTTCTTTATCCATTCATCTGTTGATGGACACTTAGGTGCTTCCAAATCTTGGCTATTGTGAATAGTGCTGCAATAAACATGGAAGTGCAGATATCTCTCTGATTTACTGATTTCTTTGGGGTATATACCTAGCAGTGGGATTGCTAGGGTGGAGGTTGAAGACCCCAACTGCTCTGGCTTTTGAAATAAAATTTCTTCAGAATTAAGAAATCAACCTGGGCCGGGCATAGTGGCTCACACTTGTAATCCCAGCACTTTGGGAGGCCAAGGCAGGCAAATCACGAGGTCAAGAGATCAAGACCATCCTGGCCAACGTGGTGAAACCCTGTCTCTGCTAAAAATACAAAAAAATTAGCTGGGAGTGGTGGTGCACACCTGTAGTCCCAGTTACTCAGGAGGCTGAGGCAGGAGAATCACTTGAAGCTAGGAGGTGGAGGTTGCAGTGAGCCGAGATTACACCACTGCACTCCAGTGTGGTGACAGAGTGAGACTCCATCTCAAAAAAAAAAACAAAAAACAAGAGAAACCAACCTGGATGATACCTGATCATTACATTGTAAAAAGATGGCTGTTTCAGAAGGGGAAAAAAAACATTGTGATTGCTTTCTAGATCTTTGAGTTTTAAATGCTGCCATAACTAATTTAAGAATGTAGTAGTTAGTTAGGACCTTAAAAAGTTAAGAGTTACACTTCATTTTTAGAGCTCCTTAAACATGAGGTGATTTCCTTTTTCCAGTACTTGCTACATTTATTATCTTCCTTAGAAGTTCCTTGTGCACACTTTCCCCAGACACGTTAAGAACAGGTTTCTTCCTTAACAGTTGATGGACCAGTCTATTGGTAAATAAATCACACTCTAAAAAATTTCAAATTGCATTCATGCATATTTTTAATTAAATTTTTCTAATACCCTTGAAGATATGAAGACATATCTCCAAGAGATGTTTACATGACATATTCAAAGACATTCTGGTAGCCAGGAGTAGATGTGGGTTGGAACTCACCTTACCTTGGTGCCCCCAATGCAGTGACTAATCTATGTGTTAACACATGACACTCCATAACATTGATGGAGCTATTTGGAGGTCATGCCCTACACCAGTTCCCAGAACGAATGGAGCCATTCCAGAGTCAGGACGGCCCACAAAATAGGCAACTGTTTCCCAATTTCTCATTAGGAAAAAAAAAAAATACCCAGAGGGCCACCAGATCAGTCACCAGAGGGTCCAGATCGATTCATCTCTATTGCTTCATCACAGCACTAAGAATTCCAGTCCTGTATTATCTTCAGGAAGTCTCCTTCCACTACAGGGCCCTCCAGTCTTGCCAGCATATCCACTTCATTGCTGTCTTTCTTCTCCCTGGGAAGGATAAAAACAAGGTTTTGTTTTCTTACATTTGGTTTTCTTTTGCAGCCCCAAAACAAAGAGACAGAACCTCTAGAACAGAAATTTACCACCTAGGAGACCACCATGGCCCCATGCAGTAGGTCAAGACAAATAGGAGCACTCTTAGGAGCTCAGGAATGAATTCAAAGTGCCTTGGGGTTCAACCAAGACAGCCCCCATGATCCCTCCTCCTACAAATCACACCCTTGGATGGCTCCCTCTCTCACTGGACCAGGGCTGGACCATGGCCAATAAAACAAGGCAGACGTGATGGGACGCCACTTTCAAGATTAAGTAATAAAAGACTGTGGCTCTGTTTTGAGCTGTCAGTCATCTCTCTCTGCCACCATCTCCCTCTGCCTCTGCCTCTCTCAGCCTCTCGTTCTGGAGGAAGCCAGCTGCAATGTCATGAGCAACTCCCTGGAGAACAACTGAGGCCCCCCCGCCGCCCACAGCCACACAAGTGAGCCTGGAAGCAGATTCAACAGCCCTCATCAAACCCCAGCCAGTGGCTCAACTGAGACCTCGGGAGATACCATGAGCTAGAACCTCCCAGTTACATCGCTGTCGTATTTCTGACCCTCAGAAATTGTGTAAGACAATACGCCTTTATGTGGCTTTAAGTTACTAAGCGTTGAGGTAATTCACTGCATAGCAATAGACAACTCATACACCAGGAAAAATTGTATCTTTCACCCAGAACCCACCACTGGTTGAGAACATGTGTTAGGCACTGTGTTAAGTGCCGTATGTGCGACTTTTCTTTCAGTCATTATAAAATCTCCATGGGAGAAGACACCATCCCAATTTTATAGATTAGCAAATTGAGGCTTAGAAAGATTAACTTGTTCATGGCTATATAGCTGGTAAGTGATAACAAACTCAGCTGTTCAGGAAGAAAAGGTGAAGAAATGAAGAAAAGAGAAGACAAAGACAAGAAAGAAGATATCAGATAGGAGAATCCCAGTTAATGGTTCCTTTAGGTAAAAGTGGGAGTTGGGGGTTTGAACAGCTACATTAAGGGAAATATAAATCCCCAGGAAACAAAAGCAGAATGGTAGCAACACCTGAAACAATAGCATTCCAGGTCCACAATCTCACTTTCTATTTTAAGAGACAGGGTCTCACTCTGTTGCCCAGGCTGGAGTGCAGTGGTGTGATCATGGCTCACTGTAGCCTCAACCTCCTGGGCCCAAGTGATCCTCTCACCTCAGCCTCCTGAGTAGCTGGGACTACAGGCATGCACCACCATGCCTAGTTAATTTTTCTATTTTTTAGTAGAAGACAGGGTTTTGCAATGTTGCCCAGGCTGGTCTGAACTCCAGACTCAAGCGATCTGCCTGTCTCAGTCTCCCAAAGTGCTGGGATTACAGGCATGCACCACTACACCCAGCCCAGCATCTCACGTTTTACAAGGAGCTTCTCTTGTGTGGTAGGTTTTGCACAGGAAACCCGGTGGAGACTTACAAAATGACCTCTTCTCTCTTCTTTTGGCTTGAGAAGGCCTCGCACAAGGTCAGAATACCATAGACTCCAATCGCATTCTTGCTCAAGTCCAGATGTCTCAGATGTTGGTTTTTGCGGAGCATGGAAGCCATGGCCTGGCAGCAGATGGAGGTGAACAGGCAGTTTTCCAGCCTGTGACACAGAAACAGACAGCAGACAGCAGAGAAGTCATCACAACTCATCTGAGAGCTCAGCCGGTGTGACGGCTTACAGCCAAGAAATCACACTGACAGGAATGTGTAATGTTGTTCCAACTATGGTCTATTCACCTATAGTCAATCAGTTTCTTTGTGTCCTTTTGGTGATTTCAGAGCAGGCTATAGTATTCCTCACTCTAAGAATTTATGAGCCAAGTATATCTTTCGAAAATGGCTTGTACCTACTTATCTTCATTCATTCAAAAGATATTTGATTCTACCTAGTGGACATTTTTGACACAAGAGTGAGCAACACACACCATCCTTGCCTTCCTGTAACTCACAGTTGACTGGGCAGGGTATTGAGGGAGGAGACAGGTAACAAAATACATGTATTCAAATAGCATGGTTTTATTGTCCTAATGGGCCAGGTGTTTGGATCTTTTTAAAAAAAAATTTTTTTTGGAGACTGAGTCTCACTCTGTTGCCCAGGCTGGAGTGCAGTGGTGTGACCCTGACTCACTGTAGCTTCAAATTCCTTGGCTCAAGCAATCCTACTACCTAGTAGCCTCCCTAGCAGCTGGGACTGTAGGCACATGCCACCACACCCAGCTCAAATCCTTCTATAAGTAAGTCACTTTGCCCTCCCACACAGTACTCACTGAAAAGTTGGGGAGGCACATCTACAAATAAGTGACCATGTCTCAAAGAGGTGCCGTGTATCATAAATACGATGCCGGCCCATAAGAGTCCTTGAACAAAGAGTAAAATTCATGGATTATTAGATTAATGGGTTAACGGGTTATCATGGGAGTGGGATGAGTGGCTGTATAAGAAGAGGGAAAGAGATCTGAGCCAGTATACAGCATGCTCAGTGACTCACTAGTGACCCTGCAGAGAATCCCCCCAGCACTAAGGCTCTCACCAGATGCAGCCCCTCCACCTTGGACTTCTCAGCCTCCACAGTCCTTTTCTTTATACGTCATGCAATTTCAGGTATTCTGTTATAAGCAGCAGAAAACAGACTAAGACAGATAGGGTCCATGAATTTTACACTGAGCCAAGTTACTGCTCATGACCAAAACTAGATTAAAAAATAATCTCAGTAACTCGCCATTTAACATTACGTATATCTCCAAATGCTATCCCTCCCCCCTCTAAAACTTAAAGTATAATAAAAAAATTTAAAAAAAATTAAATTAAACAGCAAACCCAAAGGGGACAGGTGGATGAAAAGGACCCAAAGCAGATAACTGTCTTGTTAGCCCCACAGGTATACTGGAAACATAAAATTAATTTTGTGATCTGAAAAAAATAATAATAATCTCATACAAGCAAAGGCTTAGAAAATACTGCATAAACACTTTCAAGTGTAGAAAGTTCTTTTCTACCTGAAAATATATTTCACTCAATCTAAGAGATAAATCAACATTTAAAACCCAAACTAGATTTGAGGCATCAAAGAATCATGACTGGCAGTGAATTCATACTGAATTTCATTTGAGAAGCAAATCATCAACAAAAATGAACACCATTATCCAAACTAATCCTGGAAATGAAAGATGTTCTACAAGACAATAATTTAAATGAGCTAGATTAAATACCAAGACTATGCTAATGGAGAGCAAAAAATTTGGATTGAAAGAGGTAAAATTAGATTCATTTTTTGATCATGAGAGGAGATGTTTACAAGTCTTTTCCAAATACTTAAGGTAACCAAAGAATTAAAAACAGAACGAATGCTTTTATATCACTGGCTGGTATACATGTTAGCAAAGAGACCACAAAAAACAGGGAAATATATACATTATATATTTTCATATATAAATATATTAATATAATTAATATATATTTTAATATTATATATAAATATATAATACATATATTTATATAATATAAATTATGTATATATAAATATATAATATACAACATAATATGTAAGTATATAATGTATAATATATTGTATATTTACATATATTTACATATAATATATTCGTATTTATTTTATATATTTATATATACTTATATATAAATAATATATTGCTTATATGTATAATATATAAAATAAGTATCTACATATAAATATTTATAAAATAAGTATATATGTGTCTGTACATATATGTGTACACATATGCAGATATCTTATGTATCTTTATATACATATATATATATATGTATCTTATGTATCTTTATATACGTATATATGTATATATGTATCTTATGTATCTTTATATACGTATATACGTATATATGTATCTTATGTATCTTTATATACATATATATGTATATATGTATCTTTTTTTTTTTTTGAGACAGAGTCTCACTCTGTGGCCCAGGCTGGAGTACAGTGGTGTGATCTCGGCTCACTGCAAGCTCCACTTCCCAGGTTCACACCATTCTCCTGCCTCAGCCTCCCGATTAGCTGGGACTAGAGGCGCCCACCACCACGCCCAGCTAATTTTTTGTATTTTTAGTACAGACATGGTTTCACCGTGTTAGCCAGGATAGTCTCGATCTCCTGATCTCATGATCCGCCCCACCTCAGCCTCCCAAAGTGCTGGGATTATAGGCGTGAGCCACCGCGCCTGGCCACATGTATCTTTATATACATATATATGCATATATATGTATCTTTAGATACATCTTTATATACATATATATTTATATATGTATCTTTATATACATATATGTGTATATATATATCTCCTAAGTGTAAAATTCAATTTCAGACCAGTCATCTCAGATATCAGTCTAAAAGTGACAAACTCTTTGTTATCTTTTATTCAACTGGAAGAATATTTTTTAAAACAATTGTTAACACAGATTGCTGCATCCCACCCTCAGAGTTTCTGGTTCCCTAGGTCCGAAGTGGGGCCCCAAAATTTGTGTGTGTCCTGCCCAGGCGAAACTGCTGCTGATCCACACTTTGAGAACCACGGCTCAGAAGCTTCCCAGTTCTCCAATTCAATGGAGGGAACAATCCAGAAACTTAAAAAGACAGCCCTTTCCTGTTATATATTCCATCCTGAGAGACGCTTATATACAATTCTCCTGGTCTCACAGGAGGAGACGAGGGGCCACTTACTCCAGGATCTGTAATGTACAGTCAGGGTTCTTCAGGGCCTCACACAGCAGGATCACCCCATCATCCTTCAGGCTATTAAAACTTAGGTCAAGACTTTTCAGGGTTTTATTTTTACAGAGCGCAGAGATCATATCCTGACAGCAATTAAAGGTCAAGTCACACTTTCTCAGTCTGCAAAGAAACACAGGTTAAAAACAACAACAACAACAACTACAACAAAACAACAACAACAACAACAACGAAAACACCCTTAGGTTTTACTTCTTTGTTTTTGGGTTCTGTTTTTATTTGTTTGTTTTGTTTGTTTGTTTTTTGTTTTTGCATAATGGCATAACCAAGATGCAATTAATATATCACACAATTCACCCACTTAAAGTGTACCAAATATTGGTTTTCAGTCTATTTATAAAGTTGTATGATCATCACCACAATTTTAGAATATTTGTGTAAGTTCGGTTTGGAATATTTTTGTCACCCCTAAGGAAAACCCTGGATACTTTAGAAGCCACTTCTCACTTCCTCCCCCAACCCACCCCAACCCTAACACCACTAATTTGCTTTCTTTTTCTGGATTTGCCTATTTTTGGCATGTCATTTAAATGGAATCATGTAATATGTGACTTTTTGCGTTTAGCTTCTTTTATCTACCATAATATTTTGAAGATTCGTCCATGCTGTAGCATGAATCAGTATTTCATTTAACAATTAAATAACATTCCATTGCGTGAATACACCATACTGCCTTTATGCCGTCATCAGGGCACAGACACAGGTTGTTTCCAGGTCTTGGGTATTATGAGTACTATGAATAATGCTGCTGTGAACTGTGTGCAGGTTTTCATGTGGAGGTGGGTTTTTATTTCTTTTGTGGATACACCTACTAGCAGGACTGATGGCTCACGGATTAAGTCTGTGCTTCACCTTTTGAGGAACTGCCAAAGCTGCTTTCCAAAGCAGTGGCACCGTTCCCTGCTTCTTTTTGGAGAACTAACAGTATCAGTGTTTCAGGGGGTATTTTGCGCCACCTCTTGCCTTTCACAAACATTTGCTGAGAGTTACTATGCTTGGGGCATTGAATTAGGGGATGGGAATTCACGCAGGCAGAGCCCCTGCCTTTTAGCAGCTCATATTCTCATGTGAGACAAGAAATAAAGAGGGGATTCGATGGTTATGGTTCGGTGATGTCCTAGTAAACCAGCTCTCTAGAGCAAACAAACAAAAGCCCTCATGTGTAGTGATTGCCAGTTTCCATGGTGCAAACACTTCTGCCATGGCTGATTTCAAGCTGTGAAAATGAACTACCTCGTGACAGAGCAGGAGCACCGTGATCTCGGACAGACACTGGCACTTTAAGTTCCAGCTCCCTTTCTAACCTCATGCATTTCAAGGAAATCATTTCTCTCCTAATTACAAGCAGCCAGAAAGAACAGACAGTAAAACACAGATAAGACAGCTAGGGCACAGAGGGAGGTGGGGGGAAAGTCTCTCGGGTAACTGCCAAACTTCACATTCATGCCACGAGCCCCAGTAAAACAATGGGCCTTTTTTCTTTCTTTTTTTTTTTTTTTGAGACAGAGTCTCACTCTGTCGCCCAGGCTGGAGTGCAGTGGTGCGATCTTGGCTCACTGTAAGCTCTGCCTCCCGGGTTCATGCCATTCTCCTGCCTCAGCCTCCTGAGTAGCTGGGACTACAGGCGCCCGCCACTGTGCCCGGCTAATTTTTTGTATTTTTAGTAGAGACGGGGTTTCACTGTGGTCTCGATCTCCTGACCTCGTGATCCTCCCGCCTCGGACTCCCAAAGTGCTGGGATTACAGGCCTCCCAAAACAGTGAGCCTTAATAGCACATTCCTTTCCCTTCAGGTGCACTAAGATAGGGAAGCTAAAAGCAGACTCAGGGGATATGCCTGCAGCTGCAGAAGGATGTATGGGAACAGACACACAACTCTCCCTCCCAGATAAGCACAACCAAGAGTCACAGAAGCAGTCCAAGCCTCTGATAAATATTCCCACCCTGAATCTTTAAAAACTCTTAGTCTATAAGAGAGTGTAGCTCTGACCTAACTCGGCCAGAAGCCCCTCTCAGGTCTGTTTTCTCTAAAATAAACCTGTCCTTAACTGTCAAGCCACCTTTTGTGTTTCTTTCCTCTTTCTTTAATTCTTACACCTCGAGGTAGTCGTTCTTACAGTGATGAACAGATAGATCTCAATATTCCTTAAATTTAAAATACCCTGCAGTCCTTCTGAGTTCACTCCTGGGTGTCTTGGTACACAGTTTGAGAACTCTGCCTCTAGATCACTTGTCCCTGAATCAGAAATAATAACCCTCCTCTTTATTGTGCTTTTCCCCTCAGTGCTAGCACCATGCCTAACACGCAGTAGGCACTTAATAAATATGTGACATAAATGAATATATAACAGGTTCTCTTCATCACCCTGTTCTGCTCCAGGGAATTCAGAGAAGAAAACATTCTGGGACTTACACCAGCCTCTGCAGAGGACATCTCAGGTGTGGCAGGGCATTCCAAATATGCTTGGCCCCTTCATCTTTCAAGGCGTTTTCTGCCAAGCTCAGGTGGGTCAGCATCTTACTCTGCCTGAGACAGGAGGCAAGGCTTTCACAAGTAAGCTGTGTAAGGTTGCAGTTCTCTATCCTATGGGAGAGAAGCACACAGATGACTGAATGGAGAGGGGTCTTTGTCTCACACAGAAGGGTGATCTTCTCAGTCAGGGCTCTCCCTCTGGATGCAGAAGCATCCTCACACCTCTGTCATCACCACTCAGGACTTCCAAGCTTTCAAGGAAAGGACAGCAGCTTCGATGTGGGAATGGTGGGATGAAGGCATTGTGGATCAATAAAACTGATAGACTAAAAAGCTTCTGCACAGCAAAAGAAATAATCAGCAGAGTTAACAGACAGCCCACAGAGTGGGAGAAAATCTTTACAATCTATACATCTGACAAAGGACTAATATTCAGAATCTACAAAGAACAAATCAGCAAGAAAAAAAAATCCCATCAAAAAGTGGGCTAAGGACACGAATAGACAATTCCTAAAAGATACACAAATGGCCAAAAAGCAAATGGAAAAATGCTTGACATGACTAAGTATCAGGGAACTGCAAATTGAAACCTCAATGCAATACCACCTCACTCCTGCAAGAATGGCTATAATCAAACAATAAAAAGAAAGGTGTTGGTGAAAAAGGAACACTTTTACACTGTTGATGGAAATGTAAACTAGTACAGCCACTGTGGAAAACAGTGTGGAGATTCCTTAAAGAACTAAAAGTAGAGTGACCATTTGATGCAGCGATCCCACTACTGGGAATTCACCCAGAGGAAAAGAAGTCATTATATGAAAAAGATACTTACACACACATGTTTATAGCAGCACAATTTGCAGTTGCGAAAATATGGAACCAGCCCAAATGCCCATAAAACAACAAGTGGATAAAGAAAATGTCACACACACACACACACACACACACACACATACACACACACACACACACCATGGAATACTACTCAGCCATAAAAAGGAACAAAATAATGGCATTTGCAGTAACCCAGGTAGAATTGGAGACTATTTTTCTAAGTGAAGTAACTCAGGAATGGAAACCAAACGTCGTATGTTCTCACTCATATGTGGGAGCTAAGCTATGAGGACACAAAGGCATAAGAATGACAGACTGGACTTTGGGGACTTGGGGGAAAGGGTGGGGGGTGGCAAGGGATAAAAGACTACACATTGGGTACAGTGTACACTGCTCGGATGTTGGGCGTGCAAAAATCCCAGAAATCACCACGAAAAAGCTTATTTATGTAACCAGACACCACCTGTTTCCCCAAAACTTATTGAAATAAAAATTAAAACCTGAAAAAAAAAAAGACTAGGTGCAGTGGCTCACATCTGTAATCCCAGCACTTTGGGAGGTCGAGGCAGGTGGATCACCTGAGGTCAGGAGTTCAAGACCAGCCTGGCCAACGTGGCAAAACCCCGTGTCTACTAAAAATACAAAAAGCAGCTGAGTGCGGTGGCAGGCACCTGTAATCCCAGCTACTCAGAAGGCTCAGGCAGGAGAATCACTTGAAGCAGGGAGGCAGAGCTTGCAGTGAGCCAAGATCACACCACTGCACTCCAGCCTGGGCAACAGAGCAAGATTCTGTCTCAAAAAAAAAAAAAAAAAATTAAAACATAGAAAATAAATATATGGGATTAAGAGAGAAGAGAAAGAGACCATCAAAGAATAAATAGCAGACAAGGAGACGGCTGAGGAAGAGACATAATTTCGGAAGTTATAAAAAAGGAAAGACGCATTAAATACATGGGAAGACATGCAAATCAGATAAACTAAGATGAACAGTCAGATGATAAAAAAATAGTCGCTAGTAATCAAGGAAATGCAAATTAAAACCATAAGGTACCATTTCCTGCCCAACAGATTGGCAATAACAGTAACAACAATACTGATAATAGTAAGACTTGGATAGGGATCTGGAGTTAGGAGCACCTTCATACCCATTGCTCTGGCCAATTCGTACACTCTGGAAACAAACCTACTAAAACTGAAGATGAACACTCACCAAGGCCCTGCAATTCTTTTCTTAGAATGTTCATCACAGTGTGTGTGTGTGCGTGTGTGTGTGTGTCTGTGTGTAGCCAACAATTAGAAACAGCCCAAATCTCAACTGTGAGTAGAATGAATAACTAAATTCTTGGATCTTCGTATCAATATCATTCTGTAGTGAAGAGGAATTAACTATAGAAGCAACTAAACAGATGAACACTAAGATATAGATCAGGGAAAAAACACATCACAGGTGATACTTTTATGTAAAATCCTTTTTTTTTTTTTTTTTTTTGAGACGAGTCTCACTCTGTCATTCAGGCTGGAGTGCAGTGGTGCGATCTCGGCTCACTGCAACCTCTAGCCTCCTGGGTTCAAGGGATTCTCCTACCTCAGCCTCCCGAGTAGCTGGGATTATAGGTGCGTGCCACCACACCTGGCTAATTTTTGTATTTTTAGTAGAGATGGGGTTTCACCATGTTGGCCAGGCTGGTCTCAGACTCCTGACCTCAGGTGATCCGCCCGCCTCGGCCTCCCAAAGTGCTGGGATTACAGGCATGAGCCACCGTGCCCGGCCCTTTTATGTAAAATTCAAAGCAACACAAAACGATGTGATGCCTGTTTAAGGATACACGGGTAGTAATATTAATACTATACATAAATTAAGGAGCCTGATCAACCTGATTCAATATGTCATCACAGTGGGGTCGGGGGCAGGGTCAATAAAACCAGTGAGGACAGGCGAAAACAGAACTGATGAGTTCTATTTCATAAACGGGATGATGGATACATAGGACTCATTATGCTTGATATAGAATATTAGGTATAAATCCGTACTTTTATGTAGATATGTTATTTCTCTTTCATTCTTGGCTGGACCCTTATTGACCTATCTATATAATTACATCAATCACAAGACTTATGTTTGCTCCTATACATGTACCTTCCCTATGACTTCTTTTCTCACAGAAGCACTAAATCTACCAAACAACCACCACAACCACAACCACAACCACAGCCACTAGAAAGGAGACTTACGACAGCCTCTCCAGCTGGGCCACAGACAGGTAATACGCCCCACAGTTCTCCAGGGAGTTTTTTCTTAGTATGAGAGTCTTTAGATGCCCGTTACCTTGAAGATTATTGCCAAGATCAGTCCAAATTCTAGGGGTGGCCAAGCAGTCTTCCAACCTGTAGAAGCCAGATACAAATGCTGAGCCATGGTTCTGGGGAAAATGGTACCTGTAGGACCTCCTGGATTCCACTGTCTCATGTCTCAGTCTTCACAGCAGAGACTCGGGGGATTATTTCCAACTTTCCGGCCAGCACACCTGCACCAAGCTCAGGAACTTCCTCCCAAGTCATCAGCAAAAACCAACACACTCTTGGGGCTGTCATCAACTGGAATACAATAACGACTGAGCTCTAACTATTTCCATTCAGCTCCTTGAAATACAAATTTTAAAAAAAGTTAGTTGGAAAAATATAATTGTGTATATTTATAGGGTCCAATGTAATATTTTCATTTATGTGTATATTATAGAAGGCATCAATCAAGCTAATTAATACATCCATCATCTCACCAATTTAATCATTTTTGTAGTGAGAATGTTAAAAATCTACTCCATTAGCAACTTTGAAATAATAGGTTATTATTAGTTATAGTCACCCTGCTGTGCAATAGACCTCAATGCTTATTTCTCCTGTCTAACTCACACTTTGTGCATTTATCTGCCAGTCATCATCAAGGTGAAGAACTGAGATCCAGTGACGTTAGAGAAGGTTTCCTGAGTCTCACAGCCACTGTCTTCTCGGGCTGGATTTCGGCCTCAAGGTGGGCTGTTTATATAAAGACATTCAGTGAAGCATTGTGCTTACCACCTCCAGGTTCCAGCCACCTGAGCTTTCTGTTCTGTGCAAGAAAGGTAATGAAATGCGGAGATTATCCAAGCTACATTCAACTCTGTTGGATGTAAAGGAGCAACGCTGGCAGATGAAAACAAAATGAGAGGTCATACAAATTCTGTTGAGAGAAGGTTCGCACATGGAAAGGCTGGAAAGTGGGGTCTGAACTAAAGGTGGAACTACCATTCGATCCAGCAATCCCACTACTGGGCATCTACACAGAGGAAAAGAAGTCTTTATGTGAAAAAGACACTTTCACATGCATGTTTATAGCAGCACAATTCACAATTGCAAAGATATGGAACCCACTTAAGTACCCATTGACCAAAGAGTGGGTAAGGAAAATGTGGTATAGACACACCATGGAATACTACTCAGCCATGAAAAAAGAATGAAATGATGTCTTTTGCAGCAACTTGGATGGAGCTGGAGGCCATTATTCTAAGTAACTCAGGGATGGAAAACCAAACGTCGTATGTTCTCATTTACAGGTGAGAGCTAAGCTATGATGATGCAAAGGCATAAGAATGATGTAATAGACTCTGGGGACTTGTGGTTGGGGTGAAGGTTGGAAGGAGGTGAGGGATAAAAGACTACACATGGGGTACAGTGTACACTGCTTGGGTGACAAGTGCACTAAAGTCTTAGAAATCACCACTAAAGAATTTATCCATGTAACCAAAAATCACCTGTACCCTAAAACCTATGAATATAAACAAACAAACCAAAAAAGTACAGTCTGAGTAGGTGTGTGGCAGTAAATGTCTAACCACTGCCATTCTGGAAGAGGGAGTCCTGGTGTGCAGTGTTTGCCAGTGCCTGTTGG
Organism: Homo sapiens; assembly: GCF_000001405.40. NCBI lineage: Eukaryota > Metazoa > Chordata > Mammalia > Primates > Hominidae > Homo > Homo sapiens. The sequence continues at coordinate 55,969,003 of NC_000019.10, read as the reverse complement.
GTAAATGCCTCTGCCATGGCTGATTTTCAGCTCAGAGTGGGAGGTCACTGAGCGAGGAGTGGGAGGAGGTGCAGAGTAGTGCACCATGACATCATGTTTCCACCAAATGGGTATGGTAGACAATGGCAGCCCCAGGGCAGTGGTCAGGAGCTGGCAAGCAGTGGCTCGTGGGCCTCCTCTGGAGTGCCACTTGGTTTTCTACAGCATATCAACCAAGAATGTTTTCTAATAAAACATTATTTTATTTTATTTATTTATTTTTTGAGACAGAGTCCTGCTCTTGTTGCCCAGGCTGGAGTGCAATGGTATGATCTTGCCTCACTGCAACCTCTGCTTCCTGGATTCAAGCGATTCTCCTGCCTTAGCCTCCTGAGTAGCTGGAATTACAGGTGTGAGCCACCACAACTGGCTAATTTTGTATTTTTAGTAGAGACAGGGTTTCACCATGTTGGCCAGGCTGGTCTCAAACTCCTGACCTCAGGTGATCCACCCACCTTGACCTCCCAAAGTGTTGGGATTACAGGCGTGAGCCACCGTGCCTGGCCTATTTTATTTTTATTTTTTGAGATGGAGTTTTTGCTCTGTCGCCCAGGCTGGAGTGCAATGGCGTGATCTCGGCTCACTGCAACCTCCGCCTCCCGGGTTCAAGCAATTCTCCTGCCTCGGCCTCCTGAGTAGCTAGGATTATAGGTGCGCACCACCACACCCAGCTAATTTTTGTATTTTTCGTAGAGACGGGGTTTTGCCATGTTGGCCAGGCTGGTCTCGAACTCTCAACTTCAGGTGATCCACCCACCTCAGCCTCCCAAAGGGCTGGGATTACAGGCATGAGCCACGGTGTCCAGCCGCCACAAAAATTTTTAAATGGTTAAAAAAATTATTAAACGAATATTTTGTGACATATGAAAATTATATTAAATTCATGTTTCAGTGTTCATAAAGTTTTATTGGAACACAGCTGTATCCATTTGTTTACCTACGAACTCCGGCAGCCTTAGCACTGCAGTGGCAGAATGGAGTCATCATGATGATGGCATGGGCCCAGAGGCCAGAAGTGTTTCTTACCTGGCTTGTCATAGAAAAAGTTTGCTGCACCCTAGCAGTGATAATAATGAACCATAAAATGATTAGGAAACAATGCATTTTGATAATCTATGACTTTTGTTGTTTAATATATTTGTAAGCCTATGATTTAATTTTTAAAAACGTTGTTTAACAACTGGCTCATGAAATTCCTGAATGATGAAAAATCAGCTCTTTCAGGCTGCCATGTGATCCAGCCATCCACCACTGGTATATACCCCAAAGAAAGGAAATCAGTCCATCGAAGAGATGCCTGCACTACCATGCTTGCTGTAGCTCTGCTCTCAATAGCTAAGATTCAGAAACAACCTAAGTGTCCATCAACAGACAAATGGATAAAGAAAATGTGGTACATATACACAATGGAGTACCATTCAGCCATGAAAAAGAATGAGATTCAGTCATTTGCAACGACATGGATGGAACTGGAGACCATTCTGTTAAGTGAAATAAGCCAGGCACAGAAAGACAAACAGCATGTTCTCACTTATTTGTGGGATCTAAAAACCAAAACAATTGAACTCATGGACATAGAGAGTAGGAGGATGGTTACCAGGGGCTGGGAAGGGTAGTGGGAGGGTGGAGAGCAGGGGAAGGTCAGGATGGTTAAAACCATTTATGCCTAGGATTCCATTATTGGAATGCTAAGCACTTGGGAGTTATTTATATCTCACTGCTCAAGGTCATCACCAAACTCTGATTGAAAAAATTCAAAAAATTGCAGCCTCGGGCATAAACGGGTTAACAGGTTGAAAAAGAATAAGACCTAGTATTTGCTAGCACAACAGAGGAACTATAGTTAATAATAAATTGTACATTCCAAAATAACTAAAAGTATAAATCAATTGTTTGTAATACAAAGGATAAATGTTTGAAGGGCTAGATCTCCCATTCTCCAAGATGTGATTATTTTACATTGCATGCCTGAACCAAAACATCTTACGTACCCCATAAATATATATGCCTACTATGTATTCACAAAAATTAAAATAAAAAGTTAGAAAATATCCAGCTTTTGCAATCCAGTAGGAGCTGGGGCTCAGATTTCCTGGTATCAGACGGATCTAGAGCATGGTCAAATTGCACTTTTTATTTTTATTGTTTTTAGACAGAGTCGCCCTCTGTCGCTCAGGCTGGAGTGCAATGGCACGATCTTGGCTTGCTGCAACCACCACCTACCGGGCTGAAGCAATTATCCTGCCTCAGCCTCCCGAGTAGCTGAGATTACAGCCCGTAATTACAGTAGCTGAGATTAGCCTGCCACCACGCTGGCTAATTTTTTGTATTTTTAGTAGAGATGGAGTTTCACCATGTTGGCCAGGTTGGTCTCTACCTCGTGATCCTCCCGCCTCAGCCTCCCAAAGTGCTGGGATTACAGTCGTGAGCCACCGCGCCCGGCCCAAATTGTACTTTTAAAGTTGAACAAAGCCAACAGCAGATCAAAGGAAAGGACAGAGGGAAACTGAGCCTCTCATCACCGCCCTTGAAAAGACCATCCGGGTACCCCGGTTCCCACTCTAACCCCCCTCTCAAATCTCACCTGAGACACTGCAGACGGCACCGGGGGGATCTCAGCACCCTGCATAGAAGCTTCACAGCTTTGGACTCCACTTCCACATGTTGTATTTCCAAGTATCTCAGATGCTGGTTCCCCGTCAAAACACCGATTAAGTCCTGGTTCAACATGGTGCTATTCACACGCCTTAGGCTGGAGAGGGAAGAGCGTCTCCTTGGAATAGGGTCCCGTCCACAGTCGTAGAATTCTGTGGCCTCACAAACGAGGCTCCCGGAAGCTGCACGTGGGACAGGTGCAGTCCCACTCTCAGGGGGTTTACAACTGAATTCAGGATGCAGACATTAAAGAGTGACACAAACCTGTGATTATTCAGGTCCTATCCTGGGAAAACTGTAAGTCAAAATGAATGGCTACATTTTCTTTATCCAGTCTATCATTGATGGGCATTTGGGTTGGAACCATCATTCTCAGCAAACTAACACAAGCACAGAAAACCAAACACCGCATGTTCTCACTCATAAGTGGGAGTTCAACAATGAGAACACATGGACACAGGGAGGGGAACATCACATACCGGGGCCTCTGGGGGGGTGGGGGGCTAGGGGAGGGATAGCATTAGGAGAAATACCTAACGTAGATGATGAGTTGATGGGTGCAGCAAACCACCACAGCGCATGTATACCTATGTAACAAACCTGCACGTTCTGCACATGTACCCCAGAACTTAAAGTATAATAAAAAAAATTTAAAAAAATAAATGACTCACAGGATCAGAATTCGATTGGACTGAGGTCTACAAAGGCTTTCTTAAAGCAAAGGGAACGTCATCCTATTCCTGAAGGATTCGGAGGACTGGTTTTCCCTGCACTCTCCTAAAATCATGCTTTTGGTTTTAAAATTTTTATTTATATTTCTTTATTTTAATAACAAAGCTTAGCTTTTTTTTTTTCTTGTGAGATGGAGTCTCACTCTGTTGCGCAGGCTGGAGTGCAGTGGTGCGATCTCAGCTTACTGTAACCTCTGCCTCCCAGGTTCAAGTGATTCTCCTGCCTCAGCCTCCCAAGTAGCTGGAACTACAGGCACCCACTACCATGCCTGGCTAATTTTTGTATTTTTAATAGAGACAGGATTTTATTATGTTGGCCAGGCTGGTCTTGAACTCCTGACCTCAAGTCATCTGCCTGCCTTGGCCTCCCAAAGTGCTGGGATTACAGGCATAAGCCACCACACCCGGCCTACAAAGCTCAACTTTCTGATCTACTTTCTTTTTAGAAAAATTTTTGTAGATATGGGGTCTCACTATGTTGTCCAGGCTGCTCTTCCACTCCTGGCCTCAAGTGATCCTACTGGCTCAGCCTCCCAAAGTGTTGGGACTACAGTCATGGGCCACCACTCCTGGCCATCACACGCCTTTTCTAAAACCAGGGACACAGATTTGCCTTGCACCTCTAATGCTTATGTTCACTGCTGAATCTCTTTCTTTCTAATTAGTTGTTTAAAAACAGTTTCCTTGAGGTATAATCGATTTGATATTAAAAAACCTGCATATATTTAACATATACAATTTGATGAGTTTGGACTATGCATATATTCGTGATGCCATCACCACAACGGAGGTGGCTAACTAGTTCTTTTTTTCTTTTTTTTTTTTTTGAGACAGAGTCTTGCTTTGTTACCCAGGCTGGAGTGCAGTGGCGCAATCTCGGCTCACTGCAACCTCCGCTTCCCAGGTTCAAGCAATTCTCCTGCCTCAGCCTCCCAAGTAGCTGGGATTACAGATGTGCACCACCACACCAAGCTAATTGTTATATTTTTAGTAGAGACAGGGTTTCACCGTGTTGCCCAGGCTGGTCACGAACTCCTGAGCTCAGGCAATCCGCCCACCTTGGCTTCCCAAAGCGCTGGGATTACCGGCGTGAGCCACCACGCCCGACCGGCTATTTCTTCTACATTCAGTCAGTCCATAAGGAGGGGCCCGTTCTGTGCAACATGGAATTCAGAACTGAGTTCTCAGCTTAACATCCCTAGTCGCACCATCTTTCACAAATCACGTAACCTCTCTAAAGTTTAGTTTCAGGTCTACAAGGGAGAGCATACGACATTTTCTCCTTAGAATGGCTGTGAGAATTAATCCCATGAAATTCTCAGCCCATTGCTTGTCACATAGTACGCACTCAGTAAGCAGGAGCGAATAATAACTATCACAATAATAGGAGAGAAAATATATCTGATAATGGCCAGGGGCCATGTGATGCCTGGTGGCTTATTTCAAGGAAGGGGCCAGTGGTTCACATGGTGAATTATCGGGTTTTTGGATCTTAAAAACTCTGGAGAGATAGCGTATGGAGTGGTGGCTAAGAGAACTGATTCTAGAGCCAGATTTGACTGCTTAGTAATGATGTAAACTCATGCCTCAGTTTCTCATCTGTGAAATAGGGACACCTACTGCTTGGGATGAGTTTTAAGAGCATTCATGTGCAAAGAACCTAAGATAGCCTAGCAGACGGTGGGCAACGCATACACGCTCACTCTTACATTATAAAAAATAGTGGCTGGTTGCAATGGCTCACACCTATAATCCCAGCATTTTGGGAGGCTGAGACAGGTGGATCACTTAAGATCAGCAGTTCAAAGCCAGCCTGGGCAACCTAGGGAGACCTTGTCTCTACAAAAAATTAAAAAAAAAATTAGCCGGGCAATGGTGGGATATGCCTGTGGCCCCAGCTACTCGAGAGGCTGAGGTGGGAGGATTGCTTGAGCTCAGGAGGTCAAGGTTGCAGTAAGCCATGATCATGCCACTGTACTCCAGCCTGGGCAAGAGAGCAAGACCCCACCTGGAAAAAAAATGAAGTAGTGTTTCTCCTCTTCCATGTAAATCTCATCCTTCCCAACCCAGTTCAAATGTGCCCTCTTTGGTGAGGCTTACCCCACGCAGGCACCTGCTAACAGTGGTGTGTTAGAGAAGCACAGAGTGTTGGGGAAGACGAGCTTAAGGCTGTCTGCCTTGGAGTGATTTACCTAAGGCTTGTCAGCCACAGGATCTTAGATAAATCACTTAACCTCTCCAGCTCTCACTTTGCTAAAAAATGGGGGCTGGGCATGGTGGGTCACATCTGTAATCCCAGCACCTTGGGAGGCCGAGGAGGGCAGATCACTTGAGGTCAGGAGTTCAAAACTAGCCTGACCAACATGGTGAAACCCCATCTCTACTAAAAATACAAAAATTAGCCAGGCATGGTGGTGCATTCCTGTAGTCCCAGCTACTCGGGAGGCTGAGGCAGGAGAATTGCTTGAACCCTGGAGGGGGAGGTTGCAGTGAGCTGAGATCCAGCCACTGCACTCCAGCCTGGACAACAAAGTGAGACTCTGTTTTAAAAAAGGGGGGGGATAATAGTACATATTAATACTTCAAAGGAATGCAGCGGTGAACCATACTCAGTGCTCAGGTCGCACGTGGCTTCTGTAAGGCGGTGTCCCTCCAGAGAGTAACCACCACACCCTGGATTACACAGTGTGCTGATTCCACTTCAGGTACGGTCCTGTGGGCTTCACGTGCGGGACTGCATTTCATCTCTCTGTCGTGATGATCATTTAATTTTATTTATTTATAGTTTGTTTTGAGACAGGGCCTCACTCTGTCACCCAGGCTGGAGTGCAGTGGCCAGATCATGGCTCAACATCACTGCAACCTCTGCCTCCTGGGCTCGGGTGATCCTCCCACCTCAGCCTCCCAAGTAGCTGGGACTGGTCTCGAACACCTGAGCTGAAGTAAATAGGCGTGAGCCACAGCACCGGGCTGAACATTTTATGGATGGGCGCATTGAAGTGCACCAGGGAGATGTCAGGAATTCCGTGACCCACTGTGTACACCATTCACTTAAGGACACAGAGCTATTAAGTTGGTGCAAATGTCACTAATGGCAAAAACTGCAATGGCATTTGCACCAAGCTAACAGTAACTAGAGACAGATCGAGCCGTCAGCCTGGCTCCCGTGTGTGGTTTCCTTCACCACGCACCCCATGACTCATTCCTCCTGCACCTCCGTCCAAGGCTGGACATGGGTGCTTTCCGGAAGTCTAGTGTGAGTGGAGAGGGAATGAAGAAAGTGGATGGGAAACAGACCATCTCCATAAAGTTCCTTCCAGTGGGATTTGTGTTATACTCACAGTAGCTTTTGCAGTTTGCACTGAGGGTGCCTCAGTGCGGCCGCGAGAGCCTTCAAAAAAGGAGGCCCCAAAACACTGTTGGTCATAGTCAGGACTTCCAGCTTATCATTCGTTGCAAACACAGAGCATAAGTCTTGCCACCAACGATGCAGCCCATTGCTCTCTGGCGCTCTACATGGAAGGGAGAAGAGAGAAAACACCTCTTCGTTAAACTGGAGAAAATCTACTAGGAAACCCCAGGGCTGGTGTTCCCTATCCTGGTTAGGGCCATAGGCCTCTAGTGACTCTAAGACATCCTCATTTAAATAAAGCACTCAGAAAAACCATCACGAGGTTTCTCATTTCATTCCAGGGAGACTCATGGTCACAAATAAGAGCCCTGTATTTTCCCATGACTTGGAAAAAAGGAAGTTGCTTTTATTTTTTATTTATTTATATTTGAGACAAGGTATCACTCTGCCGCCCAGGCTGGAGTATAGTGGTCTGAACACAGCTCGCTGCAGCCTCTAACTCCCAGGCTCAGGCAATCCACTTCATCTGCCTGAGGAGCTGGGGTTACAGGCACACGCCACCACACCTGACTGATTTTTGTATTTTTTGTAGAAACAGGGATTCTCCATGTTACCCAGGCTGGTCTTGAATTCCTGGGCTCAAGCGCTCCTCCTGCCTTGGCCTCCCAAAGTGCTAGGGTTACAGGTGTGAATCACCGTGCCTAACCAGGAATTGCTTTTTTAATTACATGAGATTTATGTGGGGGGCAGAGATTGAATTATATTCTGTACCTACATTCTTACCCTGTGTATATATAATTCTTATTTTTTAAAAAAATATAGGATCAGAATAAAGGAAAAATTAATCTTTTTGACACAGTGAGTACAAGAAAGAAAAATCCAGAGCTAGATTGGCATGTAGTTTGGCCGTAGAAGGACCTGCTGACTTTCTCTTTCATTCTTCCCCATACAATCGTTTCAGAGAGGCTGACCAAGATACACATGTGAAGATTGCTGTTGGTTGCATTAAAGAAATAGTTGAAAGTGGCCGGGCACGGTGGCTCACATTGTAATCCCAGCACTCTGGGAGGCCAAGGCAGGCGGATCACCAGGCCAGGAGTTCGAGACCAGCCTGGCCAACATAGTGAAACCCTGTCTCTACTAAAAATACAAAAAAATTATACAGGTGTGGTGGTGGGCACCTGTAATCCCAGCTACTTGGGAGGCTGAGGCAAAGAGAATCGCTTGAACCTGGGAGGCGGAGGTTGCAGTGAGCCAAGATTGTTCCACTGCACTCTAGCCCGGGTGACAGTGTGAGACTCTGTCTCAAAAAAAAAAAAAAAAAAAAAAGAGAAATAGTTGAAAGCAACCCAAAAGTATGTCAAGGGGGAAATAGTTTAATCATCTCTAGCACACCTATTTTTCAAAGAATACTTCATTGAAAATGGCATGTATAGACATTGCCAAGACACATGAGATGAAAAAGCAATTTTTAGAATATTTACACTAGCGTAATTTTTGCATAAAATTTAAATCCCATGAAATAGATTCATCCATTTTCACATCCGTCAAATACATAGAAATGCAAATAAGTAGGAATGATATCAACTCCCTGCAGGAACCCATACAAAAGTGATCAATGGACTAACCAACATGAAAGAAATATGTCGTGTCTTAAGATTTCTACGGATGTCAGGTCTTTACGCAGCATCATAGAAAGACATTGTGATTCACTGTGCTTAGATTCTTGAGGTCTTAGTCGGGTGACCAACAGTTATCCCCAAGTTGAACAACAAGCTCTGGTGTTTATTCCCCTCCCTAATAAAAGGTCCTCAGGGACTGGAGGGCCCCTTGAATGTGATTTTGTGGAATGTGTTGGAATTGCCCACATAAGTTGGGAGTAGACATGAAAAAAACATGGTCTGATGTAGCCATTCAATATCTGAGTGAACAGAATTCATTCTACCTGTGGCAGGCCAGGTCTCGCTAGCAGCTGAACAGGCAGGCCTCCATCACAACAGTTTCAGCACCGACTGAGTGGGTAAGTTAAATATTAAAAGCTGACAGAGCCAGTGCCCTCACACAAAGGCTGGAATGTAACAAAAGACCACCAAGAGTTTTGCCCAGGCCTTTCCTGGGCCTTGAAGTATGACAGGATAATGAAGGAATTCTCAACAGGACCCATTCAGGATTAAACAAGTTTTTATTAGGGGTCTGAAGAAACTCCCCAGACCTCCACAAACAAGTTTTATTGGGGTCTGAAAGAACCCCCCAAGCCTCCATGATTTAGCAGGAGACAAGATAAAGGTAATGACCTCAGCACCTGGACCCATCTAGTTTAAGTAAATTTACTAAGGCTCCAGAGGAAGGTCTTCAGGACTCAGACCTTCCTTATAGATTAGAAGAAGTTAATCACTTACGTCTTCAGAGGAATGAACACTTACACGTAGACATATAGCTTAGAAGGCATATAAGCTCTGGAAAACTTTGTAATTTTTAATTGGTCTGGTGATATTTCTTGGCCTTCTCCCTGTGTACCCAGTTACAGAAATAGACTCTCTTGTTTCCCAGTTCATCTGCATCTGGTTATTGGGCTGTGAGAATAAGCAGCCTGACCCTCAGTTTGGTTCAGGGACATACCCAAGAAATATGAAGTGATATCCCTGCTGATAAAGTTAGAGATGTGATGTGTGAGTATCTCATGATGCAGCAATTCCTTTTAAAAAAATACACCCTGGCCGGGCGCGGTGGCTCACGCCTGTAATCCCAGCACTTTGGGAGGCCGAGGCGGGTGGATCATGAGGTCAGGAGATCAAGACCATTCTGGCTAACAGGGTGAAACCCCGTCTCTACTAAAAAATACAAAAAATTAGCCAGGCGTGGTGGCGGGCGCCTGTAGTCCCAGCTACTGGGGAGGCTGAGGCAGGAGAATGGCGTGAACCAGGGAGGCGGAGCTTGCAGTGAGCCGAGATCACGCAACTGCACTCCAGCCTGGGAGACAGAGCAAGACTCTGTCTCAAAACAAACTAACAAACATACATACATACAAAAAAACAAAAAAATACACCCTGGCTAGGCATGGTGGCTCACACCTGTAATCCCAGCACTTTGGGAGGCCGAGGCAGGCAGATCATGAGGTCAGGAGATCGAGACCATCCTGGCTAATACAGTGAAACCCCGTCTCTATTAAAAATACAAAAAATTAGCTTGGCGTGTTGGCGGGCGCCTGTAGTCCCAGCTACTCGGGAGGCTGAGGCAGGAGAATGGCGTGAACCCAGGAGGTGGAGGTTGCAGTGATCCGAGACCTCACCACTGCACTCCAGCTTGGGCGACAGAATGAGACTCCGTCTCAAAACAAACAAGCAAACAAACAAACAAAAAACAAAAAATAGGCCCTGGCTGGACGCGGTGGCTCACACCTGTAATCCCCGCACTTTGGCAGGCAGAGGCGAGAGCATTTCTTGAGCCCAGGAGATCAAGACCAGGCTGGGTAACAAAGTGAGACCCCCATCTCTACAAAAAATAATAAGACAATAAATAAAAATATATGCTAGAGCAGGGGTTGGCAAATTTTTCCTGTAATTGACCAAGTAGCAAATATATTCAGCTTTGCTGGCCGTAAATTTCCTGGCAATGACTCAGTCCTGCCGCGGCAGTGTGGTTAACAGTCACAGACAATATGTCACAAGCATGGCCGGGCTCCAATCAAACTGTATTTACCTAAACAAGCAGAAAGCTAGGTTTGGCCTCCTGGCTGTAGCTTTCTTACCTCTGCCCTGGAGAAACTCAGCCATGGCTGAGAAGCCCTGCACACTGCTTGTCATGGTGAAGAATGGAACAGAACTTAAATTACTTGAAATTTAAATGTCTCATCCCATAAGGAGAGACCAACTTTTACTTATCTATCCACACACTAGCCCAGTATATGTCTAGGATGAGCATTAGCGCTACACATCCATATGCTGAAGACTTATGCAGTCTTTCATGGAAAGACAGGAATCTGGAAGAGATTGTGGTTCCTTTTCGCAGAGCAGTTAAGGAACAAGAAGGCATTTCCATTATGCAGCAGAAGGACAATGTCCCCTCTCTCGCCAGGGGTCAGTCTAAATCGCCTCTCTCTTCTCGTCATAGCCACGGGGGTCAAATTTTAGCTCGTCTTAGCTTCGACCAGATGTGTGACCTTGGACAAGGTGCTCCATACACCTGACCTCCAGTGCAACATGGAGTTGAAGGGAGAAATAATTCACATAAAGCAAGTGCTTGACATTGTGTCTGCTATATGGCAAATGCCAAATAAATATCAACCAATATGAAGAAATGAGTAGTCAGTGCTTTTTGCCACTTCTTAAGAAAAAGAAATCCATTATATTTGCCAAAATAAAGATCTTCTGGAAGAGTTTTGGTCGAGTGGAGGGGATGAGGAATTACATGAGTGGTAACAGTTTGTATCTACTGAGCACTAAATGAAGGACTGGACTTATTCAGTGTGTTGTAGATTTTAACACGTTTAACAACCTTATTTTATATATATATATATATATATATATATATATATATATATATATATATATATAATTATTATTTTTTCTTTTTTAAGATAGTGGCGCGATCTCGGCTATCTGCAGCCTCTGCCTCCTGGGTTCAAGTGATTCTCCTGCCTCAGCCTCCCGAGTAGCTGGGATTACAGGTGCCCGCCACCATGCCTGGCTAATTTTTGTGTTTTTAGTAGAAACGGGGTTTTACCATGTTGGCCAGCATGGTCTCGAACTCCTGGCCTCAAGTGATCCACCTGCCTCGGCCTCCCAAAGTGCTGGGATTACAGGCATGAACCACGGCACCCAGCTTGTTTCTTTTAATTCAAGATGGAAAAGATATTTTTACACGGAAAGAAAGACCCTCTAGAGGTGTGCTGTCTGATATGGTAGCTACTAGCTGCATGTAGCTATCTACATTTAAATTCAGTAAAGTTAAATAAAATGTAAACGTTCATTCACTCGGTCACACCAGCCACATTCCAAGAGCTCAGTGGTTGCCTGTGGCCAGTGGCTCCTGTATTGGATAAGACAGATTCAGGATGTCTTCATCATCACGTTAAGTTCCATTAGCAGCACTTTCCTTGAGACCAAAAGCTTCTGATACACAAAAGTAGGAGTGAGGCTGGGCGCAGCGGCTCATGCCTGTAATTCCAGTGCTTTGGGAGGCCAAGGTGGGAAGATTGCTTGAGGCCGGGAGTTGAAGATTAGCCTGGGTAACACAGGGAAACCTCATCTCTCCAAAAAAATAAAAAATTAGCCAGGCATGGTGGTGCATGCCTGTGATTCCAGATACCTGGGAGGCTGAGGTGGGAGAATTGTTTGAGCCCAGAAGGTTGAGGTTGCAGTGAGCCACGATCGTACCACTGCCTTCCTGGGTGACAGAAAGAGACCCTATCTCAAAAACAGAAGTAGGAGTGATAGATGAAGCAAGGTCCCATCTTTATGGGCATGCAGCACAGAGGGAGGGAGGGTGAACAAGGGATCTCATTTTGCCCAGTATTCTCCCAGGTTTAGCACGGAAAGTCCTATATCCCAGGAACACCTTCAGTCCTGGCAGTAAAACAAAGTCCTGGGTCTGAGAAATCTCCTTAATCCTAAACAAACTGGGACAGTTTGTAAAACAAACATGTATCACCGTAGATATATGTTTGTTTTAAAACAGAAGTACTGGCCGCGTGCGATGGCTCATGCCTGTAATCCCAGCAATTTGGGAGGCCGAGGTGGGCGGATGACCTGAGGTCAGGAGTTTGAGACCAGCCTGGCCAACATGGTGAAACCCCATCTCTACTAAAAATGCCAAAATTAGCCGGGTGCAGTGGCATGCGTTTGTAATCCTAGCTACTCGGGAGGCTGAGGCAGGAGAATCGCTTGAACCCAGAAGGCAGAGGTTGCAGTGAGCTGAGATTGCACCACTGCACTCCAGCCTGGGCAACAGAGTGACACTCTGTCTCAAAAAACAAAACAAAACAAAACAAAGCAACAGAAGTACTGTGCAAACTAGGCTAGGAAAGAGATCAGAAAGGTTTGCAGATTGACCCCCTAAACACCCGGGACACCATAGTCAAGGCCTCCGGGTAGGACGGGCTACCCAAGGAGGGACCGAAGCACTTACTCAGAGCCAGGATGGGAGCTGGAGCTGAGCTTCCACACGTTCATGAAGTTCAGGGTGACGGTCAGTTCCACCTCATGCAAATATTGACACCGCTTCAGGCAAAAAGCAGACACTTGAACTTCTTTGTTGTTGCCAATTCTCAAGACAACTTTATGATAATCATTTAGGGCTTGGCTTACAAAGGCTTCCTCCCGGATTTCATGCAGACAGTAGAATAACTGCGGGACCCCACTGCCCGGAGAAGGTGGGTCACATTTATGCAACAGAGGTATGACTTTCAGCAGTTTCCTCTTATTACCGAAAGACACCTTGCATTGGAATGACTGTTCCACGGCCGAAGCGCAGGCCTCGTTCAGAAAACCGAATAAGAAAAGTCCCATGTGAGAGAGATAGCTTTTGCTTCCTCTGGGACTCGCTATCAGGCGCTGGATATTCACGTGGCTCAACACATGAAAATTTTTGAGTCTTTGTGGGAAACAGAGAACATAAAACAAGGCCGCAAAAAATTCCTGAAAAGTCACGAGGGTAAAGACATAGTGGTCTTCCTCACCTGCAATTCTCCGAAGAATACTCATGCCAAGGAAGGCGGTGACTCCCGTCTGATCCAGCTTGGCTTCCTCAAGATCTTCTTTACCTAACACCCATTTCCTGTGCCACATGCTGTCTGCGGCCAAGTGACACAGACCTTCCAGTTGTGCTTGGTGGATCTTTCTGGAAAAGTTCTCAGCTCTGGTGGGAAACAAGCTAGAAATATACCGGACGAACACAGAGGTGGCATTTGGACATGACTGTGTGAGATTGTTTCCTCTCTCCATTTGCTGTTTCAGACCAGAGCAGACCATCCAGCAAACCACAGGGACCCGGCACATGGAGAAGAGAATGGTGTTTTCCATGGCGAAACTCAAGACTTGGTCTCCCTCCTCTGTGTGTCCAAAATACATCTGGAAATACTTGATTTTTTCCATCGTATTAAACCCCGGAAGGGTTACGAGAGAGGGACATTTCAGCAAGGGCTTGCATGTCTGCCAAGAGGTAAATCTTATCATGATCAGTAGCGTGGCCTCTGGAAGCATCGTTTTGCTCAGCAAACTGCTCAGTAGGACAGACCCAGGCAATTTCTGCCTCCAGTCTTCACTCAGGTCCTCCAGTCTGTCAATGAGGGTAGATGTGAGCTCCTCAAAGCCATCCAAGAGCAGCAGAAGTTGGTCGGGTTTGGACATAATCTTTGACACGAGGTCCTGAGATCCAGGCCACTTTTGCTCAATCAGCTCGGAGAAGCTCTGGTCTGTCGTCTGGTTCACCTCTTGGCAATGGAAGTAGAAAGCACACCAGCGCTTGTGGGCGTAGAACTTGTTTCTGGCCCACTCAAACATCACCTTTTTGGCCAGGATTGTTTTTCCGATCCCAGGAGCTCCCTGTATGGCCACGGTCTTGGGCTGTCTACCCTGGGGTCTTTTGGGCAGAAGCAGACATGGTAAGTACTCCTCGTGCCTGTGTACACCTTGGTAGAAGAAGTCCCTCTGGTTTCCAGGCCAAGTCGTAATGTCCCATATGGGGAAAAACTTTTCCATCACATTCGATTTATACCGCCGTATTTTACCTAGATTTGTGAGATGGGAGAAATAAAGGGTATGACATCAGAGTGAATTGCAAGAACTAATAGAGCAATAAGAAAACCAGTCTCGATGTCTACGTGAAGCCCCGTGATGCCCTTGCATAAATGAAATAACCTTTCCTGATACTGCTGTGTCAACTAGGAAGCACCAACGAACAGAAAACTCAGCTTGAAGTGGCTTAAACAAAACAAGGACTGCTTTCTACGTGAGAAGTATGGCGGGCGTAAAGCTGTTGAAATTAGGTTCAGTGGCGCCATAGTTTCAGGTCCAGCAGCATCACGATTCTCTCAGCCCTTTCTTTGTATTTCTTGCCTCACAGATAGAAGATCGCTGCTGTAGTGTTAGCCGTGTTATCTCCATTCAAATCAGAAATACTTGGGAGGGCCGGGTGTGGCGGCTTGTACCTGTAATCCCAGCACTTTGGGAGGCTGAGGATGGTGGATCACTTGGGGTCAGGAGTTCAAGACCAGCCTGGCTAACATGGTGAAACCCTGTCTCTACTAAAAATACAAAATTAGCCAGGCGTGGTGGTGCACACGCCGGTAATCCCAGCTACTCAGGAGGTGGAGGCAGGAGAATTGCTTGAATCCAGGCGGCAGAGGTTCCAGTGAGCCAAGATTGCGCCACTGCACTCCAGTGTGGGTGACAGAGTGAGACTCTGTCTTAAAAAAAAAAAAAAAAAAAAAAAAAAAGGCCAGGCACAGTGGCTTACGCCTGTAATCCCAGCACTTTGGGAGGCCGAGGCGGGCACGAGGTTAGGAGTTTGAGACCAGCCTGGCTAACATGGTGAAACCCCATCTCTACTAAACATACAAAAGTTAGCTGGGCGTGGTGGCATGTGCCTGTAATCCCAGCTACGCAGGAGGCTAAGGCAGGAGAATCACTTGAACCTGGGAGGCAGAAGGTTGCAGTGAGCTGAGAGATCACGCCACTGCACTCCAGCCTGGGCGACAGAGCGAGACTCCGTCTCAAAAAAAATAAAGAAAGAAAGAAAGAAAGAAAGAAATAGAGACACACTCTATTGAAGTGGTCCCCAAGTGGAAGACAAGTTTTCCATGGACCAGGTGGCGGGGGATGGTTTTGGGATAATTCAAGTGCATTACGTTTATTGTGTACTTTATTTCTATTATTATTACATTATAATATGTAATGAAATAATTATACAACTCAGTATAATGTAGAGTCACTGGGAGCCCTGAGCTTGTTTTCCCGCAACTCGATGGTCCCATCCAGGGGTGATGGGAGACGGTGACGGATCAGGCATTAGATTCTCAGGAGAGCACAGCCTAGATCCCTCGCATGCACAGTTCACGAGAGGGTTTGCACTCCTATGAGAATCTGATGCCACTGCTGATCTGACAGGAGGCAGAGCCCAGGAGGTAATGTGAGCAATAGGGAGCAGCTGTAAATACAGATGAAGCTTTGGTTGCTCCCTGCCACTCACCTCCTGCTGTGTGGCCCAGTTCCTAACAGGCCACAGACTGGTACTAGTCCATGGCCCGGGGGTTGGGGACCGCTGAGCCAATGGTTTGTGTCTGTTTTTTTATTTTATTATTTTTTTTGAGATGGAGTCTCAATCTGTCACCCAAGAGTGCAGTGGCGTGATCTCACCTCACTGCAACCCTCCGCCTCCCGGGTTCAAGCAATTCTTCTCACTCAGCCTCCCAAGTAGCTGGGACTACAGGCAACTGCCACCACGCCCGGCTAGTTTCTGTGTTTTTAGTAGAGACAGAGTTTCGCCATGTTGGTTCTGATTGTAGAAGAAACACTGGACATGGTAACTTAAAATCTGGCTTGCCTTAGCAACTGAGCAGCTCATCCCAGTCCATAGCCCATTTTTTCACCAGGGTCTGCTGTGATACAGGCACATACCAGATTCTCCTTCCTCCAGATTCACCTGTGTTTCTCCCACATTCAAGTCCTCTGGTTCCAAGGTAGGCAGAATGGCTGTAACAGAAAAAAGGAGGCTGTTCCACGGGAATGATAAGATCTTGGTAGCAGGGAAACAGCATGGAGCCAATGGCCTTTTTAGGACAGAAGCAGCCACATGGCTTCAGAGTCTCATCCTCTCACCACCTCCGTTCAGGGAGAAGAAAATCACCTAGATCTATCTCTATCACAGCAATTTTAGGAAATGAGAAAAGGTGTTGTTCTACAATGCATTGAGTAAGGTGTTCAAAAACATGTTATAAATGGATAGCCCAGCCAGACACTGAGGGAGAAATATAAATACACACATACTCTTACACACACAAGTGTATGTAAAATCCATACACAGTTTAATATCTACGTAGGGGTGTATCTATACGTCCAGTCGGCCTTTCATTACCGTGGGATCTACATCGGTGGGATCAACCAACTGAGGATGGAACATAAACTAAAAACCCAATAAAAATACAACAATAAAATAATACAATTAAAAAACCAATACGAGGCTGGGCACTGTGGCTCACGCCTGTAATCCCAGCACTTTGGGAGGCTGAGGCAGGAGGATTGCTTGAGCCAAGGAGTTCGAGACCAGCTTGGGCAACATAGCAAGACCTCAACTCTACTAAAAAAATAAAAAATAATTAGCCAGGCATGGTGGCATGCCTATAGTCCTAACCACTCAGGAGGCTGAGGCAGGAGGATTGCTTGAGCTCAGGAGGCAGAGGCTGAAGGGAGCCATGATCATACCACTCCACTCCAACCTGGGTAATAGAGTAAGACCTTGTCTCAAAAAAATAAAAAACCCAATACAGGATAACAACTATTTACATAGCATTTACATTGTGTTGGGTATTATAAGTAATTTAGAGTGATTTTAAGTCTGTGGGAGGATGTGTATGGGTTCTATGCAAATACTATGCCATTTTACATGAAGGAGTTGAGCACCCATGAATTTGTTCAGTACCCTTGAGGGAGAGCCTGGAACCAATCCCCCATGGATACCAAGGAACTTCTAGCTTAATATCTATGTATGTGTGCACATATGTGTACATACACGTGTATATCTCTACATACACATACACATATAGTCATTGATTCTTGTTATGTGTGGTAGTTCTCGTCTATAAAATTCTTGTGAACACCAAATTCGCTAATACTGAACCATTGCCCCCAGGAAAACACAACGTTTGTTTCCTGCTAGTCTCTGGTTACAACATTTTCATGGACTGATCAATATAAAAACTTGTTTTACATGTGTTTTTGTTTAAAGACACCTTATTTAGTACATATTGTTGATTATTTAACATTGAGCTCGTGGTCAACCACACTGATAAATCCTGCCTGAAGGAAGCTCAGCTAACAAGCGTATTTTCTCCCTAAGGCACAGCATGGCCTTCTTGCCCTGAGGAACATGGAAAGGCACATCAGCACTAGTTTTGGGTACCATTTTTATTTTTATTTTTATTCTTATTTTTTTTGAGACTAAGTCTCACTCTGTCACCCAGGCTGGAGTGCAGTGGTGTGATCTCAGCTCACTGCAACCTCTGCCTCCTGGGTTCAAGCGATTCTTCTGCCTCAGCTTCCCAAGTAGCTGGGACTACAGGCGTGCGCCACCACGCCCGGCTAATTTCTGTATTTTTAGTAGAGATGCGGTTTCACCGTGTTAGCCAGGCTGGTCTCAAACTCCTGACCTCATGATCCTCCCGCCTCGGCCTCCCAAAGTGCTGGGATTATAGGCGTGAGCCACTGCGCCTGGCCCCACCTCGGCCTTTCAGACTGCTGGGATTATAGGCGTGAGCCATCGTGCCCAGCCTGGGTGCTATTTTAAACAGCAAAACCACCAACTCAAAGCACAAAAGTGTGGCACCACATAGGCGTGGAAATGACACTGGCTTACGGGGTGAGAGCTAAAGCCAGAAGGCAGAGCGTCACCTTGTTTGACCTCGGCTAGGAGGTCAGCTCGATTTTTTTGCTGCGTTGCTGTCTGGGAATGATCTTGAAAGCGCTGTAAGTATTGATTTGGGGGTTACGAATACATTTTAATGAGTAGGCACATTCACGAATACAGAATCCATGAACAATGAGGATCAACTGCGTACGTGTGTCTCTGTGTGTGTGTGTGTGTGTGTGTTTCTTGAGATGGAGTTCTGCTTTTGTCACCCAGGCTGGAGTGCAGTGGCATGATCTTAGCCCTCTGCAACCTCTGCCTCCTGGGTTCAAGCAATTCTCTTGCCTTAGCCTCCCGAATAGCTGGGATTACAGGCACCCGTCACCACGCCCGGCTATTTTTTTTTTTTTTGTAGTTTTAGTAGAGACTGGGTTTCACCATGTTGGCCGGGCTGGTCTTGAACTCCTGACCTTGGGTGATCCACCCACCTCTGCCTCCCAAAGTGCTGGGATTACAGGCGTGAGCCACCGTGCCTGGCCTCTCTGTGTATTTTTCATCAGGTTTTCATAAATATTAACATTTTCTGTTTAACACTAAGATTTTCTCTACCACTGGGTCACGGGGTTTCCATCCCCTCTGATTTTCTTTTCCGGTGACTCTCTCTCCTTTTCACATGATGAGCTATTTCCTCCTGTGTTAGGTCTCAACCTTAGCATCATTTCCTCAAAGAGGACTTCCTAGGCTGCCTTATCAAAAGAAAGTCCCTTTTCACAATCAATTACTCTCTAGCCATCTAATATTTGAGCACCTATGACATGCTAGGTGCTGAGCCAGCTGTTGGGGTGCCAGTGGCTAAGGAGACGTAAGGCACCCACTCTCCTGTGTTTATGTTTAAAACTGTGGAGCTGACGTTTTCTCCATTCTTACCAATGAGACTGACTACTTGTAATATCAGCTATTGGGAGAGGCGGGTTCACAGCTCCTATCATGTTTCTGGATTGGTGTATTTTCCTTTAATACAGTAGTCCCCCCTTCTCTGCAGGGTCTATGTTCCAAGATCCCCGGTGGATATCTGAAACTGTGGATAGTACTGAACAATGTGGATACTGATTTTTTTAAATACATATCTAGGCCGGGTGTGGTGGCTCACACCTGTAATTCCAGCACTTTGGGAGGCCGAGGCAGGCAAATCACCTAAGGTCAGGAGTTTGAAACCAGCCTGGCCAACATGGTGAAACCCCGTTTCTACTAAAAATACAAAAATTAGCTGGGTGTGGTGGTGCGCACCTGTAATCCCAGCTACTGGGGAGGCTGAGGCATGAGAATTGCTTGAACCTGGGAGGTGGAGGTTGCAGTGAGCTGAGATCACACCACTGCACTCCAGCCTGTGTGACAGAATGAAGACTCCATCTCAAAATAGAAAAAAAATACATACCGATCTATGATAAAAGTTTAAATTATAAATTAGGTACAGTAAGAGATTAACAATAATAATGAAATAGAACAATTATAATACTATACTATCATAAACGGTATGTAAATGTGGTCTCTCTCTGTCTCAGAATATCTCAGTGTACTGTACTCATCTATTTTTGGCCATGATCAACCCAAACTTCAGAAAGCAAAACCTTGGATAAGGGGATGACTGTAGTCCAGCTCTGCTTTATTCATATTGAAGATGAGGTTTTGGATTACAATATCCTCCAGTGGGATTCACCCTTTGTTGCTGCGAAATGGCCTTTTAAAGTGTTTAACCTTCTTGCTTTAAATATAGCACTCCTGACATCACCATAGCTATACCAGCTGTCTTCTGCTGTTTCCATAGCATATGCTTTTCCACTATTTTACTTCCTACTTCTCTATGACTTCATTTAACGTTCACCTCATATAAGCAGTATTCAGTTAAGTTTTTAAAAAATAGGCCCATATGGGCTGGGCACAGTGGCTCACACCTGCAATCCCAGCACTTTGGGGGGCCAAGGCAGGCGGATTACCTGAGGTCAGTAGTTCGAGACCAGCCTGGCCAACATGGTGAAACCCCGTCTCTACTAAAAATAAAAAAAAATTACCCAGGCATGGTGGTGGGTGCCTGTAATCCCAGCTACTCAGGAGGCTGAGGCAGGAGAATCACCTGTACCTGGGAGGCGGGGTTTGCAGTGAGCCGAGATTGTGCCATTGCACTTCAGCCTGGGCAAGAAGAGCGAAACCCCATCTCAGAAAAATAAAATTAAAAAAATGCCCGTATGACAGTCTTTGCCTTTGGGTTAGATCCATTATCTTCCTCCACTGTTTGCTTTCTTGCTCAGAAGGCCAATAAGTGATAGGGGTGGTGACTAGAGTAGTTTAGCTGCCCAGCAGCCAAGCCCACCCCCACTTTATCCACCAGATCAACACTCACCATTTATCTCTCTGCGGACTACAACACACATTTTATCACAGTTCATAATGGCAAAGATGTTCGAAGTCACATCCCAAGCGCGTCGTCCAGGGAAACGCTCTATCAAGAGATGAACCACCTCTGCCCAGCTGGCTGTCTCGACCTGGTCCCAGGTGATGGGCATGGTGCCAGTACTGAGCTCAGTCAGTAAGAGCTGCTTGAACCGTTGTAGCTCCTCATGGCTCACGTTTCTCATGTACAGCATGACCCCATTTTCACATGGGGAGCCGGGGTAGCAAGAGAATGTCCAGGGCGGAATATGAGAACTGTGAGTGGAGGAGGATGAAAAGGGAATGGGGGTGTCAGAGGGTGGATTCACGTCACTCATCTTTAGTCAAGGCAGAGAACACCTCAGTGTCCACGATAAAGACAACCGATTGGAAGAGAGAAACACGAGACCTGCAGAGACATAAAACAATAAAACAAGAAGATGAAAACACTACCCAAGAAAACAGATTCGTGTAATGCTTACTTGGCAGGTATTCTGCGTGCCGGGTACTCCCTTTACCTCCTTTCCTCAAAGATTCTCTGCCCTATGGAAAAACTGAAGATGCATGGAATGTTTGGGATTAGTCCATTAGACTAATGGATTGTTTGTAGTTTCTATTCTCCATGACTTCTTTTGGGGAAGAGGCAAGCAAAATATCAAAGCCTTCACAAAAGGTTTAGCGAAAAGAAAAATTAGAAGCAGGTAAAATAATTCAGTGAAGCTAAAATCTAGAAAATATATGGTTGGTTAGAAGGCTCCATTAGATTAAAAGTGATCTCAAATTCAACAAAGTTTTTATTCTTAAAAAAATGGATCATGTATTAGAGAGATGCAAATCAAAACCACAACGAGATGTCATCTCACACCAGTCAGAATGGTGATTATTAAAAAGTCAAGCAATAACAGATGCTGTATTCTTAAAAAATGGATCATGTATTAGAGAGATGCAAATCAAAACCACAACGAGATGTCATCTCACACCAGTCAGAATGGTGATTATTAAAAAGTCAAGCAATAACAGATGCTGGTGAAGTCGCAGAGAAAAAGGAACACTTATACTCTGTGTGTGGGAGTGTAAATTAGTTCAACTACTCTGGATGACAGTGGGGCAACTCCTCAAAGACCTAAAAAGAGAACTACCATTCAACTCAGCAATCCCATTACTGGATATATATCCAAAGGAATATAAATCATTCTATTATAAAGACACATTCCTGTGTATGTTCATTGCAGCACTACTCACAATAGCAAAGTCATGGAATCAACCTAAATGCCCATCAGTGATAGACCGGATAAAAAAATGTGGTACATAAACACCATGGAATACTATGCAGCCATAAAAAAGAATGAGATCATGACCTTTGCAGGAACATAGATGGAGCCAGAGACCATTATTCCTTAGCAAACTAACACAGGAACAGGAAACCAAATACCACATGTGCTCATTTATAAGTGGTAGCTAAACGATGAGAACACATGGACACATAGAGGGAACACCACACACTGGAGTCTGCTAGAGGCTGGAGGGTGGGAGGAGGGAGAAGATCAGGAAAAATAACTAATGGGTACTGGGATTAATACCTGGGTGATGAGATAACCTGTACAACAAACCCACCCCCATAACACGTTTGCCTATATAACAAACCTGCACATGTACCCCTGTATCTAAAAGAAATGTAAAAAAGAAATAAAATAAAAAGGATCATGGGTGTATTTTTGTCCCCCCTGCCCCAACTTCCAATAATAGTTTATTTATTTATTATTTATTTATTTACTTAGAGACAGAGTCTCACTCTGTTTCCCAGGCTGGAGTGCAGTGGTGTGATCTCGGCTCACTGCAACCTCCACTTCCCTGGTTCAAGCAATTCCCTTGCCTCAGCCCCCTGAGTAGCTGGGATTACAGGCACCTGCCACCATGCCTGGCTAATTTTTTTGTATTTTTAGTATAGATGGGGTTTCACTATGTTGGCCAGGCTGGTCTCAAACTCCTGACCTCAAGTGATCCACCCACCTCAGCCTCCCAAAGTGCTGGGATTACAGGTGTGAGCCACTGCACCTGGCCAATAGCTTCTTCTTTAACACTTCTCCCTCTTATAACTTATGTGACACCCAAACATCTGGATAAACTTGTTTAATTGACTCAGTCCTCCCTTGGGTCCAGAGTAGCTGGGCTTGGTCCCAGGACAAAGGTGATATGCTCCTGGGTGGCTGACTCTTGCTAGTGCTCCTTCCGTCCAGTGGGTGGCGCTGCATGGAGGAGCCTAACACAGTCACACATTTTCTACCTCTACTTATTCCATGACCATTGCTGACCACGTTCCAGCCACAGTGAGCTGCAGCTTTAAGAAATTTGCAGGACTGGCTGGGTGCGGTGGCTCACGCCTGTAATCCCAGCACTTTGGGAGGCCAAGACAGGTGGATCACTTCAGGCCAGGAGTTCCAGACCAGCCTGGCCAACATGGTGAAACCCTGCCTCTATTAAAAACACAAAAAGTAGCTGGGCGTGGTGGTGGGTGCCTGTAATCCCAGCTACTCGGGAGGCTGAGGCAGGAGAATTGCTTGAACCCAGGAGGCAGAGGTTGCAATGAGTGGATATCATGCCACTGCACTCCAGCCAGGGTGATAGAGCAAGACCCTGTCTCAAAAAAAAAAAAAAAAAAAAAAAAAAGAAAAGAAAGAAAGAAAGGAAAAGAAAAGAAATTTGCAGGGCAAGGGAGGATGTTGGCAGTTACATCATCGTTTTGCTTTACTTTCATTCACTGCTGAAGGGAACATAAGCAGGGGGAACCTATCTGAAAGGCCTTTTCACAATACTACCAATCGTGTGCACTGCCATGGAATTCAGTAGTTCTACTCCTAAAACTGCAACCTGAGGCCAGGTGTGGTGGCTCATGCCTGTAATTTCAGCACTTTGGGAGGCTGAGGTGGGAGGATCACGAGGTCAAGAGATTGAGACCATCCTGGCCAACATGGTGAAAACCCGTCTCTACTTAAAAAAAAAAAAAAAAAAAACAAATATTGGCTGGGCGTGGTGGCATGCACCTGTAGTCCCAGCTACTTGGGAAGCTGAGGCAGGAGAATCACTTGAAACCAAGAGGGGGAGTTTGCAGTGAGTGAGCCAAGATCCCGCCACTGCACTCCAGCCTGGGCAACAGAGCGAGACTCCATCTCAAAAAAAACAAAAACAAAAAAGGCCAGGCGTGGTGGCTCACGCATGTAATCTCAGCAATTTGGGAGGCTGAGGTGGGCAGATCACAAGATCAGGAGATTGAGACCATCCTGGCTAACACGGTGAAACCCCGTCTCTACTAAAAATACAAAAACTTAGCCGGGCATGGTGGCAGATGCCTGTGGTCCCAGCTGCTTGGGAGGCTGAGGCAGGAGAATGGCATGAGCCTGGGAGGCAGAGCTTGCAGTGAGCCAAGATTGCGCCACTGCACTCCAGCCTGGGCGACAGAGTGAGACTCTGTCTCAAAAAACAAAACAAAACAAAACAAAACAAAACAAAAACAACAAAAAAACTGCACCTTACAGATACACTTGCACATGTGAGATGGTGTGTGCACAAGCCAGTCTGTCTTAGTCTGTTTGGACTGCCATAACAAATACCATACACTGGGTGGCTTAGTAACAACAGACATTGATTTCTCACTGCTCTGGGGGCTGGAAGTCCAAGATCAAGGGGTTGGCAGATTTAGTGTCTGGTGAGGGCAGCTTCCTGGTTCATAGAGAGCACCTTCTTGCTGTGTCCTCCTCACATGGAGGAAGGGGTGTGGGAACTCTCTGGAGGCTCTTTCATAAGGGCTGGAGTCCCAATCATGAGGGCTCTGGCCCCATGAGTTAATCACCTCCCAAAGTCCCTGCCTTCTTCTACCGTTACCTTGGTGGTTAGAGTTTCAGCCTGTGGATTTTGGGGGGACGCAGACATTCAGTTCATAACACAGTCCTTCTGGATTTACTCACTGAAATATCCCAGTGTCAAATATTACGCCAAACTCTCTATTTTTGGCACTGGGGATACGTTGGTGAGCAAAAGATACACAAAAAATTGTTGTCCTCATGTGGCTAAGATTTCAGTGAATGAAAATAAAGTGTAGGGGAGGAAAAGCTTTTCTCTGTCCCTTTATTGATCTTAGATTCATTGGCTGGAGGCTTGTACATTGGGGTCATGAAAGACAGATTCACAAAATCACAGCAAACAGAAGTTTATTTATGTGTGCATGCCCATGGGAGCACACTGATGCGATGGAAGACTATACACACCATGGGAAAAAGGAGAGGCGAGAGAGAACAGGAAGTGAGAAATAGCCTGCTGCGATTTGTAAAAGGCTGACGAAAGGGCTCACTGAAGCAGGGATGTCTGAGCAAAAGCTTGGAGGAGAGGAGGAGGTAAGAGGTCACGGAATGGGCTGTGTGGCTATCAGATGAGTTCCAGACAGAAGGGCAAGGACCACCACCCTATGGCCAGGACGTGCCTGGAGCTGTTGAGAAACAGCAGGACCAGGGTGAGTGGAGGTGAATGGGCAAGGGGAAGACAGTGGAGGTGATCTCAAGAGGTCACACAGGACCTGATTGGACTGGCGTGGGACGTCTATAATTTTTAGAAGGATTCTTCTGGCTGGCTCTCCTACTGAGAACAAGGGTAGGGAGCTATAGACATAATCCTGGAAAGAAGAATTGTGAGTTGTTGCACTAGTGTGACGAATTTACCATGAATTTGGTGGCTTAAGACGACACAGTTTTTTTTTTTTTTTTTTTTTTGAGATGGAGTCTCACCCTGTCACCCAGGCTGCAGTGCAGTGGCACGATCTCGGCTCATTGCAACCTCCACCTCCCAGGTTCAAGCAATTCTCCTGCCTCAGCCTCCCGAGTAGCTGGGACTACAGGCACCTGCCACCACGCCCGGCTAATTTTTGTATTTTTAGTAGAGACGGGGTTTCACCATGTTAGCCAGGATGGTCTCGATCTCTTGACCTCGTGATCCACCTGCCTCAGCCTCCCAAAGTGTTGGGACTTCAGGTGGGAGTCACCGCACCTGGCCGACAGCACAGTATTTTTAAGATAAAACATTCAGTTAGGGAGGCTAGAAGCCTGAAATGGGCTAAGATCACTGGACTAAAATTGAGGTGTTGGCAGGGCTGTTTCCTTCTGGAGACTCTAGGGGGAGAATCTGTTTCCTGGCCTTCTCCAGCTTCTAGAAGCCACATGCCATCCTTGGATTTTTGCTCCTTCCTCCTTCTTCAAAGGCAGCAGTGGGGCATCTTCTATCTCATTCCCTCTTCCCTTTCTAATACCTACGAACCAACCTCTCTTTATCCCTCCTCCCTGCTCCGCTTTCCATAAATACATACAGTTATTATGCATCAAAAAAAAAAAATCAGGCCAGGTGCAGTGGCTCACGCCTGTAATCCCAGCACTTTGGGAGGCCGAGGTGGGTGGATCACCTGAGGTCAGGAGTTCGAGACCAGCCTGGCCAAGATGTTGAAACCCCATCTCCGCTAAAAATACAAAAATTAGCCAGACATGGTGATGGGCGTCTATAATCCCAGCTACTCATGAGGCTGAGGCAGAGAATTGCTTGAACCTGTGAGGTGGAGGTTGCAGTGAGCCGAGATCACACCACTGCACTCCAGCCTGGGTGACAGAGAGAGACTCCGTCTCAAAAAAAAATTTTTTTTTCCTAAAGATGGAAATGCTGTGGGATGTCTGTACATTCAAGGGAGTAGAGAAGAGAAAAGTAGTGTTGGCAAGTGAGGAAATAACAGCAGGAGAAGGGGTATAATTGAGGACACAGGCTGGGTCTGAAGTGATCTTGGCAGGAAGAGGGTGGAGAGCACACGTCCAGATGCAGGTGGTTGATGGGTCTGAGCAAGGAGTTCCTGGCCTTTCAGAGAAATGAGGGACGGCAGAATACGCCACCCCCAAATATTCCAGTTTGTTGTACTCATTCTTAAAAATTGGTACGTGATAATTGTACATATTGATGGGAAAGGCAGGTGGGAGGGGTTGGATGAAGAGCGGTTGGTTAATAGGTACAAAAATACAATGGATAGAAGGAGTAAGCTCTAGCATTTGATAGCACAGTAGTGTGACTATAGTTCATAATAATTTGTTGTGTATTTCAAACGGACTATTTTGAGCTGAAGATACTTGAGAAGGAGCAGACACAAGAAAAAATCTGTCTTCCCTTGATTTGCCTAAATGCAAGACATCAGTTTGTAAAGGTGCCCCTTTTCCCCTTCTCTACCAGGAAACACAGAAGTTAATCACCGGAGACAAGCTCCAGATGCGTACAGCAGTGCGAGGGCGCCAGAAAAATCTACACAAGAAACCTTATGAACTAGCCCTCATCCTCCATTTTCTCCCCCATACATTTACCTTCTCACAATTTACCCCCCCAGGAATTCGAGGTCTTTCTCATTTGTCTTTTCACTTCTCTGAGAATGTACTGTTCTGGCCAGGCACAGTGGCTCACGCCTGTAATCCCAGCACTTTGGGAGGCCGAGGTGGGCGGATCACCTGAGGTCAGGAGTTCGAAACCAGCCTGGCCAACATGGCAAAACCCTGTCTCCACTAAAAGTACAAAAATTAGCTGGGAGTGGTGGCGGGCACCTGTAATCCAAGCTACTCGGGAGGCTGAGACGGGAGAATTGCTTGAACCTGGGAGGCGGGGGTTACAGTGAGCCTGGGCGACAGAGTGAAACTCCGTCTCAAAAAAAAGAGAATGTATTGTTCTTTTGTTAGCATGACATATAAGCCTAAGTTCTAACCACCCCTGAGTGTTC
Source organism: Homo sapiens (assembly GCF_000001405.40). Lineage (NCBI taxonomy): Eukaryota > Metazoa > Chordata > Mammalia > Primates > Hominidae > Homo > Homo sapiens. The sequence continues at coordinate 55,941,456 of NC_000019.10, read as the reverse complement.
TCATCATGGAGTGCTCCCATGGGTATGCACACATAAACTTCTGTTTGCTGTGCTTTTGTTAATCTGTCTTTCATGAGCCTAATGCACAGACTCCAGCCAAGGAATCTAAGATCAATAAAGAGAGAGCCATGGAATCTAAGATCAATAAAGAGAGAGAGAGGGAAAAGTATTTCCTTCCCTACAGAAGTATATCAGGATCATCTACACATGAAATAAGCCAGGCACAGAAAGACAAACATTGCATGTTCTCACATATTTTTGGGATCTAAAAATTAAAACAGGTTGGGCACGGTAGCTCAAGCCTGTAATTCCAGCACTTTGGGAGGCTGAGGTGGGCAGATCACTTGAGTTCAGGAGTTCGAGACCAGACTGCCCAACATGGCGAAACCCTGTCTCTACAAAAAATACAAAAATAAGCCAGCTGTGATGGCGGGTGCCTGTAATCCCAGCTACTTGGGAGGCTGAGAAACGAGAATTGCTTGAACCCGGGAGGTGGAGGTTGCAGTGAGCCGAAATCGCACCACTGCGCTCCAGCCTGGGTGACAGAGCGAGAACCTGTCTCTAAATAAATAAATATCACAACAATTGAACTCATGGATATAGAGAGTAGAAGGGTGGTGTTCAGAGGCTGGGGAGGGTTGTGGGGTGTGGGGAGGAAAGTGGGGGATGGTTAATGTGCCCAAAAAATTAGAAGGACTGAATAAGACCTTGTATTTGATAGCACAACATGGTGACTATAGTCTATGGCAATTTAATTATACATTAAAAATAACTAAAATAGTATAATTGGATTGTAACACAAAGGATAAATGTTTGAGGGGACGGATACCCCATTCTCCATCATGTGGTAATTACACATTGCATACCCGTATCAAAGCATCTCGTGTACCCCATAAATATATACCTCTACTATGTACCCAGAAAAATTAAAAATTAAAAAGCAGGCCGGGTGCGGTGGCTCATGCCTGTAATCCCAGCCCTTTGGGAGGCCGAGGCGGGCGGTTCACCTGAGGTCAGCAGGAGGAATCGCCATACTATTTTCCATTTCCCATCCCCATCAACAATGCACTAAAGTTTCATTTTCTCCACATTCTTGCCAACGCTGATTATTTTCCATTTTAAACATAGCTATTCTAGCGGGTAAACATTTTTAAAAGATAAAAGTCTGTCATCTCCATTTGGTTCTGTGGTCACGTCTTGATCACCCTAGAGTCCATATAACTCTACGTTTTGGTAAGAATTATATCCCATGAATCCCTTTCCGTCCAATTTACAAAGGAGAAAACGGAAATTGAACTAAGTTAAGTAAATTCAGCCCAAGCTGTGAGTGTTGGAAACCAGCAGGTGGAACCTGACCAAATTCCTAAGCCCACGAGCCGAGCCGTGTGGGTGACACATCTGCGTTTATTGAGAAGGAATATTTGCAGAGGGGCAGTGTCAAAGTCAGTGCTGCTTAATCCTTGCGGCTTTCTTTCTCTGTGCCTCGCGATTTCTTCTTCGCGTCTACAGCTATTTTGATTTTTTTCTAACTACATCTGTCAGTGGCTACCCTAGACCTCTGGACACCTGGAGACCCCACGACATCTCTTTCAGGTCTTAGAATTTTGCTAGTGCTATGAGTCTCCTGGCTCTCAGACCCTCAGAGCTGAAAGAAAACTTGGGAATTTAGGACTCCACTTCGGGGTCAGGAAAGCTGAGTTTCAGAGATGGGCAAGGATTTTATGAATGAGAGCTGGTTATGTTTGCAGTTGAATCTCTAGCTCTCACTTTTGATTTTCAGTATGGGCCCACTGGGTGCGCCCAACTCAAGGGTCTAGCCATTGTAACTGCAAGGAAGTGGATGATGAGGAAAAGAGTAGGTAGAAAAGAGAAAAGAACAAAACAAAACAAAACAAAGCTCACCTCTGCAGAGAATTATTCTTCCTGCTCCTTCCTGTCAAAAGCATCTCCCAAAACGGAGATCGCCTGGCCTGCCCCACCCCCCAACCCTTATAGGTGCCGGGGAATTCAGACAATTGGCACCTTCTCTTCCCATTGGCGGGGGCTGGCTCACTAGAATTCCTCTGCATTGCACCGATTGGAAGGCATTTAGCTCCCTTGATTCAGAATGAATGAGCTGCAGGTCTTGATCCTACAGGTGCTTCCGATTTGTAAAGGAAACTCTTCCCTTGCTTCTTAGGTCTAGAAGAACAAGCAACAGAAAATTACATGTTTGGAGAGCTTCCCAGTCTCCTTAGAAGGCTAACACCGTGTTCAGTCCGAAAGTGCCACTTCCCATTTGGAAACATCCAGTCATTCACGGGCTCATCTTGTTTACATGTTCATCTCTTCTACTTGGGATATAATTGTATCGAGCAAAAGGAGGGTCTCAAGATCATCAGGGCCCAGTCTAGGTCCCACATACAACGGGCCCAGTCTCAGGGAGACCCAGAGACAGAGCTTGTGGGAGAAGGAAAACTCACCAGCAGAGAGTACAAGGGAGGGGGCGTTGGGAAGGACTGGCTTGAGGAATTTTCTTTTAAAAAAATTACCACTAGTTGGCTGGGCGCGGTGGCTCACACCTGTAATCCCAGCACTTTGGGAGGCTGAGGCGGGCGAATCAGGAGGTCAGGAGATCGAGACCATCCTGGCTAATGCGGTGAAACCCCGTCTCTACTAAAAAAAATACAAAAAATTAGCTGGGCGTGGTGGCGGGCACCTGTAGTCCCAGCTACTCGGAAGGCTGAGGCAGGAGAATGGCGTGAACCCGGGAGGCGGAGCTTGCAGTGAGCTGAGATCGCGCCACTGCACTCCAGCCCGGGTGACAGAGCGAGACTCCGTCTCAAATAATAATAATAATAATAATAATAATAATAATAATAATAGTAATAATCACCTATAGTTGAAGGGGAGAAACCCCACAAGATAACCAACTTTACCAAGTTTGCATCAACTCAGGATAGAATATCAGCGGTTTTTACATAGGAGTTTTAATTTTTTTCAATTTTATTTTATTTGTATATTTTTGAGACAGGGTCTCGTTCCATGACTCCGGACGAAGTGCAGTGGTGCAATCATAACTCACCCCACAGCCTCGGCTTCCTGGGCTCAAGTAATCTTCTGCCTTAGCCTCTGGAGTAAACGGCATTACAGGAAAGGGGTCCCGGTCCAGATCCCCAGAGAGGGTTCTTGGATCTCTTGCAAGAAAGAATTCAGAGTGAGTTCGTAAAGTGAAATCAAGTTTATTAGGAAAATAAGGGAATAAAGAATGACTACTCCATAGAGCAGCCCTCGGGCTGCTGGTTGCCATTTTTATGGTTATTTCTTGATGATATGCTAAACAACAGGTGGATTATTCATGCCTCCCATTTTTAGACCATATAGGGTAACTTCCTGACGTTGCCACAGCATTTGTAAACTGTCATGGTTCTGGTGGGAGTGTAGCAGTGAGGACAACCAGAGGTCACTATCGTGGCCATCTTGATTTTGGTGGGATTTGGCGGCTTCATTACTGCAACCCATTGTATCAGCAAGGTCTTTATGACCTGTATTTTTTGCTGTCCTCCTATCTCATCCTGTGACTTAGAATGCCTTAGACATCTGGGAATGCAGCCCAGTAGGTCTCAGCCTCAGTTTACCCAGCTCATTTTCAAGATGGAGTTGCTCTGGTTCACATGCCTCTGACGACAGGGACCATAGGTGCATGACAGCACTCATGGCTAATTTTTTGTAGAGACGGGGGTATCACAGGTTAAACAGCCTGGCCTGGTCTTGAACTTCTGGCCTCAAGGGATCTCCTGCCTCAGCCTCCCAAAGTGCTGGGATTATAGGCACGTGCCATCATGCCCGGGCTATGTATGAGTTTTATATTCACAAAGGTTATGATGATGTGTCTTCAGACAACAGCAGAGAGAAAATCAAAGGTAAAATAGTTTCATTAGGTTTACAGGAAATAGCCAAGAATGTGTATAATTTTGAACTTGCATTTCTCTTATTGTATAGGAGATTCAGCATGTTTTCAGATGGTTAAGAGTCATTGGCATTTCTTTGCTTACAAACAATTGTTAATTTCTCCATTTCATTTTGGTAATTTTTCAAAGCTCTTTATAGATTAGACATATAGGCTGGGCATGGCGGCTCACGCCAGTAATCCCAGCACTTTAGGAGGCTGAGGCAGGCAGACTATTTGAGGTCAGGAGTTCGAGACCAGCCTGACCAACATGGTGAAACCCTGTCTCTATTAAAAATACAAAAAAAAAAAAATTAGTTGGGCATGGGTGCACATGCCTGTAATCTCAGCTACTTGGGAGGCTGAGGCAGGAGAATCACTTGAACCTGGGAGGCGGAGGTTGCAGTGAGTGGAGATGTCGCCACTGCACTCCAGCCTGGGTGACAGAGTGAGACTCCATCTCAAAAATAAATAGATAAATAAATATTAGGCATATAAACTCTTTCTGATATAAGTTGCAAATATATTTACCATTTTATAGTTTGTCTTTTTACCTTGCTTCACACATCTTTTGTTATGAATGCTTAAAAAACATTTGTAATAAAATTTGTTTATTTTTTCTCTAATTGCTTTTGAATTTTAAATCTTAGCTAAGAAAGCTTTCCCCACCATCAGGTTTGAGAGGAATTCAATTGTTTTCTTCTGGTGCTTCTAAAGTTTTATTTATGCATTTAAATCTCTGACGTGCTTGAAAATTATTCTGTTGTATAGGAAACAGATCTAGCATCACCATGCTTATTAAAAGTCAATTTCCCTCACTTATGAGTGATGCAATATTTATCAAATTTATATATGTTAATAATTTTATTTCTGGATTTTCTTTTTTCCTTTTCTTTTTTTTTTAATTTTTTTTTGAGACAGAGTCTCCCTCTGTCACCCAGGCTGGAGTGCAGTGGCGCCATCTCGACTCACTGCAAGCTCCGCCTCCCAGGTTCACACCATTCTCCTGCCTCAGCCTCCCAAGTAGCTGGGACTATGGGTGCCCGCCACCATGCCCAGCTAATTTTTTGTATTTTTAGTAGAGACGGGGTTTCACTGTATTAGCCAGGATGGTCTCGATCTCCTGACCTTGTGATCTGCCCTCCTCAGCCTCCCAAAGTGCTGGGATTACCGGCGTAAGCCACCGCGCCCAGCCCTATTTCTGGATTTTCTAGTCTGTTCCTTTGCCCAGTCTGTTTGCACATGTGCCAATACTATATTTTAATCATAAAGGCCTCATGGTATATTTTAATATCTGCTAGGTTTAGTCCCTCCTCATTCCTCCTTTTCAGGATTTTCCAGGCCATTCCTACAAATTCGATTTGTTCAGTTGAATTTTATAATCCACTTCCGCACCTCCAGGTAAAACCTTGATGTATTTGTATTAGAGAGAAGTGATATATTTATGAGGTTGAGCTTTCCATGCAAAAACGTGGTATTTATTTCTTTAAGGCTTAAGTCCACTTTTGGATCTTGCAGAAATGTATTTTATAGTTTTTCTTACATAAGTTTTGGATATTTCTGAAGTTTTTAAGTAAGCATTTTATTTCCATTTTTTTTTTTTTTGCTATAGTAAATAGGGGTATTCTTTTCCAGTGTTTTGAGTTTCCATATTTGAAGTCTATTGATTTTTGAATACTTATTTTATTACCTGCTGTAATACCAATTTCTCTTGTTGTTGATAGTTCTCCCATGCAGTCTTTTGCATTGTCCGGGTACATAATCAAGTTTGCAAATGTAGTTTTACCTGTTGCTTTCCAATTATTATACCTCTCTCTAATTGCTTTCCAATTGCTAGTTTAAAGCCTGTAACCCGAGTTTAAAACTAGCTAACATTGTTGATAGAATTGGTTGACATCTCCAGCAGAATGTTGAATAGCAGCGGAGTTATGACTATCCTCATCTTGTTCCTGACTTCGGTGGAAAATCCTTTGTATTCATGATGGAATGGTGGAAGGAGCATTTCTCCTGCAGTTGGAAGAAGACACAGTCCTGTAAGTGGCGGCAACCGTGATTTTAGTGTCTCACGACCTCTGTCTCCCTCTCCTCTTTCATTGTCCCCTGAGGTCGCCCAGATGGTAGGAGGGGTAATCACAGGCATTACTCCCATCTGTGGCTCTTTGCTGGCGTGGATGGCTCCATTTACTTCAGGATAGTATGGTCTTTAAACCCAGTTTGGCCTCCCAGCCTGAAGAATCCTGTGATTATCTAGATCTGGAGGAGAAAAACCAGATATCGTACGTCTCAGCTGAGTCTTGTCAGCTTCTCAACTGACCCCGAGTTGTGCTGGGGAAAGGGAGCGGGAAGAGAGCTATAAACAGGAGGCCCCGAGACACAGCTAAGAGGAGGCAGACGGACCCGAGGGCTGCTCACAGGTGAGGAGGGGGTGGCGGTGACTACTTCTATGGGGTTTCCCGAATCAGCCTCTGGAAACTCATGTGAGATTCAAAGTCTGGTTGGTAAGAGACGTCTCCTCTCTCTGCTCTAAGGTTTCACCTTTCTCTGGGACCTTTTACTCCACTGTATCCTGCTGGTGTTTTCTTAGGAGCAAAAGTTGATCGCACACACTTCCTTCTTCGATTAGGAGCTTTCCATCTCCTCAACCAAGGGGATTCCGCAGTTGTGTGAGATTTTCTAGCTGAATTTCTCTGTTCTTGTATTTTTTTTCCCTCCAGGGCTTTTGCACTTGCTGTTTTCACTGACCGCTCTACCCCCTAATCCTCTTCCCACCCTCCTTGGCTCAATCCGATGCATGCATCAAGTTTGGAGGAATTTCCTTTCGAGTCCTATGTACTTGGCCTACTTGCTGTATAACTTCATGGCACCATGTGGGTCTCATACCCAACATGCTTCATCCTAATTATAGTTCATCCTCTTTATTTGTGGATTCCATGTGTGTGAATTCATCTACACGCTAAGATCTGCTGGCAACCCCCAAATCAATATTTGCAGAGCTTTCAAAGTCATCCAGACATGCACAGAGCCAGGAAAAATTCGAGCTGAGGTCAGATAAGGCAGTGCTGGTGGGTCTACTTAGTGCCCTGTTTTTGCATTTCTGGGCTTTTCGTCGGTGACTTTGCTGTCTAAACGTCCCCTTGTGTAGTGTGGAAGTTCTGTCTGGTGCTCGACACACAAGAAGGCTGGGATGTGAGTTCTGAAGAAAATGCATGCGTTAGCTGAGCTTCTTTCAGGCATGAGCTATAGTGTTGCTGGCGGTGGGCTCAATGTTAATGAATCAACGATATGTATTAAATTAGGTTTCCTTAAACAGAGACACATATAAAACAAGGTTATGTATTGACTAGTGGATGAAAATGTGACGAGAGGCTCACGGGAACCTAACCCTATAATCTTGGAGGAGTTTGTTGGTGGCTGATGTGATACCTCAGTTCTTCTCGGTTTAAAAATTTAAACAAGAGACATACAACAAAAGTGCAGCATGGAGTAATTTTTTTTTTATTGTTTCGAGACAGTCTTGCTCTTGTCGCTCAGGCTAGAGTGCAGTGGTGCTATCTCGGCTCACTGTAACCTCTGCCTCCCAGGTTCAAGCTATTCTCCTGCCTCAGCCTCCTGAGTAGCTGGGATTACAGGCACCCACCACCATGCCCACCTAATTTTTGTATTTTTGGTAGAGACGGGGTTTCACCATGTTGGCCAGGCTGGTCTCAAGCTCCTGACCTCATGTGATCTGCCCACCTTGGCCTCCTAAAACTAGGATTACAGGTGTGAGCCACCGCGCCCAGCCCCCTTGCTCAGCTTCTACTGGGTGTTCAATGATAGCTTAATGTCATTTGATTCTCAAATAAGCTTTTCCCCTAGTCTTTATCCTCCCTGCTTATACCTGAAAGGGCTTTTCTTCATGATGTTTCAAGTTTTCCTCTGTGTGTCTTTCCCCATCTTTTCTCCAACAATTTCTGGAGTAGTCCAATGAATTTGGGCTGCCAGGGTAGGTCCTAACATACATCTCTTCTGGAGATTTCTCTTTGGGAGACATTCGGGGGTCACACACCAGTAGCTTCAAGCATAGTGTTTTGGGCCAGGCATGGTGGCTCATGCCTGTAATCCCAGCATTTTGGGAGGCCAAGGCCAGTATGCACCTGTAGTCCCAGCTACTCGGACGCTGAGGCAAGAGAATCACTTGAACCTGGGAGGCAAAGACTCCAGTGAGCCGAGATCCAGCCATTGCACTCCAGCCTGGGCAACGAGAGCGAAACTCCATCACAAAAAAAAAAGTCTTTTGTTCTGCTGTCTATCTGTTGCCTTCAATACTACCTGGTATTTTGACATGACCCAGCATACATGCCGGACCAGGTTCTATGGGGGAATAGTGGCAGATCTGTCTCAATCACCATTAGCTGCCTGGTGGCCAAAATCGTGATGGGCGGAAACTTCTATTTTCTCTCTTTGTTACCCCTTCTCCCTGATTAGTTTCCCCCGTTCCCATCTCTCAAATGTCTTTGATCTTTACTGTGACTAATTAACTTCAATGTTCTTCTTATTCACATTTCAGGTGAACCCTCTGAATGTGAGTTGGTAAGTACCATCATGCACCTGTAACTTTTCTAGGACAGCTGTCACTGTTAGTAAGGCAGATAAATCAGGTGCTGATGGCATTGTTCCTTCTGGGATGGGATGAAAGCCAGTGATCTCGAGTCTAGGTAAGGTTGCTAGAGAAAATACCCAGTTGAGGCCGGGCCCGGTGGCTCACGCCTGTAATCCCAACACTTTGGGAGGCCGAGGCGGGCGGATCACAAGGTCAGGAGATCGAGACCATCCTGGCTAACACGGTGAAACCCCATCTGTACTAAAAATACAAAAAAAACTAGCTGGGCGTGGTGGCGGGCACCTGTAGTCCCAGCTACTCAAGAGGCTGAGGCAGGAGAATGGCGTGAACCCGGGAGGCGGAGCTTGCAGTGAGCCGAGATCGCACCATTGCACTTCAGCTTGGGGGACAGAGCGAGACTCCATCTCAAAAAACAAAACAACAACAAAAAAGTGTACTAACACAAGTAGCAGGAAGTACTGTGAAGCGAAAATACTCAAATGTGTAGGCAAGACAGTGAGAGGAGGTGATATTTATGGCTTATGATTTCAACTCTCTCCTTTTCTGCAGGTCACAAGTGTCCTGTGGATATAGGAGTCCTTTGCTGAAGTGAGAAACTGCATGTGTTGGGCAAGATGAACTTTTCTGTAATCACCTGCCCCAACGGTGGTACCAACCAAGGGCTTCTGCCTTACCTGATGGCCCTGGATCAGTATCAGCTGGAGGAATTCAAGCTTTGCTTGGAACCCCAGCAGCTGATGGACTTCTGGTCGGCCCCCCAGGGGCACTTCCCGCGTATCCCCTGGGCAAACTTGAGAGCTGCCGACCCTTTGAATCTGTCCTTTCTTTTGGATGAACACTTCCCAAAAGGTCAGGCATGGAAAGTGGTCCTCGGCATCTTCCAGACAATGAATCTGACCTCACTGTGTGAGAAAGTTAGAGCCGAGATGAAAGGTGAGAGTCCTCAAGAAGGAAGGCGGGAGGGCTGCTTGGTACTCCTGAGGCAAGGAGGTAGCCGCTGGGTTTTTGTGGGGTCATTCCACACTGCCGATCTCCCCCTACAAATCCTCCTTGATAATCTATGACAGTATGATGTTTAAAGGCATAAAGGCTATAAAGATTTAGTGCTCTAGCCTGGGAAGGAGTAGCAAAGGCAAGAAAGGGAATCGGAAGAGGCACATTCAGTTATGTTATAAGCCTTTTTCTTTCTTTCTTTCTTTCTTTTTTTTTTTTTTTTGAGCCTGAGTCTCCACTCTGTCGCCCAGGCTGGAGTGCAGTGGTGCGATCTGAGGTCACTGTAACCTCTGCCTCCCAGGTTGAAGCGATTCTCCTGCCTCAGCCTCCCAAGTAGCTGGGACTACAGGCGCCCGCCACCACACCCGGCTAATTTTTTTGTATTTTTAGTAGAGACGGGGTTTCACTGTGTTAGCCAGGATGGTCTCAATCTCCTGACCTCGTGATCTGCTCGCCTCGACCTCCCAAAGCACTGGGATTACAGGCGTGAGCCACCGCGCCCAGCCCAGGCTTCTTTTAAACATGCAAATTTGTCCCAGTGTGATTGTCGTACTGGGAACAATTTGAGTGCAGCACAGATTTCATGTTAGCTTATGCATGGTTTTGCCCAAGAGAAACACTAAGAAACCACAACAACCCCCGCCCTGCCCCCGCAACCCACCGACCCTGCACTCAGCCGAGCAGAGCCATGTAGGATTGTACACAATGCACACAGGCATGTACCTCAAACATCTACCCGCTTCCTCAGTACGAGCCTTGCCCATTCTACACTTTCTGTCTGATTTCAGATCATTGTTCTTTCACTTCACAAAAACTCACAAGCTGCGACACTTCCCATATTCACAAGCAAAGTTCATGTTTTACTCAGGGTAAAGTTTCATGCCACATCTTCTGTGGCATTGCAAGACCTGCTGAGGTGTTACAGGGCTGATTGTGGTGTTGTAGGATCGTGCAGTGTTTATTGTGGTAATAAAGTGTTTTGTAATTAATCAGCAAGTATAAAACCATGCTGTTTAAGCTTCTGGTTAAAATTTTATATATATATATATATATATATAATCACTGATTCTATCTCCTGTAAGCCGTCTGGTCTTAGTGCACCATGTAATCTGCTGTGGTGAGTTTTCAGAATGCACACATCACTTTATAAAAGAACTGACTGCCTATGAGAGCTGTTGAAAATAATCATGTTTCCTGGTGCCTGTTATAAACCAGACATTGACTCTTTTTTTTTTTTTTTTTTTTTGAGATGGAGTTTCCTTCTTGTCACCCAAGCTGGAGTACAATGGTGTGATCTTGGCTTACTGCACTCTCCGCCTCCTGGGTTCAAGGGATTCTCCTGCCTCAGCCTCCCGAGTAGCTGGGACTACAGGCACCTGCCACCATGCCCGGCTAATTTTTGTATTTGTAGTAGAGACGGGGTTTTGCCATGTTGGCCAGGCTGGTCTCAAACTTCTGACCTCAGGTGATTTGCCTGCCTCAGCCTCCCAAAATTCTGGGATTACAGGCGTGAGCCACCATGCCTGGCTATAAACCAGGCATTTATCTTAATGCTGTCTATACATTTGTACTGACTCTTCACTATATTTATAAGAAGGAGGTCCTATTACTTGTATCTTACAGAGAAGGAAACTGAGGCACAGACAGCTTAAGTAAATTTCCCAAAGTCACAGAGCTGGTGACCAGGAGAGCTGGGACATGAGCCCAGGCAGTGTGTCTCCAAAGGCTCTGTGCTTGACCTTGTACAGCTTCTCCTACCCTCAAATGAGTGAGTTCTAAGGAAGGAGAGTGGGCAATACTGAGTCTTCCATATCAGAACCCTGGACACGGGGCATGCGGAGTCATACAAGTTCGGGCTTTGTGTATCTTCTGGTGGAAAGGAGGATGAGATGGAGACTAGAACACCACTCCACCCTTTTTCCCTGTCCCTCTCTCATTTTTAAAGCCCTCAGATACTCTTGTTTGGAATAGGCAGATGTAAAGCAGAAAACTAGGGAATGAGATTTAGAATTCTTTTTTTTACTGTCTTAATTTCTTTTCTTTTCTTTTTTTTCAAAGAACCAACTTTAGGCTTTATTGATTTCTCTATTGCATGCTTTGTATTGCATTGATTTCTGATTTTATCTTTATTATTTTCCTCTTTCTACTTTCATTTTTTTATTATACTTCAAGTTTTAGGGTACATGTGCACAACGTGCAGGTTTGTTACATAGGTAGACACATGCCATTGTGGTTTGCTGCACCGATCAACCCATCATGTACATTAGGTATTTCTTCTAATACTATCCCTCCCCTAGCCCCCCACCCACTGACAGGCCCAGTGGGTGATGTTCCCCTCCCTGTGTCCATGTGTTCTCATTGTCCAGCTCCCACTTATGAATGAGAACATGCGGTGTTTGGTTTTCCGTTCCTGTGTTAGTTTGCTGAGAATGATGGTTTCCAGCTTCATCTATGTCCCTGCGAAGGACATGAACTCATCCTTTTTTACGGCTGCATAGTATTCCATGGTGTATATGTGCCACATTTTCTTCATCCAATCTATCATTGATGGGCATTTCGGTTGGTTCCAAGTCTTTGCTATTGTGAACAGTGCTGCAATAACCATATGTGTGCAAGAGTCTTTATAGTAGAATGATTTATAATCCTTTGGGTATATACCCAGTAATGGGATTGCTGGGTCAAATGGTATTTCTAGTTCTAGATCCTTGAGGAATCGCCACACTGTCTTCCACAATGGTTGAACTAATTTACACTCCCACCAACAGTGTAAAAGTGTTCCTATTTCTCCACATCCTCTCCAGCATCTGTTTCCTGACTTTTCAATGATCGCCATCCTAACTGGCGTGAGATGGTATCTCATTGTGGTTTTGATTTGCATTTCTCTAATAACCAGTGACGATGAGCTTTTTTTCATGTTTGTTGGCTGCATAAATGTCTTCTTTTGAGAAGTGTCTGTTCATATACTTCGCCCACTTTTTGATGAGATTTTTTTTTCTTGTAAATTTAAGTTGTTTGTAGATTCTGGATATTAGCCCTTTGTCAGATGAGTAGATTACAAAAATTTTCTCCCATTCTGCAGGTTGCCTGTACACTCTGGTGACAGTTTCTTCTGCTGTGCAGAAGCTCTTTAGTTCAATTAGATCCCATTTGTCAATTTTGGCTTTTGTTGCCATGCTTTTGGTGTTTTAGTCATGAAGAAAGGATATCAGAGATTGAAAATAGAGATTTAGAACTCTTAAATTCTGTTTCCAACTGAATATCTCTCTTTATAGAGACCTGGAGAGAGGAATTAGCACAGAGGAGAATGCTCTCAAAGGAAGAACTTACTTTCTTGTTGCTGATTTTTAAAAATATAAACTTAAAAGTTTTTGGATACATAGTAGGTGTCTATATTTATGGGGTACATGAGATATTTTGATACTGGCATGCATTGGGTAATAGTCACAGGGGTAAATGGAGTGTGTCCATCACCTCAAGCATTTATCCTGTTTCTTGTCACTGATGTTTTTAAAATTTAAACTTAAATTTAAAAAATTCTGGATACTTAGTAGGTGTATATATTTATGGGGTACATGAGATATTTGGATACAGGCAAGTGATGCGTCATAACCACATCAGGGTAGATGGGGTGTCCCTCCCGTCAAGCATTTATCCTTTGTTTCTTGTTGCTGATTTCGAATGGCGGCATAAACTTCCTGCCTGAAGGCTGCAGGGCCAGGCGGGGCACATCACAGGAGCCCCGTTTCCCTGGTCCTTGTCTTGTTCCTACTTGGCCTTCTAAAGGCGTGGGTCATGGGGAAGATACCTCTCAAGTAGGAGAAAGCCCTGGGCCACATCCACCTCACCAGCCATGCAGGGGACGATAAAAGCTCAGCAGTTGGATCAGGTGGTTCTTAGTGCCCTGTTAGCCCCATCATCTAGGAAACTGTACCATGAGTATTTCTGTACTTGACCAGTGTTGTGGGATATGCATCTGAGAGTGAGTTTGCGGACACAACTGTGTATACAGGGACCCACGTACTGTCTTTTGGGGACTATTGGCTTAAGGGCTCAGGTTCTGGAGTCAGGATGTCTGGATTCAAAGGCTAGTTCCATTTGACCAACGGTAACCTTGGACAAGTGATTTTTACCACGGGGCCACAATTCTTTCTTAAACTGGGGTCACTGTTCCAACCTCTACATTTCTAGAGTGAAATGCTTAGAAGGCACTGGGCACAGAGTAGGAACTTGCATGTTAGTTGATCTTTGGGGTAGTTTTTTTTATCTGAAAGCGTCACTTGCCCTGGTGGTTTATGGATGATTGTTTAAGCATGGTGCCTGGCCAGCAGTATCAGAGCTGGGAGAGTGTCACCTCACTACACACACACCCTCTACCCCACCCAAGGATATGTCTGTGAATTTGCAGTGGAAGAATCTATTTCAGGCTTCCACAGGTGTACAAATGGAAGTCCAGAACTGGGATTTTTTTTTTTTTTTAAGGAATTAGACTTTATTTCACAGGCAAAGGAGAATAATCGAAGGCAAATGTGTCATATAGTTTTCACTCTTTTTTTTTTTTTTTTTCCTAGATGGAGCCTCGCTCTGCCACCCAGGCTGGAGTGCAGTGGCATGATCTCGGCTCACTGCAACCTCTGCCTCCGGGTTCAAGCGATTCTCCTGCCTCAGCCTCCCAAATAGCTGGGAGTACAGGCGCCCACCACCACACCCAGCTAATTTTTGTGTTGTTATTAGAGATGGGGTTTCCCCACGCTGGCCAGGCTGGTCCCAAACTCCTGACCTGGTGATCTGCCTGCCTCAGCCTCCCAAAGTGCTAGGAGTACAGGTGTGAGCCAATGTGCTGGGCTGGTTTTTACCTTTTATACTTAAATCTATTCTCTCTTTTGGGTTGGTTTTTTTTTTCTCCTGTATAAGGTGTAAAGTTTAGGTTGCTACCCCTTTTCTTCTTATTTTTTCCACCTATAGATATCCATTGGCTCCAGCACCATTTGTTGAAAAGAGCTCTTTATCTATTGAATTGCTTCTGCATCTTTGTCAAAAATCATTTGGCTATGCTTGGGTGGAATTCATACTTTTCAAAGTTATTTCATTATATACATAAAAGTTTAAAATTACTCTATATTCTTCATGCATTGCATTTTAAATTATGTAGGAATCATTTCCCAGTAAAGCATTTTTTTGGGGGGACCTTTAAGACAAGGCCAAGATTTCCCCCACCACCCTCCGCATGGGCAGTGAGGTTTAACATGCAATGGGAACAGGGACCACATTGACTTAAGTGCATAATTATGTGTAAATCACCGGTGCTTCCCTACATTGAGGGGTTGCTAGGATTAGGATAAAGACACCACTAAGTAAACCTATGGAGCCTGGGGGGAGTAATGTTGGGTGTAGGAAGGGTAGGCTGGTTACCTAAAACATGCTCCTCTGGCATTTAAAACATACTCAGATAAGTGCGCCTCACCAGAGAATGGAGGAATGCCTAGGCCTGGTGAGTGACCAGTGGAACTTCCATATGCCCGCTCTTCGCTATTCCTTCATGTCCTTGCAAAGTTCCCTAAGCATGAGGGAGAATAAGTGAAAACTTACTAATTTTTAACCTTTGTTTTCTCTTTGCAGCCATGTACTAGTCCTGCTAGGCTGTTCATCTGGAATAGCCTGGCTTTTCTGACAGGTGGTCCCAGCTAAATTGGAGTCTTAAATTTAATCTATGAAGATCCAGATGGTGATGCCTGATACTTGACAGTAAAGCTATAACCTGGAAGGCTCACATCGTTGGATTCGTTTGCAACAGAGGAATGCCACATGTCAAACAGTTGGCTTTTGGATAAACAGAGCCAGTGAAGAGGGGAAAATCGTCTACTTTTCCTCTGCTTGGGCTATGGCTAGGAAAAGGTTCCCACTCGGGCTCCCTGCTTCCAGGAGAGTTAGAATTCAGGACAGACTTCAGCTTGAAATATGTGGACGTAGGGCTCAGACTCCACAGGTAGGGTCTGTGGAGCTTCAGAGAGCTGGGATTATTTGGCCTAGGCTAACATGGGTGTAGAATGATGGATTCTTGTTCTTTGAAGGAACATGGAACATCTGGAGGAAGTGCAGGACACAGCTTGCTAACCAGAACAAGCCATGTAAACAGTGACAAGCAATGGAGTTGTAAATATTAGAGCCATATCTCTAGATGCAAATCCCTTACAAGGTATTGTCCTGTAGCAGCTATGTACTACACAGTAAAGTGAGTTTGGCCACTGTGAGTTATAGAAGAGGTCTTCTAGCTCATGAGGAAGGGGACATTCAGAGTGGTGATGTGCAGCAAATTGAGGGACTTGGTTTGAACCCAATTCTTGGTGCTTTTATTCCTACAGTATTCTACTCCAAAGATATTAGAGTGGCTTCTCTGTGTGGGGTACTGTTCTACACACTTGGGATGAATCCGTAAACAGACTAGCCATCTCCCTAGACAGGCAATAGACATAACGCATAAATCACATGGTGTGTTAAAAGGTGACAAGTGCAAACGGAGGATAAGGCAGATGGGGAGAGGCTAAGGTATGTTATTAAAGATATAGGTGGTAGTCATGATTAGGATTATCAGGCACCATTGTGGAGGTAAGATTTCAGCAGAGCCTTGAGAGTGAGCTAAGCAGATGTCTGGGAATCCAGGCAGCGGGGAGGGCTGGAGCCAAGGCCCTGAGGCAGGAATGTGCTTAGCGTGTGCTGTGGACTTTCCAGAGTGCACACTGCATCTTCAGTTGGGCTAATGGAGCTTGAGAAAACTGGAGGAATCAGACCTTCAAACTCCAGTTTGTCATAGAAGGAGTTGGTTCTACTGAGAGACTCCATTATTGCTGGTCCATTTTCAGTCTGGGTATTCTCATATGTCATCATCACTGTTTGTTTCAGAGAATGTGCAGACCCAAGAGCTGCAAGATCCAACCCAGGAAGATCTAGAGATGCTAGAAGCAGCAGCAGGTGTGTACACTACTTTAAGTTGATAATGGACAGGTTGCTTGATGGAGCACTCATTCACTGGTCCACATCCGCTGCCTACTCTGAAATTTCTTGAATTTATAGTGCATAAAAAATTAAAAACTTTCCAACTAATTCTTTCAGTATTGCTTATTAAATGATAACTTACTGTAAACTGGGCATACTGATTCCTCCAGTCTCTTCAATCCCGTTTGCCATAGAAAAAGTTGGTTCTACTGGGGGCTTCCATTATTGCTGGCCCATTTTCACTCTGGGGTATTTTCATATCTCATCGTCAATGTTTATTTCAGGGAATATGCAGACCCAGGGATGCCAAGATCCAAACCAAGAAGAACTAGACGAGCTAGAAGAAGAAACAGGTGTGTACATTACTTGGTTGATAATTGACAGGTTGCTTGATGGAACACTCGTTTCATTGGTCCACATTTGCTGCCTATGCTGAAATTTCTTGAATTTATGGTACATAAAAAATTAAAAACTCTTTCCATCTAGTTCTTCCAGTATTTCTTATTAAATAATAACTTACGGCTGAGTAGAACGGCTCATATCTGCAATTCCAGCACTTTGGGAGGCCAAGGTGGGCAGATCACTTGAAGTCAAGAGTTTGAGACCAGCCTTGCCAACATGATGAAACTCCATCTCTACTAAAAATACAAAAATCAGCCAGGCCTGGTGGTGTGTGCCTGTAATCCCAGCTACTCAGGAGGCTGAGGCAGGAGAATCTCTTGAACCCAGGAGGCAGATGTTGCAGTGAGCCAAGATGGTACCACTGCACTCTAGCGTGGGCAACAGAGTGAGACTCCATTTCTTAAAAATAAATAAAAAATATAAACTGGGCATGCTGATTTCTCCAGTCTCTTCACTCTCAAGTTTGCCATAGAAAGAGTTGGTTCTACTGAGAGTCTTTATCATTGTGGCCCATTTTCAGTCTGGGGTATTTTCATATCTCATCATCACTGTTTATTTCAGGGAATGTACAGGCCCAGGGATGCCAAGATCCAAACCAAGAAGAACCAGAGATGCTAGAGGAAGCAGGTGTGTATACTACTTTATGTTGATAATGGACAGGTTGCTTGACGAGCATTGGTTTCACTAGGTCCATAGTAGAGTTGCCTCATACTGACATTTTCTTCAGTTTATGGTATGCAATAAATTAAAAGCTCTTCCCAACTGGTTCTTCCAGTACAATTTGTTGAAAAATGCCAGGTCCAACCCGCAGACCCTGGCCGAACAACGAATGAAAAAATGCACTCAGACACAGATATCCAGTGAAAGAGCAGGCTAGGGGACTGGGCTGCCCACAGATACTGAGGAGGGTGCTATAAAGAGTCAGCAGCTGCTGCCCTGACAAGCTGGCACTGCGGGCATTTATTTAGAACAGATTTAATGACAAAGGCCTTGAGTCAACACACTTGTGGGCAATTCACATGGTGGTGCCCCTTCCACCCCCTACTCCTGCGCGTGGGTGATGAAAGGCCAGGTTTCTGGAGGCATGATAAACAAGCTATTCAGATAAACTTCCCTGCATTCTTCTGTACCTACTACTTGGCCTTTGCCCCAGGGTAAGAACCATGCCTTCAGCTCATTCTTCCCCAAAGCTTTGCAACCCCCTCTCCCCCAGCCTTCCAAGAAAGTTTGCATTTTTCCTACAACTTCTCCCACCACCCTGACTGATCTCCTACAGAAAAATAGGTTACTATAAACGGGATTCTCTGTTTTTCCTGTAGGTTCTCACACACTGGTGTCTGCTTCTGGACTTGGTGCTTTTGTTAAATAACTGATATTGAGATTACCTTTTAACAGGTGAATTAATAGGCATCTGTAGTTTTTGTACCAGTGGCCCTATGGAGATTGTCACTCTGAGAAAGTAAAACATACATTCTAGTTCTAAGTTTAGTTTTATCAAAGAAGTACATGTGCATGTATACAAGCCCCAAAGAATCACAGGGACATAGAGCTTGTAATGCAAAGCATCAATCCTCCCAGCCAGCTCTTGAGGTCTGCTCTACAGAGACATCCACCCACTACTCTTTGGGGCTACTTCTGATATTTGTTTCTATGGTCATAAGTGATTAATATTTCCTGCTATTTCTTAGTTTTCCAATCGGTTATCTACTGACTTCTTGTCATGGTGTTAGGTATCTGTCTTCCCTTCTATCCTCCCATAACATTATCATTTCTCCTGGGTGTAGCAGCATCAGTGTTCAGTATCCTGGGCATATAAATTGATGCTGAGTCTTGGAATGAAGGTTGTATGCTACAGTAGTTTCCTAGGGCCTCTGTTAACCAATTGTATGACAAACTGGATAGCTTAAAACAACTCTGCTGGGCATGATGGCTCACGCCGGTAATCCCAGCACTTGGGGAGGTTGAGGTAGGCAGATCACGAGGTCAAGAGATCAAGACCATCCTGGCCAACATGGTGAAACCCCATCTATACTAAAAATACAAAAATTAGCCGGGCATGGTGGTGTGTGCCTGTAGCTCCAGCTACTTGGGAGGCTGAGGCAGGAGAATTGCTTGAACCTGGGAGGCAGAGGTTGCAGTGAGCCAAGATCATGCCACTGCACTCAAGCCTAGTGACAGAGCAAGACTCCATCTGAAAAAACAAACAAACAAAAAAACAAAAAACAACAATAAAAAAAAAACCTCTTTGAGAGACAGGCCAAATGATACGGTTTGGCTGTGTCTCCACCGAAATCTCATCTTGAATTGTAGCTCCCATAATTCCCATGTGTCATGGGAGGGACCTGGTGGGAGGTAACTGATTCATGGGGTGGATCTTTCCCTCGCTGTTCTCATGACAGTGAGTAAGTCTCCTGAGATCTGATGGTTTTATAAAGGGGAGTTCCCCTGCACATGCCCCCTCACCTCCCACTAGGTAAGTTGTGTCTTTGCTCCTGCTTTGCCTTCTGCCATGATTGCGAGGCCTCCCCAGCCATGTGGAACTGTGAGTCCATCAAACTTATTTTTCTTTATAAATTACCTACTCTTGGGTATGTCTTTACTAGCAGTGTGAGAACAGACTAATATACCAATTAACTGAAATCAACATGTCAGTAGAAAGGCTCTGGGGAAGATCTGTTCTGGTCTCTTCCAGCTCTGGTGGCTTCCAGTATTTCTTGGGTTGTGGCCTCATGACTCTCATCTCCAACTCTGTGGCCTCATTGCCACCTGCTATGTCTTTTCCTCTGAGTGTCTGTGCCTCATCTCCCTCTGCTCCTACTTTAGGATGATATGTGCAATTGTATTAGCCCCCCAGATAATCCAGGATAAGTTCCTCTTCTCCAGATCCTTAACTTAATCTCTTTTTCTGGGATCATAACAGGTAATATTTATTATTCTTTTGCCATATACCTTTGTATGGATGTGTCATGGTTTGTATTTAACCTTTTCCTGTTGACAGAAATCTAGGCTTCCAGCTTTTTAAAAAACATTAAGCAATACTTTGATAAATGTCCATATCATATGTGCATATCCACAAATATTTCTGTAGAAGACATTCTTAAAGTAGGACTCCTAGACAAAAACATATATATATAATCTAAAGCTTATAGTCAAATTGATCCTCTAAAAGGCTGTAACAAAATATCATCCGTTATGATATTGTGGGTGTCTTTTTCCTTCCAAGTATCAATAAAAATTCTTCCAAATATTTGCCAAATTAACAGAAATACTGTCTTGACTCAATATGTGGTTTGCATTCCATTTTGTTACATGGATATATCGTGTAGTGGTAAAGTCTGAGCTTTTGGTGGAGCCATCACCTGAATAGTCTACATTGTACCTATTAAAGGAATTTCTCGTCCCTCAACCCCCTCCTACCTTTCCACCCTTCTGAGTCTTCAACGTCTATTATTCCATTCTATATGTACATATGTACACATGATTTAGTTCCAACTTATAAGTAAGAACTTGCGGTATTTGTTATTCTGTGTCAGACTTACTTCACTTAAGATAATGGCCTCCAGTTCTATCCATATTGCTGTAAGATATATTATCTTTTATGAGTAGTATTCCTGGGTGTGTATATATGTGTATACATACATACATACATACACCACATTTTCTTTATCCAGTCATCCATTAATGGACATTTAGGTTGATTGCGTATCTTTGCTACTGTGAATACTGCTGCAATAAACACAGGAGTGCAGGTATCTTTATGATATGATTTTTTTTTCTTAGAATAGATACCCAATAGTGATACTGTTTGATCAAATGGTAGTTCTATTTTTAGTTCTTTGAGAAATATCCTAATATTTTCATAGATATTGTACTAATTTACTTTCACACCAACAGTGTACAAGTGTTCCATTTTCTGAATCCTTGCCAACATTTGGGTTTTTTGACTGTGGCTTTAATTTGCATTTCTCTGCCTAGTGATAATGAGCATTTTTTTTTTACATGTTTCTTGACTACTTCTATGTCTTCTTTTAAAAAATGTCTGCTTATGTCCTTTCTCCATTTTCTAATGGGATTTTATTTAAATTGAGTTCCTTGTAGGTTCTGGATATTAGCCCTTTGAATGTATACTTTGCAAATATTTTTTCCTATCCTGCAGGTTATCTGTTCACTTGATTACTTCTTTTGCTGTGTAGAAACTTCTTAATTAAGGCATATCAGTTTATTTTTGTTTTTCTTGCATTTGTTTTTGAGGTCTTAGTCATGAATTCTTTGCCAAGGCAATGTCCAGAAAACTTTTCCCTACATTTTCTTCTAGGATTTTTACAGTTTCAGGTCTTACATTTAAATCTCTATTCCATCTTGAGTGAGCTTTTGAATATAGTGAGAGATATGGTCCAGTTTTATTCTTCTACATATGGCTAGCCAGTTTTCCCAGCACCGTTTATTGAATAGAGTGCCCTTTCCCTAGTGCGTGTTTTTATTGACTTTGCGGAAGATCAGCTAGCTGTAGGTATATAGCTTTATTTCTGGCCTCTCTATTCTGTTACATTGATCTATGTTTATTTTTGTACTAGTACCATGCTGTTTTGTTTACTATATCCTGGTAGTATAATTTGAAGTCAGGTAAGGTGATGCATACAGATTTGTCCTTTTTGCTTCTGATTGTTTTGGCTATTAGGGCTCTTTCTTGGTTCCATATGAATTTTAGGATTGTTTTCTCTAATTCTGTGAAATATGTCACTGGGAGTTTGATAGGAATTGCATTGAATTGATATATTGGAAAATATGGTCATCTTAATGACATTTATTCTTATCCACGAGCATTACTTGTGTCATCCATAATTTCTTAAGCTTTTTGTAGTTTTCCTTGTGGAGATCTTTCACCTCTTTGGTTGAATATATTCCTTAGGTGTTTTTTTTTAAGCTATTGTAAATAGATTGCCTTCTTAATTTGGTTCTCAGCTTGATCATTATGGAGTATAGAAAGGCTACTGATATTTGTACATTGCTTTATTTTAATACTAAGATTTTATGAATTCATTTATCAAATCTAGGAGTCTTTTAGAGAAGTCTTTAGAGTTTTCTAGATATAAGATCATATCAACAGATAATTTGGCTTCTTCTTTACAATTTAGATACCTTTTTATTTCTTTCTCTTGCCTGATTGCTCTGGCTATGACTAGCCAGTTTTGTGTTGAATAGGAGTGGTGAAAGTGGGCATCCTTGTCTTGTTCCAGTTCTTGGGGAGAATGCTTTCAACTGTTTCCCATTCAGTATAATGTGGGCTGTGGATTTGTCATATATGGCTTTTATTAGTTTGACATATGTTCCTTTGAAGCTTAGTTTGTTGAGGGTTTTTATCATGAAGGGATGCTGAATTTTACCAAATGCTTCTATGCATCTGTAGAGATGATCATATAGTTTTTGTTTTTAATTCTGTTTATGTGGCGAATCACATTTATTGATTTGTGAGTGTTGAACCGTCCTTGTATTCCTGGGTTAAAACCCACTTGGTCATGGTGTATTATCTTTTTTATGTGTTGTTGGATCAGTTTTCTGGTATTTTGTTGAAGATTTTTGCACTTATGTTCATCAGGGATAGTGGTCTGCAGTTGTCTTTTTGTGTCCTTGTTGAGCTTTGGCATCAGGATGATACTGGCTTAATAAAAGGAATTAGAGAGCACTCCCTCCTCTCCAACATCTTTTTCTGCAACAGTTTCAGTAGGATTGGTACCAGTTCTTCTTTGTATGTCTTGTAGAATTTGGTTGTGAAATACATCTGGTACTGGGATTTTTTTGTTATTAATTTTTTAAATTACTGATTCACTCACTCCTTGTTGTTGATCTGTTCAGGATTTATATTTATTCCTGATTCAATCTTGGTAGGTTGTATGT
This sequence comes from Homo sapiens, assembly GCF_000001405.40. NCBI lineage: Eukaryota > Metazoa > Chordata > Mammalia > Primates > Hominidae > Homo > Homo sapiens. The sequence goes on along the minus strand of NC_000019.10, from coordinate 55,918,645 downwards.
TCCCAGAAATTTATCTATTTCTTCTTGGGTTTTTAGTTTGTGAGTATAGAGTTGTCCATAGTAGTCTCTGATCATCTGTATTTCTGTTGGCTCAGTTGTAATGTTTCCTTTTTCATTTCTGATTGTTTGTTTGAATCTTCTCTTCTTTCATTAGTTAGTATAGCTAGCCATCTATCAATCTTGTTTATTTTTTAAAGTAACCAAGCTTTGGTTTTACTGATTCTTTGTATTGTTATTTTGGTCTCTATTTCTGCTCTGATTTGTTATTTTTCTTCTAGCTTTGGGTTTGATTTGTTCTTATTCTTTTTCCTTGAGTTGCATTGTTAGGTTGTTAATTTGTGATTTTTTTTTAAATGTAAGCATTTAATGCTATAAACTTTTTTTTTTTTTTTGCTGTATCACAGAGGTTTTGATATGTTGTGTCTCCATTTTCATTAGTTTCAAAAAACTTAATTTCTGTCTTAATTTTGTCATTGACCTAAAGATTGTTTAGGAGCAGTTGTTTAATTTCTGTGCATTTGCATAGTTTCAGGAGTTTCTCTTGAGATTGATTTCTAGTTTTATTTCACTGTAGTCTGAGAAAAATACTTGATATAATTTCCATTTTTAAAAAATTTATTGAGCCTTGTTTTGTAGCCTAACATACGGTCTATTTCAAGGAATGTTCCATGCACTGATGAGAAGAATATATATTCTGCAGTTGAGTAGAAGGTTCTGTAAATGTGTGTCAGTTTCATTTGGTCTAAAGTCCAATTTAAGTTCAGACTTCCTTTGTTGATTTTCTGTCTTGATGATCTGTCTAGTGCTGTCAGTGGGGTGTTGAAGTCTCCCACTATTATTATTTTGCTGTCTTTAGGTCTAATAATATTTGTTTTATGAATCTAGGTACTCTGGTATGGATGTATATATGTTTAGGATTATTATATCTTCTTGAATTGATCCCTTTATCATTATATAAAAATCTTCTTTGCCTTTTTTTAAACTGTTGCTGGTTGAAAGTCTTTCAACTAATATAAGTATAGCTACTCCAGTTTGCTTTTTGTGAAGCAAAGGGGGAAAAGTGGAATCTTTTTCTACACCTTTACCTTCAGTCTATAGTGAAGTAAGATGAGTTTTTTTTTAAGCAGCATATATTTGGCTTATGTTTTAAAATCTATTCCTCCAATTTATATCTTTTAAGAAGCGCATTTAATCCATGTATATTGAAGGTTAATATTGATATATGACCTTTTTTCCAGTTACAATGTTGATTTCCATTTGCTTTGCAGATTTTTTTGTTCTTTTTCTTTGTGATTTGATGGAATTGTGTCATGCTATCATTTGATTTCTTTCTCCTTTGTGTAATTGCTTTATAAGACTGGTGTATTTTATAGTTTTGTGTGTTTTTGTGATGGCAAGTATCAACCTTTTTAGTTCCATGTTTAGAACTCCTTCAAGTATTTCCTGTAGTACAAGTCTAGTAGTGACAAATTCCCTCAGTGTTTGCTTGTCTGAAAAAGACTTTATTTCTTCATTTATAAAGCTTATTGTAGAAGGATACAAAACTTGGGGTTAACAGTTTATTTCTTTAAACAAAAAACCTTTGAAATTCCAATTCCTTCTAGCTTGTAAGATTTCTGCTGAGAAGTCTGCTGTTAGTCTGATGGGTTTTGCTTCATAGGTGACTAGATTATTTTCTCTTACTGATTTTTTTTAGGACGTTTTTTCCTTCACATTAAACTTAGTCTGATGAATAAATATCATAGTGAGGCCCTTCTTGCAATGCATTTTTTTTGGAGTTCATTAATCCTCTTATATTTGGATGCCTGGATCTCTTGCCAGAGTAGGGAAGTTTTTCTCAATTATTTCCACAACAGGTTTTTAAAACTTTTTGCTCTTTCTTCTCCCTCAGGAATGCCTATGATTCATAGGTTCCAACATTGTATGTAGTCCCACGCCTTTTGAAGTCTTTGTTCATTTTCTTAAAATCCTGTTTATTTTTGTCAGACTAAATTAATTCAAAAGACCTTCAAGTTCTGAGATTCTTTCCTCTTCTTTGTCTAATCTGTTGTTGAAACTTTCAGCTATATTTTGTAACTTCAATGAATTTTTCACTTGCAGAAGTTTTATTTGATTTTTCTCTCAAAAATATCTCTTTGATAAATTTCTCATTCATATCCTGAATTTATTTTCTGATTTCTTTGTACAGGTTTTATGATTTCTCTTGGATCTCACTGAGCTTCTTTAAAATCAATATTTTAAATTATTTATCTGGCATTTTTACATTTTCATTTTGGTTAGGATCCATTGCTAGAGAGTTAGTACAATCCTTTGGGGGTATCATAACACCTGAGTTTTTTTAATATGCCAAGAATTGTGCATTAGTTTCTTATCTGAAGAAACTATCACTTCTTATTTTTGCATTTACTGCTGTTTAGATGGGACTATTTTTTCCCTTGAGGATGTGACTATAATGTGTGTTTAGTAGGGTCATTTGGCTTTTCTGAGTGCTTTCATTGACAAAGACTCTATAAATTCCTTGGTTATAGACAGTATTAGTGCAGTGGCTTTCTAAATGTGGTTTTAGTAGTGGTTTACTAGGTGTGTGAGTAGGCTCTTGGTCTCCTGTGGGGCCAGGTTAGTGAGGTCTTAAAGCTTATCTGGTTCCCAAGCACTGTTTACTTGTGTTAGCAGCTTTTGTATTGGGTTGTGTAGTTTGACATCTAGTCCAGTAGATGACACGTGCAGGTTAGAGCCAGCTGCAGCAGTTGCAGTAGCTTTTATGCTTGATTGTTGTTTACCAGGAGAAACTTTCTTGTGCATCAGGCAATGGGCTGGTCTGTGAAATGCATAGGAGCTTGGGCTCCATGATCAGCCATGGAGGGGTGGGAGTGAAGTTGGGTGGGGCTGGACAAGGCAAGCCTATCCTAGCTGATCTCTGCTGGCTGAGTTGGCTTCTCTTCCTTTTTCTGTGCCCCAGCTTCTTCCTATGAGTTCTCTGTTGGGCTCGAATATTCTCTCCTGATACTCTGTTTGAATTGTGATTATCTATTTGTTTTGTTTGTTTTTGAGACAGAGTCTTGCCCCGTTGCCCAGGCTGGAGTACAGTGGTGCGATCTTGGCCTGCTGCAACCTCTGCCTCCCGGGTTCAAGTGATTCTCCTGCCTCAGCCTCCCGAGTAGCTGGGATTACAGGCGCGTGCCACCATGCCTGGCTAATCTTTGTATTTTTAGTAGAGATGGGGTTTTACCATGTTGGTCAGGCTGGTCTCGAACTCCTGACCTCAGGTGATCCACCTGCTTCGGCCTCCCAAAGTGCTGGGATTACAGGCATGAGCCACCGCACATGGCTGTAATTACCTATTTGTAATTTTGGTTCTAAGAACTGGCACCCAATGTCTCCAGTCAGCCATCTCGAACCTCCTTAATCCACAACACTTACTTTTTCTTTGTGGTAAGAACACTTAAAATCTACTTTTTCTGAAGTGTTGAACTATATAACACACTGTTATTAACTACAGTTACATTGCTATGCAGTACATCACAGAACTCGTTCCTCTTGTCTACCTGAAACTTTGTACCCTTTGCTCAAAATTTCTCCTTTCCCTCTCTTTTCCCCGTGCCATTCCCCAGCTTCTAGTAATCACCACTTTATTCTCTTCTTCTGAGTTTTACTTTTTTAGATTCTACATATAAGTGAAATCATCTGGCATTTGTCTTTCTGTGTCTGGCTTATTTCACTTGGCAAGAAGAAATCAGTATGTCAAAGAGATTTTCACTCCCATGTTCATTGCAGCACTATTCACAATAGCCAAGATATGAAATCAACCTAGGTATCCATCAACAGATGAATGGATAAAGAAAATATGGCCTATAGATGCAATAGAATACTATTCAGCCTTTAAAGAGAAGGAAATTCTATCATTTGTGAAATTCTATCATTTGTGACAACACAAATTCTATCATTTGTGATATTATGGTAAGTGAGATAAGTCAGGCACAAAAAGGCAATTACTGCCCCATCTCACTAATATATGGGATCTAAGAATCTTGAACTCATAGAAGTAGAAAGTAGAATGGTGATTACCATTCATTCCTAAATTTTTTGCAGATATGTAATAGTTACATATACTGATGGGGTATATTCTACAAATACATTCTAGTCTGCCAGGTGCCCATTTTCACTTAGATGAAGATAGTAGTAGCTTTCTACTTGTTTTCTCTACCTCCTTTCCTACACTGATGCATCATAATCTATTCTTTATAAAACCTGGAGTTCTAAAAATATAAATTACGGCATCTCATTCCTTGGTTTTCAAAGCAAAGATAATCACGATCCAGCCTCCTACCATGTGCCTTGGTCACTATACTCTAGAATGCTCATTTCTGTCTCAGCATACGTAGTAGGCCCCAGAAGGCCTCTAAGAATCGCTAGCTCAATCACTCCTCACCCCAGCCTCTGTAGAGGTCCTGGCCCTTGTGCTGTGACTGGCCCCACAGTAGTCATTTTGGGAAGAAACCCAGGAATGGGGAGAATGGGAGAGACAAAGCCTTGATCTTCAGGGCAACCTAGAGTCTAAGCCCTCACCAGCTGAAGCTGTCTGGGCACAGGGACCAGGAAAACTGGCAGGCTCTACAGTTACTGATTCCCTTGTGAGTCGAGTCGGGTCAGCCTTCTGTGAGTGGGGGACTCTGACCTGCCCAAATCCCTTGTTGCTCTGAAGTGTTTCGAGGAAGTGAGGAAAACCTGATAGCTGGTGAGGGAAGAGGGCTCATGGGCCCCCTCTACTGGCTAGAAGGTGTCTTTGGGGTGCTGAGCTGGTCAGGCAATGGAGTGGGCACACTCACGAGGCTTGCAGAAAAAAATTCTGGGTGGGCATTCACCTTGGCCTTCCCCCCGCCTGAAAGTACCCCAGACTGACTTCTCTTCTGATGATTCTTCTCCATTCTCAGTGTAGAATCCTCTAGTGAGAGGCTTCTCGCTATGATCCCTTCTCTGCCCTCTCTTAAAGGTGTTCTTGATCGCTCTTATGTTATTCTGTATTTTTCATTTGTATATATCATCAAATTATTTAACTGTCTTCATATTTTGCAACTTTTTTTTTTTTTTTTTTTTTTTGAGACGGAGTCTCACTCTGTCACCCAGGCTGGAGTGCAGTGGTGCCTCTCGGCTCACTGCAACCTCCGCCTCCCGGGTTCACGCCATTCTCCTACCTCAGCCTCCTTTTGCAACTTTCTACCACTGCATTCCCACAAAATCCTGGAAGGCAGAGTTTCTCTTATTCAAGTCTTTGGGGTAGGAACTTTGTAACTGAATCATTCCTAACTCTGAAATTTATTCTTACCATTCTTCTCCCCACTCCGCCCTCTCTAGACCACAGAAGAAAATACAGAGAGAACATGAAGGCTGAACTACTGGAGACATGGGACAACATCAGTTGGCCTAAAGACCACGTATATATCCGTAATACATCAAAGGACGAACATGAGGAACTGCAGCGCCTACTGGATCCTAATAGGACTAGAGCCCAGGCCCAGACGATAGTCTTGGTGGGGAGGGCAGGGGTTGGGAAGACCACCTTGGCAATGCAGGCTATGCTGCACTGGGCAAATGGAGTTCTCTTTCAGCAAAGGTTCTCCTATGTTTTCTATCTCAGCTGCCATAAAATAAGGTACATGAAGGAAACTACCTTTGCTGAATTGATTTCTTTGGATTGGCCCGATTTTGATGCCCCCATTGAAGAGTTCATGTCTCAACCAGAGAAGCTCCTGTTTATTATTGATGGCTTTGAGGAAATAATCATATCTGAGTCACGCTCTGAGAGCTTGGATGATGGCTCGCCATGTACAGACTGGTACCAGGAGCTCCCAGTGACCAAAATCCTACACAGCTTGTTGAAGAAAGAATTGGTTCCCCTGGCTACCTTACTGATCACGATCAAGACCTGGTTTGTGAGAGATCTTAAGGCCTCATTAGTGAATCCATGCTTTGTACAAATTACAGGGTTCACAGGGGACGACCTACGGGTATATTTCATGAGACACTTTGATGACTCAAGTGAAGTTGAGAAAATCCTGCAGCAGCTAAGAAAAAACGAAACTCTCTTTCATTCCTGCAGTGCCCCCATGGTGTGTTGGACCGTATGTTCCTGTCTGAAGCAGCCGAAGGTGAGGTATTACGATCTCCAGTCAATCACTCAGACTACCACCAGTCTGTATGCCTATTTTTTCTCCAACTTGTTCTCCACAGCAGAGGTAGATTTGGCAGATGACAGCTGGCCAGGACAATGGAGGGCCCTCTGCAGTCTGGCCATAGAAGGGCTGTGGTCTATGAACTTCACGTTTAACAAAGAAGACACTGAGATCGAGGGCCTGGAAGTGCCTTTCATTGATTCTCTCTACGAGTTCAATATTCTTCAAAAGATCAATGACTGTGGGGGTTGCACTACTTTCACCCACCTAAGTTTCCAGGAGTTTTTTGCAGCCATGTCCTTTGTGCTAGAGGAACCTAGAGAATTCCCTCCCCATTCCACAAAGCCACAAGAGATGAAGATGTTACTGCAACACGTCTTGCTTGACAAAGAAGCCTACTGGACTCCAGTGGTTCTGTTCTTCTTTGGTCTTTTAAATAAAAACATAGCAAGAGAACTGGAAGATACTTTGCATTGTAAAATATCTCCCAGGGTAATGGAGGAATTATTAAAGTGGGGAGAAGAGTTAGGTAAGGCTGAAAGTGCCTCTCTCCAATTTCACATTCTACGACTTTTTCACTGCCTACACGAGTCCCAGGAGGAAGACTTCACAAAGAAGATGTTGGGTCGTATCTTTGAAGTTGACCTTAATATTTTGGAGGACGAAGAACTCCAAGCTTCTTCATTTTGCCTAAAGCACTGTAAAAGGTTAAATAAGCTAAGGCTTTCTGTTAGCAGTCACATCCTTGAAAGGGACTTGGAAATTCTGGAGTGAGTATTACAAACCATTTCTTTCTCAGCTTTCTCCTGTTTTCTCAGGCTCTGTGCAAATTCTTTCATGCAAAACCAGGGATGTGTTGTCGTTATGTATTCGTGCTTATTTCCGACCAAATGGTCTGGAGCAGCTCTAACTTGAAAGAATGTTGTCCTTTAGGCATCACCTAGTTTCCTAGCTAATCTAATTGATCAACTTAAAGACATCTTTATATCTTAGGCATTGAATATGGAGGGTTTAAGTACCAGGCATTGTGCTAAGACATCTACTTGTATCTAACTGAATGTCCATGACTGAGTGGTTATTAGCTGGGTGTGGTGGCACACACCTGTGGTCCCAGCTACTGGGGGGCTGCGGTGGGAGGATTGCTTGAGCCAAGGAGGCAGAAGTTGCAGCAAGCAGAGATCACATCACTGCACTCCAGCCTGGGCAACAGAGTAAGACCCTGTCTCAAAAACAAAACAAAATAAAAAATAACCTCCCCCAAGGTGAGGCTGATATACATTAATATTTGGGAACCATGGCTCTAACATAGGGACATTTTCCTTTGCTCATCTTTCTCTGTCTCCATCTGCTACAATGCTGAGAGCTGTCAGCCCTCCCAGTGGATCATGGAAGCTAGGGGTGGTCTTGCAACCCCCACACCCTGACAGATGTAGGTTCCCAGGTTGAAGCTATTCTCCTGCCTCAGCCTCCTGAGTAGCTGGGATTACAGGCATGCACCACTACACCTGGCTAATTTTGTATTTTTAGTACAGACGGGGCTTCACCATGTTGGCCATGGTGGTCTCAAACTCCCGACGGTCTCCCAAAGTGGTGGGATTACAGGCGTGAGCCACTGCACCCAGCCACATTAGGAAAATTATAATAATTTTGTTAGGGTTTCTTTCTGTGTCCCGTAGGTTGTATTCTGGGTATTGCTTGAGGCTAATTTGCTCTTATCCGTGTTCTGTCTCTCCCTCATGAAGGACAAGCAAGTTTGATTCCAGGATGCACGCATGGAACAGCATTTGCTCTACGTTGGTCACAAATGAGAATCTGCATGAGCTAGACCTGAGTAACAGCAAACTTCATGCTTCCTCTGTGAAGGGTCTCTGTCTTGCACTGAAAAATCCAAGATGCAAAGTCCAGAAACTGACGTAAGTGTGAGACGCCAGCAGCTCAAGAAGATACCCTAGGAGAATCTCCCAACTTCTCTCTTTTGATGAGTGTGGTTGACTATTTGCCAGAAGGCAAGCTACGTGCTCAGGAGGATAAAATAAACTGTGCTTGTATTTATGAAACTGCTACTTGGGCAAAGTAGGCTGAAATTTTAAAATGCCGATCTATCAAGAATGATCTCGCATTAGAGGCACCTGTGGACAAAGTAATTTTTCCCTAGGGCCTCAGTCCTGTTTTGAGCTGGATTTGAAGGAGTAGAAAACTTCGAGGGTATGGTGGACTCAAAGCACTCAAGAAGAGCTACAGACACGTGTAGTCTGAGACTGCTTCGTGTCTTAAGCAAAAGTAGGTAGTGTTTGATGGGTACTCCTGCATTCAGTGAGTATTGGACATCTCCTGTGTGCCAGGTTCTGTTCTCAGTTCTGAGGTTCTAGCAGTGAAGCCCACAGATAACTCCTGCCATCAGGGATCTTACATTGTGTCAGGGAAGCAAACAAAATCATCAAAATAGGACCCAAGAGGGTGGCATCTCCCAAAGAAAACTGGGGGCTCAGAAAGGATGTATGAGGAGGAAGGTGGCTTGCATTTTTTAGGTAGGAAAGGCAGAAGGGCCTCACTGAAAAGGTATTTGGGTAAAGACCGACTTGACTCAGTGTAGGGAAGGAGGAGGGACTGTGCCCATGGATACCTGGGGAAAAAGAGCATTCCAAGCCAAGAAAACGAGATAGAAGGCACCATGAGGAGAATGTACTTAGTATATTCAAATGATATCAACAAAGCCATCAGGCCTTCTATTACCAATTCTGGACATGTATTTCTGTCCAGTGACATGTTGGAGCCAGCTGCTACAACCTGGTGAGAGCCACTTGTGTGTGTGTACCTATCTTTGTAACTCCATTTAGTGACAGCAAGTGGGCAGATCGAAATTGGCCATGATTGGCTTGGAGAATTTACACCACAGAAATTGGCAAAGCTATAAATTAGGACTTTTTTTTTTTTTCCTGGAGATCCAGTGGTAATATTTATCAGCATACTGCTGCATTTGATGTGTATGTCTTTCCTCTTGGAGGCAACACCAGGGTTTCCTAGGCTTGTCCTGGGATGAATTAGGGAGAAACATGAGCTGCAGAAAAGGGAAAAAGTATGTGAATTAAAAATAGAACCTCTTAAAATAAAGGTGAGCAGGGGGAGGGTCCTCTCTGGAGCTGGAGCACAGCTGTGGACTAAAGCGTATTGGTCCCCTGCTAATATGATCCAAGGAGGAATGAATGACAGTGTCTCAGATCTGGCTTGAAGATAGGAAGGAATTAGCAAATGGAGGTGGACCTTGTATAACAATTAAGCCGGGGGGGAACTATAGAGGAGAGAGTAATGCGTAGCTTTGAATCTGAGGTGGGATTTGTTTGAATGATCTGGTGTCTAGGCCAATGAATTCTACCTTGCTTTTCCCCCACCATTAGGTCTTACTTTTCAAGGTCTAAAGCCTAGATGTGTGCATTGATTCAACCAGTTAAGAGTGAAAGGTTTGATCGTAACTTTCCTCAAACCTCAGTGTATTGGGTGAGCTGGACCAAACTCATGAGAGGCAGGCAGAGGGGGCTGTGGCCTTCATTTATTTTTTTAAAATACATTTAAGTTCAGGGGTACAAGTGTATGTCACTAGGTAAATGTGTGTCATGGGGTTTGTTGTACAGATTATTTCATCACCCAGATATTAATCCCAGTACCCATTAGTTATTTTTCCTGATCCTCTGCCTTTTCCCACTCTTCACCTTCCAACAGGCCCCAGTGTTCCTCACTATGTGTCCATGTGTTCTCATCATTTAGCTCCCACTTATAAGTGAGGACATGTGGTATTTTGTTTTCTGTTCCTGCATTAGCTTCCTAAGGATGATGGCCTCCAGCTCCATCCATGTTCTTGTAAAGGACATGATCTCATTCTTTTTTTATGGCTGCATAGTATTCCATGGTGTATAGGTGCCACATTTTCTTTGTTTGGTCCATCATTGATGAGAATTTAGGTTGATTTCCTGTCTTTGCTATTGTGAATAGTGCTGCAATGAACGTACGTGTGCATATGTCTTTATAATAGAACGATTTACGTTCCTTTGGGCATATACCCAGTAATGGGATTGGGCAGTCTTCTTTTTAAATTTTTCTTTTAATATTAAACTTTTGGTCGTACTTAGTTCTCAAGATAAGGAGAAAGAAGTTCAGAAAATGCAAGAGAGTTATTGCTGGGCTTTTCTAGGTTGGATTGTATGTGTATATGGGGGGGTCATTTCCTAGAAGAATAGGTGGCCCCAGGACCTCTTCATGGCAGGTCTCTAGGAGAGGTGGAGAGGGAAGGAGGGATCCCTGACTTCGTACCTGCAACTGAGTTTACTGATTTTTTTGGGGGGAGTATATTTTAGTTTTTATTTTCAAGGTCCAGTACCATGGCTCAGCCCTTGTTTTTAATTCCTTGTGTACCGTGTATAACCTTGGCAGTGAGTGTAGTAGAAGGCAGGGTGAGGAGGCAGACGGGATCCTGGAAACCAGTCTTCTCCCCCAATCCAGCTTTCATGTCCCTTCCCTTCCTCAGGTGCAAATCGGTAACTCCTGAGTGGGTTCTGCAGGACCTCATTATTGCCCTTCAGGGTAACAGCAAGCTGACCCATCTGAACTTCAGCTCTAACAAGCTGGGAATGACTGTCCCCCTGATTCTTAAAGCTTTGAGACACTCAGCTTGCAACCTCAAGTATCTGTGGTAAGTCTTTGGCTCCCTAGATCTGTCAAGGGGGGTTGCAAGACCACCAGTAGCTTCCACGATCCACTGGGAGGGCTGACAGCACTCAGCCTTGTAGCAAAAGGAGACAGAGAAGGATGAGCAAAGGAGAATGTTCCTATGTGTAGAGCCGTGGTTCTCAAATTTTAATGTATATTAGCCTCACCTTGGGGGAGGTTATTTTTTATTTTGTTTTGTTTTTGAGACAGGGTCTCACTCTGTTCCCCGGGCTGGAGTGCAATGACGTGATCTCTGCTTGCTGCAACCACTGCCTCCTTGGCTCAAGCAGTCCTCCCACTGCAGCCCCCGAGTGGCTGGTACCCACAGGTGTGTGCCACCACACCCAGTGAATTTTTGTACTTTTTGTAGAAATGGGGTTTTGCCATGTTTCCCAGGCTGGTCTTGAACTCCTGGACTCAAGCAATCTGCTTGCCTCGGCCTCTTGAGTGCTGGGATTACAGGCGTGAGTCAATGTGCCCGGCCCAACCTAGTGGGTGTTTTAAAATACAGATTCCAGGCCAGGTGTGGTGGCTCATGCCTGTAATCCCGGCACTTTGGGTGGTGGAGTGGGGCAAATCATGAGGTCAGGAGTTCGAGACCAGCCTGACCAACACGGTGAAACCCCGTCTCTACTAAAAAATACAAAAATTAGCCGGGTGTGGTGGCACATGCCTGTAATCTCAGCTACTCAGGAGGTTGAGGCAGGAGACTCGCTTGAACCCGGGAGCGGAGGTTGCAGTGAGCCAAGATTGTGACACTGCACTCCAGCCTGGGCAACAGAGCAAGACTCTAACTCAAAAAAAAAAATAATAATACAGATCCCAGGAACTCAACTGCAGAGATCCTGCACATTTGGGGTGGGACCTAAGAATGAGCACTTCTAACAGGCTACCACGTCATGCTGCTCTTGCTGGATCATGGACCATGCTTTGAGTAGCGTTGACATGCGGGCCATCCAACCTCTGAAAGGGATGGGGAAGAGGGAGAAAGTCAGCTTTCATTCATGGAGCAGGGGGGGGTCTGTAAACACAGATCACTCTTTCAAAGAGTAACGGTCTGTCTCGGGGCCTCTGTGATAGGTTGGAGTCCTGTGGCCTTACCTACCAGATTTGTCAGCTCTTTCTCAAACTCACTGAGAACACAAGTCTCAACTTCCTCAGCCTGGGAGACAATGATCTCTCTGATGTGAGAAGCCTGAGGGAGTCCTCCACGCTACCAACGTGTCCCCTGAAGGAGCTGTCGTAAGTCTTGCGGCCTTCTCAAAGCATCTTCTTTGCAAGCTGGAGTGGCACAGTGGGGGTGGCAGTGGGTAGGTTTTGGGGAACCTTAGGGATCCCCCTACTGCATTTACTTATCACATTGACATACTTATTTTCTATCTTTCTGTCTTTCTTTCTGTCTGTCTGTCTATCATCTGTCTTTTTTTTTTTTTTTTTGAGATGGAGTCTCACTCTGTCACCCAGGCTGGAGTATGGTGGCACGATCTCGGCTCACTGTAACCTCCACCTCCTGGGTTCAAGCAATTCTCCTGCCTCAGCCTCCAGAATAGCTGGAATTACAGTCACACACCACCATCCCTAGCTAATTTTTGTAATTTTAGTACAGATGGGGTTTCACCATGTTGGACAGGCTGGTCTCGAACTCCTGAACTCAGGTGATCCACTCGCCTTGGCCTCCCAAGGTGCTGGGATTCCAGGCGTGAGCCACCACGCCTGGCCTCTTCTTTCTTCCTACCACCTTAGGTCTCAGTTCCAGCCAGTTTTCCCCTCACTTTGATCATGGCTATCTCACACGGCAGCCTTTCTTTGCATAATTTCCTTAGGCTTCTTTGATTCTCCCCAAATCCAGGGGTTTTCAACTGGATTCTATTAAATTAGTTGAAACTGGGGATGATTTGATTTTTGTCCCCCAGGGGACATTTGGCAATGCCTGGACAACATATTTGGTTGTCCTGATGGTGTAGGGGTTGCTACTAGTGGGTAACACCTAGTGGGTAAAGGTCAGTTATTATTGACATCCTGTAATGCACAGGGCAGTCCTCTCATTCTGCAACTAAGTGCAATCCAGCCCACACCTCAATAGGGCTGAGAAAACCCTACCTTGCCTCACCTTTTTCTCTTTGAGATGGAGTCTCCCTCTGTCACCCAGGCTGGAGTACAGTGGCGCACTCTTGGCTCACCACAACCTCTGCCTCTTGGGTTCAAGCAATTCTCCTGCCTCAGCCTTTCTGAGTAGCTGGGACTACAGGTGCACACCACCATGCCCAGATATATATGTATATATGTGTGTATATATATATGTATATATGTGTGTATATATGTATATATATACATATATATGTGTGTGTATATATACGTGTATATATATGTATGTATATATATATGTATTTTCTTTAGTGGAGATGAGGTTTCTCCATGTTGGCCAGGCTGCTCTCGAACTCTTGACCTCAGGTGATCCACCCGCCTTGGCCTCCCAAACTGCTGGGATTACAGGCGTCAGCCACTGCGCCTGGCCCTTTTTCTCCTTCTTTAAGCTTTTGTTCTTTCTCCAATTTAATCTTCCCATAATGTTTGGGTCTCGGGGGTTAAGGGGTTGAGAGAGAAAGGTAGAGGAACCTGGGCATCATGGCTGAGGCTCACCTTGCACCTGCACCTTCCACAGCCTGGAGAAATGCAACTTGTCGGCAGCCAGCTGTCAGGACCTAGCCTTGTTTCTCACCAGCATCCAACACGTAACTCGATTGTGCCTGGGATTTAATCGGCTCCAAGATGATGGCATAAAGCTATTGTGTGCGGCCCTGACTCACCCCAAGTGTGCCTTAGAGAGACTGGAGTAAGTTTTCCCTACTTCCATTTCTAGATATGACTCTATGGGCACAGATATCTAGAACAATGGTTTCTTCATTTGATATCTATTTATATTATTAAAAAGTAACATTCATTGAGTAATTACTATGTGCCAGGAATTGCTCTAAAACAGATTCAGAGTAGCATCCTGGATTTGTTGATCCCGTCTCTGGAGCTTTTGCCAAGAAACTTAATTTCCACGAGGACCCCAGGAAGTAATGAATTTTTTGGTCAACTCATATGTGAGCTTCTAGCAGAGATAGAACAAGGCCTCAAGGCTGGGGTGGTAGATATGACAGATTTACTTCCTGCCCATGTGGAAGGTATAGTTTTATGAGTGACATATAAAAACAAAACAATAGATATGAAGAAAAACAAAGTAGAACGAGAGTAGAATGACAGGGATGGGGTTGATTTCCCAGCAGGGTCTTCTCTCACTAACCTATTTGAACAGGTGATACTTAAATAGAGACTCAGATGAAGCAAGGGGGAGGCAGCCGTATGCGGAGAAGGAACAGCAGAGTGAAAGGCCTGAGGTTGGGCTGGGCAAGGTGGCTCACACCTGTAATCCCAGCACTTTGGGAGGCTGAGGCGGGCAGATCACGAGGTCAGGAATTTTGAGACCAGCCTGACCAACATGGCAAAACCCCATCTCTACTAAAGATACACAAAAAATTAGTCGGGCATGGTGCCTATAATCCCAGCCACTCAGGAGGCAGAGGCAGGAGAATCGCTAGAACCCAGGAGGTGAAGGTTTCAGTGAGCTGAGATCGTGCCACTACACTCCAGCCCGGATGACAGAGTGAGACTCCATCTCAAAAGGTTGGAATAAGCACAGCATGTTGGAGGAACAATGAGGAAGCTAGCATGGTTGGAGTAGAGTGAGGGTGATAGTGGTAGGAGATGGCAGTGCCTGGGATATGCTGGGCTGTGTAGGAATCTGTTTTGTCTTGAGTGAGATGGAAAGTCATCCTTGGATTGGAAGTGGGATGTTACCTTAATCTGACGTACTTTGAAAGATCATGCAGGCTGCTGTGGACAGGTGGACTACAGTCCGGACAAAAATACCAGTATGAGCAAGAGATAGGGCTCCTATTGACCAGGAGGGAGTGGCCCATGGGGAGGTTATAGGATTTCAGGATAGATCGGAAGGTAGAGCCAATGGGGTTTGCCAATGGATTCGAGGTGGTTTAGGAGGGAGGGTACCAAGAACACCTCCCAGAGGGTGAGGTTGGCAGCTAGGTAAAGGGTGGGACCATTCTCCAATGCAGGGAAGATTGGGGGCAGAGCAGGGTCTGGGTAAGAAGAGTTTGGGTTGGGGGTATAGGAGCTTGAGATGCCATTCAGAGATGTTACGTGAGCCGTTGTAGGCAGGACTGCGGGAATCTAGAAGATTGCCTTGTGGGAATGAGAGACCCCGTACAGTGGTGGACGCACAAAGAGATTCTTTAGGTCTCCTCTTCTCTAGCTGCATCGTGCTGCTCTGGTGCAGGTGTGGAATAGAGGGAAAGGTGGGTTTTCCTGAGACTGGACAATTGTCAGGTGAGTATAAAAAGCACAGAAAAGGCCAAGGACCTTTAGGTGTCACCAAGTTGATTATCCCGGAGAACCACAGACTCTGGCCCTCTGCTCCTTTGCCAGTTCACTGCTCATTCGGCACTGAGTCTCCAAGAATGGGATTATCGATAGGTGATTCACACACATAATGTGAGTTAATCATACGTGTGTAATTATACGTGTATGATCATGATACAATGTGTAGAATTGTAACACCATTATAACTAATTATAATTAGTATTACAACCCTAATATATTATTACAACTCTATTATAGCCCTAATAATTAGTATAATTATAACTGTTATAATTCTACACATTGTAACATCATATACATATAGGTTGTAATTTTAACCAATTATAATTGTAATTATATAATTATGACTAATATTACAGTTATTTATATATTATAACAATTAGTTGTTATAATTTATAATGTAATTGATTGTAATTATACATATATACATGTATAATTGTAACATATATTTCATTATATATTTACATTATGATATATGTATTATGCAATATATGTATGTAATATATAGTTAATATTTAATATATTAACGATATACTATTATGTAACTACATATATTTTCATAAAACTTATATGTTAACACATATTATGCAATACATGCATATCTAATATATGCCATCTCTATTTGTGATATAATAATCTTCTATAACCTGTACACTGCCTGTTTGCCAAGTGCTGTCCCAAGCACATGCACTGCTCGTGGGCTCACTGGCAGCTCTCTGCCAGACCATCCTACTGCACTTCAGAATGGAAGGCAATGAAGGCTGAAAGGAGTGCGGGAGCTTGTTGAGGGTCACCCAGCTGCTGACAGACAAGCCCATTTGGACCCACGCCCAACTGGCTCCAGAGCCTTGGAGCCTTGAAAGTTTTTTTTTTCTTTATTTTTTCCTAAACCAGTCACTAATGAGAACCACAGACTTGGTGTACTCACTGTAGAAATCTGGATCGAGGGAGGGTTATGGTATGCAAGATACTGCCATAGCCTGGGTCGGTGTCCAGCTAAAAAGAAAGACCTTGTCGTCCAGGGAGCTGCTGCATGTGTAGGCTCGGAGGGGGCCCTGAGGCTCTGTTCCAGGAGCCTGGGTCTGGGCTGCTTCCCTGAGTGTCCATCTCTGTGGCTTTCACCCTGCAGGCTCTGGTTTTGCCAGCTGGCAGCACCCGCTTGCAAGCACTTGTCAGATGCTCTCCTGCAGAACAGGAGCCTGACACACCTGAATCTGAGCAAGAACAGCCTGAGAGACGAGGGAGTCAAGTTCCTGTGTGAGGCCTTGGGTCGCCCAGATGGTAACCTGCAGAGCCTGAAGTAAGTTTTCTTGGCTCCCTCTGAGTTGGCAGATGGAGGAGAGCCATGGGAATTGACCCACCAATGCCTGAGTTCCTGATGGGGTTTGAATGAGGCGTGGACAAGCTCTTTGCCATGGAGGAGCTTCTGGTTTTGTCGGGGGTGTGGGATGGGGAAAGTGGGAGGACCGTGAATGTGTGTGTGTCTGGGGGACCTCGAGACCAGCCCCCGGGTTTGATGTTTCACTGGGAGGACTCGGGATCCAGCCCATAGTCGTATTCATGCTACACTTCATCAGGGTGAAAGGACACAAGGCAGATCAGCAAAGGGAAAGGGGCTTGGGACAGAGTCCAGAGGAAACCAGACATAAGCTCCCAGGAGCCCTCTCCCCGTGCAATCACATGTGGGATATGACAAGGTTTCTCTTCAAATAGCCTGATCAATCCTTTCTTCTTCAATCCACAGTACCGCTCCCCTTCCCTTTCCTTCTCTTTCTTTCTGCCTTTACTACGTGCCCAGGCATGCTAACAGCACCAGTGGCTTATCAGTATTAGCTCACCTTCCTTTCCTTATTTGGGAAGAAAACTAGCTCTCCAGCTCATCGCAGACGACTTTTCCCCCTCTCCCCTCTCTCCCTTACTCTCCCTTCTCTCCCTTAAGTGCCCACATTATCTAAGAAAAAGTTCAAACGTTTAGCCAATCAGGTCTAGTTGAGATTGTGTGGTCCGACCCCAGCCAATGGGGAAAGGGCACGGGGTCAGGATTTGCATCAGGGATAAAAACTTTCATTCTCCTTTGTTCTATGTGCTCTCGTGGCGACGGGCCAAAGAGAAGCACTCCTCTGTGCAGAGGTAAATTTGCTTTGCTGAGAAATCTTTTGTCTGAGTGCTCGTCTTTTCCTTAAGACTCCAAGCTTGCTCTCCAACATCACACAGGACACACAATTCCTCCAGCCACCAGCTGTGGCAATCATGCCAAGTGTGGTCTACCAGGGCAGCCCATTAGAGACCCTGAGCCCAGAGTTTTTACTGAGTGCTGGTTATGTGCGGTCTAGCATGTACCAAGACGTGAGCCACTGTGCCTGGCCGGTCAAGGGATTTGTTATTCTTCCAGGGGATTTTGAAACTTTAGAGAGAAGAGCATATATTACAATCCATGCTCGAACTTCAACAATTATTGATTTATGGCCTATCTCCTTTCATCTAAAGCTTCACCAACACTCAGTAATGGGATTGCTGGGTCAAATGGGATTCCTGGTTCTAGATTTTTTTTTTTTTTTTAAGATGGAGTCTTGTTCTGTCACTCAGGCTGGAGTGCAGTGGTGTGATCTCAGCTCACTGCAAGCTCAGCCTCCTGGGTTCACGTCATTCTCCTGTCTCAGCCTCCCGTGTAGCTGGGACTACGGGTGCCCGCCACCATGCCCGGCTAATTTTTTGTATTTTTTTTTTAGTACAGATGGGGTTTCACCATGTTAGCCAGGATGGTCTCAATCTCCTGACCTCGTGATCCACCCGCCTTGGCCTCCCAAAGTGCTGGGATTACAGGCGTGAGCCACCGCGCCTGGCCTGGTTCTAGATTCTCGAGGAATCGTCACACTGTCTTCCACAATGGTTGAACTAATTTCTCCCTCTAAGATTATTTTGAGGCCCATCCCGTGGGTCATACCTCTTCCTTTGTAAACACAAAGTAGTTTTATATTTGCATCTGCATTTATAAGAATGAAGTTGAGTATGTTTTCAAATGCTGACAACCATTGATAAAAACTTCCAGATTAAAAAAACCTGTTGATAAAATTTGCTGATTTTTTTTTTAACCTGTTTCATTTTGTTTTTCCCCTCGTCACTTGTAGGGAATTCTTTCTTGTTTTTAAAACTTTAATCGTTTTATTGTAAATTTACCATCTGTATATGTTTTGGGGGTACAAACTTTATGAATACAATGTGGAATAATTAAGTTAGTTAATGTGTCCATCACCTCAAATACTTAACAATTTTTTGTGGTGACAATATTTGAAATTTATTATGTTAGCAATTTTGAAAGGTACAATGTTCTATTAAGTATGTTTGCCATGCCATGGAATAGATCTCAAAAAAAAAAAAAAACAACAATTATATTCCTGCTGAGATTTTTGTACCCTTTGACCACCATGTCTAAACTCTAGGGAAATCTGACTGTCTTTGATTTGCATGTATCATTTATCAGCCTGGCAGTTCTCTTACACTTGGCCTTTGATGGGTTAGCCATATGGACGTTCTTCACGTAGTCAAAATTTTTTTTAAACAGACTCTTGCTCTGTCGCCCAGGCTGGAGTACAATGGTGCAATCTCGGCTCACTGCAACCTCCACCTCCCGGGTTTAAGCTATTCTCCTGCCTCAGCCTCCCAAGTAGCTGGGATTGCAGGCACCCGCCACCACGCCTGGATAATTCTTGTATTTTTAGTAGAGATGGGGTTTCACCATGTTGGGCAGGCTGGTCTCGAACTCCTGACCTCATGATCCACCCGCCTCAGCCTCCCAAAGTGCTGGGATTACAGGCGTGAGCCACCGTGCCCGGCCAAACCTTTTTGGGATGGGGGGGGTGGGTTTAAGGATTTTGGATGACTCTTTCTCCTCCTGTCGCTTCCTTGTCTTTCCTCTCCTCATCCCTCCCCACCTCAACCCATATTTTCTCCAAATAGTCACCTGGATTAACTATTTTGAACTTATTATGGTATAGTAATTTATTCTGGGAAATTCAGACCTGCCGTTATGGGAGATTCCTGGTATCTTCAGCTCAACTGTCGAGCTTGAAGGCTGAGAATCGTGCACTGTGATAGCCAAGCCAACTCTGGGTGCTGGGGGGTAACCACCACAGAGAGGCCCTTCACGTTCATGCACCTGCGGGGGGCGTGGGAGGGAGAGGGCTGTGTTGCTGTGCCCTCGGCTTTCTATCTCAGGTAAATAGAGCACCTGGAGGTGTCTCGGCCCTCCTGACTCGCACCCTCCTCCTTCGAGGCTTGGGACAAAAGTCTGGCTTCAGGGTGTCTCCTTTCCTTGGACGTGAGATGGGCAGTTGTAAACACAGCACAGCTTCGGGACGCAATTACTTTCCCCCCTTTTGTATGTTTTTATTTTGCAGTTTGTCAGGTTGTTCTTTCACAAGAGAGGGCTGTGGAGAGCTGGCTAATGCCCTCAGCCATAATCATAATGTGAAAATCTTGGATTTGGGAGAAAATGATCTTCAGGATGATGGAGTGAAGCTACTGTGTGAGGCTCTGAAACCACATCGTGCATTGCACACACTTGGGTGAGTTGATGCTGTTCTCCTTGCAGAGTCTTCCTTCTCTACTCTTGCGGGTGGGGAGATATGATCGGATCCCATCGGGGGTTAGAAAGTGAGGCAAAGTAAGGACAAGCCATCTAAGAAATCTCACCCAGGTGTGGTGGCTCACGCCCGTAACCCCAGCACTTTGGGAGGCCAAGGTGGGTGGATCACCTGAGGTCAGGAGTTCGAGAGCAGCCTGACCAACATGGGGAAACCCCGTCTCTACTAAAAATACAAAAATTAGCTGGGAGCAGTGGCTCACACCTGTAATCCCAGCATTTGGGGAGGTCGAGGTGGGCGGATCACCTGAGGTCAGGAGCTCAAGACAAGCCTGGCCAACATGGGGAAACCCCATCTCTACTAAAAATACGAAAATTAGCTGGGTGTATAGGTGGGCATCTGTAGTCCCAGCTACTCAGGAGGCTGAGGCAGGAGAATCGCTTGAACCCGGGAGGTAGAGGTTGCAGTGAGCTGAGATTGTGCCATTGCACTCCAGCCTGGGAGACAAGAGCGAAACTCCATCTCAAAAAAAAAAAAAACAAAAACAAAAACAAAAACTCTCCTGCTAGATGATAAGCTTGAAGTTTTTCACGTTTAGAGAAGTGTTTTACTCTTGTTACCACCATCCTTGGTACATTGAAAATATTGTCTCTCCCAATCTGCCCATGGTGGGTGCCAGGTGCTGGGAAGTTGAGGGGAGCGCAGCCTGCTCCCCACTGTGAATCTTCACTTCACCGTTGTTAACCATCATGCAACGTGTACTAAGCAGACTAAGATGAGTTGCTCTGAACCGTAGGATTTTTTGCTAAATGTGGCTTACATGATAGCAATTTCTCATGTAGGGAATGGTTCCATTAGCTCAGTGATGTTTTCAGAAACAGTGTTAGGATTTGTTAGTATCAAATGAACCGACTCAAATTGTAAACCACCTCCAGCATTGTTGGGGTTTACCAGCCACCTCAAACCTCTATTCAGAGATTGTTAAATCTACTATATAGACACCACACATTAAATTATTGGTTTAAACATAAACTAGACTTGTTCTCTCATAGGCCTGAAAGAAACATGAATAGGTTAACGTTATCTGCAGTGCCAAATTTAAGATAGTTTGGCATAAATGCATTCTGAATCAAGTTTATCTTCAAAAAAATCAGTTAACGAAGCAACTTACTGAACTATTTCCTTAGAGAGACTCATTCTGACTTTTTTCTTTCTAAAAGAAGGGCTTTATGGTTTTTTGTTTGTTTTGATGGGGTCTCACTCTGTCACCCAGGCTGGAGTGCAGTGGTGCGATCTCAGCTCAGTGCAACCTCAAGCAATCCTTCCTCCTCAGCCTCCTGAGTAGCTGGGACAACAGGTGCACGCTACCACACCCATCTGTTTTTTTGTATTTATTATGGAAATGAGGTTTCACCATGTTGCCCAGTCTGGTCTCAAACTCCTAAGCTCAAGTGATCTGCCTGCCTCAGTCTCCCAAAGTGTTGGGATTACTGACATGAGCCACTGCGCCTGGCCAGCGTGTAATAGTTATTTATGAACTCAGGTGGAGATCTCTGATGTGTTAAACTGATCTAATGTATTTTCTCACTTTTGTCTTTGTGTTTCTAGTAGCTAGCCAACCCTATGTTCAAATTTTGTATTGTTGAATTTAGAATAAGATGGAAAAAAGTGTAAATAAGGAATAATAGTGCTATTTCAGTTCTTTCAAAGATCTAATAAACTCATATCCCTTGTATACTAAAATGGTTTGTTTCACATTCTGGCAGGTTAAGTTTTTGTTTCCTCCTCCATCAAATACAGTTTAAAATAGTATGTACCTTTGATAAGATTGATAGATGGGTTAGATGAGTTATATGTCAGTATTTAAAAGGTGCCCGGCATGCAGTAAGTACTCCACTCTTTTCCATTTTTTTTTTTTTTTTTTTTTTTTTGTGAGATGGAGTCTTGCTCTGTCGCCCAGGCTGGAGTGCAGTGGCGCAATCTTGACTCACTGCTACTTCCACCCCGTGGGCTCAAGCAATTCCCTGCCTCAGCCTCCCAAGCAGCTGGGATTACAGACACCCACCACCACGCCTGGCTAATTTTTGTATTTTTTGTAGTAGAG
Organism: Homo sapiens; assembly: GCF_000001405.40. Taxonomy (NCBI): domain Eukaryota; kingdom Metazoa; phylum Chordata; class Mammalia; order Primates; family Hominidae; genus Homo; species Homo sapiens. The sequence continues at coordinate 55,896,647 of NC_000019.10, read as the reverse complement.
ACAGGGTTTCACCATCTTGTCGAGGCTGGTGTTGAACTCCTGACCTTGTGATCCACCCACCTCAGCCTCCCTAAGTGCTGGGATTACAGGTGTGAGCCACCGCGCCCAGCCCTTTTTTTTTTTTTTTTTGAGACAGAATCTTGCTGTCGCCAGGCTGGAGTGCAGTGGTGTGATCTCGGCTCACTGCAACCTCCACCTCCCGGGTTCAAGCGATTCTCCTGCCTCAGCCTCCTGAGTACCTGGAACTACAGATGCATGCCAACATGCCTGGCTAATTTTTGTATTTTAATAGAAATGGGGTTTCACCATGTTGCCCAGGATGGTCTCTGTCTCTTGACCTCATGATCTACCCACCTCGGCCTCCCAAAGTGCTGGGATTACAGGCGTGAGCCACTGTGCCTGGCCAAGTGCTCCACTCTTAAGCAGTCTGCTTTAGTAATAGTTTTTTTCCTGCAGATGTGGTATCTCTTTTCTAACTTCCCAGTCTCAGAGGACTATCTGTTGTGCTTTCTTCCCACCCGCCCCTAGGTTGGCGAAATGCAATCTGACAACTGCTTGCTGCCAGCATCTCTTCTCTGTTCTCAGCAGCAGTAAGAGCCTGGTCAATCTGAACCTTCTAGGCAATGAATTGGATACTGATGGTGTCAAGATGCTATGTAAGGCTTTGAAAAAGTCGACATGCAGGCTGCAGAAACTCGGGTAAACCTCACTGACTTTTCTGCAGGGGAGAACATACAGGGACAAGGCTAGATTGACTAGGCTTCTAGAGCATGTGTCAGGTTTCCATTGCACTCGGCTTCCTCAGGCCATGCAGGCCAACGGAACTTCCAGTAAGGGTGGGAGTGATCTCTGTGCTGTGCACCTGCTGTGTAGCCACGAGCGGCATCTCATCATTGGGCACTTGAAACATGGTTAGTGTGACTGGGAACTGAATTAGTAGTTTTCTTTTTTCTTTCACCTTTTTTGAGACAGTGTCTCGCTCTGTCACCCAGGCTAGAGTGCAGTTGTGTCATCTTGATTCACTGCAACCTCCACCTCCCGGGTTTAAGCAATTTTCCTGCCTCAGCCTCCCGAGTAGCTGGAGCTACAGGCACCCACCACCACGCCCAGCTAATTTTTGTATTTTTGTAGAGATGGGGGTTTCACCGTAGTGGCCAGGCTGGTCTTGAACTCCTGACCTCAGGTGATCCACCCACCTCGGCGTCTCAAAGTGCTGGGATTACAGGCATGAGCCACCATGCCCGGACTGTTTTTTCTTTTCTTTTTTGAGATGGAGTCTTGCTCTGTCACCCAGGCTGGAGTGCAGTGGCGCAATCTCAGTTCACTACAACCTCCCCATCCTGGTTCAAGTGATTCTCTTGGCTCAGCCTTCCCAGTAGCTGGGACTACAGGTGCATGCCACTACGCCTGGCTAATTTTCTTTTTCTTTTCTTTCTTTTTTTTTTTTTTAACATACTTTTAGTAGACACGGGGGTTTCACCATGTTGGCCCGCCTCCCAAAGTGCTGCGATTACAGGCGTGAGCCACTGCTCCTGGCCACCAGCCTATTTTAATATAAATATAAATTTTTAATTTTATTAGGTTGGTACAAAGTAATTTTGGTGTTTGCTATTACTTTTAATGCAGTGGTTTTAAAGTAATGGTTTTTGCTGTCACTTTTAGTGGCAAAAATGGCAATTACTTTTGCATCAACCTACTAATTAAATCTTAACAGCCACATGTCGCTAATGACTACCGTACTGGATGGTGCAGTCCTGGAGACTTTTGGGTATTTTGAGAGCCTGCTTCTGTTTATCATTCTTGTACCTACTGTACGTGTCACTCCATAGCCATTAACTTGTGGCTTCTTTTTCAATACCGACTCTGGGCCAAGCACCATGGCATGGTAGACAGGGGGGAAACAAACGGACATGAGCCTTGTCCTTGAGAGTCTTGAGTTCTCCTCCAGGAGATAACAGGTCTGAGACATAAAAGCAATCTCTGTTGTCATGAATGCTGTGAAAGAAACTCTGGGTTGAGATAAGACAGGAGGGTGACCAGAATAGCAAGGGGCTTGCCAGAGGCGGTACCATTGATCCTGAGTCCCAAGGAGGCTGGAAGGAGGAGTCCCTATATCAGGAAGGGAACATGAGAGGTGACTAGAGATGAAGGGTGGAATGTACTGAGGATGTTTCAGTAGCATGTGCAAAGGCCCTGAGGTTGCACCAAGCTTTATGTTGCCCCTTTGAGGCACTGAGAGAAGAGCATTTAATTAGAACACTTTCCACCCCATTCAGTATTCTGAGAGGAAATCAGAAAGGTAAGCAGGTTGGCTGCAGTTGCTCATGCCTATAATTCCAGCACTTTGAGAGGCCAAGGCAGGAGGATCACTTGAGGCCAGGAGTTCAAGACCAGCATGGGCAACATAGGCAGATCCTGTCTCTACAAAAATTTTAAAAAATTGGCTTGGCATGGTGGCACACACCTGTGTTCCCAGCAACTTGGGAGGCTGAGGTGGGAAGACTGCCTGAACCCAGGAGTTTGAGGCTGTAGTGAGCCATGATCATGCACTCCAGCCTGGGTAACAGAGCAAGACCCTGTCTCAAAAAAAAAAAAAAAAAAAAAGTTGGGGCATGGAGAAAGGTAAGCAGTTAACAGCTGTTACTGGTACATCTCAGCAGAAGTCATCCCAGATGCCAAGGAACCTTGCCTACTTTAGGAAGTGAGTCACGATCTGCACCTTTTAAAGATTTGATGTTGCCAACTTCACACTTCAGTGGTGCATTTTAAAAAGGGTTCTGGGACAGCAACCGTTAAAGATGAAGCTTCTCTGCTGTCTATCATGCATGTGTGCAGAAGGGGCTTCTGACTGGGTGCCCAGACCCTCGCCTCCTCTTGTAGAACGCTCAGATTTTATTTTTCAAAAATTGCTAGATGCAGATTAATGAGAAGTACTTGGATTTATTCATACACAGTGAAAATGGCCTGAGTTACTCTGGCCTGCCCACAAGGTCCCTTGTGTCATCTGCGCCATGGTTTTCTCATCCTCTACCTTTGTGGTTGTGCCTTTTCTCTATGGAAAGGGGTTCCCGTGCCATCAAATCTTCTCCCTGACATCTGTGGGTAAGGCTAGGGTGGTGGGAGGTCCCAGTCGAAGGGTAAACAAAAGTTACCCTTCATTTGTTAGTCTTTCTGTAGGTAGGTGCCAAAGTAATTGTGTTTGCTATTACTTTTAATGCAGTGGTTTTAAAGTAATGGTTTTTGCCATTACTTTTTTTTTGAGATGGAGTTTCACTCTTGTTGCCCACACAGGAGTGCAATGGCGTGATCTCGGCTCACCGCACCCTCCGCCTCCCAGGTTCAAGCGATTCTCTTGCCTCAGCCTCCCGAGTAGCCTGGATTACAGGCACGTGCCACCACACCCAGCTAACTTGGTATTTTTAGTAGAGATGGGGTTTCTCCATGTTGGTCAGGCTGGTCTAGAACTGCCGACCTCAGGTAATTCACCTGCCTCAGCCTCCCAAAGTGCTGGGATTACAGGTGTGAGCCACCATGCCTGGCCGCCATTACTTTTAATGGCAAAAATGGCAATTACTTTTGTCTAAACCTTTATTATGCTTTATATCAGTTTGCCACTTTACACTGCACCCTGCCTGTACTTCACTGCTTCCATCCAGTCTGCTGTTGATGAGCACCTAGGTTGGTTCCATGTCAATGCTATTGTGAACAGTGCTGTGAGGAACACACACATGCATGTGGTCCACATACACCATGGAGTACTACACTGCTCTAAAAAGGAATGAAACCATGTCCTTTGTGGCAACATGGACGCAGCTGAGGGCTATTAGCCTAAGTGAACTAATGCAGGAACAGAAAACCACATACCACATGTTCTCACAAGTTGGAGCTAAACAATCAGTACATGTGGATTTAAAGATGGTGACAGTAGGCCAGGCATGGTGGCTCATGCCTCTAATTCCAGCACTTTGGGAGGCCGAGGTGGGCAGATCACCTGAGGTCAGGAGTTCGAGACCAGCCTGGCCAACATGGTGAAACCCCATCTCTACTAAAAATACAAAAATTAGCCGGCGTGGTGGTGTGCGCCTATAATCCCAGCTATTCAGGAGCCTAAGGCAGGAGAATCGCTGGGGCCCAGGAGGTGGAGGGTGCAGTGAGCCGAGATCACGCCACTGCACTCCAGCCTGGGTGACAAAGTGACACTGCGTCTCAAACAATACGTATATGTGTATGTGTGTATGTATATGAATATGTGTGTGTGTATGTGTGTGTATATACATATATACACATATATTTGTTGACAAGACACGGGACTACTAGGAGGAGGAGAGTAGGAAGGAGGCAAGGGTTAAAGTACTTTCAGGTGCTATACTCACTACCTGGGTGATGGGATCATTCACACACCAAACTTCATGCCACACAGTAGACCCATGTAACAAACCTGTACGTGTTCCCCTGAACCTTAAAAATTAAAAATTACTTCTAAACTTCTTCACTGCTTCTAAACTTCAGTACTTCTTATTTTGCAGGCTTCAAAAAGACCTGCACAATGTAGTGAGAGAGGAGATACAGACCTCACAGAAGGAGCTCTGTCTGAAACTCAAGTGTGCGTGGGATTTTAATGACCTTGAAGACAAGTGGTGGTGGTGATCCCACGGATTAGATGCCACGTGGCTTGACCATGGATCTTGGGGGAAAGCCACCAGGACATCCTGGCCTGTGTGTCGCTCCAATGTCACCATTTGTGGGGACAAATGAGCTGTTCCCTGCAGGAGGCTTTGTCACGGTTGTTGGAGGCCGCCCATTGCACGCCCAGGTCTGGAATCCTAGTGTAATACTGTGTCTGGTACCAAGATCATAAGTTGGCTGTGCCTTCAGTCTTGTCTATGTCCTCCTTGGTGTAATGTTTTTAATTCTTGGAGGTGTTGAGAGAATTCAATAAAGCAAAGCATATAAAAATACCTCAGGAAAGTCCAAAGCCTCATTTCTCATGGATTGAGAAGTGGGATCGATGTGTTTATAATTCCATAATTATTATACTGTGATTAAACCACATAGACATCCAGAACTCCTAATATGCCTTTATCTTCACTTATATTGACTCCCCCAAGAAATATTAGACTCTGCATTGATTTTTTTTTTTTTTGAGACAGGGTCTCACTCTGTCACCCAGGCTGGAGCGTAGTGGCACCATCTCAGCTCACTGCAACCTCCACCTCTCGAGTTCAAGTGGTTCTTCTGCCTCAGCCTCCCAAGTAGCTGGGATTACAGGCATGTACCACCAGGCCTGGCTAACTTTTGTATTTTTAGTAGACATGGGGTTTCACCATGTTTTCCAGGCCGGTTTTGAACTCCTGGCCTCAAGTGATCCACCTGCCTCGGCCTCCCGAAGTGTTGGGATTACAGGTGTGAGCCACCGCACCTGGCCTGGATTGATTCCTATCTCCCACTCTTCATTACGATGTACTTTTCTGAGTTTATTCCATCTCCTGCCCTTCTTCACCCGAAACCTTCTCACTGTGCTCTTTGGAAACCAGCAAACCTATATTTAGAGAATAGGTTGAAACGGTCCCTTTAATCTCCCTCTCTCTGAAACCTGCATCTCCTCTGAGGACATTGCTTCTCTTGCAGCTCTTTCGGGCGTGGTTGTCTTGTCTCGGGAGCCTAGCAGTTAATCGGGTGGGTGGTCTCTTCCTCACCTTCTGCTCTGCGACCATTCTCTTCACCCCTCTGTCTCCCTCTCAGCCTCTATCCTCGTGTCTTTAGATTTAGACCCCTTGTTCTTCGAGCCACTTCCGGACTGCCAAATTAGACTTCAGTTAAAAGACTTTAGCTCCTGGCCCCCCGTCAGCCCCTCCGGTGGTACAAGTTGAGTATCCCTTATCCGAAATGCATGGACTTTGCATTTTTTTCAGACTTTGGAATATTTGCATTATACTTACTGGCTGGACACACAAAATCTAAAATTCTGAATTCGGAAACGTTCCAGTAAACATTTCCTATGAGCATCGTCTCAGCGTTCAAAAGGAACATTCTAGATTCTGGATTTTTGGATTTGGGATGTTCAGCCTATATTCCTTACACCTAATTTTAATCTCCATGCTTGTCCAACCCACAGCCTGGGCCCACTTTTAATGAGGTCCCAACACAAATTCATAAACTTTCGTATGCATAGACTTTTTTTTTGTTTGTTTTGTTTTTGTTTTTTTTTTTTTTTTTAGCTCATCAGCCAGCATTAGTGTGTGGCCCAAGACAATTCTTCCAACGTGGCCCAGGGAAACCAAAAGATCGGACATCCCTGTGTGACTGCATCTTCAACGACAGTATCTTCTGCCGTATCTAAGCCTCCTTCATGCTCAAACTCCAGAAATTCCAACTATTTTGTAGTTTTTTTTTTTTTTTTTTTTTTTTTTTAAGACACTCTCGCTCTGTCGCTCAGGCTGGAGTGCAGTGGTGCGATCTCGGCTCACTGCAACCTCCGCCTCCTGAGTTCAAGCAATTCTCCTGCCTCAGCCTCCCGAGTAGCTGGGACTACAGGCATGCGCCACCACACCCGGCTACTTTTTGTATTTTTAGTAGAGATGGGGTTTCACCCTGTTGGCCAAAATGGTCTCGATCTCTTGACCTTGTGATCTACCCGCCTCGGCTTCCCAAACTGCTGGGTTTACAGGCGTGAGCCACCATGCCTGGCCTAGTAGTTTCACTTTTAATTGGCATTTGCCTCTTCAACAACCACTTCATATCTTCCTGACTGACTCTAACCAGAGATTAATCTGTAGATTCCATTCTCACTGATATACTATAGCAAGAGGCTGTTTATCATGGGCCCTAAGCACCCCTGTACATTCTTTATGGGTATGCATAAAATGTTGGACCCTGACTTTTAAATTTCTTTTTTTTAATTTTTGTTTTTTTGCCAAGGACTTTTGCCAGGTTGTGTTTGCACTGAGCAAACTTGAGGGATAAGGTAACTTTCTACCCCAGACAAAAAGCAGGCTTGTTCTGCTTATTGAAAATCGGCAGATTCCCTAAGCTCAGCATGCTTCTCTTAATCCAGTCTACAGCAGGTACAGTCATCTATCATGGACCCTTTATGGCACCCAAAGCTGTGAGACTTGGGAAGTATGAGGAACTGATTAAAAGCAACAAGAAATACTGACTCATGCTTTTGTCATGGATGATAAAATTATTTGTTTCTGGGCCAGGAGTCTCATATCTTCTGCTAGCTTCCATGAAACAGGAACAGGCTTTTTGGCTCATAAGTAGAATAACACCCCAAACCCTTCTCAGTTCCTGAAGACAGCTGCCTTTTTGCTATACTTCACCCTGCTTAGAGTTTATCTATTTAGCTGACGGTACTCCAAACAGCCCCTCAAATTTGTCTAAACATCTTCCATGCTCTGCCTGCCCCTCTCACTTTGTCCTATGCACTTAAAACCACAAGCCTTTTTCCAATGTTCTACGTATTCCACACTTGTATCCAGATAGCTGAACATGCTGAAGGATGTTCAACCCTGCTTAAATTTATGGCTAATCCTAAGAGTTTTCTTACCGTTGCTTATGGTACTGTTGCACATGATACTGTAACATACTGCTTTAACCCGTTCTACTCAACTTCCATTGTCCTCAACAGTTCTCCATTTTCATGCTCAGTTGATTTTACATATTTCTTGAAGAAATAAGAATCCAGATCTTCCACAAGTACCCACTGCCACATCTACCAGCACCTGTACCCTGATAAGACAAAAATAAAGGCTCTGAGGCATAGAAAGTGTCAACCTGAGTTAGCTGCAGGACAAGAGAGGTAAACCCTCTAATACACAAAGGATTGGATGCTATGGGTTGAGACTTAAGATTGCTGCTCAAGGAGACTTGAAATAAATTTTCTCCAGAAAGTAAAAGTCTTCCTTCTCTATTCTGCAGATGTGCAGGACATGGAGGTAGAATGGGACCCTGTTTACAGGAATAATATTCAGGTTAATACAAAACCATCGTAAGGACCACCTCCCTTTCGCTTATTTTATCCATCTGAAATAGTTTTGTTGTTTTCTTTTTTGAGACAGAGTCTCGCTCTGTTGCCAGGCTGGAGTGCAGTGGTGCAATCTTGGCTCACTGCAACCTCCACCTCCCGGGTTCAAGTGATTCTCCTTCCTCAGCCTCCCGAGTAGCTGGGATTACAGGCACACACCACTATGCCCAGCTGATTTTTGTATTATTTTTAGTAGAGATGGGGCTTCACCATGTTGGCCAGGATAGTCTCGATCTCTTGACTTTCTGATCCACCCACCTTGGCCTCCCAAAGTGCTGGGATTACAGGCGTGAGCCACCACGCCCGGCCAAAATAAAGTTTTTCTTAATCAGTTTGGTTGTTAGATGCCAATGATGTGGTCTTCCGTCCTTCCTCCATGAACTCACCACCACTCTGTCCTATCCATTTGCACAGAAATATGGTCTGCCTCCGGCCACAGACTCTGTCTTTACACCCCAGGATAATTCCTTATTTTGTTACTTTTGGGTCAGTCACTTCCCCTCTCTGGACCTAATTACCTCATCTTCAAAATGATGAGGACAGAAATAATTTGTAATTAAATTAGACCCAATTTTGGCTTTCACTTCTGCCTTTGTTAGCTCTGTGGCTGTGTAACACTTCTAAAATGTACTTTACTCACCTGAAAATATAAAACTGTATCCCGCACAGGATATGTGAAATCGATGTGTCATGGATGGAAATCTCTATGAAGAATAAGATCTTATTAAGTTGTAATTTTCTCTCCCCCGCTCTAACACCAAGAGTCTTTCTTGTACTATTTTATTATTCAATAAGCAGACGCTATCAGAAGCAGTCTTACAGAATAGCTGGAGATCCATTTAGCATTTCATAGCTTATAAAACACCTTCCTAGAGGGTCTAAATCCCCATCAAAGCCCTGTAAGATAGGATAGCCTTACTTTACTGATTTAAAAGCAAAGATACCAAAAGAAAATGCTTTACAACAGATTACAGAGATAGTAAGTCAAACTGGCCTATAAATCCAACTTTTCTATTTTAAGATCTGACCCACTTTACAACACCTGATGGGATCTTTCAATAAGTTGAAGGCTATAATCCTTCTATCCATCCATGTTCTCACTATTAGACATAGTAAAACCCAGAGTCCTTGAAATAAATACTTCATTCTCTTCCTTTTTCTATATCTTTACTGCCCTTTGTAGATGAAATCTGGGATAGAAAGAGTGGGAGACGTATGTGAACTAATTTAGAAAATATTGTCAGGGCAATAAAGGTTAAAAATAAAATCAAAGGTTAATTGCCTTAATCTTCATCTCATTGATTCATATTCAGTTACCAGCTATTAAAATGGGCCATATTTTATTTTGAGACAGGGTCTCACTCTGTCACCCAGGCTGGAGTGCAGTGGCACCATCTCGGCTCACTGCAACCTCTGCCTCCCAGGCTCAAGGGATCCTGCCACTTCAGCCTCCCGAGTAGCTGGGACTACAGGTGTGTGCCACCATGTAACTTTTTTTAGTAGAGATGAGGTTTTGCCATGTTGCCCAGGCTGGTCTCAAACTTCTGAGCTCAACCGATCCTCCAGCCTTGGCCTCCCAGAGTGCTGGGATTACAGGCGTGAGCCACCAAACCTGGCCAACCATGTTATTTCTGATAATCTGACAAGATAAATAAAGACTATCCCAAGATTTCTCCATTGTTTCTTTAAAAATAACAGAGATGGGCTGGGCACGGTGGCTCACACCTGTAATCCCAGCACTCTGGGAGGCCGAGGTAGGCAGATCACGAGGTCAGGAGATTGAGACCATCCTGGCCAACATGGTGAAACCCCGTCTCTACTAAAATACAAAAAAAAAATTAGCCAGGTGTGGTGGTGCGCACCTGTAGTCCCACTTACTCAGAAGGCTGAGTCAGAGGAATTGCTTGAACCCGGGAGGTGGAGGTTGCAGTGAGCAGAGATCATGCCACTGCATTCCAGCCTGGTGACAGAGCGAGACTCTGTCTCAGAGAAAAAAAACAACAACAACAAACAAAAAACCAGGGATGGCCTGGCATGGTGGCTCACACCTGTAATCCCAGCACTTCAGGAGGCCGAGGTGGGCAGATCACAAGGTCAAGAGATTGAGACCATCCTGGCCAACATGGTGAAACCCTGTCTCTACTAAAAATATAAAAATTAGCTGGGCATGGTGGCAGGCACCTGTAGTCCCAGCTACTCAGGAGGCTGAGGCAGGAGAATTGCTTGAACCCAGGAGGCAGAGGCTGCAGTGAGCTGAGATCGCGCCACTGTACTCCAGACTGGTGACAGAGCGAGACTTCATCTCAAAAAACAGACAAAAACACAGGGATATCCTCTGTTTAATGCTTGATCCACAAATTCTCAATTACTAAATTTTCAATTTACTAATCAATACTCAAGTCAATCATATTTAGTCTACTCAATTACTAATTTAGGAATTTTTTTTGTTGTTATTCTACAATTTCTAAGTTTGTCCTAGAATTCAATTACATCAAAGTATCTTAAAGCAACATTTTTTTAGAGTAGACAGATGATTTCAAATCCACTGTACAGTCAGGCCAATGTTACTTTGTAGGACTGGGGGGGCCCATAATAGGTCTTGGAGGGGGTTTGGAAGGGGTAATTGGTGATTCAGGAAAAGAGAAGAGATGAGATAGAAGGGATTCCAGTGTACCTTGACTGCTGAACTTTTTTCTAGGCTGCCTCCAAATTATGAAGCCCGTGAACCAAGACAGACCAATTAGCTTGTGACCAATTGTCTAACTTCAAGCCTATACTTATGAGGAAGGTAGACGGATTATTTGTGTCTCCAGCTTCATTTACCTTTCCTCCCTCTCCTTTTACCCACCCTGCTTGCTGTCTTTTTTGACACTCACTTCCTCACCCACCACCTTGCAATTTTTTTTTAAGACAGTCTCGCTCTGTTGCCCAGGCTGGAGCACAATGGTGCAATCTCAGCTCACTGCAACCTCCACCTCCTGGGTTCCAGTGATTCTCCTGCCTCAGCCTCCTCAGTAGCTGGGACTACAGGTGTGTTCCACCGTGTCCGGCTAATTTTTGTATTTTTAGTAGAGACGGGGTTTCACCATGTTGGCCAGGCTGGTCTCGAACTCCTGACCTCATGATCCACCTGCCTCAGCCTCCCAAAATGCTGGGATTACAGGCGTGAGCCACTGCACCCGGCCAACCATGCAATCTTAAAAGCTTGGCTAGATGTGCCCAGGACTAATGTGTGGCTGAGGTGAGTCAAGCTTGGTGCACAGCTCAGGTTATGAGAGACAGAGGTGGTAGAGTGCTGAAACAGCCCAGGAGATCCTTGGACTGAAGAAGAGACAGATGGAATTCCAGGAATAATGAACTTGGGTGGAAAAGGATTCCCAGGGTGAAGGCAGCCAGAGTGACAGCTTCTTAGCTTGGAAGCAGTTACTTGTACCCTTTAGGCCAATTTTCCCATTACAAGAAGGGTCTTATAGCATCAACCTCAGATTTTGCAAGAATTGAAATAACATATAAAATATTCAGCTTGTGGTAAGCACCTGTCAATGTATTAATAGCTCTTGGGTGAATAATCTCCTTCAATTCTGTCATTAAGATTCTTTACTTGTAACTTAGACTTTTTATAGCTTAGTACCTCTTTTTTTGTGATTAAAAAAAAAAAGTTTTTCAGACAGTGCCTTGCTGTGTCACCCAGACTAGAGTGTAGTGGTGTGATCGCGGCTCACTGCGGCCTCAACCTCCCAGGATCAAGTGGTCTTCCTTCCCCAGCCTCCTGAGTAGCTGGGACCACAGGCATGAGTCGCCACGCCCAGATAATTAAAAAATAATAATAATAATAATTCTAGATAGATATAGATAGATAGATAGATAGATAGATAGATAGATAGATAGATAGATAGATAGATAGTAGAGGTAGGGTCTCTCTATGTTGCCCAAGCTGGTCTCTAACTCCTGGGCTCAAGCGATCCTCCTGACTTGGCCTCCCGAGGTGCTGGGATTACAGGCGTAAACCACTGTGCTGGGCAGCTCAGTACCCGTTCTCTATCAGCACTTCCTTCTCCCTCTTTTCTACTGACCTGTATTTTTAGTGGAGGGAAAACCGTTAGGAGAAAAATGTTAATGTTCCTGCTGGGGGTGGAAATGGACATCTCATGAACATAATTAAGGTAGCTGGAGAATAGGTTCTTTGGTTCCTCAAGCTGCTTTTATATTTTATCACGTCTATTGCACCCAGGTGCAATAGATAGTCCTTAATCATTACCACTTTACAGATGACAGACTAAATGACTTCCCAGATTTTCCTGTTTGTTATTTTTCTTTCCACACTTTTTTTGAGATGGAGTTTCACTCCTGTTGCCCAGGCTGGAGTGCAATGGTATGATCTCTGCCTGCTGCAACCTCTGCCTCCTGGGTTCAAGCGATTCTCCTGCCTCAGCCTCCCGAGTAGCTGGGATTCCAGGCATGCACCACCACCACGCCCGGCTAATTTTTTGTATTTTTAATAAAGACAGGATTTTTCCACGTTGGTCAGGCTGGTCTCAAACTCCTGACCTCAGGTGATCCACCTGCCTCGGCCTCCCAAAGTGCTGGGAATACAGGCATGAGCCACTGCACCCAGCCTCCCCACTTTCTTTTTATTGTGGTAAAACATGCGTAACAAAATTTTACCATTTTAACCCATTTAAAGTGTACATCCCTGTGGCCTTGAGCACACTCACATTTTACAACCATCACCACCATCCATCTCCAGAACTTTTCCATCTTGCAAAACAAACTCTATGCTCATTAAATAACTCCATCTTCTCCTCCTTCCCCTGGCCTCTGGTAGCCAACATTTTACTTTTTGCCTCTATGAATTTGGCTACTGTAAGTACCTCATAGAAGGAGAATGTACGGTATTTGCTCTTTTGTGACTGGCTTATTTCATTTAGCATAATATCCTCAAGGTTCATCTATGTTGTGTCATATATCAGCATGTCCTTCCTTTTGAAGACTCAGTATTTCATTTTATTTATATGCCACATTTTGTTTATCCATTCACCCATTGATGGACATTCAGGTTGCTGATTTTCTCAATCTTCACTCCTAAATCAGTGGCACAGAAGTTCAGAAGTGAGGCCGGGCACGGTGGCTCACGCCTGTAATTGCAGCACTTTGGGAGGCCAAGGAGGACAGATCATGAGGTCAGGAGTTCTAGACCAGCCTGACCAACATGGTGAAACCCCGTCTCTACTAAAAATAGTAAAATTAGCCATGTGTGGTGGCACGCGCCTGTAATCCCAGCTACTCGGGAGGCTGAGGCAGGAGAATTGCTTGAACCCGGGAGGTGGAGGGTGCAGTGGGCAAAGATCGCACCACTGCAATCTAGCCTGGGTGACAGAGCGAGGATCTGTCTCCAAAAAAAAAAAAAAAAAAATTCAGAAGTGAAATACCCCCATTCCTAAAATTTCCTTTCAGCTCCCACTCCCAAGAGATCTTTATTCAAAGGTAGGGGAGACAGGGTAGCCTCAGAACTCAAGAGGCCCAATGAGGAAAGGAGAGCCAGAGGGGAGTTTGGGGAAGAATATGAGAGGCAAAGACCGTGAGGAGAGGTAATATTAGCAATGCCATGGAAATTACCCAAACATTCACATGAACCCCAAAATATATACCACTATTATGTACCAATAAAAAAGGTGCTTTCATCAGGCAAGAACAGATCAGGAGCCCAACCTGGAATCCTAGTAGGACTGGCAGAAAGAAGGGTGCCCAAGTCAGACCAGCCTTTCTAGTGCTTTCAGTGTGGCCAGCGTCTTTCCAAGTCAACACGGGGAGGGGGCCACAGTTTCTTCAACCTGCACTCCTATTCCAGTCATTCATCAGTAGCAAACACTGTTTCAAGATTTTCCAGGCAGTATGGAGATTTCCCAAAGAACTAAACATAGAGCTACCATTTTGTCCGGCAACCTCACTACCGAGTTCTATCCAAAGCAAGAGAAATCATACTAAAAAGATACCTGCATCCATGTGTTTACTGGAGCACTCTCCACAATAGCAAAGTCATGGGATCAACATAAGTGTCCACCAGCAGATGAGTGGATCAAGAAAACATGATTTATAGACAGTGGAATCCTATTCAGCCATAAAAAGAATAAAATCATGTCTTTTGCAGCAACATGGATGGAACTCAAGCCATGATCTTAAGTGAGATAACTCAGAAACTAAGTCAAATAATGCATGTTCTTACTTGTATGTGAGAGCTAAATAATATATAAAGAGTGGCTGGATGCAGTGGCTCACGCCTGTAATCCCACCACTGTGAAAGGCTGAGGCAGGTGGATCACCTGAGGTCGGGAGTTCAAGACCAGCCTGACCAACATGGAGAAACCCCATCTCTACTTAAAAAAAAAAAAAAAAAAATACAAAATTAGCCAGGCGTGGTGGTGCATGCCTGTAATCCCAGCTACTCAGGAGGCTGAGGCAGGAGAAATCGCTTGAACCCAGGAGGCGGAGGTTGTGGTGAGCCGCGATTGCACCATTGCACTCCAGCCTGGGCAACAAGAGCGAAAATCTATCTCAAAAAAAAAAAAAAAGTGTGGAATAGTAGACATTGGAGGCTCAGGAGGGTGAGAGGGAGGTGCAGGGTGAGAACTGACCTAATGGGTACAATGTACACTATCTGTGTGATAGGTATACTAAAAGCCCAGATTTTCCCACACAATATATACATGTAACAAAACCATACTCGTACCCCTTAAATTTATACAAATAAAAAAAGGCAAAAAAAGAATTTCCAATGTTTAGAAATGTAACACTTTATTGAGGGGTTAAGAGGTCCTTGTGAGACCGAGAGACCATGAAGGCCTTTCAGTGACTCATCCAAGGCCACAGAGCACATAAAAACCACGTGTATCATATCAAATCTATGAATGGGGTGCCAGAAATCTCACAACTCAGAGTATCAATGATTTGTATCTCCTGGGTGCAGTGTCATGTAAGTAACGGTCCCAGTCCCTGTCCTTTGCAGGTGTTCGAGTCAGAGCCCAGGTTCCTCGCAATCAGATCTCTACCCTTGTGATTGTGTCACAGTCGTCTGTGATGGTCAGGTTAGGATTTCTCTCTTCCTCAGCCGTCAGAAGTGCCTGGGTTTCCTCATCAAAATCAGTTTTTCTCAGCCTGGTAAAATATTTTAAGAGGTTCTATTTTTAATTCACATACTTTTTCCCTTTTCTGCAGCTCATCTTTCTCCCTAATTCATCCCAGGACAAGCCTAGGAAACCCTGGTGTTACCTCCAAGAGGAAAGACATACACATCAAATGCAGCGGTATGCTGATAAATGTTACCCCTGGATCCCCAGAAAATAAATAAAGTCCCAATTTATAGCTTTGCCAATTTCTGTGGTGTAAATTCTCCAAGGCAATCATGGCCAATTTTGAGCTGCCCACTTGCTGTCACTAAACAGAGTTACAAAGACAGGTACACACACACACACACACACACACACACACGTGGCTCTCACCAGCTTGTAGGAGCTGGCTCCAATATGTCACTGGACATAAATAAATGTCCAGAATTGGTAATAGAAGGCATGAACTCCACACAAACATTTGGATTTGCAACAAGAAGTCAGTGGGAGTTAGGGAGAAAGACTGAAGCTATTTTTACTTTTTCAAAGATAAAGTTAATAGTTTCCATTATCCGAGTACCTGGGCCCTGGCCCTCTGCTAAGGCTTTTTACATGCCTATCTCATTAAATGTTCACAACTGCCTTATGAGGTAGCATAATTGTCCCGACTTGTGATGAAGACAATGAGAACAATGTTAAGGTCACAAAACCAGAAAGTGGTAGTCTGGATACAAATTCAAGCAATTTGTTTCTGGAGCCCCCATACGTTGTATCATTGCTTTGAATCAGAAGGATTAAGTATCACCGTGTCTTGGTCCTTCCTTTTACGTATAATATCTCTCATCTCCATTTGGCATCTGTTTGCGTGCAACTGTCCCACACTGTTGGGGTAAGCTATGTTCTTTAGCACAACTATGTATCTTAATACACATCTTTGTGAGACTATCTATGGTAGGGGCTGGAGGAAGATGAAAACTCACTTATTTAGTTCTGCCATAGTTATCACATTATCTGATGCATACTTTCATAATTACCATGCCAAATAATCATCCCTATTTTGTAGATAGGAGGCTGATAATCAAAGAGGACAAATGCCTTACCCTGGCTTACAGGGCCAAACATGGCAAGGCTAGGAGACAAACACAGACCTCCGTGACTCAGAATGCAGACAATTTGAGTCCTTCCCCTTAATCACGTGTCTACTTTGGTAGTCTACATTCTGAATCTTTAGCAAACATTAAAATGAGAAAGAAACAATGCCAAGCACTCAGCCTTTCCAGGTGGAGATTTATAAGGATGGACTTCAAGAAAACAAACCTGTATCTTCACAAAATGGAAAAAAAAAAATCAGTGAATGTTCTTTAGCGTTAGAGTTATAACAGTTTTAACCCATTATATTTCCCTTTTCTGGAAATGAACAGCCTAATAACTGCCTATGATTACCTTCATCTCATATTGGTTTGAAAACAGTAGGGGAAAATGAATGAGAAAAATGTTAAGGACTCTATAGTTATCTAGTAAAATAATGTTTGTGGGATTATATGTAATTATAAATATAACAAATTAAAATATAAATTATGTTTATATAAGTTTCTATTTATAAATGTTATACTTATGAATATACATATAACTTGTATTTACACATAAATATTTAAAATATAAACATGTATCATAATTTGTATTATAATAATAAGTGATATAGGAGGTAAAAAATTATTTAGGCAGATAGTGAGGGCAAAAGTCCTCAGCAGAGCTTCCCTTCTAACAAAAACCAGCCCAAGAAATCATTTCTTTTCTAACAAAGAGCATCCTGAAAAACTGAGCTGCAAACATAAATAAGGGAGCGCGAAGATTGCATGGGGGGAATGCCAGCAGCTGCGCCAGTGAAAAGAGCTACCTGGGGGCCAGGCCTGTTCACCATGGAAGCACCATCTTCCCTTTTTTATTAGCATGGGTACAGTAAGAAAGAAATGGGCAACATAGTGCAGCTCAGGCAGAGAACCTGCCTGCTTAATAAAAGACTGGGGTGGGGGCTGCCAGAAATTCACACCCTATGCAAACGGCACACCTGGTCCTAACCAGTTTTTCATGCCCTATGTAGATCAGACACCACACCTCCCACCAGCTCGTCTATAAAACCCTCTGCATTTCACCATGGATCGGGCAATCCATTTTTCCGAGACCCCTCTCTGTAGCAGACAGCTCTTCTTTCTTTTGCCTATTAAACTTCTGCTCTTAACCTCACTCTTTGTGTATCTGCGTCCTTGGATCTCTGCGTCCTTGGATCTCCACGGCCCTGGGACAATGAACCTCGGGTGTTACCCCAGACAATGAGGCCACTTCACAAGTGTTTCCATTTGTTGGACATTCACTGTTCACCACTTACTGTGGTAAGAGTTTTATACTCACCTGCTTGGTTCTTACTCCTGCAACAACCCTGAGACAAGGAACATCATTTGCATTTTAAATGCAACGTGATTACACTGCAGGTCCCAGCCAATCCCTTCTTAGCCCGGAGCACTCTGCCCATAGAGCACAACAGACCCCAGCTCACCCGAGCACCTGCAGGGCACACTCTGGGTGTCTCAGGGCCTCACAGAGTACAACCACCCCTGTGTGGTCCAAGGTGTTCAAGGTCAGGTTGAGCTGCTGCAGGGTCTTACTGCAGGTGAGAACAGACGCGAGATCCTTACAGCAGGTGCTCGTTAACCCACATTCTTCCAACCTGCAATAAAAAGACACATGGTAAGATGCGGCCCCAGCCTCAGGGTGGAGGTAGGATGGGATGTGAGCTAGACGTCTAGTTGAGGCACACCCCATTGCCTCAAGTGCAATCTCTCACAGTCCAGTGTTTACGACCTCAGATCACGCGTCTGTGGGTAGGTGGTAAAAGTAGCCATAAGTGTCCATTCTTCTCTGTATCCCTGCCCACAGCAATGTGACTTTGCAGCTCATTCCACTAACAGAGTCTATTTCCGGCTTCATACCTTGCTTTGGATAATATAACATATTATCCAAAAAAAGGTATGAAGCCGTCTCAGATAACAATGGAAGCAAGATTAGGAGAGTTCTGAGCCACCATTTTGGGTGTTTTTCTTCTTTGGAGATGGGGTCTCTGTCATCCTGGCTGAAGTGCAGCAGCATGACCATGGCTCACTGCAGCCTTGACCTGCTGGGTTCTAGCAATTTTCCTGCCTCAGCCTCCTGAGTAGCTGGGACTACAGGCATGCACCACGCCTGCGGGCTAATTTTTGTGGAGATGGGGTTTCTGTCATCCCGGCTGAAGTGCAGTGGCATGATCATGGCTCATTGCAGCCTTGACCTCCTGGGTTCTAGCAATTTTCCTTCCTCAGCCTCCTGAGTAACTGGGGCTACAGGCATGCACCACGCCTGGCTAATTTTTATGGAGATGGGGTTTTACCATGTTGCCCAGCCTGTTCTTGAACTCCTAGCCTCAAGCTATTGGCTTGCCTCAGGCTCCTTTAGTGCTGGGACTGCAGGACTAAGCTATCACACCTGGTGATCTTGGATGTTTTCTATACTTCATCTCTTGAACTCCTGAGATGCTGCTATGGGCTCATTTCTGTCCCTGCCAAAATTTATACGTTGAAGTCCTAAACCCCAGTACCCCAAAATGTGATCATATTTGGATACAAGGTCTTTATAGAGGCAATTAAGCTAAAATGAGGACACTGGGGGGATTCTAATCATATGACTGGTGTTCTTATAAGAGGAAATTTAGACACACACACACAGAGGGAAGAGAACATGAAGACACAGGGAGAAGACAGATGGTTATCGACAAGACAAGAAGGGCCTGAAGCAGATTCTCCCTCATGGCCTTCAGAAGGAGCCAACTCTGCTGACACTTTGATCTCAGACTTTCAGCCTCCATAACCGTGAAGTGATAAATTCATTACCTAAGCCACCCAGTCCATGCTACTTTTTAAACCCTGGCAAACTGATACAGATGCCATGTCAATGAGCCCAGGCCAACCAGTTAGATAATGAGACGTGGCCCAGTTACACCTGTCATCCCCAAGGGGACAGCCAACCCAGCCAGCCAACCTCCATACCATATAGCAAGGTCAACCCAAACCAGCCAATCCCTCAGTTAACCACAGCTTCCTAAGCACACCTGGCTGAGGTCAGTGACGCCTGCCCAGACAAGCAGAGCCAGCAGCAATCTAACTTCTCATTGCCTTAAGCCCTGAAGTTTTACACTGGTTCATGATGCAACCACAGCTAGCTGCTATGTGGTCCTGTTGGAGTTTTCATCTTTCTCTTTCTTCCCATCCATTTTCCGTCTTTGCCACTCATGAAAACATAACCAGGAGCTTGGCGATACCCACCCAAGAATCTCTAAGCGGCAATCCGTATGCGTCAGAGCCCGACACAACAGCTGCACACCCACATCTCCGATTTCATTGCACCCAATTTGCAGAATCTTCAGGTTTTGATTGCTGATGAGAGCAGAGGCGAGGTCTTCACAGCCAGCAGCAGTGATAAAACATTTTACCAAACTGCAAAGGAGTAAGGGTACCATGCTTAAAGGCTATTACACCTCAGTCTAATATCAGGAAAAGAGACACCAAAGCACGACAGCCTTTGTCATTCATGTGGATAGGCACCGTCAGTCCTCCATATCCACAGATTCAACTAGTGGCAGATTGAAATTATTGAAGAATTAAAACAATAACACATAACACGCAACACTAAAAAATACAAACGAAAAAACCAATAGAGTATAACAACTGTTCACACAACATTTACATTGTATTACATATCACAGTAACTTAGAGATGATTTACAGTATTATGGGAAGATGCCTGTACATTATATGCAAACACTATATAGGCCAGATGCGGTGGCTCATGCGTGTAATCCCAGCAGTTCGGGAGGCTGAGGTGGGTGGATCACCTGAGGTCAGAAGTTCCAGACCAGCCTGGCCAAAATGGTGAAACCCTCATCTCTACTAAAAAAAACACAAAAAATACAAAAAATTAGCCGGGCATGGCGATGCGTGCCTGTAGTCCCAGCTACCCAGGAGGTTGAGGCACAAGAATCACTTGAACTCGGGAAGCAGAGATTGCAGTGAGCTGAGATCGCACCACTGCACTCCAGCCTGGGCGACAAAGTGAGAGACTGTCTCAAAACACACACTATGCCATTTTACATTAGGAACTTGAGCATCTACAGATTTTGGACTCCTCAGGGGAAATCTGTAGCCAACCTCCTATGGATATGGAGGGACAACTGAATTGTCTCAGCATCGTTTGTTGGAGGTCTATCCTCTCTCTGCACCAGTGATACGCTATTCCATGATGCGACATCTGAACACACGTGGATCAGTCTGTTTCTGAGATCTCTATTCTGTGTCTCTGGTCTGTCTGCTTATCCCTGTGTGAATCTCATGCTTTTTTAATTTCTAAAACTTTAGATGACACATTTAGAGCAAGAGTTCCTACATTATTTTTATTTGAGACGGAGTTTCACTCCTGTTGTCCAGGCTGGAATGCAACGGCACAATCTCAGCTCACTGCAACCTCTGCCTCACGGGTTCAGGTGATTCTCCTGCCTCAGCCTCCTGAGTAGCTGGTATTACAGGCATCCACCATCATACCCAGCTAATTCTGTATTTTTTTTTTTTTCAGTAGAGACGGGGTTTCACTATGTTGGTCAAGCTGGTCTTGAACTCCTGACCTCAGGTGATCCACCCACCTGAGCCTCCCAAAGTGCTGAGATTACAGGCGTGAGCCACCGCGCCTGGCCCACTTTTTATATTTTAGGTGTTTCTTAGGTATTCTTGGCCTCTTGCAAGTTCCATACACATTTTAAAATTTACTTTTCAAGTTCAACTCAATCACCAAACAAAAACATCGCATTTTCACTGGGATTTCATGAAAGCAAATGAATTCAACTTACAGAAAACTGACTTTTTAGATACTGAATATTTCAATCTTTGAATATAACATTGTTTTATACCATAATTTGATCATATTCTCTATAAAAGTCTCACATATATCACAGTAGCTATTTCTAGGTAATTTCTTTTTTATGTTACTGTAAAAGGTACTTTTATTTAATTCCACTAGCTTATTACTTCTTGTTGGTATATCAGTAACTGTTTTTGATATATTGTTTCAAGCAAGCTTGTTAGACTAATTCTGATAACTTAGCTACAGATTTTCTTGGATTTTTCTATGTACATTCAAATCATCTGTATAGAATTAGGTGTTTCTTCAAAGATTACAGGTTTAGTGTTTTTCTTACCTTGAAGCATTTGCTAAGATTTTCAGGACACTGTTGACTAGAAGTGATTATAGCCACCGTTCTTATCTTTTTCATGATATTGAAGAGAAAGCTTTTCTCTCATCATTAGACAAATGTTTGCTTTAGATTTTTTTGAACATATTCTTTAGATCATCAAGGAAGTTCCCAAATAGTTTTTCAAGAATTGTATGTCTTAATTCAAACTTTTCTGCATTTTAGATCATGATTTTTATTTTTAACCAGTAAAGTGATTTACATTGATTTTTTTACTAATCTTTTTAATGTTAAAGCAACTTTACATTTTGGGGATAAGCCCAACTTAGTCATTATGTTTATTCTTTTAATACATTTATGGATTCTGCTTGCTAATATTCTGTTCAGTGTTTTTGCATTTCATGAATGACACTAGCCTTTAATTCTGCTTTCTTACAAAAATTGTAAGGATTATATTACAACCAATAAAATTCTTATTGGTTTCTGGCATCAAGATTATGCTAGCCACAAAAAATGGTGGGGAGTTTCTCCTCTTCTGATCCTGAAAAAGCTGATGTAAGAGTGGAATTATTTATTCTTTGAATGTCTGGTAAGAATCACCAATGAAGGCTTCTAAGCCTGGAATTTTCTATATAAAAAGATTTGACTGATTCATTTTTCTTTTGTCTTGAGTACATTTAGGTTCTATCATTTTAGAAGCTTATTGAGTCTTGAAAATATCTAAATTTTCAAGTTTATTGTGTAAAGTTGCTCATATGTAATCTTTTTAATATCTGTAGCATCTGTAGTAATGTTTCTTTTCCCATTCTTGACATAGACCTGCACTCTTCAGTGTGATAGCCAGCCACGTGTGACCACTGAGCACTTGGAATGTAGCTTGTCTGAATCTAGATGTGCCATAGTATAAAATACATAGTGAACCTTAGAGAGTTAATACAAAAAAGTAAAATCTCTCATTAGTAATTTTTTGTACTGATTACATATTGAAGTGATGTTTGATATATGGCTAAATAAACTATATTATTAAAATTAGTTTCAAATATTTACTTATAAAATTACTTTCAAATATTACATCACTTTTAATATGGCTACTTGAAAATTTAATATTACATGTGTGGCTTGCATTATATTCTATAGGATGGCATTAACAAAAACTGTTTTTTCCAAGAACCACCCTGCAGGTTTCTGATCTTTTCCATTGTGATTTTTGTTTCATTAGTTTCTGTCCTTATTTTTATTTCCTTCCATCCTTTAGGGGGTTTATTTTACCATTAAAAAAATCCTTAAGTTCATTATTCTTTAGATTCCTTTTAAAATATATACATGCACTACAGCTCCATCTGAGTTTGTTGCAAAGTATATTCCTTTTTCATTTCAACATATGTTCTAATTTCCATTATGATTTCTCTTAGATTCCTGGACTCTATATGGGAAGTAATTATGTTCACCTTGTAAGATTTAAAGTTCAACTGAGTAGGAAGATAATTTAAAAATTAGCATGAACCGAATAATACTTTGTCTTAAATTCTATTTTGTCTGATTCATACAGTTGCGTAAGCTTCCTTTTAATATTTGCGTGGTCTTTTTTTCTATCCTTTCATTTTCATCATTTTATTGAGGTAAAATTTACTTAAGATTAACTATATTAAAGTGAACAGTTCAGTGGCACTTACTACAGTTCACAATGTTGTACAACCACAACCTCACGTTTTAATAAGTAACTTATAAACATTAGTTACGTTTTAATATGGCAATCTTTTAGCTGAAACATTTAATCTGTTCGTTTAATTACTAGCATATTTGAATTCAAATATATATCTTGTTTCATATTTTCTTACCTGTTCAATTTTTGTTTCCTTGTTCTTTTTTGGATCGGGAATTTTTTAATCATTCTGTCTCCTCTTTTCTGCTAATTTGAGTATTCACCTTAATTTACCCCTTTATATTTTGTTATGGCTGTTGTATATTTTTTCCATTAAATCTTCAAGATGGTATTATTTTTATACACAATCCACATTTTGTTTAGATTTATCCAGAGATCTACCCCTCTCTTTGCTCTATCTCTCTTCCATCTGGAATGATTTACTTCTGTCTAAGGAACAGTCTTTAGAATTACTTTTAGGAAGGATCTGGTGGTAAGAAACTTGGTATTTATTTGAAAATGTGTTTTTATCCTCATTCTTGATAGTTTTTGGTGGCTATAGAATTCTAGGTTGACAATCCACCCTCCCGTCTCCCCGCCATACTGAATATCTCACTGTACTGCCCTCTGGTTTCCACTATTACTCTTCACCCAAGTCTGTCTCCTTTCTTGTAGATATCACTTTCCCCCGCCCCAAGCTCCCAGCCCCTTGTTAAATCTTTACAGACCAACATCTTTATATCTGGTGTTCTGCAGTTTCTCCACTATTTATCCTGTTAAGCGCTTATTTGGATGCTTGAATCTGAATTGGAATCTTTCATTGGTTACAGAAAAATTTCAGTCTTCTTAAAATATTTTCTCTTTCCGCGATTCCCAGTAAGTGTGTTAGAACATCTTAATCATCTAAGTCTTATACCCTCTTCTATGATTTACCTATTTTTCTGTTTTCATGCTGCTTTCTAGGTAATTGTAACCTATCTTCCATTTTACTAATTTTTTCTTTAATTATGTCTAATCTACTATTCACCCCATATAGTCAGTTATTATATTTATAATTTCTAGTTGTATTATTTGCTCATTTCATCTCCTTTTCCCTAAGATTCAAACTTGTTATTTTTCTGTAAACATAGTAAGTATAATAGCTTTATAGATAATTAGATAGTTTGGTAGCTGTTTGTATTTTGACTTGTCCTTGGCTCAATGAGCTTTATTTCCTTGTGGGTTGGGTTATTTTAACTGTGTGGTATTTACTGACCTTAAAAAATCCTTTTAGGAATAAGCTGAGGTCAAGGATCATGTCATCCTATTACCTACCTCCTGAGACAATTTGCTCTTGTTTCTTTCAGGCATCTGTTCAGTACTAGTTTAAGGTTATGTTGTGTTTTTTTAATACGTCTTAAGGAGTTTTGGATAGCCTTAAGTGCTATCTACTTAGCCTGCTACTTAAGAATATTTCTGTTTGGGCTGGGCACGGTGGCTCATGCCTGTAATCCCAGCACTTTGGGAGGCCGAGGCGGGCGGATCACGAGATCAGGAGATTGAGACCATCCTGGCTAGCACAGTGAAACCCCGTCTCTACTAAAAATACAAAAAAATTAGCCAGGCGTGGTGGCGGGCACCTGTAGTCCCAGCTACTTGGGAGGCTGAGACGAGAATGGCGTGAACCCGGGAGGCAGCACTTGCAGTGAGCCGAGATTGTGCCACTGTACTTCAGCGTGGGCTGACAGAGCGAGACTCTTCTGTCTCCAAAAAAAAAAAAAAAAGATTATTTCTGTTTAGCTTCTAGATGCTTTTAAATTTTTTCTTAATATTGTATCTGATGTTTTTGGTGTCTTTCAGTGCCAACGATTGGCCCAGATAGCCTAACGCACTACTGGGAGAGAAAGAATGCATCTGGTGTTTTTGTTATGTTATTTAACATACTCTTCAAGTGAGGAATACAAAATCCTAAACTGATTTCCTAATGGATTAGGTAAAAATCACGCTGCCAGATTTCAGAAGCCTCTGTATTTTTCAGGGAAAATACATAACAACATGTTATCCTAACTGGTAATTCTAAAAACACTGCCACCGCCGCTACAGGGGTTACCCAGATATTTCTCTATTTGATAACATGAAATTAAGTCTTTTCACCATCTCCTTTCTGGCTCATCTCATGCTACCCTTTGTCTTCTTCTAAAGCATTCTCTGTTACACACATTAATTCTCACGTGTATTTTTGGATCTCCCACCTTCACGTTTTACCCTTCTACCTGGAATTTTGGCTTTATTTTTGCACCTGATGAAGTGCATTCATTTTGTAGAACACACACCAAATATCATCTTCGCCATGAAATTGCCCCTCAGGTCCCGACCTAATTCCGGCTCTCTCAGTCCTCTACCTATATGCCACTGGAGAACTCTTTGCAACATATTAAATCCATGCCACAGAAGTCAGGGTGCTGATTTGTTTACATGAACGTCTCGACAAGAATCTGAAGCAAGTATTTTTTAAACCTTCACATGCCCAGGCACAGACACTACAGCCTTCCTCAATTCCAGATGCCCCATTCTCAGCAGTGCATGCCCTTGAAAAGACGGCTTGGTCTTCAAAGAAACAGCAAAAAGCCTACCACAGTGAATCCAGGCAGCAGTCCGGATGTTTCAAGGCCTCGCAGAGAGTTTTCAGTCCTTCGTCCTTCAGGACATTGGCACTGAGGTCTAGATAGCGCACGCTCTTGTTACGCAGAAGCATTTCAGAGATGTATTCGCAGCACTGCTCGCTGAGGTGGCAGAAAGCCAACCTATGGGGACAAAAACACGAGAAGGAGAGTGAAGAGGGACGTGGTGTCTCAGGGAGATTTGCTTAATTTCACATTCAGGGTAATATTTCTATAATCTTACAAACTCCCCAGCTGAGATGAAGTTCTGGATTATCTGAAAACACCTCCTCTCATTTATTCTTTTGAGATGGAGTTTTGCTGTCGTCGCCCGGGCTGGAATGCAACGGCGCGATCTTGGCTCACTGCAACCTCCACCTCCCAGGTTCAAGTGATTCTCTTGCCTTAGCCTCCCAAGTAGCTGAGATTACAGGCACCCACAACCACATCTCGCTAATTTTTGCATTTTTAGTAGAGACGGGGTTTCACCATGTTAGCCAGGCTAGTCTCGAACTCCGGACCTCAGGTGATCTGCCCACCTCGGCCTCCCAAAGTGCTGGGATTACAAGGCGTGAGCCACCGCGTCCGGCCCTCTCATTTCTTCTTAGTTGCATGATAGAAGAATTAGAAAATAAGAGGGTAATGCAGAAGGAAAAAGTATCGTGTAATATGGCATAGCTAATACTCTAACAGGGCTTTAATTTTGGTTCTAATTCTTCATCTGATGATGTCCTTGGACAAGACATGGACCTTCTGAGACCGCTCCCTCAGGGACTGGTAAAGTGTATTGATTACCTCATGTGTAGAATCCCCAACTTTTTCAATTTCATTATTCTTTAAAATCACAGTAGGTTCAAAACTTTTTTTTTTTTGGAGACAGGGTATGGCTCTGTCACCTAGGCTGGAGTGCAGTGGCATGATCACAGCTCACTGCAGCCTCTACCTCCCTGGCTCAAGGGATCCTCCCACCTCAGCACCTCAGTCTTCTGAGTAGCTGAGACTACAGGTGCGTGCCACCACACCAAGCTAATTTTTGTATTTTTTTGTCAAGAAAGGGTTTCATCATGGTGCCCAGGCTGGTCTTGAACTCCTGGGCTCAAACAATTCACCTGCCTTGACGTCCCAAAGTGTTGGGAATATAGGTGTGAGCCTCCAATCCCAGCCAGTTTATGAATTTTTTTTTTTTAAGGATCCATGTTGACTTTGAAAAAAAAGTGTGGAGTAGAGAAAAACAAAAAAGCAGACGGTGCAAGCTAGTGATGAACGAACCACATATGGCCTACGGATATTTAGATTTCCTGGCATTTTTATGTTTAACAAAATCAGTTGGCAATATATAACCATCAGTAAAATTGTATGTAAAATCTAGATTTCAACCTCTGTTGAAAACTGGGATATCTGGCAATAATGAGCCGCATTCCCACATGGAAATCCAACAGGCTAGGACAGAACGGGCAACTGCTTCCTGTTGACAGACACAAGATCTGCATTTCCACGGAGGCCTCACCCAGCTTGCTTCTCTCACGGATCTCAATTTTCTGGCATATCCAGGCATTTGTGGACTTTGTTGTTTTTTGTTTTTTTTTTGGTTTATTTTTTGTTTTTTTTTGAGACAGTCTTGCTCTTTCACCCAGGCTGAAGTGTGGTGGTGCGATCTCGGCTCACTGCAACCTCTGCCTCCCAGGTTCAAGCGATTCTCCAGCCTCAGCTTCCCTCGAGAGTAGCTGGGACTACAGGTATGCACCACCAAACCCAGCTAATTTTTGTATTTTGTATTTTTAGTAGAGACGGGGTTTCACCAACTCACAGAGTCTACCAACTTCCATCTGGGTTCCCCTTCCTGAACTGCATCCTGAAATCTCTCTCCAGATAGTTACCTGGGACAATTCTAGGACTCACCTGTTTGTCCCTTATCACTCAGGCACCACTGTCCTTCATTGCCTGATGTCTGAAGTCTTAAACAGTTGTTTTATTTAGTTGGTTATTTTTGGTTGTTTTAGGTGGGAGGTTAAGTCCTGTCCCTGTCCCTCTATTTTAGCTCGAGGTATAAATCCTCTCATTTTCTTGACATTTTCAGAATACTCTTACTTTCATGTTGTTCATATTTCAAAATGCCCAAAAGTATAAAGAGGGAAAAATCTCCATCCTCCCCTATCTCCCAGCTTCTCAGTTCTATTTCTCACAGGCAGCCTATATTATAATACTATTTCTTCCAGTGATATTTGTGTATTTAAAAAATAGACACACTCGAGACCAGCCTGACCAACGTGGAGAAACCCCATCTCTACTAAAAATACAAAATTAGCCAGGCATGGTGGCGCATGCCTGTAATCTCAGCTACTTGGGAGACTGAGGCAGGGGAATTGCTTGAACCCAGGAGGCAGAGGTTGCGATAAGCCAAGATCATGCCACTGCACTCTAGCCTGGGCAACAAGAGCAAAACTCAAAACTCAAAAAAAAAAAAAAAGACACAAATGCATATATATTCTCCTGTCCTCTCCCCTTTTGTATAAGTATCACCTAAAGGTATTAGAATTCCATTAATAGGTAAATCAATTGGCCTTTAACACTTACTCATCTGTCTTCCTTCTGTGTTTTACGTACCCTAAAACTGGCTTGAATAGCCTCTTCTCATCCTATTACTGCAAGAACATCACATGTATTATAGTATTAACTGGGGTCAAGAGGCCCATAGACATTTTTCCCCGCTACTGTCCTGAGTACCCACCAAGTCTATTCTACATGCTCGAAATAACCGTTATCAACACGGGAAGTACCATGTGTGTTGCAGGTGCATTAACCCAACCTAACAGCTTTGAAACACAGTACGTGTTCTGTATAGACAGTCTCACTTGATAGCCATAAGACCTCTAAGACAGGATTTTCCTCTGCTTCTAAGTTAAATATTTTGCTTAAGAAGACAGTATATACGTGATAAATCCTGAACTAGAACTCAAGTCTTTTCTGATTCTTAAGCGTGAGCTTTTAAACCTCCGCTATGTGGCCTCCATCAATGAGCAGACTGTCATCAATAGGCCCAGGTTTGAACTGCCGCCATGGCCCTCCACAGTAGGCACCCCCAACATCCACTCACATCAGGTATACCAGGACCGTGTCTGGGCTGCACAGGGCTTCACACAAAAGGGGCACGCCTGTGTCTAACTGGTTGCAGGATACATTCAGATACGTCAGCTTCTTGTTGTTGGTTAGAAGGCCAGCAAGGACTTCACAATCAATGGGTGAGAGGTGACAATTTACCAGCCTGCAGGAAAGGGAAAATGTCACATTCTGTTGGTTTCTAGTTCCTGGACTCATTCCTCTTGCCAATCCTGTCAGAGTCGGGAAGCCCACATTTGCTGTCCTTGAGAGGCTCACTGCCTCCCAACCCTGTTCTTGATCCCTGTCAACCCAGTCTCTGGGGTACAGAGACAGCCAACCTGAGATGCACAGTCTCAGTTATATGCATGCTTGGCTTACGGTCTCTGGGGTACAGAGACAGCCAACCTGAGATGCACCATCTCAGTTATACGTATGCTTGGCTTACGGTCTCTGGGGTACAGAGACAGCCAACCTGAGACACACAGTCTCAGTTATATGCATGCTTGGCTTACAGTCTCTAGGGTACAGAGACAGCCAACCTGAGACACAGTCTCAGTTACATGCACACTTGGCTTACGGTCTCTGGGGTACAGAGACAGCCAACCTGAGACGCACCATCTGTTATATGCATGCTTGACTTATGGCCTCCGGGGTACAGAGACAGCCAACCTGATATGCACTGTCTCAGTTATATGCATGCTTGGCTTATGGTCTCTGGGGTACAGAGACAGCCAACCTGAGATGCACCGTCTCAGTTATATGCATGCTTGGCTTATGGTCTCTGGGGTACAGAGACAGCCAACCTGAGATGCACCGTCTCAGTTATATGCATGCTTGGCTTACGGTCTCTGGGGTACAGAGACAGCCAACCTGAGACGCACAGTGTCAGTTATATGCATGCTTGGCTTAGCCTCCCCCAGTAACTTATCTCACTGCACTTGGAGAAAATCCCAAAATATACAACATGATCCACAAGGGTCCTACCCATTCCCAAGTCCCCATGTCCCAGCCACCCTGGTTCTTTTTCAGTTGCTTGACAACACAGGTTTCATTCTCTAAGATATTATTCATGTTTGATCCTCCCCAAACTCGTGTCTAGTGGCTCCTTTACTCAACTTGGGCTATTTTGCATGTGTGCCCGCCAAGTGGAATGCTCTTTTTCTGGCCTGTGGTTAGATGCATCTTTATCATTCAGGTCTCTGCTCAAGTAATATCTCCTCAAAGAACATGGAAGAAGCCTTGAACCCGAGTCCCCTAGGACTCCTTTTTTGGTGGCTTGAGTTGATTTGTGTTGCCTCACAACTGTGTGGTTTAACTGTGTGGTTTTCTATTACCTCAACCACTCTCCTTACCTCTGGTTGCCACAAAAAATAAGCTCAGAGACAACAGAATAAAGATGAAAGCCATTATGGGAGTTGTCCAGAAATAAATGTGGAATTGGCAAGTCACCGAGTCCATGGCTCCTCACGCCTCTGCAGCAGGGCTCTGAGGCCATGCATGCTTTTAATGTTCTTTCTAGATTTAAGATATAGGTTGGTGCGGCCGGGCGTGGTGGCTCAAGCCTGTAATTCCAGCACTTTGGGAGGCCAAGGAGGGCGGAACATGAGGTCAAGAGATCAAGGCCATCCTGACCAGCATGGTGAAACCCCATCTCTACTAAAAATACAAAAATTAGCTGGGCATGGTGGTGGGCACCTGTAGTCCCAGCTACTCAGGAGGCTGAGGCAGAAGAATCACTTGAACCCAGGAGGCGGAGGTTTTAGTGAACTGAGATTGTACCACTGCACTCCAGCCTGGGTGACAGAGTGAGACTCATCTCAAATTTGGGGGAAAAAAAAAGAAAAGAAAACAAAGAAGTTAATCTTAATGAATTTGGGTTAGGCAATGGTTTCGTAGCAATTGCACCAAAAGCACATGAGACAAAAGAAAAAAATAAAGTGCATCTCATCAGATTAGAAGCTTTTGTGCTTCAAAGGACACCATTAAGAAAGTGAAACGACAACTCACAGAATGGCAAAAAATATTCACAAAGTACGTCTCGTATATAACTTGTAATCAGAAAACATAAAGAACACTTACAACTTGACAAAAAGGCAAAAAATCCAATTAAAAATGTGCAAAGGTGTTGCCAACAACCATATGAAGAAATGCTCATTAATCATTAGAAAAATGCATATCAAAACTGCAATGAGATACCATCTCACACAGGTCAGAATGGCTATTATTAAAAAAAGTCAAGAAATAATATATGCTGGTGAGGTTGCAGAGAAAAGTGTACACTTACACATTTTTGTAGGAATGTAAATTAGTTCAGCCATTATGGAAAGCAGTTTGGCAATTTCTGAAAGAACTTCAAACACAACTACCATCAAACCCAGCAATCCCATTATTGGGTATATACCCAAAGGAATATAAATCATTGTACTATAAAGACACCTGCACTTGTATGCTCATCACAGCACTATTCACCTAAATACCCATCAACAGTGGGCTAGATAAAGAAAATGTGATACATATACACCATGGAATACTATGCAGCCATAAAAAAGAGTAAGATGATGTCCTTTGTAGCAACATGGATGGAGCTGGAGGCCATTATCCTTAGCAAACTAACACAGGAACATAAATCCAAATATCACATGTTCTCACTTATAAGTGGACGCTAAACACTGAGTACATATAGACATGAAGAAAAGGACAACAGACACCAGGGCCTACTTGAGAGCAGAGGGTGGGAAGAAGGTGGGGAAGAAAAATCTACCTATCAGGTACTATGCTTATTAACGGGTGACGAAATAATTTGTACACCAAACTTCCATGACGTGCCATTTACTTTTATAATAAACCTGTACCCCTGAATGTAAAATAAAAGTTTTTTAAAATGTTGTTTAAATGTTAAAATTTTTAAATGTTTAAAAACCTGTACCCCTGAATGTAAAATAAAAGTTTTTAAAAATGTGTGAAGGACTTGAATATATATTTCTCCAAAGAAGATATAGAAATGATCAAAAAGCACAGGAAAAGATGCTCATCATTAGTCATTCAGGAAAAGCAAATCAAAACCACAATGAGATGCTCCTTCACATCTACTAGGATGGGTATAATAAAAAATAAGTAAATATAAGTAATAATAAAATATAAGTAAATAAGTAAAAAATAAGCAAAGATGTGGAGAAATTAGAACTCTCATACATTGCTGGTAGGAATACAGAATTGTGCAGTCACTGAGGAAAATAACTTGGTGGTTTCTCTAACAGTTAAATATGGATTTACTATATGACCTAGCAAGTCTACTCCTGGTTACAAGTCCAAAAGGATTGAAAGCAGGTGTTCACACATGAGTGTTCATAGAGCACTATTCAGAATAGCTAAAAGGTGGTAACAACCCAAGTGTTCATCACTAGAGGACTAGAAGAACAAAATGGGGAATATCTACACAGTGGAATACTATTTAGCCAAGAAAAGGAATGAAGTACTGATACATGGTACAATTTGGATAAACCTTGAAAACATTTTGCTAAGTGAAAGTAAGCCATTCGCAAAAGACCACATGTGATTCAACTTACATGAGACGCCTGGGATAGGAAAATCCAATAGGACTGAAAGTATGTTAGTAATTCCCAGGGACCAGAGAGATAAGGGAGTGAGGAGTGAATGCTAATGGGTATGGGGTTTCTTTCTGAGGTAATGAGAACATTCTAAAATCAGTCATGATGGTTGTACTTCCTCATGAATATATATGAGGATCACTAAACTGTACATTTTAAAGCATAGTTATACTTTAAAAGTATTTCTTAAAATATATGAAGTACATACTTTAAAAGTATATGTTTTGTGGTATGTGGATATCACAATAAAGTTGTTATTTTTTAAAAAAGGGTTTGGGTCTTTTTGTGTTCGGTTGATGCAAGCTCAGAAAAATGGCCAACAAAGACTAGTATAGAGAAGTATTTGAATGTGTGGGTACCAATGAAGGTAAGTAGAGGGTAAGTATTTACAGGAAACCCTTATTTAATTGCAAAAATAAAAATGCTTGAATTAAAACATACATACTGGAAAGTACACACAATGGTTAAGTGCCAGCCAACGCACTGTCATGAATTTAAGGCACTTGAGTTACCAGTATCCAGGTCAAGAAACAGAGCAGGTTCATCATTCTCCTGTACCCCTCTCCTTCACTATCTTAACAAAAGTAACCGCTGTCTGATATGGTTCGGCTGTGTCCCCACCCAACCCTCACGTCGAACTGTAATCCCAGTGTTGGAGGAGGGGCCTGGGGGGTGACGGAATCATGGGGGTGGTTTCTAGTGATTTACCACCATCCCCTAGAGCTGTTCCTGTGACAGAGTCCTCACGCGACCTGGTTGCTTGGAACTGTGTAGCGCCTCCCTCTTCTCTCTTCTTCCTGCTCCCCCATGTAAGACGTGCCTGCTTTCCCTTTGCCTTCTGCCACCATTGTAAGTTTCCTGAGGCCTCCCCAGAAGCAGAAGCCTGTACATCCTTCAGAACCATAAGCCAATTACACCTCTTTTATTTATAAATTCCCAGTCTCAGGTATGTCTTTATAGCAGCGCGAGAACGTGTGAATACACTGCCCGAACCTCCAACACCAGAGCCTTGTCCATCTTTGAACTTCACAGGAATAAAGCCATAGGATGTACTCTTGAGTCTGGCTCATTGCCATCAACAATGTCTGAGATTTGTCCAGGTTTTTGCATACGACCGAGAGTGTTCTTTCTCATGGAACAGGAGCATGTAACCACAGGTTTCTTATCCAACTTACTGTCAGTGGTATTTCCACTTCTCAGAGATTATGAACACCTGCTGGGAATGCTTTAGTGCCTGTCTTTCAGCAAACTGAGACAGGTCCCTCTGTCGAATGTGCACCTCCAGGTGGAATTATTGGGTTACATAATCTGCCAGAATCCATGAAGGCTGAATACACACAGTTTTCCGAAATGGCTACATCAATTGGGAAACTTTAACTTCCCTATCCAAGTTCTCAGGAAACTAAGTTTGCATACAAATCATAGAAGGAAAAAGTGGATGTCTTCAAATATGCAGCCCCCTCCCCCAACACAAAAAGAAATACATAGTCTTCTCTGAAACCCAATCAGTGGTCTCAATAAACAGAGACTTACGCTATAGTCTTCTCTGAAACCCAATCAGTGGTCTCAATAAACGGAGACTTACGCTATAGTCTTCTCTGAAACCCAATCAGTGGTCTCAATAAACAGAGACTTACGCTATAGTCTTCTCTGAAACCCAATCAGTGGTCTCAATAAACAGAGACTTACGCTATAGTCTTCTCTGAAACCCAATCAGTGGTCTCAATAAACAGAGACTTACGCTATAGTCTTCTCTGAAACCCAATCAGTGGTCTCAATAACGGAGACTTACGCTATAGTCTTCTCTGAAACCCAATCAGTGGTCTCAATAAACGGAGACTTACGCTATAGTCTTCTCTGAAACCCAATCAGTGGTCTCAATAAACGGAGACTTACGCTATAGTCTTCTCTGAAACCCAATCAGTGGTCTCAATAAACGGAGACTTACGCTATAGTCTTCTCTGAAACCCAATCAGTGGTCTCAATAAACGGAGACTTATGCTATAGTTTTCTCTGAAACCTAATCAGTGGTCTCAATAAACGGAGACTTAGGCTATAGTCTTCTCTGAAACCCAATCAGTGGTCTCAATAAACGGAGACTTACGCTAGCTCTTTGACGTTGCCTGCTGGGTAGTTCAAGGCATCACAGAGGGACCTGATGTCATCACGAGAGAGTTTCGTGAGGGTGAAGCTCAGGTATTTCAAGTCTGGCTGATAAAAGAGCACCTCAAAGAGCAGAACACTCTGGCCAGAAAAGGAAACGTTATTTATTCTGCAAAAACAAAGAAAATTTTGGATGAGTTTCATCTAATGGGAGCACAGCCTGCACACCTGTGTTTGTCTCTCATCATCCATCATGAACTCATTCTCTGATTTCACAGCCCAATGACACAGCTCAGTAGTTCTCAACTTGAGAGATTTTGCCCCCACAAGGGACAGCTGGCAGTGTCTGGACACTATTTTGGTTATCTGGACAAGGGGATGCTATTAGGATCTAGAGGGTAGAGACCAGGGATGCATCTTAACACCCTACAACGCACAGAACAACCCCTATGATGAAGAATGATCTGCATGAGATGTCTGTAAGTGCTGAGGTTGAGCAACTGCTCTGGATGTTAATTCTTTGCTTGTGCAGTTAGCCTCGACTGAAAGCTAGAGGTGAGATGAATAGGTCATCTCCGTGACATACTCGAGTCGAAGTCGATTCTCAACTCACCCAAGCTTCTGAAGGCGACAGCTGGGATGCCTCAG
The DNA here is from genome assembly GCF_000001405.40 of Homo sapiens. Taxonomy (NCBI): domain Eukaryota; kingdom Metazoa; phylum Chordata; class Mammalia; order Primates; family Hominidae; genus Homo; species Homo sapiens. The sequence continues at coordinate 55,861,512 of NC_000019.10, read as the reverse complement.
CTGGTTACACCAGGTCACAAAGGTCGACTCGCTGAGGGTGCTGTCCTGCACCTGGAGCTCTCTGAGGTGCCCGCTGGTGGTGAGCACAGAGCAGATGTGATGCCAACAGATGAGGCTGTAATCCGACCTGTGGTCAAGAAAGGACGAGCTTTCCACAGGCAGGCGGTCAACACGAGCCACTTGTAACACATATACGCACTACGCTGTCTTCTCAAACAGAAGATGTCTGAGGCAGAGCCTCCCTCAGTCAGAAGGAACGGGACCCTTCAGGTAAGTCACCTTATGTTAGTGGTTCTCAACCTGGGGTGACGTTTCCCCCCAGGGGACATTTGGGGATGTCTAGAGGCCTTTTTGGATGTTAGAGCTTAAGGGAGGGGTGCTTCTGGCATCTAGTGAGTACAGACCAGGGATGTTTCTGAACATCCTACAATGCACAGGAGAGCCCCCCACTGTAACAGGAGAGCCAGCCCCCAAAACATCACCAGTGCCAAGGCTGAGAAACCCTGTCTCACATCCAAAATAGGTTTATTTTTTGAGATGGAGTTTCACTCTTGTTGCCCAGGCTGGAGTGCAATGGCACAATCTTGGCTCACTGCAACCTCTACCTCCCAGGTTCAAGCGATTCTCCTGCCTCAGCCTCCTGAGTAGCTGGGATAATAGGTGCGTGCCACCATGCCTGGCTAATTTTTGTATTTTTAGTAGAGACGGGGTTTCGCCATGTTGGTCAGGCTGGTTTACAGTAAAAGATGAGGCAGCACAGCCCAGCCATTAAGTCGACATCTTCAGCCTAGGCTCAGCCCTAAAACTCTCCATGTCCTAAATACAGGATCCTTGACTGGATAGGATCCAGCTCACTTGACTTCTTTGCCCCAGTTTCCTCACCTGTAACAGGATAATAGGATCCACCTCATATGATTCTTTTGGTTTTTGAGATGGGGTCTTGCTCTATTGCCCAGGCTGGGTTATACAGTGGCACGATCATGGCTCACCGCAGTCTCTTACTTCTGGGCTCAAGCAAGCAATCCTCCTGCTTCAGCCTCCCTCAAGTAGCTGTGCTACAGGCACATGCCACCACACCTGGCTAATTAAAAAAAAAATTTTGTAGAAGTGGGGTCCTGCTATTTTTCCCAGGCTGGTCTTAGCCCCCTGGCTTCAAGCATCCTCCTGCTCAGCTTCTCAAAGTGTTGGGGTTATAGGCATGAGCTGTAAGTTAAAATGTATATGATTTGGCCGGGCACGGTGGCTCACGCCTGTAATCCCAGCACTTTGAGAGGCCGAGGTGGGCAGATCACGAGGTCAGGAGATCGAGACCATCCTGGCCAACACGGTGAAACCCTGTCTCTACTAAAAACACAAAAAATTAGCTGGGTGTGGTGGCGGGCCCCTCTAGTCCCAGCTATTCGGGAGGCCGAGGCAGGAGAATGGCGTGAACCTGGGAGGCGGAGCTTGCAGTGAGCCAAGATCTCGCCACTGCACTCCAGCCTGGGTGACAAAGCAAAACTCCATTTCAGAAAAAAAAAAAAAAAGAACAAGAAGAAAATTTGTATGATTTGTGTTTTGTTTTTTTTTTTTTTTTTTTTTTTTTTGGAGATGAGAGTCTCACTGTCACCCAGCCTGGAGGGCAGTGGTGCGATCTCAGCTCACTGCAACCTCTGCCTCCCGGGCTCAAGTGATTCTCCGGCCTCAGCCTCCCAAGTAGCTGGGATTACAGGTGTGCGCTACACACCCGGCTAATTTTTGTATTTTTAGTGGAGACGAGGTGTCACCATGTTGGTCAGGCTAGTCTCGAACTCCTGACCTTAAGTGATCCACCTGCCTCAGCCTCCCACAGTGGTAGGGTTACAGGCATGAGCCACCACACCCGGGCTGTATGATTTTTTAGACTAAGTTTTCAAAGGTAACTTGCAGCTGAGAGGTCAAGACACAGGGAGTGTGGTGCTATGGAAAAATATCGATTATAGTACTGATCAGCTAATACTTGAGAAAGTAGGAAACACTCTTCACACAGGTCCTCATATTCACTCCTCACAATACAATTATTATTCCCCCTTCTGTAATGGGGCCACTGCAGCCACAAAAGGGCAAGGCTCACAGACAAAGTCTAAGAGCTCCTAAAATGTTGGGCCAGGATGTGAGCTGAGGTTTTGTGGCAGAAAAAATGAGTTTCTAACCATGATCCTATATTAAACACTCCCTCAGCAAAACCCACTTGGGAATACAGACAGATTCTGAGAAGAGAGAAAAAGTCATAGGATGGACTCACGTAGAGCTGTGTTCATCCTCTTTCTTAAAGACATTTTGAACGGAAAAACAGAGTTTCCTCAAGCTGGAGCAGTATTTTAAGCAGTAGGCAGAAACCACCAAGTCCACGTTGTCAATAATATGAAAGTTAGCTTCTTGGAGGAGGTTCACTGCCTGCTTCACAAAGGCAGGATCCTGCATTTCAAAGAGACAGTAAAATATCGCCAAGGAATCCACCTGTCCCTGAGGATTGCCACGCTCCCCTAAGCTCTTCAGGCACTGGTGAATTTGCTGCTTTATCTCTTGGGACAGTTGGAAGCCAAAAAACGCATCCAGTTTTTCTTGTTCCTTTTTATTTAAAAGGCCAGTTAGAAAACACCCCAAAAAAATCCAATGTGCTCTCCTTGCTTTTTCAAAATTGGCAACTAGCAATTCCTGTACACATCTCACAGCTGGGTGAGGATGATCAAGGTGGCTCTTGAGCAAATAGAACAAGGCGGCACAGAACTCCTGGATACACACGTGGAGGAACACGTAGGAGCTCTCACGCTCCCCGTACTTCAGAAGTATCTTGGTGCCCAGCAGCGCAGGGATGTCAGCGTCAACAACCCCATTTCTCCGGAGGTCGTCTTCACAAAACTCAAATGTGTCTGTCCACATACCCTCTGCAGCCAGGGAGCACAGGGCCTTCAGCTGGTGCTGGGTTTGCGGAGTCGGGCCCTCGGCACCCTCAGGTGTGAACAGGTTAAAGACGAAAGAGGAGTACACAGAGGTAGTGCTCTGGCAGGTCAGGGCCAGGTCTTTTCCTTTCTGCATCTCTTGCTTCAGACTGGTACACAGGATCCAGCAGAGGAGCGGGATTTGGCATATGGAAAACAGCTGTTCACTTTCTCTTACAAGATTGAAGGCTTCCATGGCTCTTTTCGGGTCTTTGAAGAAACAGCAGAAATACACTAACCTATCACTCTCGTTGAATCCCCGGGGCTGGTAGATTTCTGAGATCGTCACCTGATCCCGGAGCTCCTTCGGGCACACGGGTTTGATAGCGATGAGCAGGGAGGCCTCCGGGAGCATCTTCTTCCTCAGCAAACTGCTCAGAAGCACCTGCACCGGCCGTTTCTCCATCAAGTCACCACACAGATCCGAATCGGGTTCGTTCAAGCCGCCCTGCAGCTCTTCGAAGCTGTCGATGACGAACAAGAGTCTCTCCGGTTGAGACACGATCTCTGTTATAGGAGCAGCGGGGTCAGGCCACTCTCTGGAAATCAAGTCAGCCAAACTCGTTGGCGGCAACTCCCTCAGTTCTCTGCAGCAGAAATAGAACGTGTACAGGAACCTATCCCGAAAGATCTTGTTGTCCGACCAGGCCATCATCAGCTTCATCAGGAGTGTCGTTTTTCCAATTCCTTGTGGTCCTTGAATGATCACTGTACGTGGCTGTTTCCCAGCTTCCTTGGGAGCAAAAAGGCGGTCCAAATGGTCACATTCTTCTTGCTTGACTTCCTCCTCAAAGTATAGGTGAATCTCAGTGACAGACTTGCTGGACCATAAGCGGCTGAATTTCTGCTTTGCGTGAGCTTGATAGGTCTTTGTGTATCCTGAGTCAGTGAGGGCAAGAGGAGAGAAAACCCACAAAGTTAAGCATTCCTGCATATATTCTTTTTTTCTTCTCAGGATGTATCTTTCCAGGGGTCTACACACTGTGGCCCCCAGGCCAAACCTGGTCAGTCTCCTCTTGTAAATAAAGTTTCATTAGAACTCACTACACCATTCACGGGTATATTGTCTACAGGAGCCTTCCTGATTGAATAGCAGAGCTGAACAGCTATGAGAGACCGTATGACTCACAAAGCCTAAAATGGAAACCATATGGTCCTCTACACAAAAAGGTTGACAACTTCTGCTTTCAATAGACACACACACACACACACACACACACACACACATTCATTGCTACTACGTAAAGTTTGACAACTTCTGCTTTCAATAGACACACACACACACATATACATTCATTGCTACTATGTAAAGTTTGACAACTTCTGCTTTCAATAGACACATACACAGGTATTCATTGCTACGATGATAGCAAAATAAATGGAAAATAGCTATATGACTATCAAGACCAGTTAAATAATTTATGAGACACAAGCTATTATACAAATATTAAAAGTATGGAATAATCTCTTCATATGGATAAGCAACAGGACGGTGTCTATAGCATGTACTCAATTTGCATAAACAAGGGATTTATATACACATATAGGTTTCACATATAGGGACTAGATCTGAAAGTCCACCTAAAAAGGACCTGACCTAGGCAGTTGCCTCCAGAAGAGAGAGGAGATGCAGTAGAGAGGATAGAATGGCACCTCGCATCCATTCCAACTTTATGCCAGTGAGCTTTCTTTCAATGGCAGAATTCTCAAAAGAAAAGCCAATCAAAAAATCCAACAACAGGCCGGGGCAGTGGTTCATGCCTGTAATCCCAGAACTTTGGGAGGCCAAGGTGGGCAGATCATGAAGTCAAGAGATCAAGACCATCCTGGCCAACATGGTGAAACCCTGTCTCTACTAAAAATACAAAAATTAGCCGGGCGTGGTGGTGTGTGCCTGTAGTCCCAGCTACTTGGGAGGCTGAGGCAGGAGAATCGCTTGAACCCGGGAGGCAGAGGTTGCAGTGAGCTGAGATGGCACTGCTGTACTCTAACGTGGGCAACAGAAGGAGGCTCCGTCTCAAAAAAAAAAAAAAAAAAAAAAGATCCAGCAACAGTGATGACCAAGCCCTACGCATCCCACAACCCCTCGTAGCTAAGATCAAGGTACAGATTAAGTTCTGCGATTGGCCCTCACTCTCATGACACTGGAAGGGGAAGGGGAGTGGAGTCTATCTTCTGCCTGTTTTGCTGCCAGCTTCCATGAACACACAGACGCTGGACTCTTCTGTAACAGAAGGCTTGTCTCCAGTTGCTGTAGTTGGCTGGGCGCAGTGGCTCACGCCTATAATCCCAGCACTTTGGGAGGCTGAGGCAGGCAGATCACTTCAGGCTAGGAGATCGAGACCAGCCTGGTCAACATGGTGAAACCCCATCTCTACTAAAAATACAAAAATTAGCTGGGCGTGGTGGTACAGGCCTATAATCCCAGCTACTCGGGAGGCCAGGGCAGAAGAATCGCTTGAACCTGGGAGGTGGAGGTTGCAGTGAGCAGAGATTGCACCACTGTAATCTAGCCCTGGCAATAGAGCGAGACTGTCTCGAAAACTAAAACCAGTTGCTGTGGTCATTGATTTTAAGCAGCTGCTACACTGGTGAGCTTCCCGATTTCTGAATCATAGCTGTCGTGGTGTATTTCTAAAGCCACAGTTCTAACAGTGAGCTTCCCATCTCCCACTTTCCTCTTTGCAGGAGAGGCAGCAGCTCCCTGATACTATAGTTCTTACAGTCATCTCTGGAGCACCAGCCTAGAGGCTGATCCTTCAGCCAGGCCGAAAACTCCTTTACAGTTATCTGTTCCTTAAATAACTAGTACGATGTTTATATTCTGCAAGTGAGTAGCTGCTGATGGACTGGAGATGTAGGGGGCAGTTGTAGATGGGAAATTTTCCCTATGCCCCGCATAATAGTTACTGGATTTGATTGGATGCAGGTGAAAGATATAATCCAGTGCCCACAGACTGCTGACAGTAGGTAATGCTACCTTAAGTTTTTGGGGAGAACAAGGGATTCCCCCAATCTTTCAGTCCCCTGAAGTCCCTAACTGGTGAAAATGCCATCTGACATTGGTGAAGATCCTATTAGCATCTTAAGCTAAGTTGTTTGCCCATTCCCCAATGGCTTCCTGCTTTCCTGGTCTTCTCAGCTGTTCTGGAGATTTCGGTGACATGTTTGGTTGCTCATAAGGGGAATTAAGTGGGTACAACCTCAAACCAACTGTGAAAAGAGAGAAGTGTAAGTACCCAGTGGAAGATCTAACTTTAGACCTGCTTACATTTTATTTTAGCAATATTCTAAAATGGTTCCATGTGCAAAGAATGTTCTTCTTTATATAAATTACTTTTTTGAGACAGGGTCTCACTCTGTTACCCAGGCTGGAGTGCAGTGGCACAAACACAGCTCACTGCAGCCTCATCCTCCTGGGCTGAAGTGATCCTCCTGCCTCAGCTTCCAGGGTAGCTGAGACCTCAGCGTGTGACACCAAAACACTCCAGGAAACATGGGGGAATTTGTTTAAAAATTTGGACTGGGTGGCCAGGTGTGGTGGTTCACACCTGTAATCCTAGCCCTTTGGGAAGCCAAGGCGGGCGGATCACCGGAGGTCAGCAGTTCAACACCAGCCTGGCCAACATGGCAAAATCCCGTCTCTACTAAAAATATAAAAACTAGCTGGGCGTGGTGGTGAGCGCCTTATAATCCCAGCTACTCCGGAGGCTGAGGCAGGAGAACCGCATGAACCTGGGGGGTTCAGTGAGGTTGCAGTGAGCCAAAATCATGCTACTTTACTCCAGCCTGGGTGAAAGAGTGAAACTCCGTCTCAAAGAAAAAAAAATTGGACTGGGAGGGGTTTTTTCCAAGTGATGTTCCAAATCAAGAAAATGAGCAAGAAAGGCTAGCATCGCCAAAAATGGAAACTCTCAAATTATTTTATTTCAAACCAATTATTTTAATCCTCAATATTAAGGAAATTTCCCTGTAACTACTACCAGAATCAATTCCAATTTCACTGGAACAAGATATTACAGATTCTTAACATTTTCAATGTCTCATATTCAAAATCTGGCACTCAAAATTACCGGACATACTAGGAGACTGTATGACCAGATAAAGAGAAAAAGAAACAGTAGAAACAGACCTATAAATGTTAAAATCTTCAGGCAAATTTTAAAATAATTTAAAATGCTCAATAAAATAGAAGATGGAATAAATATTGAGAAAAAATGGAAGTCTGTGAAAAAGGCAAACTGCATAAATAAAACATGTGAACTAAATTTAAGAAATCAAGGCCAGGCATGGTGGCTCATGCCTGTAATCCCAATACTTAGAGAGGCTGAGGTGTGCAGATCACCTGAGGTCAGGAGTTCGAGACCAGCCTGGCCAACATGGGGAAACCCTGTTTCTACTAAAAATACAAAAAAATTAGCCGGGTGTGGTGGCGGGCATCTGAAATCCCAGCTGCTCAGGAGGCTGAGGCAGGAGAATCACTTGAACCCAGGAGGTGGAAGCTGCAGTGGGCCGAGATTGCACCACTGCACTCCAGCCTGGGCGACAGAGCGTGACTCTGTATCAAAGAAGAAAGAAAGAAGGAAAGAGAGAAATAGAGAGAAAGACAGAAAGAGAGAGAGAAAGAGAAAGAGAAAGAAAGAGAAAGAGAGAGAGAGAGAGAAAGAGATAGCAAGAGAGAAAGAGAGAGGAAGAGAGAGAAAGACAGAACGAGAGAGAGAAAGAGACAGCAAGAAAGAAAGAGAAAGAGAGAGAGAGAGAAAGAGAGACAGAAAGAGAGAGAGAGAGAGAAAGAGAAAGAGAAAGAAAAAGGAAAAGAGAAAGAGAAAGAAAGAGTGAGTCTAGGCCAGTATGGTGGCTCAGGCCTGTAATCCCAGCACTTTGGGAGGCCAAGGCAGGAGGATCACTTGAGCCCAGGAGTTTGAGACCAGCCTGGGCAATATAGTGAGAGCTCATCTCTACAATTTTTTTTTAAAAGGTTAGCCAGGTGTGCAATTAGCCAAGCGTGGTGGCACACACCTGTAGTCCCAGCTACTTGGGAGGCTGAGGTGGCAGATCATTTAGCCCAGGAAGTTGAGGCTGCAGTGAGCCGTGATGATGCCACGGCACTCCACCCTGGGTGACAGAGCCAGACCCTGTGTCAAACAAACAAGAAAGTCCAGTAGGTGTAACTGGAGTCCCAGAAGAATAAACAGAAGAATGGAATACACAGACAATGGCTAAAATTGAGAACTGAAGAAAGTTACTGAACCTCAGATGCAAGAATATTAAAGAATCCCAATCAGGATGAAAACAAAGCCACATCCAGGCACATCACAGTAAGACACTGAACAACAACAAAGAAAAACAATTTGGCAGTAAAGTTGAAAGAGCTATATCCTGCCATTGATAACGCAAATGTGCAAAGTAACAGTTAACACCTTATGCCAGGATAAATACAAATGTGACTCTAAAAGCCATATTGCTTATAGATCATTGCTTGTCTGATGTGAACTTTGGCTAAATACATGATTACACCAGTCAACCTCAGTTCACTGTATCCTCTACCGCAGGTGTTAATTGCTCTTGCAAATAAGTCAGGTGCATAGTTCTTATGCAACGACTTCACCTCACAGAGTTTCTGGCTTGACTGCAAGTTCTCAGCTTAGGGTAAAAATCATTGGTGACCCAGATAAAGGTACAATACAGGTTAGGACATAATAGCCACTGACATTTTACCCACATGTAACCACCACGTCTAAGAGACCATTTCCTGCCTACAAGGACAATATTTTCAGGCTGGGCATGGTGGATCATGCCTATAATCCCAGCACTTTGGGAGGCCAAGATGGGTGGATCACCTGAGGTTGGGAGTTCAAGACCAGCCTGGCCAACATGGTGAAACCCCATCTCTACTAAAAATACAAAAATTAGCCAGGCATGGTGGCAGGCGCCTGTAATTCCAGCTACTCAGGAGGCTGAGGCAGGAGAATCACTTGAACCTGGGAGGTGGAGGTTGCGGTGAGCCAAGATCACACTACTGCACTGTCTGGGCAACAAAGTGCGACTCCGTCTACCAAAAAAAAAAAAAAAAAAACCTAATATTTTCCCATAGCACATTCAGGTCCTGTTGTAGACAGGCAGAGACCACTCACCAAAATTAGGACATAGTCCTCATTATAAGAAGGCTTCCCCCTTCCCAGACTCCCTCACCTGTTCTCTCCCTCATGACCTTCATGCAGAGATCCTTTCTATCCATCTTTTGAAAGATTCTTAAGGTTATGTTCCAAGCTTGTTGTTCTTCATAGTGCTTGATCAAGAGGTTTGCAAGTTCTTCCCGGGATGCTTTTTTGACCTCAGTCCAGGGAATCTGCTTGAGTTCAAGCTGCAAAGTCATTTGCTTGAGATGTTCTTTAAATTTCCTGAACTCCTCCTTTTTGAGCTCCTCCAGATACCACATAAGACCAAAATCAGAGAAGAAAGAGGCTGCCATCTTTTCTGGAGCAGAGATACCAATCCTCAAAGAGACAGTGACCAGGAACAATAAATAAATAAAACCTGTAGAAAATTCAGGACAGTGCCAAGTTATTACAAATAAATGGATCAAGATTACCATTATATAGTATCTTGCTAGTACTGGGGGGATGGCAATGAAGGCGGAAAGTTATTTAATTACATTCATCTCACCTTCTCATTCAAATGGTCATGAAAGTCTCAATAATGGATGGGGGAATCAGAGATACAATAATCCAGAAGATACAAGAATCCTATAGTCACCTGACATAGCCTCAATATCCAGGCAAATATAGACTTTACATTTTTGGAAATTACACCGCAGCTTCGGAAATTACACCGCAGCCTCGGACATTACACCGCAGCCTCGGACATTACACCGCAGCCTCGGACATTACACCGCAGCCTCGGACATTACACCGCAGCCTCGGACATTACACCGCAGCCACGGACATTACACCGCAGCCTCGGACATTACACCGCAGCCTCGGACATTACACCGCAGCCACGGACATTACACCGCAGCCTCGGTAAATTACACCGCAGCCACGGACATTACACCGCAGCCACGGACATTACACCGCAGCCTCGGACATTACACCGCAGCCACGGACATTACACCGCAGCCTCGTAAATTACACCGCAGCCTCGTAAATTACACCGCAGCCTCGGACATTACACCGCAGCCTCGGACATTACACCGCAGCCACGGACATTACACCGCAGCCACGGACATTACACCGCAGCCTCGGACATTACACCGCAGCCACGGACATTACACCGCAGCCTCGTAAATTACACCGCAGCCTCGTAAATTACACCGCAGCCTCGGACATTACACCGCAGCCACGGACATTACACCGCAGCCTCGGACATTACACCGCAGCCACGGACATTACACCGCAGCCTCGTAAATTACACCGCAGCCTCGGACATTACACCGCAGCCACGGACATTACACCGCAGCCACGGACATTACACCGCAGCCTCGGACATTACACCGCAGCCTCGGACATTACACCGCAGCCTCGGACATTACACCGCAGCCACGGACATTACACCGCAGCCTCGTAAATTACACCGCAGCCACGGACATTACACCGCAGCCTCGGACATTACACCGCAGCCACGGACATTACACCGCAGCCTCGGACATTACACCGCAGCCACGGACATTACACCGCAGCCTCGTAAATTACACCGCAGCCTCGTAAATTACACCGCAGCCTCGGACATTACACCGCAGCCTCGGAAATTACACCGCAGCCTCGGGAATTACACCGCAGCCTCGGAAATTACACCGCAGCCTCGGGAAGTACACCGCAGCCTCGGAAAGTACACCGCAGCCTCGGGAAGTACACCGCAGCCACGGACATTACACCGCAGCCACGGACATTACACCGCAGCCTCGGACATTACACCGCAGCCTCGGACATTACACCGCAGCCTCGTAAATTACACCGCAGCCACGGAAATTACACCGCAGCCACGGACATTACACCGCAGCCACGGACATTACACCGCAGCCACGGACATTACACCGCAGCCACGGACATTACACCGCAGCCTCGGAAATTACACCGCAGCCTCGGAAATTACACCGCAGCCACGGAAATTACACCGCAGCCACGGACATTACACCGCAGCCACGGACATTACACCGCAGCCACGGACATTACACCGCAGCCTCGGAAATTACACCGCAGCCTCGGAAATTACACCGCAGCCTCGGAAATTACACCGCAGCCACGGACATTACACCGCAGCCACGGACATTACACCGCAGCCTCGGAAATTACACCGCAGCCTCGGAAATTACACCGCAGCCACGGAAATTACACCGCAGCCACGGAAATTACACCGCAGCCACGGAAATTACACCGCAGCCACGGAAATTACACCGCAGCCTCGGAAATTACACCGCAGCCACGGAAATTACACCGCAGCTACGGTAATTACACCGCAGCCACGGAAATTACACCGCAGTCTCGGAAATTCCACCGCAGCTACGGAAATCACACCGCAGTCTCGGAAATCACACCGCAGTCTCGGAAATCACACCGCAGTCTCGGAAATTACACCGCAGCTACGGAAATTACACCGCAGTCTCGGAAATTACACCGCGGCTACGGAAATTACACCGCGGCTACGGAAATTACACCGCCGGCCACGGAAATTACACCGCGGCCACGGAAATTACACCGCAGTCTCGGAAATTACACCGCAGCTTCGGAAATTACACCGCAGCTTTGGAAATTACACCGCAGCTTTGGAAATTACACCGCAGCTACAGAAATTACATTTTTACTTTTAAATATAGAAATTACACTGTAAATATAGAAATTACATTTTTCTCAGTAAACAATAGAGAAGGCATGCCCCACAAATGTAGCCAACTCATTTTGACAAAGGCACAATGGAGGCAGATCGTCTCTTCCATAAATGGTGCTGGAACAACTGGAAGTCCCTCCCTGGCTCTCTTTCTCCCCATCTCTTCCTCTGACTCTATTATGTGGGGACACAGAAGGCAGCTGTGTACAATCCAGAAAGTCTTCATCAGGAAGGGACTCTGCTGGACCTTGATTTGAACTTCCAGCCTCCAGAACTAGAGGAAGTACATTTCTGTTGGTAAGCCATCCAGTCTGCAGCATTTTGCAGTGAACTATAGAAATGATCCCTGGAAGTATAGTCTTAGTCTACGGTACTGTTACAGTCACACTCATGCAAGGGCCTGGAAGCATAACAGATACCCTAGTGGCAATCGATACACCCAGTGTCCAGATCAGCTCTTGGTTTCTAAGACCACTTCCTAACCAAAGAAACCCAGGGCAGGCTGAAAGAGCCTCCAATAGCTAAAACTGTAACAACTTTAGCAAGAAGAAGAATTCCAAGTAGCTTAGATGGATGGATTCTTCCCCTTTAAGGAGATGCGGCATAACTCCCCACCTCTTAAGTGTGGTGTATTAGTCTGTTCTCATGCTGCTGATAGAGACATTACCCAAGACTGGGTAATTTATAAAGAAAAAAGTGGTTTAATGGACCCACAGTTCCATGTGGCTGGGGAGGCCTCACAATCATGGGGGAAGGCAAAAGGCACATCTTACATGGCGGCAGACAAGAGAGGACCAAACGACAGGGGTTTCCCCTTATAGAACCATCAGGTCTCACGAGACTTATTCACTACTAGGAGAACAGTATGGGGGAAACCATCCCCATGATTCAAGTATCTCCCACCGGGTCCCTCCCACCACATGTGGGAATTATGGGAGCCACAATTCAAGATGAGATTTGGGTGGGGACACAGCCAAACCGTATCATGTGGGTTGTACATAGAGACTTCTTTTTAAAGAATATAGTACAGCCGGGCATGGTGGCTCACGCCTGTAATCCTAGCACTTTGGGAAGCCGAGGTGGGTGGATCTCAAGGTCAGGAGATCCAGACCATCTTGGCCAACATGGTGAAACCCCATCTCTACTAAAATACAAAAAATTAGCCGGATGTGGTGGTGGGTACCTGTAATCCCAGCTACTCTGGAGGCTGAGGCAGGGGAATCACTTGAACCCAGGAGGTGGAGGTTGCAGTGAGCCGAGATCGTGCCACTGCACTCTAGCCTGGCGACAGAGCGAGACTCCATCTCAATGTATAGTATAGTATGCTATAGTATCGTATAGTATAGTATACAATACTATAGTATAAAAAGGGGTAGGGATTAACTTCAGAGTGGAGAAACCAGCCAGACACCTAAGCTAGGAGATCAAGGCCAACATGGGTAGCAAGTGGTAGCATATGATATGATGGGAAGGGCACCTTTCCTTCGTGGTCTTCCTCCTCAAAGCCCCAGTCTCGCAATGAGATAAACGTCACACAAACCCAACATGAATGATGTCCCACAAATACCTGACCAGTGCTTCTCAAAACGTTCAAGATCACTGAAAACAAGGAAATCCTGAGAGTGGTCCTAGTTTAGAGAACTCAATGGAGACACAGCAATGAAACCCAGTGGGGGATCCTAGATGAGGTCCAGGCACATAAAAAGGATATTAGGGGCCAGGTGCAGTGGCTCACGCCTGTCATCCCAGCACTTTGGGAGGCTAAGGCAGGCAGATCACGAGGTCAGGAGTTTGAGACCAGCCTGACCAAGATGGTGAAACCCCATCTCTACTAAAAATATTAAAAAATTAGCCGGGCGTGGTGGCAGGTGTCTGTAGTCTCAGCTACTCAGGAGGCTGAGGCAGGAGAGTCACTTGAACCCGGGAGGCAGAGGTTGCAGTGAGCTGAGATCGCACCATTGCACTCCAGCCTGGGCAACAGAGCGAGACTCCATCTCAAAAAAAAAAAAAAAAGGATATTAGGTAAAAAGGGGGGAATCTGAAGAAAGAATAATCTTAGTTAATAATCTATTAATACTGGTTTATTAGTTATGACAAATGTACCATGGTAACGAAAGTCGTTACTAGAGAAATGTGGCACAGGATTTATGGGAACTCTCTGCACTATTTTTGCAAACTTTTCTGTGTCTAAAACAAGTCTAAAATTTTAAAAGATACTAAAAACATAGGGCAAATAGTTATTCATATTAGATATATAAAAATCAACACATTTTATGAATATTTATGGAATCCTACACACAAGAGAACATTCTTTTCAAGCATACGTGGAACATTCATGATAATCAATTAGCTTGTAATTATGCTCATGATAATCAATTATGCTCTGAGCTTTAAAGGAAATCATAATTCAAAAACAAAAAGCCAACAGTAGCAAAGTCATCTTCTTTGTCTTAAGGGCAATGAAATTAGAGATCAATAGCAAAGTCAATAAAAGGGTTAAGTTATACAGTGGAAAATAAAAATAAAGCTGTTTTATTCATGGGTGGCCATTAGGCAGAATGTTGCTGCCCCCCCCTCAAATAAAATAGGTAATTTGGAGAAAAATTTAAAAAAAATTTAATAGCATCTAAGATCCAAAAATTAGGGGAAAGTAGCCAGGCGCCTATAGCCCCAGCTACTCAGGAGGCTGAGGCATGAGAATCTCTTGAACCTGGGAGGTGGGGGTTACAGTGAGCCAAGATTGTGCCACTGCACTCCAGCCTGGGTGACAGAACAAGACTGTCTCAAAATAAATAAATAAAACCCACAAAAATTAGGGAAAATTATTAAGCAGTATTCGGAATGAGAATATGATGATGGAAAGGTGACCTTCATGGCTTCTCCCCTGCGTGCTTTTGCCAATAGTCTTAAAAAGCCTACTTTTAGTAAAATCTTAATTATAGGAACATGTATCTGAGTCCTGAGGCCACCACTGAGCACCTAAGGCAATACTTCTCCAAGGAACATCAGCACCAACTGGTAACTTGCTATGCAAATCCCCAGGTCCTTCCCTAGACACACTAAATGCTGAGGGTAGGGCACAGCCATCTGTTAATTTTGGGCAAATAGTTAGTGATGATATTAGATATATAATATCAGTTATATATCTGTTATATAACATCAGTTATATATAATGTCAGTTAATTTTGACGCATGCCCAGATTTGAAAACCACTGACTTAAAGAATGACTTTGGGCAAGAACATTGCTGGTGCTTTGCTCTGAGACCATCTTGGAGAAGCAGGCAACTAGAGTTGGACTTTTCTTGATGTGGAGACAGTGTCAAGATCAGAGTGTACCAAAACAGAGATATAGACTAATGGAACAGAACAGAGCCCTCGGAAATAATGCCGCATATCTACAACTATCTGATCTTTGACAGACCTGACAAAAACAAGCAATGGGGAAAGGATTCCCTATTTAATAAATGGTGCTGGGAAAACTGGCTAGCCGTAAGTAGAAAGCTGAAACTGGATCCCTTCCTTATACCTTATACAAAAATTAATTCAAGATGGATTAGAGACTTACATGTTAGACCTAAAACCAGAAAAACCCTAGAAGAAAACCTAGGCATTACCATTCAGGACATAGGCATGGCCAAGGACTTCATGTCTAAAACACCAAGCAATGGCAACAAAAGACAAAATTGACAAATGGGATCTAATTAAACTAAAGAGCTTCTGCACAGCAAAAGAAACCACCATCAGAGTGATCAGGCAACCTACAGAATGGGAGAAAATTTTCGCAACCTACTCATCTGACAAAGGGCTAATATCCAGAATCTACAATGAACTCAAACAAATTTACAAGAAAAAAACAACCCCATCAAAAAGTGGGCAAAGGATATAAACAGACACTTCTCAAAAGAAGACATTTATGCAGCCAAAAAACACATGAAAAAATGCTCATCATCACTGGCCATCAGAGAAATGCAAATCAAAACCACAATGAGATACCATCTCACACCAGTTAGAATGGTGATCATTAAAAAGTCAGGAAACAACAGGTGCTGGAGAGGATGTGGAGAAATAGGAACACTTTTACACTGTTGGTGGGACTGTAAACTAGTTCAACCATTGTGGAAGTCGGTGTGGTGATTCCTCAGGGATCTAGAACTAGAAATACCATTTGACCCAGCCATCCCATTATTAGGTATATACCCAAAGGATTATAAATCATGCTGCTATAAAGACACATGCACACGTATGTTTATTGCAGCACTATTCACAATAGCAAAGACTTGGAACCAACCCAAATGTCCAACAATGATAGACTGGATTAAGAAAATGTGGCACATATACACCATGGAATACTATGCGGCCATAAAAAATGATGAGTTCATGTCCTTTGTGGGGACATGGATGAAGCTGGAAACCATCATTCTCAGCAAACTATTGCAAGGACAAAAAACCAAACACTGCATGTTCTCACTCATAGGTGGGAATTGAACAATGAGAACACATGGACACAGGAAGGGGAACATCACACACTGGGGACTGTTATGGGGTGGGGGGAGGGGGGAGGGATAGCATTAGGAGATGTACCTAATGCTAAATGACGAGTTAATGGGTGCAGCACACCAACATGGCACATGTATACATATGTAACAAACCTGCACGTTGTGCACATGTACCCTAAAACTTAAAGTATAATAATTAAAAAAAAGTGTAGCCTCTTGCCACAGGCTGAAATATTAATACCTCCGGCTCTGGGAAGAGATCCTCTGAAAGTGAGGGGAAAGACTGCATTCAGATTGGCTACAGATGGAACTTTAAATATTCCCCCAAACACACACACACATGCATACACACACGCACACACACTCCTCTACCACCACTACCACCACAAAAATCACCAGGGACTCTTTTCTGCATCCAATGTATGTCCCCCTGCAAAAGTTACATGCTGAAGTATGAAGTTTTTGAAAATAGCATACTCGTAGATACAATGAGTTACACTGGAGGTCACAAAGTGCAACTGAAGTCTGGGCTTGTTTGGAAATAGCATCCTTGCAGATGCAATTAGCTGTACTGGAACATGTAAGATGAGGTCATACTAAAGCAGGGTGGGCCCCCGATCCAATATAATTGGTGACCTTATTGAAAGAGGAAAATCTGGCCGGGCACAGTAGCTCACACCTGTAATCCCAGCACTTTGGGAGGCCAAGGTGGGCGGATCACCTGAGGTCAGGAGATCAAGACCAGCCTGGCCAACATGGTAAAATCCCATCTCTACCAAAAATACAAAACTTAGCCAAGTGGTGGTATGTGCCTGTCTTCCCAGCTACTCAGGAGGCTGAGGCAGGAGAATTGCTTGAACCCGGGAGGTTACAGTGAGCTGAGATCATGCCACTGCACTCCAGCCTGGGCAATAAAGTGAGACTCCATCTCGAAAAATAAAAAGAAAAAAGAAAGGGGAAAATCTGGACACATATGAATAGAGGGAAGAGGATACCATGCCACAGGGAAAATGCCACTTACTAACCAAAGCACACCTAAAGCAAGTAGAAGTTAATAGAGAGGAATAAACTGATTCTCCCTCACAGTCTTCAGAAGAAATTACGCCTGCCAGCACCTTGATTTTGGACTTATTAGCCTTCAGAACTGTGAGACAGTAAGTTTCTGTTGCTTAAGCTGTCTGTTTTGTGGTATGTTGTTACAGCAGCCCCAGGAAGCTAATACAATGTGTTAGTATCAGATTTGACAGAGATAATTAGTGGTCTAGAAGACACGTAAAGAGAAGTCATCCAAGAAGAGAGAGATAAAAAGATGAAAAGCACAGAAGAGAGGACAAGAGACTAAGGATGAAAAGGGCTAACACTTGTTACTGGCTCCCCAAAAGGAGAAAAGAGACTGTGGACCAGATGTAGTATGTTTTATTAGGTTGGTGCAAAAGTAATTGTGGTTTTTGCCATGAAAAAAATGCAAAAACCGCAATTACTTTTGTACCAACCTAATATAAGATTGCTACTAGGATGTTTCTTTTTATAATTTTTTTAATTGAGACAGTTTCACTCTTGTTGCCCAGGCTGGAGTGCAGTGGCACAATCTTAGCTCACTGCAAACTCCACCTCCCAGGTTCAAGTGATTCTCCTGCCTCAGCCTCCTGAGCAGCTGGGATCACAGGTGCCCATCACCACGCCTGGCTAATTTTTTGTATTTTTAGTAGAGACAGGGTTTCACCATGTTGGCCAGGCTGGTCTCGAACTCCTGACCTCAGGAGATCCACCCGCCTCTGCCTCCCAAACTGCTAGGATTACAGGTGTGTGAGCCACTGTGCCTGGCCTGGATGTTTCTATTAACCAATGAAAAAAAAATCAATCTACTAATTAAGAAGCCCAATAAAGTCCAAGAGTATAAATAACAAACCCATGTCTAGACACATTATAGGGAAACATAATGACATTAGAACATAAAGAAGTTACACAAAAGGGAAAATCTTGAAAGCATTCCAGAGTGGGGGTAAGGCAAGGGGAGGACAATAATTTATTTGAACGGTTGTGCCATTATGTTGACAGCTGACCTGATCAGGTGCTACAGAAAGAAGAAACTAAAGAAGCAACCATGCAAGGTGCTCAAAACAAATAGCTGCTGACTCAAGTCTAACCAGAATAAAATAATCTTTAAGAAATAAGGCCAGGCACGGTGGCTGACGCCTGTAATCCCAGCACTTTGGGAGGCCGAGGTGGGCGGATCACGAGGTCAGGAGATCAAGACCATCCTGGCTAACACGGTGAAACCCCATCTCTACTAAATACACAAAAAATTAGCCGGGCGTGGTGGCGGGCACCTGTAGTCTCAGCTACTGGGGAGGCTGAGGCAGGAGAACGGCGTGAACCCGGGAGGCAGAGCTTGCAGTGAGCTGAGATCGCACCTCTCCACTCCAGCCTGGGTGACAGAGCAACACTCCATCTCAAAAATAAAAATAAAATAAAAAGAAATAAAAGTAGACATTTGCAGATAAATGACAAATTTTCCAACAGAAGACTTACACTATAGGAAATTTTGAAAATTGACCATTGGAGAGAAGGAAAATTATTGCAGGTGAAAATTAAGAGATGCCACAGTCAATTAGAAGACAAGTTGCTTTATAGAGTCAGTCTTGTGAGACAGAAAATAGAATTAAAATTTATCACAGCTGGCACGTAAATCTAAAAAAAAAAGAAAAAGGACATCAAGTGCTCTAATGTTCTTCTCTGGGAAGATGACAGAAGTAAAAATTTGATAAGAAATTCTGATAAGCCCACTGATAGAATTCTGATATAACCATAAAAAAGTTTGTCTGCCAAAGTAAATAGAGAAGAGGAAAAATGACAAACTAACCTAAAAAATAAAGAAGGACAGAAATAGGAACCTAGAACAGATAAGGTAAATAAAAAAGTGATGGTCAACTCGAACTCTTATTAGTAATTACACAGAATAATTGCCTCAATGGTACAGAGGCAAAGATGGTGAGACTAAATACAAAAACCAAATACTTGCTCTTTAAAGAGGTAACTAAGAACGGAAAAACGAAAGTTGAAAGACTAAACATGCAAATTTGAACCTAAAAAATCTGGGGTAACTCACCCCGTTAGAATGGCTAAAGAAAATAACAAATGTTGGCAAGGATGCAGAGAAAAGGCAACTCTTACACACCATTGGTAGGAATGTAAGTTAGCAGAACCACTATGGAAAACAGTATGGAGGTTTCTAAAACAATTAAGAATAGAACCTACCATATAACCCAGTAATTCTACTGCTGGGTATATACCTCTTTAAAAAAGGAAATTCGTATGTCAAAGAGATATCCTTACTTCCATGTCTATTGCAGCACCTTTTTTTTCTTGAGACAGAGTCTCGCACTATCACCCAGGCTGGAGTGCAGTGGTACGATCTCGGCTCACTGCAACCTCTGCCTCCCAGGTTCACACCATTCTCCTGCCTCAGCTTCCCAAGTATCTGGTACTACAGGTGCCTGCCACCATGCCCGGCTAACTTTTTTTTGTATTTTTAATAGAGATGGGGTTTCACCATGTTAGCCAGGATGGTCTCAATCTCCTGACCTCGTGATCTGCCTGCCTCGGCCTCCCAAAGTGCTGGGATTACAGGCATGAGCCACCGCACCCGGCCTGCAGCACTATTACTAATAACCAAGATATAGAAACAAACTAAGTGCCTATCAATAAATGAATGCATAAAGAAAATGTGGTATATATACTCAATGGAATATTATTTAGCCATAAAAAATAATGAAATCTTGCCATTTGTGGCAACCTGGATGAACGTGGAGGACACGAGGTAAAATAAGGCAGGCACAGAAAGAAAACTACCATATGATCTCATTTATATGGGGAATCTAAAAAGATGAACTTATAGAAGTAGAGAGTAGAACAGTGGTTACTAGAGGCTGGGGAAGGGATGGGAGAGTAACGGGAGACCAGGAGCGATTGGTCAACAGGCACGCTTACAGTTAGAAAGCGCAAGTTCTAGTGTTCTCTTACAAATTAGGGTAACTAAAGCAAATAACAGTGTGGCGGATATTTCAAAATAGCTAGAAGATTTTGAGTATCACTACAAAGAAATGTGTCTAAACAAACAGATATGATAATTACCCTGATTGGATCATTATACAATGGATATATGTGTCCAAACATCACACTGTATCCCATAAATATGTACAATTATATGTCAATTTAAGAAATTTTTAAATGGGAAATCTGAACAAAATAGCATGTCATGCATACGTAAGGTATGATAACCCATCTTACTCACCAAACTCTTCATCCATTCCATTTATTGCACGACTTGAATTAGAAGGAAAAGATATTGAATTATTCCAGGCTTTTAAAAAAATCTGTTGTCATAATATTGATACCAGAAAAGCAGACCCCAAGCCAAAACATTGGTGAGAAATCTAGATGCTGCATAACCACAGGGCTCAAATTACCAGGAAGAGAGAACAATTATAATCATACATGCAACAATAACACAGCCTTAAAATATACGAATGATCAGCCGGGTGCTGTGGCTCACGCCTATAATCCCAGCACTTTGGGAGGCCGAGGTGGGCGGATCACGAGGTCAGGAGATCTAGACCAGCCTGGCTAACATGGTAAAACCCCGTCTCTACTAAAAATACCAAAAAATAAAAAATAATAAATTAGCTGGGCGTGGTGGCAGGCACCTGTAATCCCAGCTACTCGGGAGGCTGAGGCAGGAGAATTGCTTGAACCCGGGAGGCAAAGCTTGCAGTGAGCTGAGATGGCACCACTGCATTCCAGCCTGGGCAACAGAGCAAGACTCTGTCTCAAAAAGAAAAAAGAAAATATGTATACACACACACACACACACACACACACACACACATACACATACACATATGTCTATACACACACACCCCCGACAATGGTCAGCACCATAAGGAGAATTAGGTAAGTCCCTAATCATAGCAGGATATTTTATCAATTTGTTCCAGCAATTAAACAAACAAGTTAAAAAGAAAATAAAGGGCTTAAAAACAATGGAAAAATTTTACCTTGTGGACACAGACCTTTTCATTCAATAAATGGAAAAAACACTATAAGATAGACGAATCAGCTACCAATGTCAGCTATATACTGATCCTCAGGGCAAGCTTCAACATATTTCAAATAATATAAGTTACACAGAATATTCTGATCATAATTTAAGTCAGAATTTGACAATGAAATGAAGGACATTCCAAAATTAAGAAACATACTTCTAAGTAATCTATGAATAAAGAGAAAATATCGGATATAAGATTTTGAACTGAATATTTAATGTTGCATATGAAGTGAGTGAAATACAGCTAAATCAGGAGCTGGAAAAATGTGCTACTTCAAAGGCATAAGGAAGGTTGAAAATTCATAAACTAATTATACATTTAGATAAAAAGCAAAACACACCAAAAGAAAGTAGAAAAAATAATCAATGAAATAAAAATTAAAATACAAGACTCTGTCAAAAGTAGATTCTTTGAAAATACAAACTGGATAACCCCCAACAAGTCTGATGAATAAGAAGACATGAGCAATTAATACCAGAAACAGAAGACACCACTACATACCCTACAGATATCAAAAATTGAGACTATTACCATTTTTATGCCAATAAAACTGATAATTTTGTTCAAATATATAAATTCTTAGAAAATGACAACTTTCATCTATTTTGTGTGTGTGAAGTTTTGAAAGCTTTTTTTTTTTTTTTTAACTCTTCCCCCACAGAAGACTTCAGGCTCAAACATCTTCATCAGCAAATTATGTCAAAATTTAAATAAAAATTATTTTTCCAGAATCTAAGAGAGAGCATGTGTGTGGGTATGTGTGTGTGAGAGCATAAGCATGTGTGTATATGTGTGTGAAAGAGCACACACACACACTCAAACTGAGGCATAGGTTAGATAATGAAAACAGGTTTACATCATCCTCAGCAAATTAACACTGGAACAGAAAACCAAACACTGCATGTTCTCACACAGAAGTGTGAGTTGAACAATAAGAACACAAACGGACACAGGGAGGGGAACATTCACACACTGAGGCCCGTGGGTGAGGGGTGGGAAAGGGGAGGGAGAGCATTAGGACAAATACCTAATGCATGTGGGGCTTAAAACCTAGATGACCAGTTGACAGGTGCAGCAAACCACCATGCCACGTGTACACCTATGTAACAAACCTGCACATTCAGCACATGTATCCCAAAACTTAAATTTAAAAAAAGAAAAAAAAAAAACAGGCTTAGTGTAAGAATTTCCATGTTCGGTCTACTTGTGAAAACAAATGCAAAAATTAAAAAGTCCATTAAGTGTAAGATCTGTACATTAGATAATATCATTCTATTAATTTCCTGTTTTTTATATAGTGTGGTTATCAAAAGAGCTTACTTTTATTTTTATTTTTAGAAGATAAACCCTGAAGCATTTAGGGTAAATTATTAGATGTAAATTTGTACAATGTGTACAAATCTTGAACAGATCAGGAAAAATACTTATATAAGAGTAGAGGGACACCATATAAGGTAAACTTTTAACATTTGGTGATCCTAAGGATATATTCTTGAAGCTGTTCTCTAAGTGTAAAATCACATCATTTTTTTCTTTTAATAGCGTACTAGCTTCCTTGGGCTGGCATGACAACGTACCACAAACTAGGTAACTTAAAACAGAAACCTACTGTCTCATGGTTCTGGAGCCTAGATGTCCAAAATCAAAGTGTTGGCAGGGTGCTGCTCTCTCTGAAACCCAGGGGAGCCCTTCCTTGCCTCTTACTGGCTTCTGTGGTTTGCTGGCAACCTGTGTCACTCTTTGGTTTGCAGCTATGTAATTTCACTCTGACTTTGTCACATGCCATTCTGCTTGTCTCTACCTTCATGTGGCCATTTTTTCTAAGATGGAGTTTCACTCTTGTTGCCCAGGCTGGAATGCAATGGCGCAATCTTGGCTCACTGCAACCTCTGCCTCCCAGGTTCAAGCAATCCTCCTGCCTCAGCCTCCTGAGTAGCTGGGATTACAGGCATGCGCCACCACAGTTGGCTAATTTTTTGTATTTCACCATGTTGGTCAGGCTGGTCTCGAACCCCCAACCTCGGGTGATCCACCCGCCTCGGCCTCCCAAAGTGCTGGGATTATAGGTGTGAGCCACTGCATCCAGCTTGAGACCGAGTCTCATTCTGTCACCCAGGCTGGAGTGCAATGGTGCAATCTCGGCACACTGCAATCTCCACCTCCTGGGTTCAGGCAATTCTCCTGCCTCAGCCTCCTGAGTAGCTGGGATTACAGGCACCTGCCACCATACCCAGCTGATTTTTGTATTTTTAGTAGAGACAGGGTTTTGCCATGTTTTCCAGGCTTGTCTTAAACTCCTGAGCTCAGATGATCCACCCACCTCAACCTCCCAAAGTGCTGGTGTTACAGGCATGAGCCACCACACCCAGCCGCATGTGGCCGTTTTCATAAGGACACCCGTCATTAAGTTAGGGGGGCCACTCACTCCAGTATGACCTCGCCTTAACTAATTACATCTGCAACAACCTTATTTTGTCACCCTATAAAGGGGTTAGGACTTTGTGTGTGTGTGTGTGTTTTTAGGGTTGGGACACAATTCAACCCTTAACAGTAAAAACCAACTTTTATTGATATAGAAAGATAAATATTCTTTCTATATACGTTTCATAGTCTAAACAAATGGCATAATTGGAGAAGGGGGATGAAAAGAGGTTGGCTAATGGATACCAAGTTACACCTGTAGGTAGGAATAGGTGCTGGTGTTCAGTAGCACTATAGGTTGAATATACTTAATATCTTATTATTTTCGAGGGTTTTTCTAACTTTTATGTTAGGTTCAGGGGTACATATACACTGGTTATACAGGTAAACTCGTGTCACAGGGGTTTGGTGTACAGTTTTTCATCTCCCAGGTATTAAGAATAGGACCCCATAGCTATCTTTTCCTGACCCTCTCCCTCCTCCCACCTAAGGAGAGGATTCTGAATGTTCCTAACACAAAGAAATGATACAGGTATGAGGAGATGGATATGCTCATTACCCTGATTTAATGATACGTATACATGTACCAACACATCTCTCTGCAGCTAATATACATAATTAGTATGAGTCAACTAGAAGTGTGATTTTCTTTTTAAATCACATTCTGGAATTACAGTATCAAAGACGTTTCTGCCCTAGGTCAGAGAGCAAGCTCACAAGAGCAGAGAGGGCTTGGGTCCCACCTTTCATGGGAAGTCCCCCCCCTTACCTCATCCCTGTCTATGTTCTCCAGCTTCTCCTACATGTTTGTGTCAACAGAGATGAAGAATCTAATAAGAACATTCCCACCCTCGAAGCTCCAAGGTCTCCCTTCGTGACGAGTCTCCCCCACCTCCACCCCCCATTCTTCTCACAGGTCTCAGGCTCCTGGGAGGCACCTTATAAACACAGGGCGTTCATCTACCCCACTAACTGGAGAGAAGGAAAACGCTGGGTAAATAGAATGGAGAGGCCTGGCTGTGATCGATCAGCCTCAAGAAAGGAGACAGGGTAAAAGGGAGAAAGAAAAGGAAGACCCAAAGTAACCCAGGAAATCAGCACATAGAAGAGACGAACAGCCCAGCACGAAGCGCTGACTCACCGCTCCACGCCTTCCTGGTCCTTAATGATTGGCGGCTGGAAGCGGGAAGAAAAGATCCGTGGTGCCATTTGATTGGCCAACGAATTGCTCCCTTGCCATTGGCTCAGAGGGCTTTTGATGAACAGATCCAGAAAATATGTGAAGCGAAACGCCCACCGCCCCTTGAGGGGCTGTTCTAGACCTTTGCTCCTGGTGTCGTATAGAGCGGGGGATATTTCAAGCTGGAGGTTCCTATTGAGAATTCCCAGGGCTCACGGCTGCAGGGATGCTCCTCCAGTCTCTCCAAAATGGTTCATTTGGAGAGTTGGGGTGACTCTGTTTATAATTTAAATGTCTAATTCCTTCCTACATGCTAAACTCCTTGAAGAATGTTCGTGTGGCACAACATCTTTCTGCCGTAACTAAACCTGTCGTGCAAGAAGAAATTATTAATTATTATTAGATACGGTCTCACTCGGTCACCCAGGCTGGAGTGCAGTGGCGTCATCTCGGCCCACTGTAACCTCCACCTCCCGGGTTCAAGAGATTCTCCTGCCTCAGCCTGCTGAGTAGCTGGGATTACAGATGCACACCACCATGCCCGGCTAATTTTTGTATTTTCAGTAGAGACGGGCTTTCGCCATGTTGGCCAGGCTGGTCTCGAACCCTTGACCTCAAGTGATCTGCCCGCCTCGGCCTCCCGAAGTGCTGGGATTACAGGCATGAGCCACTGTGCCTGGCCTCGGCTAATTTTTGTATTTTCAGTAGAGACAGGGTTTCACCATGTTGGCCAGGCTGGTCTCGAACCCTTGACCTCAAGTGTTCTGACCGCCTCGGCCTCCCAAAGTGCCGGAATTACAGGCATGAGCCACTGTGCCTGGCCTCGGCTAATTTTTGTATTTTCAGTAGAGACAGGGTTTCACCATGTTGGCCAGGCTGGTCTCGAACCCTTGACCTCAAGTGATCTGCCCGCCTCGGCCTCCCAAAGTGCCGGGATTACAGGCATGAGCCACTGTGCCTGGCCTCGGCTAATTTTTGTATTTTCAGTAGAGACAGGGTTTCACCATGTTGGCCAGGCTGGTCTCGAACCCTTGACCTCAAGTGATCTGCCCGCCTCGGCCTCCCAAAGTGCTGGGATTACAGGCATGAGCCACTGTGCCTGGCCTGCAAGAAGAACTTAATGGATATCGGCTACTGTCTTTCTGCGTAGGCAGAACAGGCGCTAAGTTTTTTAGACGCAAGGTCGAGATTTCATCATTGGGCATGGTTTTCCTGCTATTCCAGCTTCCCTACAATCGTTACAGTCATCTTCTGGGTTCACGCCAAACCTCAGTGTCCTAGGAGCTATCCTTTTACAATCACCATTTTAGTTCCTCCTTATAAGAATCCTGAGTTCAGTGTTACGATGGTGATGATCCTGGTTTTGAAATATACACATCAAGGAGTGCAGAGAAACATAATGAGAACTTTAAGGAATTACTGTAACCATAACACAAGTCTCTGTGGTCCAGAACCTAGATTGGGAAGCAGACATGATGGGGACCTTTGCAGACTCATGTACCCATAAGAGCATGCCCGTTGCATCCTCAGGGGTTCCCACCAAAATAAATTTCCAGTTGTGAAGTGAACTTCATTCCCTTCGATTTTCTTTTTATTTTTCCTGGTGATACATGTTCCCCTAAGAGATATGTTTTGTTTTCCTCATTTTCGAATTATAGTGTATCATTCTGTGACTTGATTCTTTTCACTTATTATGTTTTTGAGATTAATCAATGCGAGTTTGTTATAGCTGCGGTTCATTTCTAGGTCTTGCCTCACGGTATTTAAATGTATGACTAGGTCACCATTTAATGATCCATTCTGTCAGTGATAGGTGGTTGGGTGGTTTCTCAGTTTTTGCCAATATGAACAATGCTGTTTTGAACCTTCTTGCACACATCAGTGAGCCCACAGGACTTTTGGATTACCTGAGTGGAATGACTGAGTCCCTGAGGCACAGGTGACTTCAGTTGCCTCTTCAGAAGTGGTTTCACTAATTACATTAGCATCATGCACAGTTGAATATCCCCATAGCTGCACCTTACTGCCTACTCCTGATGTTGTTGACATTTTAAAGTAGTCACCAAATATTAGTTGGAAAAAGTATTTTGTTGTTTTCATTTGCTTTTATCTGATTATTAATATACTTGAACATTGTTCTCATGTTTGTGAGCCATTTGTTGCCTCTTTTGTGAAATACCTTTTCATTGTTTTCCTTGTATTTCTATTGGTTGTGTTCTGTTTTTATTTGCATGAAGAAGTGCTTTACCTTTTCTGAAAAAGTGGTTTGGTCAGTTATGTGTGATGCACGTATTTTCATATATCTCCTCCTAGTTTGTGGTTTGTAGCTTTTGTTATATAAGAACCATTCACTGAAGAGTTTTTATTTTAAATGAAATCAAATTGATCAAAATGTACTTTATGTTTTATAAATGTGAGGTCTTGTTGACAAAAATCATTCCCTACTCCAACTCATGAAGATATCTAATATTGCCTTTTAAAATATGATAGAGTTTTGAATTTCACACAGAAGTATTAAGTCACTTGTAATTATTTTTCTCTAAGGTAGGGAGAAGGGATCCATTTTTTTTTTTTCATTTAAATACAAATGGCACCAGCTCCATTTAATGAATAGTTCACCTACGCCACTGCCCAGAAATCTGTTATAAACCAGCTTTTCGTATTTGCCTACATTGGTTTCTGGGTTCTATGTTTTTTTCACTATTATTTGTTCATCCGTGTGCCAATAAGTCTTTTTTTTTTTTTTTTTTTTTTTTTTGAGACGGAGTCGCTCTGTCGCCCAGGCTGGAGTGCGGTGGCCTGATCTCGGCTCACTGCAAGCTCCTCCTCCCGGGCTCAAGTAATTCTCCTGCCTCAGCCTCCCGAGTAGCTGGGACTACAGGCGCCCGCCACCACACCTGGCTAAATTTTTTTATATTTTTGGTAGAGACGGGGGTTTCACCGTGTTAGCCAGGATGGTCTCGATCTTCTGACCTTCTGATCTGCCCGCTTCAGCCTCCCAAAGTGCTGGGATTACAGGCATGAGCCACCGCCCCCGGCCAACCAATAAGTCTTAATTACCATAGTTTTTAAATTAAATCTTTATAGGGTAGGTCCAACTCAATCATCATTCCCACCTCCCACCCACCTATGTGCTTCAGGCGTCTCTTGGCTTGTACTAGTCCCTTCTATTTTCCACATACATTTCAGAATTATATTTTGATATGAAAATTTCTATTGGGATTTTATTGTTTTACTGAATATAAAGGTCTATTTGGGAGCATATTAACATCTTCATAATAATAATTCCTGTACAAGAATGTAATGTTATCCTTCATTTTTAAGGATTTTGTATATGGCAATAACATTGTATATCATTCAATAAGATTTACAATCTCTTATAAGAATTATTTCTAGTTTATATTTTTCTTGGAACTGCATGTGGCATCCTTTAAAATTTTAAATTCCAATTAGTTTTTTTTTAGAGAAACACAATCAGATTTGTATGTTGATTTATATTCACCAAAGCTGCTTTGAATCCTAACAATTTATCAATAGATTTAAGGGGAGAGAGTTTGCATGGATATTCAAATTATCTCCAATATGATAATTTCGCCTCTTTCTTTCAGATCCGTTTTCTTGTCCCAGTGAACAGGTGCACTATGTTGAAATAAGAGTGGTGACGGAGGCCTTGTTTATCTTGTATCTTATTGTAAAAGGTATTCTTTCATCACTTTCCCGTCCATTATGAGATTTTTGTTTGCTCTTGCTTTTTTGGAACCCTTTACTGGGTGAAGGAAATTCTTTTATTTCCTAACTTACAAAGATACATCTAAAACCATGAATAGATATAGACTCTTTTATATTTCCCCTTTTGCACCTATGAAGATGCCCCTATTCTTCTGTAATCTGTTCAATATGAGGAGCTCTATCAGTCATACCCAGAGCATACTCCCTCCTGACTAAAGCAGATACCTGCGCATAGGACTGAGCTATCAGTCTTCACTAGAGGTCTCCAGGTGATTCCAATAGGCAGCCAAGACGGGCCCCCCGGGTGGAGGATCTAGGACGTGCCTCCGCAAATTCTATCACCTGTTAAACATGCCTTTGGTTGCATTTGTTCCACAAATATTTATGGCCTCCCTCAGATTTGAAAGGATCCTTGCCAGGTGGTTATGTAGACTAGACAGCGTATTCCCCTCATGGAGCTTACTGTATAGATGGTTATCCGAAATTGAGATTATTGGTGGAAAACTTCTTTCCCCCGGCACTGCCTAAGTCAATTGTTTTGGAGGTTCTTGGTCAGATGCCCCATGAGCTCCAACATCATAAACGGGGTGTGGACCGTCTCCTAATCAGCAGACCCTGTTTAGTCCTGGGTGAAGAAAGACAATTGGGGCATCTGGGCAGAAACACGCAGGTGCAGCAGTATTTCCCCTCCATCGCGAAGGTCATCAAGAACCCACCTTGGCCAATCAAGAGAGGAGTCAGCTGGCTAATCACCGGGCAGGCACCGCCTTTTTCTTCCCGCTGCCTAGCTTGTTTGCTTTCGACCAGCCAAGGAGACCTGGTGGCAGGGTTGGTGAGTTACCTTTCTGGCCGATTTGTTTGTTTGGATTTTAAGGTCTTTTTTTATTATGTTACATTGGTTCTTTAGCTTTCTCTTTGGTTAGGAGCTGGAAATAATATGATTGGGGAATAAAATGACTAAAGTTCCTAAGGGCAGGCCAAGCTCTGTTACCTTTTTCAAGTTCACATGAGTAAATTTGGGTCATGCTTTTTTTTTTTTTGATAAACTTATTTAAGTTGACAGATAAAATTGCATGTAGTGTGTGCAGCATGATGTTTTGAAGTGTATGTGCACTGTGGGTGGAGTGTTTAAACCTAACTAACTCGTCATCATAGCCTTATGGATGCTATTCTTCTATGTGATGTATAAAGTGTTAGAGATGAAAAGAATATTTTTATTTATTTATTTATTTTGAGACGGAGTCTCGCTCTGTCGCCAAGGCTGGCGTGCAGTGGTGTGATCTCAGCGCACTGCAACCTCTGTCTCCTGGGTTCAAGTGACTCTCCCACCTCAGACTCCCAAGTAGCAGGAATGACAGGCACACGCCAGCATACGTAGCTAATTTTTGTATTTTTAGTAGAGATGGGGTTTCGCCATGTTGTCTAGGCTGGTCTCGAACTCCTGACCTCAAGTAATGTGCCCACCTTGACCTCCCAAAGTGCTGGGATTACAGGCGTGAGCTCCTGCACCCGGTCCTGAGCTCTATTTTAATGTTAATGCCCGTCAGTTGTGCCTAGGCTCCGAAAGGAAGGAGATAGGAGGAGGTTTGACCTCCCTTCCTGCCATAGTCAATGATTCTGTTTTTCAAGTATCTTGGCCAGGAGGGGGTCCGCTCAGTTGGTTGTGGGCGGGGGGGTGGGGGGGATGGGGGGGGTGGGGCGGTGGGTCTTAACATGTTATTTTTAGTTTACAAATTGATTCTTAACTTTGAGTGCTGAATTTACAGGGGGGATTGGAACAATATACTGGTTCCTGGGCCCAACCTCCAAAGTCTCTAATCAGTGTCTGTATTTCGGGACACTGGGGTTTTTGATAACTCCCCAGGTGATTCCCCTGTGTCTCAGTGCTTGAGAAAGTCTGGTCACAGGTGCTTGAAGTGCCCAACTGTGCGGTGATCAGCTAATCTGATGCAACGCCGACTTGGGACGTGCAATGCTGTAGTGTCAGCTTTTTTGCAGGTGTTGGAGATCACCTCATAGTTCAGTTGGCACCTTATAGTTCAGTCAACAGCAAATTCCAGCAACCAACTTAAAAAGCATTGCAGTGTGGTCAGATGAGTGTACAAAAGGTTGGTGTAAAAAAAGTATTTTGCCCTTTGGGAAAAGTAATAAGAGCTTTTAACACACACTCAACGTTGCATTTTTTTTTTTTTTTTTAGGAAGCTAAGAAGCCATCACTAGGCAAAAAGCTTATGGAATTTTCCTTGAATGATCCTATGTCACAGTATGAAATCAGAAACACCTAAAGACTGAGAGGGTCATGATTAAATATTTCTGGTGCATTATTACCAAACCACTTAAAAATCATACCTTAAAGAACACAAGCAAAGCTCATACAACAGTGTTTAGGGAAATATGGACTGTTTGAGTCTAAAGGTAACTACTTTATTAGACAAACATATCACTAGAAAGAAATACAGTTGACTCCTGAACTCGGAAGTCTCTCAGTTACAAGGATGGGGCTCAAAGGCAATGGTGAAATAGAAGTCAAAGGAGGGAAGAGTTTGGGAATTTGGGGAAGGGTTGGACTTGGTGAGGCTTAACTTACTAATCCCTAATCTACTTGTGTTCACTTAGGGGGGAAAAACACCTAGATACAAGATTTAAAAGAAGAAAACACTTGTGTTAAACAGATTTACAGTGGACCCTTGAACAATACAGGTTTGAGCTGCATGTGTCCACTTATACATGAAGTTTCAAAAATAAATATATTGGAGAATTTTGGGGGAGATGTATGACAACTTGTAGATGAACCAGGCAGCCTAGAAATACTTAAAAAATTAAAGTCAGATATGTCATGAATGCAATCAATATAGATGTGAGTCTACTTATGTGTTAATTGACTGTTGATAAGGCTTCTGGTCAATAGTAGGCTATGAGTGTTGGAAGTCAAAAGTTATACGTGGGTTTTTGACTGCCTAGGGGCTGGCAGCATTGACTTTTGAGTTCAGGAGTCAACTGTATTTCCCTCTAATATGTTTAAGAAAGTGGAGTTACCTTTAGACTCAAACAGTTCATACTTCTGTAAACGCTGTTTTATGAGCTTTTTCTTGTGTTCTTTAAAGTACGATTTTTTTTTTTTTTTTTTTTTTTTTTTGAGACGGAGTCTCGCCCAGGCTGGAGTGCAGTGGCGCCATCTCGGCTCACTGCAACCTCCACTTCTGAGGTTCAAGCGATTCTCCTGCCTCAGCCTTCTGAGTAGCTGGGACTACAGGCGCGTGCCACCACGCCCGGCTAATTTTTTGTACTTTTAGTAGAGACAAGGCTTCACTGTGTTAGCCAGGATAGGGGTCTCGATCTCCTGACCTCGTGATCTGCCCTCCTCGGCCTCCCAAAGTGCTGGGATTACAGGCATGAGCCACCCTGCCCAGCCTAAAGTATGATTTTTTAAGTGGGTTGATAATACATAATAATGCACCGGAAATATCTAATCATGTCCTTGTCAGACTTCAGGTGTTTCTGATTTTATACTATTGTATAGGATGATTTAAAGAGTATTCCATAAGCTTTATGCCTAGTGACTCTGCTTCATAGGTTCCTCAAAAAAAAAAAAAATGCAATATTGTGTCAGCGTGTGTATGTATATTAAAAGCTCTTATTACTTACTTTTCTCAAAAGGCAAAACACTGTTTTACACCAACATTTCATACCCTCATCTGACCACAGTGCAATGCTTCTTAAATTGATTGCTGGAAGTTGCTGTTGACTGAACTACAAGGTGCTAATTTTGTATATACGTGTGTTAGCCATTTGTAACTTCTTGTCTCTTCAAGTTCTATATCTAATTGATATTTCCTCAATGATTGTGAATAGAATTCTTAATAACTTTAAAATCTTCTCTATGTTATCTTCATCTCTCCTGTCTACATATTTTTCTTCAAAGGTCAGATATACATCTGTTTTTATTAAGCCCCAGAGTCACGACACGTAAAGCTTATGGAACATTCCTTATTCTATAAGTATAAAATCAGAAACAAGGGCATGATTAAATATTTCTTAATTAAATATTAAGTCCCAATCATTCCTTAAAAAATACAACCCAATCTTATTTACTGAATTTTGTTTGTATAGTGATGGAAAGCTTGCATTTTCCTTCCATCTAGGTGATGAGCCAAATTTCTCAGCACCATTTAATGCATATTTCGTATCAGTGTGGATTTGTGATACCATAATTATGATATACTTAATTGGGGCTGCAGTGGCCTTACACATGTGCACACATAGCAGCTCTCCTGGGATTTAAAATTTGTTGCAATGAGTATTCTCCATGAGAAGTACAGATCTACTTTAATTGACATCATTACTAACTTTGCAGTCTGATAAAATTCTTTTTTTTATTATTATACTTTAAGTTTTAGGGTACATGTGCACATTGTGCAGGTTAGTTACATATGTATACATGTGCCATGCTGGTGCGCTGCACCCACTAACTTGTCATCTAGCATTAGGTATATCTCCCAATGCTCTCCCTCCCCCTTCCCCCCACCCCACCACAGTCCCCAGAGTGTGATATTCCCTTTCCTGTGTCCATGTGATCTCATTGTTCAATTCCCACCTATGAGTGAGAACATGCAGTGTTTGGTTTTTTGTTCTTGTGATAGTTTACTGAGAATGATGATTTCCAATTTCATCCATGTCCCTACAAAGGACATGAACTCATCATTTTTTATGGCTGCATAGTATTCCATGGTGTATATGTGCCACATTTTCTTAATCCAGTCTATCATTGTTGGACATTTGGGTTGGTTCCAAGTCTTTGCTATTGTGAATAATGCCGCAGTAAACATACTTGTGCATGTGTCTTTATAGCAGCATGATTTATAGTCATTTGGGTATATACCCAGTAATGGGATGGCTGGGTCAAATGGTATTTCTAGTTCTAGATCCCTGAGGAATCGCCACACTGACTTCCACAATGGATGAACTACTTTACAGTCCCACCAACAGTGTAAAAGTGTTCCTATTTCTCCACATCCTCTCCAGCACCTGTTGTTTCCTGACTTTTTAATGATCACCATTCTAACTGGTGTGAGATGGTATCTCATTGTGGTTTTGATTTGCATTTCTCTGATGGCCAGTGATGATGAGCATTTTTTCATGTTTTTTTTGGCTGCATAAATGTCTTCTTTTGAGAAGTGTCTGTTTATATCCTTTGCCCACTTTTTGATGGGGTTGTTTGTTTTTTTCTTGTAAATTTGTTTGAGTTCATTGTAGATTCTGGATATTAGCCCTTTGTCAGATGAGTAGGTTGCGAAAATTTTCTCCCATTTTGTAGGTTGCCTGTTGACTCTGATGGTAGTTTCTTTTGCTGTGCAGAAGCTCTTTAGTTTAATTAGATCCCATTTGTCAATTTTGGCTTTTGTTGCCATTGCTTTTGGTGTTTTAGACATGAAGTCCTTGGCCATGCCTATGTCCTGAATGGTCATGCCTAGGTTTTCTTCTAGGGTTTTTATGGTTTTAGGTCTAACGTTTAAATCTTTAATCCATCTTGAATTGATTTTTGTATAAGGTGTAAGGAAGGGATCCAGTTTCAGCTTCCTACATATGGCTAGCCAGTTTTCCCAGCACCATTTATTAAATAGGGAATCCTTTCCCCATTGCTTGTTTTTCTCAGGTTTGTCAAATACCAGATAGTTGTAGGTATGCGGCATTATTTCTGAGGGCTCTGTTCTGTTCCATTGATCTATATCTCTGTTTTGGTACCAGTACCATGCTGTTTTGGTTACTGTAGCCTTGTAGTATAGTTTGAAATCAGGTAGTGTGATGCCTCCAGCTTTGTTCTTTTGGCTTAGGATTGACTTGGCAATGCGGGCTCTTTTTTGGTTCCATATGAACTTTAAAGTAGTTTTTTCCAATTCTGTGAAGAAAGTCATTGGTAGCTTGATGGGGATGGCATTGAATCTGTAAATTACCTTGGGCAGTATGGCCATTTTCACGATATTGATTCTTCCTACCCATGAGCATGAAATGTTCTTCCATTTGTTTGTATCCTCTTTTATTTCCTTGAGCAGTGGTTTGTAGTTCTCCTTGAAGAGGTCCTTCACATCCCTTGTAAGTTGGATTCCTAGGTATTTTATTCTCTTTGAAGCAATTGTGAATGGGAGTTCACTCATGATTTGGCTCTCTGTTTGTCTGTTGTTGGTGTATAAGAATGCTTGTGATTTTTGTACATTGATTTTGTATCCTGAGACTTTGCTGAAGTTGCTTATCAGCTTAAGGAGCTTTTGGGCTGAGACAATGGGGTTTTCTAGATATACAATCATGTCGTCTGCAAACAGGGACAATTTGACTTCCTCTTTTCCTAATTGGATACCCTTTATTTCCTTCTCTTGCCTAATTGCCCTGGCCAGAACTTCCAACACTATGTTGAATAGGAGTGGTGAGAGAGGGCATCCCTGTCTTTTGCCAGTTTTCAAAGGGAATGCTTCCAGTTTTTGCCCATTCAGTATGATATTGGCTGTGGGTTTGTCATAGATAGCTCTTATTATTTTGAAATACGTCCCATCAATACCTAATTTATTGAGAGTTTTTAGCATGAAGGGTTGTTGAATTTTGTCAAAGGCTTTTTCTGCATCTATTGAGATAATCATGTGGTTTTTGTCTTTGGCTCTGTTTATATGCTGGATTACATTTATTGATTTGCGTATATTGAACCAGCCTTGCATCCCAGGGATGAAGCCCACTTGATCATGGTGGATAAGCTTTTTGATGTGCTGCTGGATTCGGTTTGCCAGTATTTTATTGAGGATTTTTGCATCAATGTTGATCAAGGATATTGGTCTAAAATTCTCTTTTTTGGTTGTGTCTCTGCCCGGCTTTGGTATCAGAATGATGCTGGCCTCATAAAATGAGTTAGGGAGGATTCCCTCTTTTTCTATTGATTGGAATAGTTTCAGAAGGAATGGTACCAGTTCTTCCTTGTACCTCTGGTAGAATTCGGCTGTGAATCCATCTGGTCCTGGACTCTTTTTGGTTGGTAAACTATTGATTATTGCCACAATTTCAGCTCCTGTTATTGGTCTATTCAGAGATTCAACTTCTTCCTGGTTTAGTCTTGGGAGAGTGTATGTGTCGAGGAATTTATCCATTTCTTCTAGATTTTCTAGTTTATTTGCGTAGAGGTGTTTGTAGTATTCTCTGATGGTAGTTTGTATTTCTGTGGGATCGGTGGTGATATCCCCTTTATCATTTTTTATTGTGTCTATTTGATTCTTCTCTCTTTTTTTCTTTATTAGTCTTGCTAGCAGTCTATCAATTTTGTTGATCCTTTCAAAAAACCAGCTCCTGGATTCATTGATTTTTTGAAGGGTTTTTTGTGTCTCTATTTCCTTCAGTTCTGCTCTGATTTTAGTTATTTCTTGCCTTCTGCTAGCTTTTGAATGTGTTTGCTCTTGCTTTTCTAGTTCTTTTAATTGTGATGTTAGGGTGTCAATTTTGGATCTTTCCTGCTTTCTCTTGTGGGCATTTAGTGCTATAAATTTCCCTCTACACACTGCTTTGAATGCGTCCCAGAGATTCTGGTATGTTGTGTCTTTGTTCTCGTTGGTTTCAAAGAACATCTTTATTTCTGCCTTCATTTCGTTATGTACCCAGTAGTCATTCAGGAGCAGGTTGTTCAGTTTCCATGTAGTTGAGTGGCTTTGAGTGAGATTCTTAATCCTGAGTTCTAGTTTGATTGCACTGTGGTCTGAGAGATAGTTTGTTATAATTTCTGTTCTTTTACATTTGCTGAGGAGAGCTTTACTTCCAACTATGTGGTCAATTTTGGAATAGGTGTGGTGTGGTGCTGAAAAAAATGTATATTCTGTTGATTTGGGGTGGAGAGTTCTGTAGATGTCTATTAGGTCCGCTTGGTGCAGAGCTGAGTTCAATTCCTGGGTATCCTTGTTGACTTTCTGTCTCGTTGATCTGTCTAATGTTGACAGTGGGGTGTTAACGTCTCCCATTATTAATGCGTGGGAGTGTAAGTCTCTTTGTAGGTCACTCAGGACTTGCTTTATGAATCTGGGTGCTCCTGTATTGGGTGCATATATATTTAGGATAGTTAGCTCTTCTTGTTGAATTGATCCCTTTACCATTATGTAATGGCCTTCTTTGTCTCTTGATCTTTGTTGGTTTAAAGTCTGTTTTATCAGAGACTAGGATTGCAACCCCTTCCTTTTTTTGTTTTCCATTTGCTTGGTAGATCTTCCTCCATCCTTTTATTTTGAGCCTATGTGTGTCTCTGCACATGAGATGGGTTTCCTGAATACAGCACACTGATGGGTCTTGACTCTTTATCCAATTTGCCAGTCTGTGTCTTTTAATTGGAGAATTTAGTCCATTTACATTTAAAGTTAATATTGTTATGTGTGAATTTGATCCTGTCATTATGATGTTAGCTGGTGATTTTGCTCATTAGTTGATGCAGTTTCTTCCTGGTCTCGATGGTCTTTACATTTTGGCATGATTTTGCAGCGGCTGGTACCAGTTGTTCCTTTCCATGTTTAGCGCTTCCTTCAGGAGCTCTTTTAGGGCAGGCCTGGTGGTGACAAAATCTCTCAGCATTTGCTTGTCTGTAAAGTGTTTTATTTCTCCTTCACTTATGAAGCTTAGTTTGGGTGGATATGAAATTCTGGGTTGAAAATTCTTTTCTTTAAGAATGTTGAATATTGGCCCCCACTCTCTTCTGGCTTGTAGGGTTTCTGCCGAGAGATCTGCTGTTAGTCTGATGGGCTTCCCTTTGAGGGTAACCCGACCTTTCTCTCTGGCTGCCCTTAACATTTTTTCCTTCATTTCAACTTTGGTGAATCTGACAATTATGTGTCTTGGAGTTGCTCTTCTCGAGGAGTATCTTTGTGGTGTTCTCTGTATTTCCTGAATCTGAACGTTGGCCTGCCTTGCTAGATTGGGGAAGTTCTCCTGGATAATATCCTGCAGAGCGTTTTCCAACTTGGTTCCATTCTCCCCATCACTTTCAGGTACACCAATCAGACGTAGATTTGGTCTTTTCACATAGTCCCATATTTCTTGGAGGCTTTGCTCATTTCTTTTTATTTGTTTTTCTCTAAACTTCCCTTCTCGCTTCATTTCATTCATTTCGTCTTCCATTGCTGATACCCTTTCTTCCAGTTGATCGTATCGGCTCCTGAGGCTTCTGCATTCTTCACGTAGTTCTCGAGCCTTGGTTTTCAGCTCCATCAGCTCCTTTAAGCACTTCTCTGTATTGGTTATTCTAGTTATACATTCTTCTAAATTTTTTTCAAAGTTTTCAACTTCTTTGCCTTTGGTTTGAATGTCCTCCCGTAGCTCAGAGTAATTTGATCGTCTGAAGCCTTCTTCTCTCAGCTCCTCAAAGTCATTCTCCATCCAGCTTTGTTCCGTTTCTGGGGAGGAACTGCGTTCCTTTGGAGGAGGAGAGACACTCTGCGTTTTAGAGTTTCCAGTTTTTCTGTTCTGTTTTTTCCCCATCTTTGTGGTTTTATCTACTTTTGGTCTTTGATGATGGTGATGTACAGATGGGTTTTCGGTGTGGATGTCCTTTCTGTTTGTTAGTTTTCCTTCTAACAGACAGGACCCTCAGCTGCAGGTCTGTTGGAATACCCTGCCGTGTGAGGTGTCAGTGTGCTCCTGCTGGGGGGTGCCTCCCAGTTAGGCTGCTTGGGGGTCAGGGGTCAGGGACCCACTTGAGGAGGCAGTCTGCTGGTTCTCAGATCTCCAGCTGCGTGCTGGGAGAACCACTGCTCTCTTCAAAGCTGTCAGACAGGGACATTTAAGTCTGCAGAGGTTACTGCTGTCTTTTTGTTTGTCTGTGCCCTGCCCCCAGAGGTGGAGCCTATAGAGGCAGGCAGGCCTCCTTGAGCTGTGGTGGGCTCCCCCCAGTTCCAGCTTCCTGGCTGCTTTGTTTACCTAATCAAGCCTGGGCAATGGCGGGCGCCCCTCCCCCAGCCTAGCTGCCGCCTTGCAGTTTGATCTCAGACTGCTGTGCTAGCAATCAGCGAGACTCCGTGGGCATAGGACCCTCCGAGCCAGGTGTGGGATATAGTCTCATGGTGCGCCGTTTTTTAAGCCAGTCAGAAAAGCGCAGTATTCGGGTGGGAGTGACCCGATTTTCCAGGTGCGTCCGTCACCCCTTTCTTTGACTCGGAAAGGGAACTCCCTGACCCCTCGCGCTTCCCAGGTGAGGCAATGCCTCGCCCTGCTTCGGCTCGCGCACGGTGCGCGCATCCACTGACCTGCGCCCACTGTCTGGCACTCCCTAGTGAGATGAACCCGGTACCTCAGATGGAAATGCGGAAATCACCCGTCTTCTGCGTTGCTCACGCTGGGAGCTGTAGACCGGAGCTGTTCCTATTCGGCCATCTTGGCTCCTCCCTGCAGTCTGATAAAATTCTAAGCCTCAGTTCTAAAATTTTTCTTTGACATCTTCAGTCATGACGTAAAGATATCATTTTAGGGTGAGAGAGAAGAGAAATTCCAATGAGACTAAGGCAATCTTTTTTTATTTCTTTTTGAGACAGAGTCTTGCTCTGTTTCCCAGGCTGGGGTGCAGTGGCACTATCTCAGCTCACAGCAATCTCTGCCTCCCAGGTTCAAGTGATTCTCCTGTCTCAGCCTTCCAAATAGCTGGGATTACAGGTAGCCACCACCACCATGCTTGCCTAATTTTTTTGTATTTTTAGTAGAGATGGGGTTTCATCATGATGGCCCGGCTAGTCTCGGACTCCTGACCTCAGGTGATCCACCCACCTCGGCCTCCCAAAGTGCTGGGATTACAGGCGTGAGCCACTGTGCCCAGCTGACTAAGGCAATCTTGTTAACCATATGAGCACGAAAAGAACTGACCTCTTGGCAAATATGCTAAGTGTCAATTATGGATACAGAGGCTGAGAACACTGGGGAGAAAGAGAAACAGTGGTCCTGCCCTGATGGAGACTTCCATTTAAGGGAGTAATTAGACCTGAAAGCAGTTCTCCCATCACTAACAATGTTAATGGGTTCTCCCATCACTAACAATGTTAATGGGTTCTCCCATCACTAACAATGTTAATGGGTTCTCCCATCACTAACAATGTTAATGGGTTCTCCCATCACTAACAATGTTAATGGGTTCTCCCATCACTAACAATGTTAATGGGTTCTCCCATCACTAACAATGTTAATGGGTTTGCCTGCTGCAAGGTAAGAGATGGTGAGTTTAGGAGGACGTCATTCAATGTTGTGAGGCTATTTCCTGTTACCCTGTGTGTCAGGTGTTGAATGCCATCCCCTAGTTGGGTTAGGTGGGATGACTTGGGACTGGGCACAGTCCTGTTCACAGCTGTGACTTATTACAGTGAGGGCTACAAAGCAGAATCGGCAAAGCAAAGAGGCACATGGGACAAAATCCAGAGGAAACCAGGCTCCCGAGTGTCCTCTCCCGGCAGAGTCACCCAGGACATGTGGAATTCCCCCAGCAGCAAGTGATAAAAAACACACACGAGGTATTGGCTGCTGTGGAAGATCATTACAAACTCAGTGCTTGGGGTGTGTGTGTGTGTGTGTGTGTGTGTGTGTGTGTGTGTGTGTGTGAGAGAGAGAGAGAGAGCTGGTCACATAGGCATCCTCTCCCTAGCATATTCCAAAATATGCATTAAACAGTGCCGAGAAAATTGGCTCACTGCTTAGATGGAAGGAAATTGCAAGCTTCCAGGCTCCCAGAAGGACAGCAAAGCTTCAGCATAAGCCATGTTGTCTGTACAAGCCATAAAGGCATGTGAGCCACTCTTATCAGCTCTGGGAATGTGGGTGGGGGGTGCCTTCCACATCCAGGTTCCAGATGCTAGCCAACGGCCAATGTAGCAGGCAGATCCTAAAGATGGCAGTTTCGGACGTGTCATGTTAACTCTCTTCTGTACACCCTGAAATCCTGGCTTCAGCCAACACGACACCTGTATGTACATATGTCAGGGTACCAGTCCCATTCACTGCTTTTTATCTCAATAGTATATTATAAATATCTTTGTAGGTCCAGCAAATATAGACCTAGAAACCAATCTTTATGGCTTCACATTCCATTTTATTCAGGTAATGACTTTTTTTCTGAGTTAAGAGAGATTAAGACATTTTTGAAAAACTAAGTTTTCGAAAGATTTCTTAGCATGTTTGTGCATTTAGGTCCAGAATACAAAAATATACATGAGACGAAAAGCTGTGGGATGATTACTCTCCGAAGTCCAGCTTAGGTTTAGGAACTCAAAGGGTGCGATTGCTTCCCCTTTCCTCCTCAGACCCGATACTGAGCAGAGTAAGAATTCCACCACCCTCTGTTCAGTGGGATTTTCTAGTTAACCTTCTCATTTGTCTATCCCCTGCCACTGACTGGTGGCCTTTCATCTGTCCTCCCACCTCAATGTGCCCCAGGGTTTGTCTTCTCCTTTGCCCTAAAATTGTATATGATTTCCTAAAACTGAGCTCTAGGCTGCCAAAGTTTGCTCGACTTCACCTGACCTAACATGAAAGCGACTCCCTGGGTGCATGCGTGCCTTCTGAAACTCAGTGACTTCCTTATTGTTTTTTCTGCCAGCTCAACCATGCATTTAAAGGCTCCTTTAGGGGAGGAGAGGGAAACAGGGAGTGACTGCTTACTAGTTGCAGGTCCTCCTTTAGGGCAAATGAAAATGTTCTGGAAGAGGGTGTCATAGTTCTTACCTTGTTGGGCACTGGGGATTGGCATAGCAATGCTGCAAAACTCAGGTACCATAGGTGCATGTCAGTATGCCCATTTTTTTACCCCTTTATTGGGGGATCATGAGTATCTTTCCATGTACTTCATGGCCACGATGGAGTCAGATCCAACCCAGTGGCTCTATCTTCTAACATAGTACCTGGTATATGAGGTCTGCAAGCTTAATATGCCTACTTCTTCCCTTCAGGTAGGCATCACTGTTGAGTGTGTCTACAATACCAGTGACTCTGTCTTGTATTTGGTGCATCTTATCAGCTTCACTGGCGGTTTCTTTACGCCCAACAACCTAGTTACGGTTGAGTATCTAGTTAGGTTTATTTCATGGTTAGAGATCGAGCAGTCTAGCCTCAAGCAGATACCTGCCATTCTCCAACTTTCTTTTTCGCCCCCAAAGGGACTATTTATCCCTTGTTCTCTGTGTCGAAGCATTTGCTGTAAAACCATGGAGATGTTAGCCAATCCACATCCACTCATATCTGATCAGATCTTCTTTCTCTACCTTTGTCATAAACTCTGAGAGCCTTGACTGTGTTGGGTCAAGGCTCTGGAATGGATTCTTTAGTCACAACTCGGCAATCTCAACTTCTCGTGACGGAGTGTAATGATACCAGGATTAGACTGACATTGAAACTGACAGGTGTGGGAGGCTCACGGGGTTTAGAAATTGGTCAAGGGAAAAGATAACCAAGGGGTGGCAGTTGCACACATGCTTTTTTGGGTGGCATTTTCACAGGTTTGTGTGTGGGGCATGTCTCTTACAGCAGGAGCCTGGCCAGGGGCTACAGTGTGTGGGTCCCTACTCAGGAGGACAGGAAGATGGGGAACCCCTGCAGAGGTGGGGTAGAATTGAAGAGGCAACCTGTGTGTGTGTGTGTGTGTGTGTGTGTGTGTGTGTGTGTGTGTGTGTGTGTGTGTGTGTGTGTAGGCGATACCACTCAGTACAGTGGGG
Organism: Homo sapiens; assembly: GCF_000001405.40. Classification (NCBI taxonomy): domain Eukaryota; kingdom Metazoa; phylum Chordata; class Mammalia; order Primates; family Hominidae; genus Homo; species Homo sapiens. The sequence continues at coordinate 55,819,100 of NC_000019.10, read as the reverse complement.
AGGAAGATCTCCTGGGTCCGAGAGCTCCAAAGGGCAGTAGCACCTTGCAGTCATCTTGACCCTGGGGACTTACCTATTGCTGGCAGATGTTGGGAGCAGTTCTGCGAGGTATGCAAAGCGGGCAGGCTCTACATGGCTAAACATCTGCTTATTTGGGCTGTGTTTAAAACAATTGGTTGTATAAAAAACTTGAGTCTGAAGCCAGTGGGCTTTATGCGCTAACAGATTTCAGCCTAGAGTGAAAAAATAACCTAGGGGCTGTCTTTGGCTCATTTATATACTAACAAGACAGAACAGAGTACATCATAACTTAGATTTCTTTTCAGCAGCATACAAGACCACAAACAGCCTGTTTGCTTATTATAACAGTTGCCTCTTCATTAGGAGTCCTTATACGTATCAATGACATACCTCCAAGGAGTATAATCATTGTAAATACAGCCAATTGCTATACAGATTATTCTAACATAGAGGAGTTTCATATACAACAGCATATCTTGTAAGAGACCACAAGTCTAGATTTCCAATCTGCATAGGGTTGACAATTTCAAAAGAAACACTCCCCTCCAAAGTTTCTGTATGATACTCAATTCTCAACCTATATGCTATTTGCTAATCAGGGATAACTTTTACCATAAGAATGTTGCCTTTTAACACAACTGATGTTCCACCTTAACAGAACCTAGAAATTTGCCAAGATCAGTCGACAAGGCCATTGACCCAGACAGAAAGAGTTCAGACTTATCGTTGATGGCCTATCAGAAAGGAGCTTCTATCACACCACAGGAATTGTCTAGGATGTTAGCTTTGGATGAATTGGCATTACTGTGTGGTTTGATTGTCTGATTCCACATCTATTTTTAGATCTCATATTTCTTGTGCCTCAAAATCCCTTCTCTGAAGTCTGCCTTCCCTGGAGAAGCAAGATGGCAGAATCGGATTCTACTGACTTTGACCTGCTGTGGTATCTAGAGAATCTCAGTGACAAGGAATTTCAGAGTTTTAAGAAGTATCTGGCACGCAAGATTCTTGATTTCAAACTGCCACAGTTTCCACTGATACAGATGACAAAAGAAGAACTGGCTAACGTGTTGCCAATCTCTTATGAGGGACAGTATATATGGAATATGCTCTTCAGCATATTTTCAATGATGCGTAAGGAAGATCTTTGTAGGAAGATCATTGGCAGACGAAACCGTGAGTGGGGTCACGAGAAGGGTGGGCAGAAATCAGGGCACTTCACAGGAAGCTGGGTGTTGGGCCTTTTTTTTTTTTTTTTTCTAAATAGGTTTCTGGGAAGCAGGTGGTATTTGAGTACATGAGTAAGTTCTTTAGTGGTGATTTCTAAAACTTTGGCATCCCCACCGTCTGAGCAGTGCACACTGTACCCAGTGTGTAGTCGTTTATCCCTCACCTCCCTCTCACACTTCCCGCCGAGTCCCTGTAGTCCAATGTATCATTCTTATGCCTTTGCATCCTCATAGCTTAGCTCCCACTTAAGAGAAAATACAATGTTTGGTTTTCCACTCCCGAGTTACTTCACTTAGAATAATGGTCTCTAATCCCATCCAGCTTGCTGCAAATGCTATTATTTCGCTTCTCTTTATGACTGAGTAGTATTTGTGTGTGTGTGTGTGTGTGTTCATAATTTCTTTATCCACTTGTTGATTGATGGGCATTTGGGCTGGTTCCATATTTTTGCAATTGCGAATTGTGCCACTATAAATGTGTGTGCATGTGTTTTTGTATAATGACTTGTTTTCCTCTGGGTAGATACACAGTAGTGGGATTGCTGGATCAAATGGTCGTTCTACTTTTAGTTCTTTAAGGAATAGTCACACTGGTTTTCATAGTGGTTTACATTCCCACCAGCAGTGTAAAAGTGTTCCCTTTTTACCACATCCATACCAACATCTATTTTTTAAATTTTTTTTTATCATGGCCATTCTTGCAGGAGTAAGGTGGGATTGCATTGTGGTTTTGATTTGCATTTCCCTGGTCATTAGCGATGTTGAGCATTTTTTTCATATTCATTTTTTCAAGGACTATCAGATACTGGCCATTTGTGTATCTTCTTTTGAGAAGCATCTATTTGTGTCCTTAGTCCACTTGTTGATGGAATTGTTTAGCTTGGTGGTTTTGATACATGACTTTTCCATCCCCAAAGAACCAGTCTTCAGAACTGGACATCACATGAGGACCAGGGATAGATTGGATATGGGTCATGTTCTATTTTGTGGCTTTATGATCCTACCTTTATTTTCTGTTATTATGCAAACCAGCTTATATGAAAGTAGCCAGCCAAAGGATTAGACTCAAAGAAAGTACTTGAGCTAGAGCAGATTTCCCAGCAGAGAGCTCTGTCCTAGAACCATAAGATCCAGCTACAGAAAAGTAGGGGCTCTGTGTAAAGATCATGGAGGGTTAACAACCGGGTACGCTCCTACCATAAGACCCAGCTACAGAAATGTAGGGGACTCTGTGTAAGCGTCATGGAGGGTTAACATTTTGGGTACACTCCTATGCAGGTCGTCATCATTGGCTCATTTAGTCCCTCCCGAACATCTCTAAAATAGATAAAATCATGTATTCCAATTGAAAACCTGAATACCTGAGGGGTTAAGAGAACTTACCAAGATCATGAATACCACACTAAAATGGGATGTTGAAGTCTACAGCTGTAATTGTGTTAGAGTCTCTCTTACATAAAGCAATTATTAGAGCTAAACTGAGGACTCCAGTGTTGGATGCATATATATTTACAGTTGTCACATCCTCTTGCTAGATCAACCCCTGTATTACATAATGACCTTCTTTGTGTCTCATTATAGTTTTTGTCATGGAATCTGTTTTGTCTGATATAAGCATAGCTACTCCTCTTCTTTGGCTTCCAATGGCATGGAATATCTCCCTCTTATTTTCAGTCTATGTGTCTTATAGGTGAACAGTAGATCTTCTTTAGAATGAAGAAGTAGTTTGGTCCTCAAATTCCTCTAATATTGAAGACAACTTTTATACAATATTTACTTGGTTAAACTCGTATCTTCCCAATTAAATAGTATAGCATGTCTTCACTCATCGTTATGACTCACAGGCTTCTGGCCTTCCTTTGCTATTCTCCTCCAACCCATGGCTTATATATACTTTATGGAGTCAAGGCTCATAACCTCGACTATTGATGGCAATCACAAGTATCTTTTTGTTTAGGCTTCTTCTATATTTAAAGCTATACCTGGCTTATCACATACCCCTGTCCCTGATGTGATGAATAATTCATTTCATTGCCTTAGTTAACTGGACTTCATTGTTGCTTCCTCCATCTCTGCCTCTGAGAAGGATTCATGAGTGAATTCCTTAGTGAACTCCTTAATTTTATGTCTAAAACTCTTTGCATGTCTTTATACACAAATGGGAACTTTACTGGACGTAATACTCTCCAGCCACTCCTTTTTAATATTGTATAAATTCCTTCTGTGTCTTCTGGCACTGAATATGTTTGGAGAAATGTTAACCTGTTAAGATTTGTTTTCCTTTTTCATGTTTATTGCTAAATTCTTTTTTTTTTTTTTTTTGAGATGGAGTCTTGTTCCATTGTCCAGGCTGGAATGCAATGGAACAATCTCGGCTCACTGCAACCTCCACCTCCTAGGTTCGAGTGATTCTCCTGACTTAGCCTCCTGAGTAGCTGGGATTAAGGGTGCCCACCACCACACCCGGCTCATTTTTGTGTTTTTAGTAGAGATGGGGTTTCACTATGTTGGCCAGGCTGGTCTTGAACTCCTGACCTCAGGTGATCCGCCCGCCTCGGCCTCCCAAAGTGCTGGGGCTACAGGCATAAGCCACCGTGCCCAGCCTCTTGCTAAATTCCTGAATAATTTCTTTATCCTTAAAGTTTAAAAGCTTAATAGGGGTGCATATGAATGTTCTTTTTAAAACATTTGTCACCCATATTTACATACTCCATAATTACAAGGATTTTTTTTTGTAACCTGAATTTGATCTTTCTGTCTATGTTCTCTATTTTGAGGCCATACATTTTTCTTAGACCTTTTCCTTCCATACCTACATGCTTCTGGCTTTATTGTGATGTAATTGACAGATACAAATTATGTATACTTAAGGTGTACAACTTGATGTTTTGATATACACTGTAAAATAACAATCCGTGGGGACTCTTGCTCACTCACCATCTCCCTGTGGTCAGGAGCCTTCCTGGGCCGTGTGCCAGTCCTGGGCTGGTGGCTGTCCTGTCTCACTCTTCTGTTCTCCGTGGGTTGTGTGGCTTCCTTGATGAATCCCGTGTGTCCTAGATAATCCAGTTGAAAAGCTGGTGTTGCTGCTCTGTTCTCTCTCCATGAGAGCGGTGCACACTACCAGCTTCTGGTCTACCATCTTCTCTAACCATGCCTCACTTCATATTTTAGATATTTTAAAAATTACACTTTAAGTACCTTGACATGGTGGTAAACTTGTTTTCCTTCCTTGAGTGTTTTCTTCCAGAATTAGTAATTTTTTTTTTAGTTGCATGGTTATCCTGTCATTCACTTCTCTTTTCTTATCTAGCTCAAGCTTATGGACAACTGTGTCCAAAATGTATAGCTTGTCCTGGTATAGTGTAAAGCAGTGGTCCCGCACCTTTTTGGCACCAGTTTCACGGAAGACAATTTTTCCATGGACTAGAAGGGGTGGAGATGGATGGTTTGGGGATAATTCAAATGTATTACATTTATTATGTACTTTATTTCTATTACATTGTAATATATAATGAAATAATTCTACAACTCGCCATGATGTAGAATCACTGGGAGCCCTGAGCTCATTTTCCTGCCACTAGACAGTCCCATTGGGGGGTGATGGGAAGCAGTGACAGATCATCAGGCATTAGATTCTCATAAGGAGGGTGCAACCTATATCCCTCCTATGTGCAGTTCACAATAGGGTTCACGCTTCTGTGAGAATCCAATGCTCCCACTGATCTGACAGGAGGCAGAACCCAGGTGGTAATGTGAGCGATGGGGAGCGGCTGTAAATACAGAGGAGTGCTCAGTCACTCACCACTCACCATCGGCTGTGGGGCCCAGTCCCTAACAGGCCACAGACTGATATCAGTCTGGCGTAAAGTCTACTGAACATGCCTCCTAGGCCATGTTGTAATCTCTTATTACCCTTTACATTTTTACCACTATCTACTGAGGGTTTCAATGAGGGGGAAGTGAACCCAAGTTTGAGAGAAGGCTTTCCTGGAGACCATGGCTGTGTCCTCCATGGTGACCCTTTAAATGTCAGTAGCAGGGCTGAGTCCACTCAGTGAGTTTCTCACTTCCATGGACATTGCAATGTCTTTCCCCTCCTCCTCTGCCCAGGGCCCTGAGAAAATAGAAATCCTTCCTGCTTCTCTTGATCATCTTATTCTCAAGACTGTTGTGCTGTCCCTTCCTCATGAGGTACATGCTCACCTGCTCTGTTTACTTCTCTCCAAATTGCAGATATTTAAGAGAATATCAGATATGATTTCTTTTCTTCACTTTCTTCACCCAGTACCTCTTCTGGGATGGCTCGACATATCGCAGTAGTAATTGCAAAAGGTCTTAGTACTTACATAGACTGCTCCCAGTGGAAAACAAAACTCAAATGGAGCTTTGGAATTTGGGACAGGAAATTGGTAGATGCCTGATGGGCCTTGAAATTTTCAGTGGGGAAAGAAACTACAAGTCAAGTAATTAAAGGGTAGAGGAAACTACAGGTCAAGAAACTACTTGACCTGTAACTTTCCTCTGCTTTAAAAAATTTTTTTTCCCAGGCTGGAGTGCAGTGGTGCAATCTTGGCTCACTGCAACCTCTGCTTCCTTGGTTCAAGTGATTCTCCTGTCTCAGCCTCCCGAGTAGCTGGGATTACAGGCGCCTGCCACCATGCCGGGCTAATTTTTGTATTTTTAGTAGAGATGGGGTTTCAGCATGTTGGCCAGGCTGGTCTCGAACTCCTGACCTCAGGTGATCTGCCCGCCTTCGCCTCCCAAAGTGCTGTGATTACAGGTGTGAGTCGCTGTGCCTGGCCACCCTCTACCATTTTAATAAGTTTTCAACATGCCTTTGACCTTCAGTGGACTTTATCAGGTGGGAACCTGAACTGGTGGAAAGTTTAGCAAGGTTGTTCCTGAAATAACAGTGGAAAATGCACATTATTAACTTGAAGATAAGGAGATTTAGGGGGACAATAAAGATGCAGCCTGGTGGTGGTGGTTTTGCTCATCATAAAAGGTGACAAGGGAGAAATGGACTGAAGAATAAACTTAAGGTTTTGAACTAAGTTTATAGAAAATAAAAACGTCCTTGACAGGCTTTTCTGACCACAAAGGATTCTCAAGAAAGAGCTTCAGGGTCCTAGGGTAGTTCTATTTTTCATTTTTTGAGGAACCTCCACATCATTTTTCGTAATGACTCCTCTAATTGACAGCCCCACACACCGTGCACAAGGCTTCCCTTTTCTCCACATCTTCACCCACACTTACCGTTTGTCTTCTTGATAATATCCATTCTAACAGGTGTGAAGGGAATAGCTCATCGTGATTTTTATTTGCATTTCTGATTCGTGATGTTGAATACCTTTTCATCCCCTCTCCTTTTGGGACTGTAATTACACGTATTTTATACTGGTCCTTTGATATTGTATCACAGTTCCCTGATGGTCTGATTGGTTTTGTGATTGTTTTTCCTCTGTGCTTGTTAGGCCAATTCTATTGATCTGTGCTGGTGCCCCCTCATCCTTTCTTCTGTGTGTGCCATCTGCCATTCAGCCATTCCAATGAATTCTTTGTTTTGCATAGTGTATATTTTAAGTTACAGAGCATCCATCTGATTCTTATACTCTATATACCTAATATATGGGGATATATGCATAATATGAAACTTATTATAAAATTACCTCCTAATTCCAAAAGCTGGGTTATCCGTACATATGCTTCTATTCATTTTTTTTTAATTTTACTTTTGACAAATAGTTATGCATACTTATATGGGACAATGTGATGTTTTGATATGCTTCCATTGTGGAATGTTGACATGAAGCTAACAAATCTATTATCTCACATATTTATTCTCTTACGTGTGTGTGTGTGTGTGTGTGTGTGTGTACATGTGTGAAACTGGACAGCTTCTGAATGGCAAAGGGAAATGAGTGAAGAGACTCCTGGATTGGGAGAATATATTTGTAAACTATGTATGATACGGAACTAATATCCAAAGTATATAAGGAACTGCATAACAAGAAAACAGATAACCTAATCAATAAATTGGCAAAAAGAAAAACACCTAAATAGACATCTTCCAAAGATTTTTTTTTCTTGATTATGAATCATGGTTTATAATCATGAACCATACTCATCACCATGGCTTTCTGCTTCTTTGAATCTCAATTTTTTTATTGTATACTAAACGTCATAGATAAAAACAGTAAGGAGAAAGTCCTGTCTCTGCCAGGCTGTTGAGATGTGCTAGGTCGGAACTAGGCAGCCCTGGTAGTCTAGAGGGTGGGATCAGGCCCGTTGATCCATCAGGCTCATCTCCACTGGGGGGGAGCCAGTGTGCCACATTCCAGTACATTCAGGTCCACCACACCAGCCCTGCTGCAGCTGTTCATCATTGGCTTTTATTTATCCCATCAAAGTTCTTCCATGCTGCCAGGCTCCCTCTTTTGCCTGCCCTTACCCAGGGATAAAAACATTTTCAAGTATCTGCTCACTAAGGAAGGAGTCATCCCCCTCTAGGAATTCACTTATTTGGATCATTTCTGTATCATACCTCTATGACAGCTTTATACTTATGTCTTAACATTTTTGTTTGTTTTTGCAGTGGGAGTGCAATCTTGTGTATTCTCAAGAAATAAGACTCCCTTTACGATAAATTTTAACTTTATTCCATACAATTTCATTTATCTTAAGTAGTTCATTAAATGATCAGGATTTCAGTAATGATATGCATAAACAAAAAAATAGAAGGGAAGATGAACGTGTAACTCATGACTGATGGGCCAAGATGTAATAGATACTTTGAGCTGAATACGTACCAGGAAACAGTCCCTGAACTCGAGTTATTGCCTCAAAGGAAAAACTGGGTATGAAATGAAACATAATTGAAGGCTACCTAAAACGCTAAGGAACCCCCAAAAAGGAAAGAAATATGTTCTTGATGCCAAGACATGAGAGGGAAGCCCTTGAAGGATAAAGAACAAAGCTAAAACAGATCTGTCGACTCCACTGTATGAGTTGAATAGGTTTTATTCAACCTTTTTCCTTTAAAGCAATATGGGCCGGGCGCAGTGGCTCATGCCTGTAATCCCAGCACATTGGGAAGCCAAGGCAGGTGGATCACCTGAGGCCAGGAGTTCGAAACCAGCCTGGCTAACATGGCAAAACCCTGTCTCTACTAAAAATACAAAAAATTAGCCAGGTGTGGTGGTGCACGCCTGTAATCCTAGCTACTTGGGAGGCTGAGGCAGGAGAATCGCTTGAACCTGGGAGGTGGAGGCTGTAGTGAGCCCAGTTCGTGCCACTGCACTCCAGCCTGTGCAATAAGAGCAAAACTCCATCTCAAAAACAAGCAACATGATGGTAAATATCTTTGTACCTATATCTTTGTGATAAGCAGTAGTAAGTAAAAATTTCTACTATATTTTTACTGTAAACATGAAAAGAAGCTAAAACTGTTTTTACATCTTGAACTTTCATCTTTGTTCTGTATTTTCTGCCCTGTACTCGCTGGATTAGGCAATCAGGAGGCATGCAAAGCTGTCATGAGGAGAAAATTCATGCTGCAATGGGAAAGTCACACTTTTGGAAAATTTCATTATAAATTTTTTCGTGACGTTTCGTCAGATGTGTTCTACATACTTCAATTAGCCTATGATTCTACCAGCTATTATTCAGCAAACAATCTCAATGTGTTCCTGATGGGAGAGAGAGCATCTGGAAAAACTATTGTTATAAATCTGGCTGTGTTGAGGTGGATCAAGGGTGAGATGTGGCAGAACATGATCTCGTACGTCGTTCACCTCACTGCTCACGAAATAAACCAGATGACCAACAGCAGCTTGGCTGAGCTAATCGCCAAGGACTGGCCTGACGGCCAGGCTCCCATTGCAGACATCCTGTCTGATCCCAAGAAACTCCTTTTCATCCTCGAGGACTTGGACAACATAAGATTCGAGTTAAATGTCAATGAAAGTGCTTTGTGTAGTAACAGCACCCAGAAAGTTCCCATTCCAGTTCTCCTGGTCAGTTTGCTGAAGAGAAAAATGGCTCCAGGCTGCTGGTTCCTCATCTCCTCAAGGCCCACACGTGGGAATAATGTAAAAACGTTCTTGAAAGAGGTAGATTGCTGCACGACCTTGCAGCTGTCGAATGGGAAGAGGGAGATATATTTTAACTCTTTCTTTAAAGACCGCCAGAGGGCGTCGGCAGCCCTCCAGCTTGTACATGAGGATGAAATACTCGTGGGTCTGTGCCGAGTCGCCATCTTATGCTGGATCACGTGTACTGTCCTGAAGCGGCAGATGGACAAGGGGCGTGACTTCCAGCTCTGCTGCCAAACACCCACTGATCTACATGCCCACTTTCTTGCTGATGCGTTGACATCAGAGGCTGGACTTACTGCCAATCAGTATCACCTAGGTCTCCTAAAACGTCTGTGTTTGCTGGCTGCAGGAGGACTGTTTCTGAGCACCCTGAATTTCAGTGGTGAAGACCTCAGATGTGTTGGGTTTACTGAGGCTGATGTCTCTGTGTTGCAGGCCGCGAATATTCTTTTGCCGAGCAACACTCATAAAGACCGTTACAAGTTCATACACTTGAACGTCCAGGAGTTTTGTACAGCCATTGCATTTCTGATGGCAGTACCCAACTATCTGATCCCCTCAGGCAGCAGAGAGTATAAAGAGAAGAGAGAACAATACTCTGACTTTAATCAAGTGTTTACTTTCATTTTTGGTCTTCTAAATGCAAACAGGAGAAAGATTCTTGAGACATCCTTTGGATACCAGCTACCGATGGTAGACAGCTTCAAGTGGTACTCGGTGGGATACATGAAACATTTGGACCGTGACCCGGAAAAGTTGACGCACCATATGCCTTTGTTTTACTGTCTCTATGAGAATCGGGAAGAAGAATTTGTGAAGACGATTGTGGATGCTCTCATGGAGGTTACAGTTTACCTTCAATCAGACAAGGATATGATGGTCTCATTATACTGTCTGGATTACTGCTGTCACCTGAGGACACTTAAGTTGAGTGTTCAGCGCATCTTTCAAAACAAAGAGCCACTTATAAGGCCAACTGCTAGGTGAGTCTTTAAAAAATAAATCCTCTTTCCTGTCTTCCTAAGACCTGCCCATAATTCTAGAGCTTGTTGACCAGAACAAGACAAACTCGGGGCCATGAAGAACTTGACTTCCAATCTAGCTTCTAATTAGACCAGTGACTTAAATCTCTCTGCTTCTGTTTAAACTCAAAGTTTGAGTTAAACCTCAGCACTGTTGAAGTTTTGGGCCAGCTATTCTTTGTGGTGGGGGTCTATCTTGCACATTGTAAGAGGTTTAGCAGTATCTCTGGTCTCTCCTGTGGCCAGTAGGGTCCCCTTTTCCCCGTTTGTGACAGCAACAAAAATCTTATACATCACCAAATGTCTGCTTAGCGGCAGAATTGCCTCATTGCAAACCAGTGGTTTAACCTAATTTCTTCAGATCTGTTGTATAGATTAAAAAGAAATAAACCTTGTATTGTTACATTATAGGAGTATTCATGATAGCACAAAACATGCAACATTGATTTTTAATATTGAAGTTTAAAAATATTTAATAATCTCGCATTTAAAGGCCCTGCACTCAGATGTGTCTTATCAGAATATGGAATCACCAGCTACTTTAATGGATCTGAGTGTTGTTCATTCATGTTTGACCCTACTTTATTTCTTGCTGCATGGTATTAAATCTGAGTCAGACAACAGGCACTCTCAAAACATACTTTAATTTACATGTTTTACAAATTGCTGGAGTTGAATCGATTCCATTGGAAAACTCAATTTTTCTTCTATGTAGTCAAATGAAGAGCCTTGTCTACTGGAGAGAGATCTGCTCTCTTTTTTATACAATGGAGAGCCTCCGGGAGCTGCATATCTTTGACAATGACCTTAATGGTATTTCAGAAAGGATTCTGTCTAAAGCCCTGGAGCATTCTAGCTGTAAACTTCGCACACTCAAGTAAGTACTATATCAACCTCTGCCTTAGAGGTTCCCCTAGGAATAACGGTGGTCTTTTTCTTTCTCTGGGAGAAGACAATATACAAAACACACTTTCAGGTCAGGCTCATCAGGGCCTAGGCTCCTTCTGTACTTCTCAACCATCTTTAGTGTGTCTATGATAAAGATGACCTTAGGCCACAGTAGCATCTGAGGTCCCAGCCATCATGGCTGCCTTCAAGGCAGGAAGCAACAGAAGGGAGAAGGAAAGGTTTATCTAGAAGCTTCAGGAGCTTCCTTGATGGAGTCTTTTCAAAACTCTTTCTTGTATCACTTCTGCTTGCATCTCATTGGCCTGTTTACCTTGTCTTCATACGGCTTCATATAACTACAAAGGGGGACTGGGAAAGTAGTCTCTTGGAATCAGGAAGAAATAGTAACAAGTGGGTTTATCCTAAGGAAGAAAGCAAAAATGGGTCAGGGTAGGAGTCTAACAGTTTCTTTCCTACAGAATGCGTTAGAATCAGGTGAAAAGCAGCTGTACTTGCCTAAACAGTCACTGGGAAAATTAGTATTTATCTGAGTTTATAATAGCTCTATAGGAAATGGCACTAAAATATTCAGTACACATCAACATATATGATCTTAGGATTCTGGAAGCCCAGGAGTTAACTTTATTTTCATTCAAGAAGAATGCCTACTTTGTTTGAGGTGCTAGTCTAAGCACTAGGATATATCAATGGGGGGAAAAAAGACAAATTTCCTTGTTTGCTATCTGATGAGACAGAATATAGGCAGACATAATAAGTACACGCATTTTAAAGTATTTTAGGATAATGGTGTTACGGGGGGAAAAGAATGGCAAGGTCAGGGTGCATAAGTGGGTATTTAGGGGTGTGGGAGGGTACAGGCTGTAGTAATAAGTTCCACAGAGAAAGTGAGATTTGAGCAAAGACTTGAATGAGGTGAAAGAATGAGCCAGATAAACTGTTGGTCATCCCCTGGGATGGGAGGGATCCATGAAACAAAGGCTTTGAGTTCAGAGACCTACATGTTTAGACCAGTGTGAGGCAGGAAGGGTATTACGGAGATGGCTCACAAGTATGTATGGCATGATCATGGTGTTGTAAACCAGTGTCAGGACTGGGTTTTCTGGAGTGAGGTGAGGCATTTTGAGGGGTTTTGAGCAGAGATGCCATAATTTAGCTTGCATTTTAAGAAGCTCATTCTGGATACCGCGTTTAAAAATGGCCAATCGGGGAGCATAGGGCAGAATCTGAAAGCTCAGAGGAGGCTCTTTTTCTTGGCATTTGCCAGGTGAGAATCAATGGTGCCTCTGAGGGTGTGAATAGTAGAGGTTGGTGAGGTGCGAACTCCGGGGCATATGTTGACAAAGGATGATTCCTTGATTAAATCTAGACTAGGAGAGAGAATTGTCCCAAGATCTTTGTTTTGAAAACTGCCATGTGAGAGTTGCCACTGAGTTGGGAAATGACGGCGAGAGCCAGAATCTGAGGAAGGTCAGTCTAAAGTTGTTTGAGCTAAAGCTGTGATGTCTATTAGGTGTCCAGAGAGCAGTGTGTAATGTTTCTGAACTGAAGGTAAAATGTGGGTGTCGTTCATGTATACATGTGTATAACACAAATGTGTATTTAAAGCCAAGGACTGAGTTCACCAAGGATAGGAATGTTGCTCAGGAAGCAAAACGATCCAAAGACTGATGCCCGGAGTTCTCCAACATAAAGTGATTGGGGAGAAAAGCAGAAACTAGCGAAGGCCTTTGAGGGAGTGGTCATTAGGCTAGAAGGTAAAGTAAAGGGTGTGGTATCCTCGGATCCCAGTGAGGCAAGTTTCCCAACGAAGGAAAGGTCAACTGTGTCAGATGGCAGTCCTTATTCAAGGAGACTGAAGACTGAGAATTGGCCAATGACATTAGCAAGGTAGAAGTCATTGTTGGCCAAGAACAGTTCTGGAAGGGTAGTGAGAGCAGAAAAGCCTAATTGAAAATGATGAAAGGAGAACTGAAGACTTTTAGGGCGGGTGCAGTGGCTCATGCCTGTAATCCCAGCACTTTGAGAGGCTGAGGCGGGTGGATCACTTGAGGTTGGGAGTTCGAGACCAGCCTGGCCAACATGGTGAAACCCCATCTCTACTAAAAACACAAAAATTAGCCGGGTGTGGCGGCATGCAACTGTAATCCCAGCTACTTGGGAGGCTGAGGCAGGAGAATCGCTTAAACCCGGGAGGCGCAGGCCACGGTGAGCTGAGATTGTGGCACTGCACTCCAGCCTGGGTGACAGAGTGAGACTCCATTGTGTGTATTTAAAAAAAAAAACAAAACCTTAAACAGTTTTGTTGCAACATGGGGCAAAGACTTGGGAGAGAAGTTGTTTGTGTAAAATGGGGATCAGGAGAATTGCTAGGTAAAGGACTCTGAAAATACGGCAACATGGAAAACATCCAGTCTCCCACCGAGTCGCCACATAGGCTGGGAAGTAAATTAAAAGGGCTTCCCGTGTGTTCTATGCCTGGATTTGCCATAGGATCCTCAATCCTCCAAGGGTTGGCCAGCTTCCACATTTCCCTTCCCGTCTCTTTCCTTTAATGTTGAGTTGGAGATTCCTAACTCTTTTCTCTAGGTGGCCCTTAGAGACAATGACCAAAGCTGTTGCCCTGATGTCCTGCTGCAACTCCAAGGGAGTAATGAGAAATGTTCTTCCGGGGTTGGGGGTGAGGGCCGGTGGTGGTGGTGGGACTCTAGGACAACTTCTTTTTCCTCAATGAAATTGTGAATTATTTGTTATTATTTTTTGAGTCAGCGTCTTGCTCTGTCACCCAGGCTAGAGTGCAGTGCGTGATCTCAGCTCACTGCAACCTCCACCTGCAGGGTTCAAGCGATTCTTCTGTCTCAGCCTCCTGAGTAGCTGGGACTAGAGGTGCACGCCACCACGCCTGGCTAATTTTTGTATTTTAAATAGAAACAGGGTTTCACTATGTTAGCCAGGATGGTCTCGATTTCTTGACCTCGTGATCCACCTGTCTCGGCCTCCCAAAGTGCTGAGATTACAGGGGTGAGCCACCGCACCCAGCCGTGAATTGTTATTTTTTTAACTTCAGGTTCAGTGGTACATGTGCAAGTTTGTTTATGTAGGTAAACTTGTGTCACAGGTTTGACGTACATATTTTGTATATAGACTATAAGACTGTACGCCCAGCTACTAAGCCTAGTACTCATTTATTTTTTCCTGATCCTCTCCCTCCTCCCCTCAAGTACACCTCAGTGTCTGTTGTTCTCCTCTTCAGGTCCATGAGTTCTCATCATTTAGCTCCCTCTTACAAGCGAGAACATGCAGTATTTGGTTCTGTTCCTGTGATAGTTTGCTAAGGATAATGGCCTCCAACTCCATATTCCTGCCCCCGCCAAAAAAAAAAAATGCTCTCTTTTTTATGGCTGCATAGTATTCCATGGTATATATGTATCACGTTTATCCAATCTTGTTGCTAGGCATTAGGTTGATTGCATGTCTTTGCTATTGTGAATAGTGCTGCATTGAACATTCATGTGCATGTATCTTTTTGGTAGAATAACTTGTATTCCTTTGGGTATATACCCAGTAATGGGATTGCTGGGTCAAATGGTAGTTCTGCTTTTAGCTCTTTGAGGAATCACTACACTGCTTTCCGCAATGGTCGAATTAATTTACACTCCCACCAACAGTGGGAACATCCTTGCCAGCATCTGTTTTATTTATACACACACACACATATATATATATACATAATTTGTTTTTCGAGGTGGAGTCTTGCTCTGTCACCCAGGCTAGGGTGCAGTGGCACAATCTCGGCTCACTGCAACCTCCACTTCCCAGGTTCAAGTGATTGTTCTGCCTCAGCCTCCTGAGTAGCTGGGATTACAGACATGCACCACCAAGCTGGCTAATTTTTTGTATTTTTGGTAGAGACGGGGTTTCACCATGTTGGCCAGACTGGTTTCAAACTCCTGACCTCAAGTGATCCACCCACCTTGGCCTCCCAAAGTGCTAGGATTACAGGCATGAGCCTCCACGCCCAGCCTGTTATTTTTTGATTCTTAAATCGTAGCCATTCTGACTGGTGTAAGATGGTATCTCGTGGTTTTGATTTGCTTTTCTCTAATGATCAGTGACATTGAGCTTGTTTTCATATGCTTGTTGTCTGCATGTATGTCACCTTCTGAAAACTGTCTGTTATACCCTTTGCCCACTTTTTAATGAGGTTATCTTTTTCTTGTAAATTTAAGTTCCTTATAGATGCGGGTATTAGACGTTTGTCAGATGCATTGTTTGCAAAGGTTTTCTCCCATTCTGCAGGTTGACTGTTTGCTCTGATAGTTTCTTTTGCTGTACAGAAGCACTTCTGTTTAATTACTTCCCATTTGTCATTTTTTGCTTTTGTTGCAATTGTTCTTGGTATCTTCATGATGAAATCTTTGCCCATTCCTATGTCCAGAATGGTATTGCCTAGTTTTTGTTTTGTTTTGTTTGTTTTTGTTTTTATAACGGAATCTTGCTCTGTTCCCCAGTACAGTGGCATGATCTCGGCTCACTGCAACCTCCGCCTCCCAGGTTCAAGTGCTTCTCCTGCCTCAGCCTCCCAAGTAGTTGAGACTACAGGCACCCGCCACCACGCCCAGCTAATTTTTGTGTTTTTAGTAGAGGCAGGGTTTCACTATGTTGGCCAGGCTGGTCTTGAACTCCTGACCTTGTGATCTGCCCATCTGAGTCTCCCAAAGTGCTGGGATTACAGGCATGAGTCACTGTGCCCAGCGCCTCCAAGTTTTTAATAGTTTTGCACTTCATTTTGTCTGTAATCCATCTTGAGTTGGTTTTTGTATGTGGTGTGAAGAAGGCATTCAGTTTCAGTCTTCTGCATATGACTAGCCAGTTACCCCAGCACCATTTATTGAAAAGGGAGTCTTTTCTCCACTGCTTGTCTTTGTCAGCTTTGTTGAAGATCAGACGGTTGTAGTTGTGTGGCCTCATTTCTGGGTTCTCTATTCTGTTCTGTTGGTCTATGTGTCTGTTTTTGTACCAGTACCATGCTGTTTTGGTTATCATAGCCCTATAGTATAGTTGGAAATCAGGTAGCGTGATGCCTCCAGCTTTGTTCTTTTTGCTTAGGATTGATTGTCTTGGGTATTGGGGCTCTTTTTTTGTTCTATATGAACTTTAAATAGTTCTTCTAGTTTCTGTGAAGAATGCCATTGGTAATTTCATAGGAATAGCATTGAATCTGTAAATTGCTTTGGGCAGTATGGCCATTTTAACAATATTGATTCTTCTCTCCATGAGCATGGAATGTTTTTTCCATTTGTTTGTGTCATCTGATCTCTTTGAGCAGTGTTTTGTAATTCTCCTTTTGATCTTTCACCTCTCTGGTTAGCTGTATTCCTAGGTATTCTTTGTGAGCAATTGTGGATAGAATTACATTTCCGATTTGGCTCTCAGCTTGGCTGTCGTTGGTGTATAGGAATGCTAGTGATTTTTGTACATTGATTTTATTTTTTTCTTTTTGTATCCTGAAACTTTTGCAGTTTATCAGCTGAAGATTTGGGGCTGAGACTATGGGGTTTTCTGGATATGGAATCATGTCATCTGCAAACAGTGATAGTTTGACTTCTTCTCTTCCTATTTGGATGCCATTTATTTCTTCCTCTTGCCTGATTGCTCTGGCTGGGACTGCTGAAACGGAGTAATTTACATGTGGTTGATTGTGTGGCTATTATCAGCCATCAGCATATTTTGTCTTTTGCTCTCAGTGTAGAAAAACATGGTTAAACTTGTGCATGTGGATGTATCTTAATATCTTTGTGCATGTGGATGTATTCTTAGTATCCGGCTTGTGGGTCCCACTTAAGAAAGGTCATGAGGTGAACACACCATAAAGACCCAGGGGATTACTTCAAAGTCAACAGGCTGACCTTGGAATTAGCAATAGTCTTCTGACCTGACTAGAAATTTAAGATCGAGAGCCATGTGTGAGGATGTAATCCACTGAGAATCTTTGTTACAGGATGAAGTGAGGCAGGCAGGAGAAATTGTGGAGAAGATGTTCAGACCTTCACTAGTGCTTTCCTGCTATTATGTCTTCCACAGGTTGTCCTATGTCTCGACTGCTTCTGGTTTTGAAGACTTACTCAAGGCTTTGGCTCGTAATCGGAGCCTGACATACCTGAGTATCAACTGTACGTCCATTTCCCTAAATATGTTTTCACTTCTGCATGACATCCTGCACGAGCCCACATGCCAAATAAGTCATCTGAGGTGAGTTGTTGCTCGGCTGAAAGCTCAGTGCATGTGAGGGGAATGCCTGGGTGTTGGTGGATAGAGGTGCCCCTTCAATAACACTACCTGCTCCTACCTTTTGATGTCACTCATTCCTCAATTTTTTTAGCACGTGGTTTGTTTCTTTCACCAACATTATTCCTGCCTTTTGATTTCAATTTCTACATTGATATTTCATATAACATGGCTTCTCCCTCCCTTGACTGATATTTCTCTAATGATCTAATTCCTCTGGTCATTCTGAAGTAGACTACTGGTCAAACCCTAAAACACTGTCTAGTGGAAATTATTCAAGCCACAAACTGAAATTTTCCAGTAGCCACATTAAAAAGTAAAAGGAAGCAAGTGAAACTAATTTTTTTTTTTTTTTTGAGATGGAGTTTCGCCCTTGTTGCCCAGGCTAGAGTGCAGTGGCACAGTCTCAGCTCACCGCAACCTCTGACTTCCAGGTTCAAGTGATTCTTTTGCCTCAGCCTCCCAAGTAGCTGGGATTTCAGGTATGTGCCACCATGCCCAGCTAATTTTGTATATTTAGTAGAGACAGGGTTTCTCCATGTTGGTCAGGCTTGTCTCAAACTCCCAACCTCAGGTGATCCACAGGCCTCAGCCTCCCAAAGTGCTGAGATTACAGGTGTGAGCCACTGTGCCCAGCCTTGAAACTAATTTTAACAGTATTTAACCCAGCATATCAAATTATATCCATATGTCATTAATGCAAAAAGCTATTGATGTGATTTTATATTCCCTTTTTTGTAAAAGGCTGCAGAACCCAGTATTTCACAGAGAACATCGCCGCTCGGGCACATTTTCATCAGAAATGTTTGACCTCCGTATTGATTTCATAAAATTTACAATTGAGAGAACTAATTCACATGCCCGTGTCCTAAACATACTTAAATCTTCCAATAATTTGGAATCAACCTTTAAATTTAAACTAGCCAAGCCTGGTAGCTCATGCCTATAATCCCAGCGCTTTGGGAGGCAGAGGATGTGGATCACTTGAGGTCAGGAATTCAAGAGTTCGAGACCAGCCTGGCCAACATAGTGAAACTCTACCTCTACTAAAAATACAAAAATTAGCCAGGCATGGTAGCAGGTGCCTGTAATCCCAGCTATGCGAGAGGGTGAAGCAAGATAATCGCTTGAACCCAGGAGGCAGATGTTGCAGTGAGCTGAGATGGCGCCGCTGCACGTTCCAGCCTGGGCAACAAGAGCAAAACTCCATCTCAATAAATAAATAAATGAATAATAAATTCCAATGTAAATGTAGTAAAACTAACAATCCAGTGCCTCAGTCATGCTAGCCACGCTTTGAGTGCTCAGTAGCTCTACTTGCTGGTGACTCAATATTGGATAATACCACTTGCTAGACTTCATCTCCAATAAGTACATTTCGCTTGTACTCTCAATTTCAAGTACCTCATGCTCTAACGGCACCTCCTGTATTCTCAAGCTGCTTTGTCTTGTAAGCAAATCTTCCCACCCTTTAATCCTACTGCGTCCTTCAGCCATTTGAGCAGCAGCTTCCCACCCTTTCACCCCCTTCATCCCTTTCTTTTTGTTTTTGTTTTCATTTTTGTTTTGAGACAGAGTTTCACTCTTTTTGCCCTGGCTGGAGTGCAGTGGTGTGATCTCAGCTCACTAAAACCTCCGCCTCCCGGGTTTAAGCGATTCTCCTGCCTCAGCCTCCCGAGTAGCTGGCATTACAAGAGCTTGCCACCACGTATGGCTAATTTTTGTGTTTTTAGTAGAGATGGGGTTTCACCATGTTGGCCAGGCTGGTCTCCCACCCACCTCAGCCTCCCAAAGTGCTGGAAGCCACTGCACCCAGCCCCTCACTTTCTTTCTGACATAGTTCAAATTCCATGGTTCTTGAGAGTCATTGCCTTCCACCTCACTCAGCATCCCTTCTCCCTATCACATTCTCCCAGCTAAATCCCAACTCTGTTGCCACTTTGTAGTTAGCCTCTCCCCTACCTCAATGCCCCCCTCCCCAAACTCCTTTCATCTTGGAACACATTTTCCTCTTGGCCTTTGGTTTTTCCCAAACCTTGATTATTCCTCCTCAGTCATCTTTACTTGTTTTTCATCTTCCTGGACTCTTATCTTTGGGATATTTCCAAGTGGTTCTAAATGTCTTTTCTATACCCCTTCTATGAGTTCTTATTCATGGCATTAAGTAGCCTCTATGTGATGAAGACTCTTAGGTACTTATTTACAAACATTTCTCCTGGTTTCAGACTCAGTGAAGTATTTGTAGAGATATCAACTTTGATATTTATTTATGAGACAAAGTCTTGCTGTCACCTAGGCTGGAGTCCAGTGGGGTGATCTCGGCTCACTTCAACCTCTGCCTCCCGGGTTCAAGCAATTTTCATGCCTCACCCTCCCAAGTAGCTGGGACCACAGGGGTACACCACCACACCCAGCTAACTTTTATATTTTTGGTAGAGACAGGGTTTTGCCATGTCAGCTAGGCTGGTCTCAAACTCCTGACCTCACGTGATCTGCCCACCTCAGCCTCTTACTTTGATATTTAAATAGGCATTTCAAATACAGATTTTCTTGTGGCCTGGCTTAGACAAATTTTCTAGGTCTGTTGTTAGAGTGGATCCATCTGACTCCTTCCTGCTTCCTTTACTGCTAAGCATGATAGACCAACCCATCTCCCACCTATCTGCAGTACTTCAGCATCTTCCTACCTGTCCACACCTTTGCTTGCTACATGGAAAAGAGTGTAGAAGGGCAACTTTCATCTAGTTTGGATTGTTTTGTTTTCCGGTGTGTGTGTGTGTGTGAGTGTGTGTGTGTGTGTTTGAAGCAAAACATAGCTTTATTTTTTGATATATCAGTTTTACTACAAGGGTAGACTTAACTCTTTTTAGTTTACTTTTAGCTTCAGGGATGCGTGTTCAGGTTTGTTACACAGGTAAACTTGTGTCATGGGAGTTAGTGCAGATTATTTCATCACCCACGTACTAAGCCTAGTACCTCATAGATATTTTTATTTTTTCTGATCCTATCCTCTGAATCTCAGCCCTCAAGTCGGCCCCAGTGTGTATTGTTCCCCTCTATGTGTCCATGTGTTCTCATCATTTAGCTCCCATCTGTAAGTGAGAACATGTGGTATTTGGTTTTCTGTCCTTATGTTAGTTTGCTAAGGATAATGGCAATCTAAGTCAGATCTTGTGACTCTGTCCTTTTAATCTTCAGGCCCTCAACGGCTTTCACTTTCATTCCAAATAGAATACACAGGCCAACGCGACGGCTCACGCCTGGAATCCCAACACTTTGGGAGGCCGAGGCGGGCAGATCACCTGAGGTAAGGCGTTCCAGACAGCCTGACCAACATGGCGAAACCTCGTCTCTACTAAAAATGCAAAATTATCCAAGTATGATGGCGCATGCCTGTAATCCCAGCTACTCGGGAGTCTCAGGCAGGAGAATCACTTGAACCTGGGAGGCGGAGGTTGCGGTGAGCCGAGATCACACCATTGCACTCCACCAGCCTGGGTGACAAGGGCAAAACTCCATCTCAAAAAAAAAAAAAATAATAATAATATAGAATACACCATTTCACGCTGGGTGGCCCTGGCTAACCCTCTCCCCATCTCCTGTTTATGTACCGTGCTGCGGCTGCACTGTTTGTTGTAGATGTTTAAAACACCAAACCTGCTCCTGCTTCTGACTCTTTCCACTCATTTCCTCTGACAGAAATTCCCTTGTCCTAGAGATTCAGAGCTTGCCCTCTTCTCTCAAGTTTCTGTTAAAATTCTTCTACCTTATTTAAGTCAGAGCTTCTGACTCTTCTGTCCTCTAATCTTCAAACCCTCAAGGGCTTCCATTTCATTCAAAATAGAATACACAGGCCAAGTACGATGGCTCAGTGAGAGTCTTCGCTCAGTGCCTGCCCCATAAGGAAGTAGAATACATCCTTTTCTTTCTCTATGACCTACTCTGATTTACTTTCTATAAAGAACTGATCATCTACTAGGCACATGATACATTCAGCCCTGTCTTTACAATGCTAGAATTCCATCGTATTTCTTCCAGTTTTCTGCTGTATCCCAGGAACTTCATACAATGCCTGAAAATAACAATATTTGTTAGTTGAAAGATGGTTATTATTCAAAATCCTCATTGAAGAAGAGAATATTGAGTGACAAGTTGAAGAAAGTGAGACAGCAAACCATGCAGCTATCTGGGGAAAGATCACTTATTTTTATTCTACTTATTTTATTTATTTTTTTTTAGAGATGCGTCTTGCTCAGTTGTCCAGGCTGAAGTGCATTGGTATGATCATAGCTCACTGCAGCCTCGAACTCCTGAGTTCAAGTGATCCGCCCACCTCAGTCTCCCAAGTAGCTGGGACTATAGTCGTGCACCACCACTCCTGGATAATTTAAGGAAAAAAACTTTTTTTAAAAAATAGGGTCCCATGGGGAAAATCACTAAGTAGAGATAAGGGTACTAGACACTAAAGCAAAAATATGCTTGTGGACTTGAGGGAGAGTGAGGAGATCAGGGAGGATGGTACAGAATGAGTAATGAATAGAAAGTTAGACCGGACACAGTGGCTCATGCCTGTAATCGCAGCACTTTGGGAGGCCGAGGCGGGTGGATCCCCTGAGGCCGGGAGTTCAAGACCAGCCTGGCCAACATGGTGAAACCTGGTGTCTACTAAAAATACAAACATTAGCCGGGTGTGGTAACGCATGCCTGTAATCCCAGCTACTCGGGAGGCCGAGGCAGGAGAATCGCTTAAAAACCCGGGAGGCAGAGGTTGCAGTGAGCCGAGATCGCACCATTGCACTCCAGCCTGGGCGACAGAGCAAGACTCCATCTCAAAAAAAAAAAGAAAATAGAGATAGTTGAGAGCCAGAGCATGTGGGGCACCCAAGGCTATGCAGAAAAAACATCAGAAGTCCTTGTAAATGTGATGGTAAGTTGAGGGTCTTGATCAGATTTATAAATGTGATCGTACCCACATCCCATGGTCAGGTGGGATGCTTGATACCTGACTTACCGTTCTGAACCATCACCCTGGAAACCACATGGAGATGAATGCAAAAGAGGAAGGAACTGCCTGCTCACAGCCCTTCGTGAATCTGTAACCTTGCCCAAATTTGAACTCTGAGGAGTGGCATAGGGAGAAGAAAGGTTAGAAGCAAAGGGATCTATTTATTTCCAAGTAGACATCATCGCACTTGGTTAGGTCTCTCTTTTTTTTTTTTTTTAATTTAAAAGAGGGGATAGCTTAAACGCGGGAGCCTCTTTTCATTTCTGAATTCCTCTTACAGCTTGATGAAATGTGATTTGCGAGCCAGCGAATGTGAAGAAATCGCCTCTCTCCTCATCAGTGGCGGGAGTCTGAGAAAACTGACCTTATCCAGCAATCCGCTGAGGAGCGACGGGATGAACATACTGTGTGATGCCTTGCTTCATCCCAACTGCACTCTTATATCACTGGTGTAAGTTGGCTTAGACGAGCTCACCACGTAGAAGCTCAGACTGACTTGAATATCTAAGCACATGATCAAAGAGCAGTGGTGGGGAAAGGGACAGCAAAGCAAAGCAGCCGAAAGCACAGTCTTTGGAGTTCAGTAGGTCTGGGTTAATACTCTGGGTTGACAGCTGATTTGCGAAACGTTGGCAAAAATGTTTCTGGATTTTTTTTCAACTTGTATTTCTCAATCTGGACAGTGGAGTCATAACATGACCAAACATACATCTTTGGAGATAAGAGTTAAAAATGGTGGTCACGGCCGGACGCGGTGGCTCACGCCTGTAATTCCAGTACTTTGGGAGGCCGAGGCAGGCGGATCACAAGGTCAGGAGTTCAAGACCAGCCTGGCCAACACAGTGAAACCCTGTCTCTACTAAAAATACAAAAATTAGCCGGGCGTGGTGGCGGGTACCTGTAGTCCCAGCTGCTTGAGAGGCTGAGGCAAGAGACTTGCTTGAACCCGGGAGGCGGAGGTTGCAGTGAACCGAGATTGTGCCACTGCACTCCAGCCTGGGTGACAGAGCGAGGCTCTGTCTCAAAAAAAATAAAAAATAAAAAATGGTGGTCACAACATTCTAAACACAGCACCTAGGCCATAGCAACTGACTTTCTAAGAGCAGGGAACCTATATTGT
The DNA here is from genome assembly GCF_000001405.40 of Homo sapiens. Taxonomy (NCBI): domain Eukaryota; kingdom Metazoa; phylum Chordata; class Mammalia; order Primates; family Hominidae; genus Homo; species Homo sapiens. The sequence continues at coordinate 55,795,410 of NC_000019.10, read as the reverse complement.
TCTCACAGTGAACACGTGAACTGGGTGTCGTGTAGGATGAGATGTGACTGAGAACACAAAGACGAAAGCAAAGGAAAGGTTTGGTGCTAGATTGCCTTGAAATAGGATTTTTTCCCCTGAGTCTCCTTTCAAGAAGGTGGAAGACGGGCTCTCCCTGTATGTAACCGACTGTGGGTTACTCGTAGGTAAGCTCTGTCTGCTCTGGGAAAGTGGCTAGAAAGGCAGACTTCCGGAAGGTTGGGGCATGGCAAACACGATGAAAGATGGCAAAAAAGTGGCAAAAGTGAGGCATAAAGGTACAAAAATGAAGGGCGGAGATCTGTAAAACATGGTCAGAAAACAAAACAGTAAGTAGCTCGGTGTATTTAAGGACATGATTCCCCGTTCACAATTCCAAATTCCAAAAAGACAAAAGAATGCAGTAGGTCATCTTGTTTTTTTGTTTCGCCCATTTTTGGCTCCCTTTAGCTCCTTTCGCCCCCTTTTTAGGACTTGCTAGATTCCAAAACATAATACAAACTGATATAATATTCTTTATATTCTTTATATTTTCTGTAAAAAATACTTGTTTGATTGCAGGATAACACCAGAAACTCCTGTTCATATTATGTAATATCGCATTATGTATGCTTTTATTTATTTTTTTTTTTTGAGACGGAGTCTCGCTGTATTGCCCAGGCTGGAGTGCGGTGGCGCGATCTCGGCTCACTGCAAGCTCCGCCTCCCGGGTTCACGCCATTCTCCTGCCTCAGCCTCCCGAGTAGCTGGGACCACAGGCACCCGCCACCACGCCTGGCTAATTTTTTGTATTTTTAGTAGAGACGGGGTTTCACCGTGTCAGCCAGGATGGTCTCGATCTCCTGACCTCGTGATCCACCCACTTCAGCCTCCCAAGGTGCTGGGATTACAGATGTGAGCCACTGTGTCCAGCCATGTCTTTAAAATCTCAAATTGTTCTAAGATCCATGTGGCCCCAGATAAATCCAGTAAGTAATTGTCAATATGAGCTAATTTTGTTGTAAAAGAAGGTCTCATGAAAAAAGGGACAGACCATTGGTTCAATAATCAGACTCCAAATAGATATTTTTTTCATCTCATATCTACAAGTTTTTTGTTTCCTGCTAGATTTTTTCTTTTTTTCTTTTCCCACTGGTTCCAGGTATAATTTACATATCAGAAAATTCATCCACTTAAGGTACACATTCGATGTTTTTTATGCATATTTAGAGTTGTACAACACTACAATATAATTTTAGAACATTTTTATCACCTTAGATTGTTGGCATGGAGTTTTTCGTAGTTCATACCTGTATTTAAAATAATCCAGATATACTAAGCAAAAAATATTTGTTTTGGTAACTTATTTTAAATAGGCAAGGAATTTCTAAGCCTAAGAACGTGAAAGAAATCACAGTAGTCTGAGGAAAACACCTGTAAAAGGCCAAATTTATGGTCGTGACCAAATCTGACAGCTGGAAAATAGTATGCAAATGAGTTGATAGTGCTGGTTTCTACGAGGACAACAGGGAACTTCTCTAGCTCATTCTTAGTCTTAACTTTTACTTGTACATATAATTTAAAATAAGCACGCATTAGTATACAAAGGAAAACCTAGCCCATTTCACGTGTCAAACCCAAATTAAAATAACTACATATACATTTTCCGATCATTTTAAAGCACAAAAATCATTCTAAGCTTGCAGCTGTGCAAAAGCAGGGAGGGGCCAGGTTTGGTGTGCTGCCAGCCTCTGGTCTAGTGTACCCTTTTCCCATACCAGAGCCAAGATTCAGTATTTCCAACCAATAAATTGGTTGTTTTCAACTTTTTTTTTTTTTTTTTTTTTTTTTTTTTTTGGAGACAGTCACCCAGGCTGGAGTGCAGTGGTGCAATCTCGGCTCACTTCAACCTCCACCTCTCCGGTTCAGGCAGTTCTCCTGCCTCAGCCTCCCAAGTAGTTGGGACTACAGGTGCACACCACTATGCCGGCTAATTTTTGTATTTTTAGCAGAGACGGGGTTTCACCATGTTGACCAGGCTAGTCTCGAAGTCCTGAACTCAGGTGATCTTCCTGTCTCCCCCTCCCAAGGTGCCAGGATTACAGGTGTGAACCACCGTGCCCGGCCTATTTCCAACTTTTTAACCCCTTCCCTGTTTAGGAAAAAAGTGCAGCTCACTGCCAGTGCAGTATTCCCAGGGCAAACAGAAAACGGGTTAAAAAAAATAGAGATTCGGCCGGGTGTGGTGGCTCACGCCTATAATTCCGGCACTTTGGGAGGCCAAGGCAGGCGGATCACTTGAGCCCAGGAGTTCAAGACCAGCCTGGGCAACACAGTGAGACCCCCATCTCTATTTTTAAAAATTATTTAAAAATAAATAATGGAAAAAAAAATAGAGGCTGGAAATCCAGATTAGGATTGAGTAAACTTCCACATATTGGCAACGAGCTAAACCTGGACAGACAAAACGGGATACCACAAAATGGGCTAACAACAGGGCTTCTGGTGTGCCGTCTGTCTCCACTTTTTCCCAGTTTAAAAAAATCTTCAACAGTTCCTGTATTCACTTATAAATAATAAAGTAACTCTTTCAAAGTGAGTTTTTAAACTGAAAATCCTAGGATTCAATTTAGCCAAATATACTTTATCAAACGATGGGAGAAACCAAGTTCCAGAAGTAACGTCTATAAGATTATTCCGTTAGTAGAAGTTGGAGTTAGATTTTTCTCATGCCCTGTTCTGCATCATCCATTCTGTATTTCAGCCTCTGCACTATTTGGGGTACTTCTAATCTCCTTTTCCAAATAAGAAAGTCATTGGTAGAGATTTGGGGCAATGGCAGTAGAAGGCATCGAGGCGCCCGTGGGCGTGGGGTGGGTGGTCTCAGGTGCTCCCCTCTCTGGTGCTCACACTGTCACTGACTCACTCTTCTCTGTGTGCAGGTTAGTCTTCTGCTGTCTCACTGAAAATTGCTGCAGCGCCCTTGGAAGAGTGCTTCTGTTCAGCCCAACTCTAAGACAACTAGACCTGTGTGTGAATCGCTTAAAAAATTACGGAGTGTTGCATGTGACGTTTCCCTTGCTGTTTCCAACCTGTCAGTTAGAGGAGCTTCAGTAAGTCTCCCACAGTTGTCCTGGATGACTGTGTTTCTACTGCATGAGGGCTTGGGTGGTGGGGTTGGTGGCAGGGATAAGATTCCAGTGATGGCATCATGGGTGATAGGGGTACGGGAGCATGGGCTCCCCAGAATAGGCGACATGAAAGCACGGTAAGATTCATTGGCAAAACCTTTTAGCTCAGAAGGAGCAGAGTTCACAAAATCCCTCAGATCCTTATCACATGGAGAAGGGTGCCTGGGCCGGACCCCTCCCCCTGCCCCGGGTGGACATAGCATGGGAAAATGCCACAGGAGAAGGGACCCAAAGATCCTGCCCTGGCCTGGCTTGCAATTTCTGAGGCAGTGAATATCTTTTGGGGTTGGCGATCATGGGGGCATCTTTCTGTTGGGAAATAGCTTTATTGGAAAAGGGATGCATTGGGGGAGGTGGCCATATCCAAGCCACTGGTACCTACCAAAGACATCTAATTTAGGCATGATGCAATGGCCTCTGATTGAACTTCCAGGAAAAAATATGTAACAAGCCACTACAGTTTTTTGAGTGTGCCTCATCAATGATGCTGAATAATCAAACTTCTCGTATTTTCTCAGAAGTAGTGATTCTCCCACTTGCCTGAAAAAAAAATTGTTTAAAAAATGCCTTGGAGTTGTTTAATTTGAACTCTCTTGAAAATGTTCTATTTCAAATGCCTTTTTTTGGGCTCAGAAATATAAGAAACTGATAACCTAAAAGCATCTCCTGTTCATAAAATAGCAACACTATGGCTTGTGAGCTCCTGAACTGAAGTGCTTACTGGACTGTATAAGAATATGCTCAGCAGTATGGTATCTTATCTTTATTTCTGTCTTGTAGTTATAAGTTAAATCCATGTTACCATTGTAATTTGGTACAAATGGGCAGGTAAAATAGGAAATTGTAGGGATATCTTTTCTTTCTAGAATCTTGCTTCCTTTGACAAGGCAGTTTAGGGAAAGCTGCCTTGGGGAAAATAATATAACTCACCCTCCCTTTTTTTCATGGCCCTTAGTTTGTACTTAGTAGGTTGAGACAAATTCACTCATACTGTAGAATAGGGGTTAGAAACCTTTTTCTATAACAGGCTAGACAGTAAATACTCTGGGCTTTGTGGGCCATAATGTCCCTGTCATAACTATTTTTAAGTCTCCCATAGCTGAAGAGAGGCCATGAAAAATGTCAAATGGGTGTGGCTATGTTCCAATAAAACTTTATAAATAAAAAACAAAGTTGTCTAGATTTGGCTCTCAGACCATAGTTTGAACCTTGCTGTAGACTCCAAACACGTTCTTTTGTCATCCTTCAAGAATTGTCTTAAGTATAACTGTCCATTTTGTCTATCACCTACCCAAAGCTGGATAGGGACCTCCTCTATGAGCTCCCATAGGGCACATGGAAGCCCACATTATTGATCACCCTTTATTTTCCTCTAAGTTTGAAAGCATGGATGTGGTTGGCACATCATTAACTCTCTATATATTTTACCGACAGGGTTTTGCTATATTGCCCGGGCCAGTCTCAGACTGCTGGGCTCAAGTGATCCTTCTGTCTCAGCCTCCTGAGTAGCTAGGACTACAGGAATGCACCACCCAACTTTTATAACTACTAAATGAAAAATAGGATCTTCTGGAATCTGCTTTAATATGATTATTCAGTATTTAATATACATTCTATAACAAAGAATATATGTTAAGTGTCAGGCACTCCTCTAGGTGGCTGGGATACATCAGTGAACAGAATAAATATCCATGTATTAATGGATCTTGTATTGGCACTGGGGGAGATAGGAAATAAAACATAAGAAACTTATGTATTGTTAGACCAGAGGTCAGCAAACTGTATCACCCAGGCGCCAAATCTGGCCCTCTGCCTGGTTTTATAAAGATCTTACTGGAACACAGCCATTCATCTACATGTGTTTCATGCATGCATTTGTGCTGCAGTGGCAAAACTGAGTAGTTGTGACAGAGGCACCATGGCCGGTGAAGCCTAAACTATTATCTGGCCCCTTATAGAGAAAGGCCGTCAACTCCTGTATCAGGCAGTAAAAACTGCTATGGAAACTTTTTTAATTCAATCCTAAGGGCACGTAATCAGGAGTGCTGAGGGTAGGGTATGGCCATCTCTAAGCAAGGTCAATGTCACCTCATTGACAAGGGGACATTTGAGCAAAGACTTGGAGAAGGTTGTGGATGGAGTCATACAGATCACTAGAGTGGCGCTTGCAAGCAGAATGAATAGTCGGTGCAGAGCTGTTAACAGAGAAACAGCCAACTGTGCTCGAGAATCAACACGAAGGCCAACGTGGTGAGGCAATGAAGTAGGATTGTAGGAGTAGATAATGGGGGAGACGTGAATGGAAAAACAAGGTGGCAGGTCACATGGGAGAACACGGACAATCGTGAGTACGTTGCTTGCTTTGAGAAAGGACCATTTGGTAAAATCCTCTTTATAGAAAGAATGTATTTAGCCCTTCTCGATGTTGGATTTTGACATGAGTACTGAAAGGCAGAAACGTGAATGTCAGAGGAGGTTGCCTAACATAATTCTTCAGAATCCAAGCTCAGTATTGCAACGGTGTAGGTTGAATGTATGTGGCTTCCCGGGACAAAAATGCTTAAAACATTCTGGCCTCAGTTTCCTTGTTTGTAAAACCAGGATAAGAGCCCTGTGATCATTGTGAGTTTAATGTGCATTAGGAGTTTTGAACAATGCCTGGTATGTTGTAAGTGACCTGTAGATGTTAACACTGCTCTTGTTTCTGTAAGCAGTCCCTTATTCATGAATGTCACAAGACGGGTCCAAGAATGCTTAACACTCTGTGAAATAAATCTTTGGAGACAGGTGGTCATGACTCTAGCTCATGTTTCTGTTTTGCAGTCTGTCTGGCTGTTTCTTTAGCAGCGATATCTGTCAATATATTGCCATAGTTATTGCTACTAATGAAAAACTGAGGAGCCTGGAGATTGGGAGCAACAAAATAGAAGATGCAGGAATGCAGCTGCTATGTGGTGGTTTGAGACATCCCAACTGCATGTTGGTGAATATTGGGTAGGTGCCTGGTGGAGAAAGATCCCTGCCTTTAGCTAGCAACAGCTGAAGAAAAGCACAAGAGGAAGTGGATTGGGAAATACAATACCTCGGACATAATAGTCTAGTGTTTGAAATGGGACTCTTATTGCACAGTCAGTTCTTTTGCCCAAAACTTGGAGGGATCTAGTAGATGTCCAGTTCTCACCCATCTCATCTGCCATTTTTCCTCAAGGATTTGGCCCCACCTTACCTGTGCATCTTCGTTGCAGGCTAGAAGAGTGCATGTTAACCAGTGCCTGCTGTCGATCTCTTGCCTCTGTTCTTACCACCAACAAAACACTAGAAAGACTCAACTTGCTTCAAAATCACTTGGGCAATGATGGAGTTGCAAAACTTCTTGAGAGCTTGATCAGCCCAGATTGTGTACTTAAGGTAGTTGGGTAAGTTGCTTATTTTCCTTGGTGATGGGGAAAATTCTTTTTTTTTTTTTTTTTTTTTTTTTTTTGAGAGACAGAGTCTCACTCTGTTGCCCAGGCTGGAGTGCAGTGGCGTGATCTTGGCTCATTGCAACATCAGCCTCCCAGCTTCAAGCGATTCTCCTTCCTCAGCCTCCTGAGTAGCTGGGACTACAGGCACCCACCACCACACCTGGCTAATTTTTTCTATTTTTAGTAGAGACGGGGTTTCACCATGTTGGCCAGGGTGGTCTCAATCTCCTGACCTCATGATCTGTCCACCTTGGCCTCCCGAAGTGCTGGGATTATAGGCGTGAGCCACCGCGCCTGGCTGTGATGGGGAAAATTCTGTGTTGAGATGGTCTAGGACCTATAAGATGATGATGAGAAACCCTCTTGCCAGTTTCCAATACAAAAAAAAAAAAAAAGTCTTTCCTCTTGGGAGATTGAAAATGTATGCCTCGTTCTTAAAGCAGAGGATGTACTCAATGGTGAGTAAAAGATGACAGTTGATATTATACTTGACGTAGACCAAAAAGGGTTCTACGAATATTTTCTATTTTCTTTCCTCCATTTGGATGTACCCCTCATTACGAGAGAATAAAAATAGGCAATTCTCAGTCTATTTCATGTTTCCAAATCCATTAGATTCCTCTCATAAAAGCAAAAGTTCTCTTCCTTTCTGTGTTACCTAACTGTTGCCAAGTATGTTACCACCAACTTGGATTCAATGACACACTATCTTACAGTCTATGTGAGTGTCAGGACTCCAATCCCAGCTTAGTTGGTCGTCCTTGAGATCTCTCATGAGGCTGCAGCCAAGATGTCATCCAGGGCTAGGGTCAAATCTGAAGGTATGTCTGGGAAAGGAAAAATCAGCCTGCTTCTAAGATCATGTGGTTGTTGGCAGAATTCAGTTCCTGTAGTGCTGTTGGGCTAAGGGTCTTAGTACCTTGAGAGCTGTTGGCTGGAAGAGGCCCTCAGTTATCAGCAAGAAACACTGAAAAGACTTGCTCTCCAACTCTCAAACAGCAACTGTTTGTCAGGTTTTTCAAGGCAATAGAGTTTGTTAGCAAGGCAGAAGTAGCAATTCTATGTAGGCTCACCAAAAAAGTGACATCTCACCATATTTGCCTATTGGATAGAAGCAAATTTGGCCAGGTGCTGTGGTTCATGCCTGTAATTCCAGCACTTTGGAAGGCTAAGGCGGGTGGATCACTTGAGGTCGGAAGTTTGAGACCAGCCTGGCCAACATGGTGAAAACCCATTTCTACTAAAAATACAAAAGTTAGCCGGGCGTAGTGATGCATACCTGTAATCCCAGCTACTCGGGAGGCTGAGGCACGAGAATCACTTGAACCTGGGAGGCGGAGTTTGCAGTGAGCCGAGATCGCACCATTGCACTCCAGCCTGGGTGACAGAGCAAGACTCCATCTCAAAGGAAGCAAATCACAGGTCTTGCTTATGCTAGAGGCAAAGATGATACAAGAGTGTGATTGATACAAGGTGAGGATTGTTAGAAGCCATTTAGAAGCTGCCTATCAGCTTCCATTCACACTGTCACGTGTGTAGAAAGCTCTGGCAATATCTAGCATTCTGTTTCTACCTGCCTTATTTAAAGGAAAATCATATTCAGGTTACTGAGCATTCAATTAGAGACTAAGTATAAGCATCCGGATGACCCATTAATAAAATACAGGAGGGGCAACTCATTTCCCACTCATGTCCAATTTTTCTCAAATGGAAAATGGTGATAATTATCTCAGAACTCTTAAAGATTAAATGAGATCACAGACTCTATGCTGGAGACCCTACTATGAGTTGTTTTCCCTTGTCATCTCTAAGTGATAATTTTTTCATAAATATGGATATTGAGTCAAACTTTCAGATGCATAGAAAAACCCATAAACATTACAAATTTTCCAAATTGCTTATTCTCTTTATTTTTCCTCCCCAGGGCTCTTCTCACCTTCAAATGTATAATGTATTTATTCTATTATCTAATTCCTTCCACTAGAACATGAGCTCCATGATGCCAGGGATATTTTTCCTTCAGTATTATAGGTGCTCAAAAAAAACTAAACTGCAGAAATGACCATATTTCAGGTTATAAAGGTATTTGTGCCTACATGCTAATTGGGACACTCACATGCAGAGAGGGCACAAAATAAGTGGCTGAATCCTCCTCTTTGATTTGGAGAAAGAAACATGAGCATGGGCTGCGGTGTAAGTGTGCCTCTGTTCTCTAGCTATGTAAATTTTTTTTTTTTCTAGTTAGGGTCTTGCTCTGTCACTCAGGCTGGAGAGCAGTGGTGTGATCATGGCTCACTGCAGCCTTGACCTCCCAGGTGCAAGTAATCCACCTCAGCCTCCCAAATAGCTGGGACCACAGGCACGCACCACCACACCCGGCTAAGTTTTTGTATCTTTGGTAGAGATGGGGTTTTGGCATGTTGTCCAGGCTGGTCTCAAACTCCTGAGCTCAAGTGATCTGCCTGCCTCAGCCTCCCAAAGTGCTGGGATTAGACGTGGGACTGGACTGCGTCCAGCCTGTAAACATATTTTAGTTGGAAACTTTGACCCTCAGTATTGGAACCTATAAAGTCTTGAATGCCATTACCCATTGTGAGGATGTAATGTGAGATGCATGTAAAGCATTGAGCACGTAGTGGCGTTGGTTACTACTAATATTACTTCAAACAGTTCTCCCAGTGGAAATCTTGTCTTACATTCTAATATTTAATGGAGAAATCGCTATCTCACGGTTTTCAGTCTGGAACAGATTTTTGTTTCCTCAGAGATGGCTTGAGATACTCCCAAGAATACCCAAAGGATGCCATATGGGGAATTAGTCATTGATGCAACAAAGCTGAGACCTCACATGTAGCATTAACGGCGTTCTCTCTCTGTTTTCCTTCAGGCTTCCATTAACTGGCCTGAACACACAAACCCAGCAGTTGCTGATGACTGTAAAGGAAAGAAAACCCAGTTTGATCTTTCTGTCTGAAACTTGGTCTTTAAAGGAAGGCAGAGAAATTGGTGTGACACCTGCTTCTCAGCCAGGTTCAATAATACCTAATTCTAATTTGGATTACATGTTTTTCAAATTTCCCAGAATGTCTGCAGCCATGAGAACGTCAAATACAGCATCTAGGCAACCCCTTTGATCATGTTGTACGTAAACAGTATTTATTATAAATTACTACCGTGACTGGGATGCAAGAGAATTAGGACTATAATTTTCCTATTTGATGTGTGTGTGTGTGTGTGTGTGTGTGTGTGTGTGTGTGTGTGTGTGACCTTGATCCAGTCAACCACTTCAAATTCCTACACTGTCTCAAGAGTATTAAAAGGATTATATGAAGTAATAAAGGATAAAATGCATTGGAAAAAGCTGTGAAGCATGATTGTTTCATCAGTGGGCACGGTGGAGTAACACTAAAGAAACTATGATCCTTTCATGGTTTGTTTCTTGTTTTTGTTTTTCTGGGTTTTGTTTTTGTTTTTGTTTTTGTTTTTGTTTTGGTCTAGGGAGAGTTGTTAGAAGGTGTCCCTAGGAATCCTTCGAAATGAAATCCTCATCTCACCTTCCCTCCTGACTTCGTATTCCTGCTGCACCATGTTCTTCCCGGATCTACCTAACACCGTAACTGGCATTCATTTCCGTATCTCCCCTGCTCTTAGCCAGCTCCGCTCACAAACTTGTGTGTGTTCCATGGGATGAAGGGTGACTTCTCTAAGCTGTGGAGAAATGTCAGATATGTGTGGCCTCAGAAAAAGCGTCTCCTTTTCACCTTCTTTCAGAAGAGGGAGTTGAACTGGGCATCCTCTGATAATGTTTCCAACCCTGACACTGTATTTACAATGCCCCATTGCTAAGCATCTGGTTGCTGTACCTAATAGGCCTCCATAGGTGAGAGGATACCTACTCAAGGTGGGTAGGTTTTAGGGTCTTTACGTGCTGAAAAAAAAATTTTTTTTTTTTTGTTTGAGATGGAGTCTCGCTCTGCTGCCCAGGCTGGAGTGCAGTGGTGTGATCTCAGCTCACTGCAGCCTTCTGCCTCCCGGGTTCAAGTGATTCTCCTGCCTCAGCCTCCTGAGTAGCTGGGACTACAGGCGCCCACCACCATGCCCAGCTAATTTTTGTATTTTTAGTGGAAATGGGGTTTCACCATGTTGGCCAGGGTGGTCTGGATCGCCTGACCTCAAGTGATCCTTGGCTCAGTTTCTAAGGAGAACTGTCCTAATTTCTCCCTTTGACAGTGTTTCTAGGACACAGGGGTATACAGTAAACCTGAGCTTTCTGGTCCCACATTGAGCCAGGAGCTCAAGCCAAGCACCTGGCTTAATGTGCCACTGTCTTGGTCCAGCCGGGGCATGGATGGTGTGGCTCAGAGCCAGGCAGGGGTAAACCTATTTTGCCCAATGCTATTGCTCACCCTCAGCTCTGAGCTCTTCTCCTGTTTGAGATCTTTATGTTCTGCCTTTTGCTCTAAATGTACAGAAGCACTCACTGGGGTGGTCTTGGCAACAAGCTCTGTACAGGGATGTGTCAGTCACCATAAGCTGGGGCACCTGAGTCCTTAGTTAGAGACAGGCTCCTGGACCTGATCTCCCCACAGAGATGTCACGATCATGTCATCTGTAGTATCTCTCAGTGACATTGCCTCAGTGAGTCTGGGGCTTCTCTGATGAGAATATTTGATTCCCAATGCAAAACCTCCTCAGCCACTTCTGATAAATGCAACTTCTGGACATGATGTGAAGATTCTGATGATTAGCAGAATAACTGGCTAAAAGTGTTTTCTATGTTCCTTTTCAAAACTCTGATTTCAGAATCAAGTCATAATCAGCTGTGGAAAGAAACCTTGAAGGTGAATCAAAGGATCTTACTGTAGTTTCAACTGGGCTTGTTCTTTGATTTTTCTGACATGTTTCTAAAATAAGATAATTTTTTTTTGAGACAGGATCTCACTCTGTCGCCCAGGCTGGCATGCAGTGGCACGATCACAACTCACTGCAGCCTCGACTTCCTGAGCTCAAGTGATTCTCCCACCTCAACCTCCCCAGTAGCTGAGACCACAGATGCATGCAACCATACCCCCCTAATTTTTTGTACTTTTAGTAGAGAAGGGGTCTCACCATATTGCCTAGGCTGGTCTTGAGTGATCCGTCCAACTCAGCCTCTGAAAGTGCTGGGATTACAGGTGTGAGCCACTGCACCCGGCCAGGCTATCACAATTTAAGGAAACCTCTTGTTTTCCCATGACTGAAAATTCTGAAGTCATTGAAGCCATCTTCCCACCTCAATATTGCATATCTTCAATGTCCACATACTCCATGGCATATTGTAATTTGTCATCCAGGTTACCTATATAGCCCTGCCTCCTGTGCCTCTCCTTGGAGAAACAGACTTCCCTTCTTTATTCTAGATAATTTGCACTGAGAGGAAGCATTCCTACAAATAGACAAAAGCCCTATTTAGAGCATATAGAGCAATAATATCAGAATTTTAAAATTCTGTTTAAAATTAATGGAGTGATCTCACTGCAAGTTTCAAGGTAGGGAATTTTAAAAGTAGTCTTTGGTAAAACAAAAATTAAACTGGGAAATAACTGTCAAAATCAGCCTTTGTGGAAAATTTGAATCTAATAATTTACAACCTCCAGGGGAACCGTGAGTGAAGGAAGAAGCTGCTTAATTTCAGGAAGAGAGTTGTGGCTTTTTTTTTTTTTTTTTTTTTGTGGAATCTTGTTCTATCACCAGGCCAGAGTGCAGTGGCATGATCTCGACTCACTGCAAGCCCCTTCTTCCGGGTTCAAGCGATTCTCCTGCCTCAGCCTCCCGAGTAGCTGGGATTACAGGCACCCACCACCACGCCCAGCTAATTTTTGTATCTTTAGTGGAGATGGGGTTTCACCATGTTGGCCAGGGTGGTCTGGATCTCCTGACCTGGTGATCCGCCCGTTTCGGCCTCCTAAAGCGCGGGGATTACAGGCGTGAGCCACTGCACCCAGCTGAGTTGTGGTAATTTGACTCACCCACCTACTCTTCCCCACTCTGCAGCTTGATGGCTGCTGAGAACATGGAGTCCCTCATTCCCAGGCCAGCACGCTGATGCCACAGGATGAAGAATCTTTGTTCTCAAAGAATTGTGGTTGTGTGCCTCCATCTATCTTAGTGGTTCCTTGAAGGGTTGGCTCAAGGGCTTGCCTTTATTTCACCCTTTTTAGATCTACACAGACTGAAGCTGATTTATTGGGGGGTGCCAGTGTCATTAAAAGCACTTAAAGACAAATACACTTGCTGAAGTTGCCTGGGTGAGGGATAACAGGGAAAACAGATGACAGAATGAAAAGCCTATTAAGGAAGAGTCTGGGGGGAGAATTACATGAGATAGTAAGGGCTTTGAATAGCACTGAGGTATACCAAGGATTGAGTTCAATCATACATGTCCATGCAAGATTATAAAAATCTGAGAAACCCTATGTTTTACCTCTGATGATCCCGAGGCTCCATGCAAGCAGGAAATGAAGGCTGAAATGAGAGTTGTAAAAATCCTGGCTAGTGAACCTGGGAGGTGGAGGTTGCAGTGAGCCGAGATCGCGCCACTGCCCTCCAGCCTGGGCGACAGAGCTAGACTCCGTCTAAAAAAAAAAAAAAAAATCAAAATCCTGGCTAAGCTCCCTAGAGGGATCCCATGGCAAAGAGCTTGAGAGAATTTTGGGTTTGCGTTCAGGCATGTTTTAAAAATCTCCATCAAATTGTTAGTAGACCAGAAGGCAGAGACTTCAGTGGCCACACAGGAGAAAGTGAAACCTTTACACAGTAGTTTACAAAGGTTCAAACAAAACAAAAAATGAAAACAAAAACAGAAGACTCCAACTCACAACCAGCAGCAACAAGAAAGCCTGCTCAGGGGTGAGAATTTGATGTCCAGGGTTTGCCACACACAGTGTCCACTTTTTCTTACCAAAACAATGAGGCACACACACAAGACAGTATAATAGTCGTAAGAAAAAATAGCATATGAGCAAGCCAAGACATTGGGCTTCCTCTCCAAATACTAAATTAATTATCTTAAATATGTGCAAAGAACTCAAGAAAATCAAGGGCAGAAGAACAAAAATAAACCAGAGGAATAACTCCTCATCAAATAGAGAACATGAATAAAGAGAAAGTTTAAGAAGGAACCAGTGAGCAATTTAGGGGCAATAAAGTACAACAACTGAAAGGAAAATTCACAAGAGAGTTTCAACAGAACTATTTTTTATTAAAAAATTTTTTTGAGATCTCACTGAGGTAAAACGGAACATCTTGAGCATGTAAAGTTTGATTCTTGTTTTGTTTAAATTATCAGAATAATTGTATGTAATGATTGTGTATGTCATGGTGTTTTGCAATGTAGATGCGTTACCAAACGGGTAAATCTAGTTAGGTAATATATGCATTTCCTCGAAAAGTTGTCATGTTTTTTATGAAAACACTGAAAATTGCCTCCCTTAGCATTTTTCAAGAATATTATTATTAACTATTGTTGCCATGTTGTATTTATTTCTCCTGTCTAGCTGAAATTGTGTGTATCTTGGCCAACCATTCCCTAACCCTCCCACCTCACTGCCCCAGCCCCAGCCCCAGCCCCAGCCCCGGCCCCTGGTAACCCCATTTTGCTCTCTAGTTCTTTTTTTTCCTTCTTTTTTTGAGACGGAATTTCACTCTGTACCCCAGGCTGGAGTGCAATGGTGCAATCTCAGCTCACTGTAACCTCCACCTCCCGGGTTCAAGCGATTCTCTTGCCTCAGCCTCCCGAGTAGCTGGGATTACAGGCGTGCACCACCATGCCTGGCTAGTTCTTGTATTTTTAGTAGAGACGGGGTTTCACCATGTTGGCCGGGCTGGTCTTGAACTGACCTCAGGTGACCCGCCCGCCTCGGCCTCCCAAAGTGCTGGGATTACAGGTGTCAGCCACTGCATCCGGTCTTGCTCTCTAGTTCTGTGAGATCACTTTTTAAAATTCTCCAAGTGAATGAGATCACGTGATATCTCTCTTTCTGTGGCTGTATGTTTCACTAAGCATAGTGTATTCCAGGTTCATTTCTGTAGATGCAAATGACAGAACTTTCTTCTTTTCTATGGATAATACTATTCCATTGTGTATATATGTTACATTTTCTTTTCTGTTTTTGAAGATAGGGTCTCACTCTGTAGCCCAGGCTGGAGTGCAGTGGCATGATCATGGCTCATGGCTCCCTGCAGCCTCAACTTCCTGGGGCTCAAGCAATCCTCCCACCTCAGCCTCCTAAGTGGCTGAAACCACAGGTGCAAACCAACACACCCAGCTAATTTTTTTATTATTATTTTTGTAGAGATGGGGTTTTGCTTTGTTGCCTAGGCTGGTCTCAAACTCCTGAGTCCAAGCAATCCTCCCTTCTCGGCCTCCCGAAGTGCTGGGATTACAGGCTTGAGCCATCACGATGGGCTCTGTCTCTTCTTTCTCTGCCTCTCTTGATTTTGCCCTGTCTTCCTTTTCTCTTGCTTACTCATTGTTTTAATTCACCCCTTCCTCACTCCTTCACTGTAGCTGAAGATTTACTACTTTGATCCTGAAAAAACGTGTCTTGAATTTTTAAAATTTTATTTAACATTTATCCATTTTCTATTTCATTGACTACTACTGTAGTCTTTGTTTTGTTTTGTTTTTTACCTAATTTGCCACTGCATTTGCTCACTTAAAAATGGAAGCTAGACCGGCCGGGCACGGTGGCTTGCTCCTGTAATCCCAGCACTTTGGGAGGCTGAGGCGGGCGGATCACGAGGTCAGGAGATCGAGACCATCCTGGCTAACATGCTGAAACCCTGTCTCTACTAAAAAAAAACAAAAATACACAAAATTAACCAGACGTAGTGGCGGGCGCCTGTGGTCCCAGCTACTTGGGAGGCTGAGGCAGGAGAATGGCGTGAACCCGGGAGGCGGAGCTTGCAGTGAGCCGAGATCGCGCCACTGCACTCCAGCCTGGGCGACAGAGCAAGACTCTGTCTCAAAAAAAAAAAAAAAAAAAAAAAAAGGAAGCTAGATCATGGATGAGGGTATTTTCCTTGATTTTATAAGTGTCTATTTCTATAAATTTCCCTCTAAACCTCAACTACATCTGCACATTTTGTGATATTGTGCATTTACTTTCACTCAGTGTAAGGTATTTTATAATTTCCTTTATAAGTTCACCTTTGATTTGTGTTTTATTTTAAAGTGGTTGTTTAATTTTCATGTATGTGGAGATTTTACAGATTTCTTCTTGTTACTGATTTATAATTTAATTCTGTTGGCATTTGAGAACAGCGTGTATATTATTTCAATTTTCATGTCAATGTGATTTGTCTTATGGCCACATCTGTCTATGCTAGCGAATGTTCAATGTATACTGGAGATGAATGTGTGTTTTCCAGTTGTTGGGTAAAACTGAACAAATACAGGCAGATACTTTTATCAGTTTAACAGGCAGTGTTTCCTTGTCATTTAGTAAGTGAATTAATTTTGGGGGTCAATTTATATTATTATAGTTTATAACCTCCATAACACATTTACTTGATCTTACAGCAAAGCAAAAGAAAAACATTTGCAAATTCATCTGAAAATGTTAAACGTTTATTGTGAAAGAAACATAAGCATGAGTTACCAAAAAATGACACTGCTTTATATTTCATATGCAATTTTTCATCAGCAATACAAGTAGAGCTCAGAATTCCTTGAAAGACCCACATTCTTCTTCCATAACTTTGAACCATAAGTGGACCAAGCGGAGAAGTTCTCGCCTTTGGTCACGAGCACACAGCCACTTACTGTGGATGTTTTCTGTGTTCAAGTGTATAGTTGCCTTGCCCAGGATAAATTGGGGAACTGGCAATGCCATTATTAATTACACACACACACTCAAGTATCCGTGATCATCACGACTTGTATCTGCATGAGCAAAACATGGGCGCAGTGGCTCAGTAGCAGAAATTTTCGTGAATGTGAAGATATGTGACCTATCACTGACATTATAGAAGGAAATGGCCCTCGTTTTTATATCCAGGTAAATCCCCACTCGGTGTAGACCTGAGCTCACCCAGAGACCCGTCACAGGCTTAGTGCTGGCAAAGTAGATCTGTCCTTGTCTCAAACCCACAGTCCAGAAGCCGAGTTCTGAAGAGAGTACAACGTTCCCCTGTCGGTTCACAGATTCCTTGCACACGCCCACATCCCACACTTGGCTGGTGCCCACGCCCACCTCCCAGTAATGGCGGCCGGAAGTGAAGCGAGGGGTGCCCAGGACGCACAGGGCAGTGTCGAACCTCTCAGCTTGCTCCTTCCTATTCTGTCTGAAATTCCCACATCGGACACGCCTCAGGTCTTCAGAAACGATGAGATCGTTGTTGGCTGTGTCCACATCCAAGGTCATATCCACTGTGCAAAGAAGAACCGGTAGTTCAGCAAAGACACACACTACAGACTCCCTCTGCCTTTCTACTGCACAGACCCAAATATTTTATTCATTGTCACTTCTTTTATTCCACGTTCATTCTCAGATCCGAACTTTCTTTAGGAATTTCCCTGGCCCCCCGATTAAGTCAAATTTTATGTATAGAATGTATGAATATAATTGCAACAAGCCCACCTTTCTCATAGTAAAATTCTTGTTTAAGTTATTCAATATTTTGATTAAAGGTTTTTCTCCCTCTTGGTGCATAGGATGGATGAAGGAGGAGATGATAGTTTGCTCTCATAAATTGGTACAGATCCTGTGAAAATCTATACTGTGCGCTGATAACAGCTGATGTTTGGGATCACAAATCTTTTAGGTTGCAGACTTCAGCTAATGCCCGTATTGAACGGAAAGACATTTAAAAGCTGCTTTTTCCAAGGCCCTTTATGGGCTTGGAGCAGGTAGTACAGATTCCTTACCTTGGAACTTTCTCATCCTTGGATTCATCTGCAGAACAGCTCTCACCTTGGGCTCTAGTTCCTTGATCTTGGACACCAGCGCCCCCAGCTGGGCAGCGGGCCTGATGTCATTTTTCTGAGAGACCACAGGGCAGAAAGGGCACAGCACCCCCTTCCCATCGGGCCCCTTTCGCAGTGAGTTCATGCATCGGAGGCAACAGATGTATCCACATTTCAGGTGCGTGGGGTTTTCAAGATAATCCAGGCAGATAGGACAACTGCTTGCTTGTTTAAAGTGTTCAGCCATGGCCACTGTCTGGGAGTAAATAGGCATGGTATTAGCTTTTACGTGAGTGGAATGGCTGATAGTTCTTGGGACACTTTCATCTTTACCTGCATGAAGACATCATCGCCTACTCTTTGTAAAGCACTGGTACTAGGAAATGAAGATACAATATAAGTACAAATATAAATGATCAGGGCCCTGACCTTCCAATATTGGAAATACTGGCTAGAATGAAGGCCATGGCTTGGTATGAGGCTTTGAGTTGAGTGGCAAAAGGGTCTACAGCTGAGCTATCCAATATGGTAGCCACCAGCCACATGTGGCTACTGAGCACCTGAAATGGGGCTTATCTAAATGAAGATGTGTTGTGAGTATAAAATATACACTAAATTTTGAAGACCTAAGGGAGATGTAAACTATCTGTTAGAGAATCTTAAAAATGTATTACATGTGAAATGCTTATATTTTGTTAAACTTACTTAGGCTTATTTCATTTTGCTTGATTTATGTGGCTATTAGACAATAAATTTATCTTACATATGTTGATCACATTATGTTTATATTGGACAGCACTGGAGACCCTCAACCTCCACAATAAGCCTGGCCAATTTTTGTGTTTTGGAGAGATGAGGTCTCACTATGTTGCCCAGGCTGATCTCCTACTACTGACCTCAAATGATCCACCTGCCTCAGCCGCCCAAAGTGCTGGGATTTCAGGCAGGTGCCACCATGCCAGGTCCTCTGAACCTTTTCTAATAAATGGTGATTTGAAGCCAGTATGAGACGACAGATTAGAGCTGGACTCCTGTCTCCCTGGGAGTTGAATTAACATAAAGCTTTTCTTTTCTCAAAAACTCCCGTGGCATAGTATTTGTTCCACCTGGATGTGGCATGAAACTTACAGCATTATATTACACAAAAAACAAAAATAAATAAGTTGGACTATGTCAAACAAAAAATGTTCTGCATAGTGAAGGAAACAAGGGAGACGATGAAAAGAAAGCCTACAGAATGGAAAAAAATGTTTGCAAATTATATATCTGATATTAGGTTAATATCCAAAATATATAAAGAACTCATAACGCAATAGAAAAAAAAAACCCCTAAAACTAACATTCTGATTATGAAATGGGCAAAGGCGAGATCATGCCACTGCACCCCAGCCTGGTGACAGAGCGAGACTTCGTCTAAAACAATAAATAAATAAAAATAAAAGAGTTAAACCAGTAACTAACAAATTTTTGAGTGTACAGCATGGCAGGTAAGAAGGGAAAAAACTTGGCTGGTCGCGGTGGCTCACACTTGTAAATTCCAGCACTTTCTGAGGCTGAGAAAGGAGGATCGTTTGGGCCCAGGAGTTCGAGACCAGCCAGCGCAACATCGTGAGACCCGTGTCTACAAATAATTTTAAAAATTAGCCGGGTGTGGTGGCCCATACCTGTGGTCCCAGCTACTCGGGAGGCTGATACGGGAGGATCACGTGAGCCCAGGAGATAGAGGCTGCAGTGAGCCAAGATCGCACCACTGCATCCAGCCCAGGCAGCAGCAAGACCCTGTCTCCCCCCAAAAAAAGAAAAAGAAAACAAAGAAAAGAAACAACTTTGCTGAAACACTGAAACTCCCTCTGTTCAGGAAACAAAAGAACTGGCTGAAATTGGCTAGAGCCAATGTGGCCAGCTGGAGTCTGTGCAGAACAAGCTTGCTGAAGTCACAGCCCGAATTTCCACTGCATGTTGTACATTAACACCCTTTGAATTTCCACAGTCGACCCACAAGAAAGCACGAAAAGATAACTGCCCATGCCCATGGACTTTCCAGACCTCCCTTTTCCTTCCATCAATTACTTACTGATCTCAGAATCCATCCCCTGAACCTTTTTTAATCACCCAGGCTGGAGTGCAGTGGTTCGATCTCGGCTCACTGCAGCCTGAAACTCCCGGGCTCAGATGATCCTCCTGCCTCAGCCTCCCCGAGTAGCTGGAACTACAGGCCTGCACCACCATGTGCAGCTCATTTTTGTGGTTTTGGAGAGGGGGGGGTCTCACTGCGTTGCCCAGGCTGGTCTCCTACTCCTGAGCTCAAGTGATCCACCTGCATCTGCCTCCCAAATTGCTGGGATTTTAGGCATGAGACACCATGCCAGGCCCTCTGAACCTTTTCTAATAAATGCTGACATGAAGCCAGTATGAGACGACAGATTAGAGCTGGACTCCTGTCTCCCTAGGGTTTTCATTTCAATGCAATGCTTTCCTTTTCTCAAACATCCCCATGTCATCCTATTCACTCCTAGAGTATTGGACAGCGAATCCCTTTTACTCGATAATGTTGGCAGAAGAATAGATCAAGAAATTGTGCTATATATACAATGAAATATCGTACACCATAAAAAAATGGATGAAACTTGAGGGCATTTTGCTAAGTGGAATAAGTCATATAGAAAGCGATAAATACCGAATGACCTAACTTACTAGGAACCTAAAAACACTGAAGTCATAAAATTAGAGAGTGGAATTAAAATGGTGATTGTAAATGAAAGACCTGAAATGGTAAAACTATCAGATCAAAACACAGGGGGAAAGATCTAAGAAATTTGTCTGGGCAAACTTGTTTTTTGATATAACCACCTAAATCACAGGCAACAAAAGCAAACATAGACAAGTGGGATCGCATCACATGTAAAAGCTGCTGCACAACAAAGGAAACAATAAGTTGAAGAGACAATCTACACAGTGGGAGAAGATATTTGCAAACCATACATCCGATAAGGGGTTAATATCCAGAATACATAAGGCACTCAGGCAAGACAACAAATAGGTGAATTAAAAAGTGGGCTAGGATGGGTATATAGTTTCAATTTTGGAAGATGAAAAGATTTCTGGAGATGAATGGCAGTGATGGTGGCAAAATAATATGGACATCATAAATACCATTGAATTTTACACTTAAAAATGGTTAAGATGGTCAATTATATATACTTTACCACCATTTGTTAAGAAATAAAAGACTGAATGAAAATGAATAGTATTCTGTGGGATCATATCAAGTGATACGGTTTGGCTCTGTGTCCCCAGCCAAACCTCATGTTGAATTGTCATCCTCAGTGTTGGGGGAGGGACCAGGTGGGAGATGATTGGATCACGGGGACGGATTTCCTCCGCGCTATTCCCATGACCGTGAGTGAGTTCTCAAAGATCTGATGATTTCAAAGTGTATGGCACTTTCCTCTTTCTCTCTTTCCTGTCACTATGTGAAAAAGCCACTCGCTTCCCCTCTGCCTTCCTCCATGATTGTTAAATTTCCCGAGGCCACCCAGTGATGTTCCCCGTGCGACCTGCAGAACTATAAATTAATGAAACCTCTTTTCTTCATAAATTACCCAGTCTCCGGTAGTTCTTTAGAGCAGTGTGAGAATGAACTGTTACAGAATATTGGTACCAGGAGTGAGGCACTGCTACTATGGTACCTGAAAATGTGGAAGCGACTTTGGAACTGGGTAACGGGCAGAGGTTGCAACCGTTTGCAGGGCTCAGAAGAAGACAGGAAGATGTGAGAATGTCTGCAACTTCCCAGATACTTGTCAGATGGTTTTGATCAAAATGCTGACAATTGAATTGCTCTTAGTGAAGTAAGTTCAAGTAGAAATTAAGGTGATTGATTACGATATTTTCTTCCTATTATGAGTTTCTCACTGAGCTTCAACCGCATCTAGAAATTTTGTAAATGTGTGCTTTTCATTCAACTCAGGATAGCTGTAATTTCCATTGTAATTTCATATTTGATCATTTTATTTAGAAGTGGTTATTTAATTTGCATATATGTGGAGAATTTATGGATTTCTTCCTGTTATTGATTTCCAATTTGACTCTGTTGCCGTCATAGGAGAGGGTGTATTGTATTTCAATTTTAAAGCTAACGAGTTCTCTCTAAGACCACACATATTCGTGGCAAACACTCAGTGTGCACTTGAAATGAATGTCAGTGTTCAGTTATTGGGTTAAACTGAATACATGAACATATATAATTTTGCCGTATTCATAGGTCCTTATCATTTGAAATTCAGTTACTGTGTTGGGTCACATTCAAATTATTATTTCGTTCATAACTTCCATAACACACAGTACACTAATCTTGCAGCAAATAGAAAAGATTGGCAAATGAATCTGAATTTTCAAAATATTTATTGAACAGAAATATAAACATAAGCCCCAAAGAAAACAACATGACAAACTTTAAGTACAATGTAATTTTCCCCTCATTAATATAATTGCTTTCTGTTCATGGTTTACAGAGTGATGGCTCTTTCCCTTCTGTCCCTTTGTACCTATGTGTATCTAGCGGAAAAGTTCTTAGCTATGGCTATGGGGGCACTGAAACTTCCTAAAGATGATTATGTTCAAATGTTTATTTACTTTCCCTCAGAAGAAACTGGGGCACTGGCAGTGGATGGATTGATCACAGAACAGATACTCAGGATGCTCTGATCATCTTGACTTCCACGTTTATGAGCAAAAAATGGACGCCAGGGCTCGCAAACAGGAATCTCGATGAATGTGTTGATATGGCACCCATCACTAACATTGTAAAAGGCAATGGACCTCATACCTACATCCAGGAAAATCCCCACTCTGTGCAACTGGGGACTCACCCAGAGAGGAGTCATAGGCACAGTGCTGGCAGCAAAGACCTTTCCTTCTCTGCAACCCACAGTCAAGAAGCCGTGTTCTGAAGAAAGCTCAATCTTCCCCTGTCGGTTGACAGATTCCTTGCACACGCCCACATCCCACACTTGGCTGGTGCCCACGTCCACCTCCCAGTAATGGCGGCCGGAAGTGAAGCGAGGGGTGCCCAGGACGCACAGGGCAGTGTCGAACCTCTCAGCTTGCTCCTTCCTATTCTGGCTCAAATCCCCACTTCGGAAACTCCTCAGGTCTTCAGAAATGATGAGATAGTTGTTGGCTGTGTCCACATCGAAGGTCATATCCACTGTGCAAAGAAGAACCAGGAGTTCAGCAAAGACACACACTACAGACTCCCTCTGCCCTTTGACTGCAAACACTTAAACACATTATTCACTTTTACTTTTATTCTACTTTCTTTCCCAAATCAAAATTTCCTGGGGAAACTTGTTTGGCCACCTGATGAGGTTAAATTGTATCTATAGGTTGCATGAATATGATCATTGTAACAAGTCCACCTTATTCATATTAGAAATGCCTTTCGAAATAAGTTAGTGGATAATTTGATGAAAATTAGTTTTCCATTTAGCACATATGATACATGAAAGAAGACAGTAGCTTGCTCTCCAAAGTATTCTACAAACTTGCACAGATTCCATGAAAATCTCTACGCAAAGGTGAGAACTGCTGTTGTTTGTGAAGCATGGAAGTTTTAGATGCTAGATATCCTGCTAATGCCTATGTTTAATGAAGAAATGTTTGAAAGTCGTTTTCCCAGTGCCTTTTATGGGTTGTGGCAGGTCCTATAGATTCCTTACCTTGAAACTTCCTCATCCTTGGGTTCATTGTTAGAACAGATTTCAGCTTGGGCTCTAGTTCCTTGATGATGGAAACCAGCGCCCTCAGCTTGTACTTGGGCTTGATGTCATCCTTCTGAGAGACCACAGAGCAGAAACGGCACAGTAAACCTTCCCCATCGGGCTCCTTCTGGAGTGAATTGAGGCACTGGAGGCAGCAGGCATATCCACATTTCAGTTGCACGGCTTCTTCAAGATCTTTTAGACAGACAGGACATCTAATGATCTGTTTGAAGTGCTCAGCCATGGCAAATGTCTGTAGAAAAAAAAATGAACACGGAATTAGAATTTCCACGAGCTGAATGAACAGCTGATAGTGTTTGGGGCTTTTATCTTTACATGCATGGAGCTATCATGGCACCATACTTTAAATCACTACTGCTAGTGATGAAGACACAACATGAATACAAATGTCAATGACTCGAGGCCCTGAACTTCTAATATCTGTAATACTCATTGGAATAAAGGGCATGATTCACCGAAAGACTTTGAGTTGAAATAGTAAAGGAGTCTACACCTGGGCTGTTTCATATGGTAGCCACCAGTGACAAATGGCTATTGAGACCTGAAATGGGGCGTATCTGAATGGAGATGTGCTGTGAGCCAAATACACTCCTCTTTGTGAAGACGTAATGGGGAAAAGAGAATGTAAACTATCTGCTTGAGAAGGTTTCAAGTTGCTCACATCTTAAATGATTATATTCTGAGTTAAAATTCATTAGGCTTGTTTTGTTCTATTTTATGTGACTACCAGAAAATGAATTTACAATTACATATATGGGTTATCTTAAGATTCTATTGGACAGTGCTGGAGTCCATTTGAAGACCTTCTACTTCCCCAACTGTGCAAACTGCATGTGGTGAAAACCCTGATAGCACACCAAAAGGACAAGACACAAAATACAAATAAGTCGTACCAGGTAAAACTGAATCTTCTGCATAGCGGAAAAAAAAAAAAAAAAAAACAAAAAACAGAACTAAAAGAAACCAAACAAGCAGCCATATATATGACAATGGATTAATATCCAAAATATATAAGGAATATTTTCAAGGCCGTAGCAAAAAGAAAAAAAAGCCAAAATAATCCAAATTCCAATGGGCAGAATCCTGAATAGACATTTCTCTGAAAAGCACACACCAACGACCAGCAAGTACTGAGGAACAAGCTCAACCTCACTCACCATCTGAGAAATGCAATTTAAACTGAGGCAGGAATACTGTGTGGTCGCAAGAGAATCGAGAACGTATCCAGTGACAATTTCACATGAGACCAAAACAGTGGCTTTTAAAATTAGCCACTTGTCATTAAAATTACAAGGACAAGGAGGAACCTGGGCTCATGAGGTGCTAAAAAACCGGAGGGAGTTAAGCTGTTTCAAAGCATTGCCACAGTAATGACCGTGGTCATTACCACACTAAATCACACACTCTGCAGTGTCACGGCTGACCCCAGCATGCCCATATGTAGTACAAAAATGGGTACCTCACCAATTCTAAAAAATCTCTGCTTTTTTCCTACAAAACCTAATGATTAGTTCACCTCCTAATTAGAAGGACTGACAAAAATAGAAACCCCAAACTCCTTTGAACGCCACCAGCTTTCAGAATCACGCCCACACTTCTCTCCTAACAGTGTGCTTTTGCTCTGGAATAGA
Source organism: Homo sapiens (assembly GCF_000001405.40). Taxonomy (NCBI): domain Eukaryota; kingdom Metazoa; phylum Chordata; class Mammalia; order Primates; family Hominidae; genus Homo; species Homo sapiens. The sequence goes on along the minus strand of NC_000019.10, from coordinate 55,770,396 downwards.
AACTTCTTGCCTTTCACTTCATTCTGGCTCATCCCTGAATTCGTTCTCCCGACAGCATCCAGAACCTGGAAACTGGCTGGGACTGGGTTCTCTCTGGCATCCAGAGAGCCTCCTGAGCCCTCCAGCAATAAAACCGCGATGAGATATTACCCCCTCTCTGCTAGGATGGCTATGATCAAAAAGACAAAAGATAAGTGTTGGTAAGGATGTGGAGAAAGGGGAACCCTTGTGCACGGTTGGTGGGAAAGAAAATTGGTACAACCACTACAGAAAATAGTAGGGAGGTTTCTGAAAACATGAAGAATAGAACTGCCTGTGTTCCAGCAACCCTACTTCTGTGTTTCTATGTGAAAGAAAGAGGTCAGCATATCAAAGAGATATCTGCACTCTTAGGTTCTCTGCAGCATTATTCACAACAGCCATGGAAACAACCCCAGCGTCTGTGAGAGAAAAATAGATGAGGAAATGGTGATATATACATTGGATTATTCTACCATAAAAAAGAAGGCAATTCTGGCATTGCACCAATGTGGATGAAGGCCGAGGGCATGATGGGAAGTGAAATAAGTGAGGCTGAGGGAAGTAAACACTGTATGATCTCAGTTATGTGGAATCTGAGTTGACTGATCTCATAGAATCAGAAAATAGCCACTGCACTCCAGCCTGGCAGACAGAGCGAGACCCTGTCTCAAAACAATTAAAGAAATAATGAATCCCCATCCTGGAAGAGGTGGGTCCCAGCATCTGGCCAGATCTTTTCCACAATAGTAATTTAAACAAACGTTGCTTTTCATTTCCTTCCCTTTCTCCTTCTGAATTAAAAGGAACAAAAAACTGAACAAAAAAAAAATCAGAAAATAAGAGAAGAATGATGGTTGCCAGGGGTTGTGGGAAGGGGAGAATAGGAAAACAATACCAAACCCATAGGAAAACCTGACGTTGAGTAACGCAGCCACCGAACCTCTGTCCATCATTTCAGAAAGTCTACCAAATTCTGATGAAATTCAAGCAAATGGAGATTGTCAAGTCTCTTGCCTTGGTATTGAAAATCTAAGAGTTGCCTAACCGTTACCAGGGCAGAGGTCCCAATATCCTCCAGAAATACAGTGTGTCTGTCATGGAGTTGGCCTCAGACAACACTTGTGGAATCAAGACATTATTGCATTCCCCTAGATTCTCATACGCCTTTTGTAAAAATGAATTCCATAAGATTGAACTCACCTCTCCTTCTGGAGTTTCTCCCCTGGCCTCCAGCTGCTTCTGCGGACAGCTCAGATCTGGAGTGAGAGCTGCCTGCCATGGGCTTTTATACGAGAGGGTCTCTCCACCCACCTTAGCCACACCCTTTCCCTCCTTTTTAATCTAATCAGATTCTGATTTCATTCTGCCATCATTGAGATTGTTACTATTGGACAGGTTTTTACCGTAAAGGAAGACGACTGTGTTTTCAGTGTTATTTTTTAATTAACAAGGACAAAATATTGCCATGTAATAATTTTTAGATAAGATCTTGAATATTATGCCTATTGGTTAAAATTTGGAAATTAATTAAAATTAATTAAAATCGTAAAATTTGGGGTGACATTTAAAATTCCTCTAAAATGAACGGTGCGACTTTCAAAGAGTTTTCTATTATAAATGTCACACCTTTTCACATTTCAATAAAAGAGGTGAGTTAAACCTACTCAGAAGTCGTTACTAATAGGACACTCCACAGACCACACTCAACTCTCAAAATCATTTTCTCTATAATGTAAAGATTCTAATTAAGAAGCTTAGGAAAGAAATCCCAAAACGGTTTCCAGACAATCAGTCAGCCAGTGAAAGTCCGTTTTTCTTTTTAGTTGCAGCATCTAAAATGAAAGTTAAAAGTTACTGTTACAATCTATTTCCCTTACATCACAACATAAGTAAAATGAGATTCATTTCCTCTTTAAAAATGTTCAAAAACGGGTTCCTCATGTATTAAATATATTATAGGTGATCAGAGTTCATGGATAAGAATGTAAAAGTGGGAGACTGGAGGTCAGGTGGGAAAGGATTTGATTACATTAATGTGATTAAATTAATAGTCTTTAATTTAATCATCTCCACAGTAATCATTCTCTAGCGATTGCTAGATTCTCTTCTTTCCTATTCAAAGCCAAGGCAGTTCTCAATTCCTTTTGTCTCATGAAGGCAAATGGAGAAACACAAATCTCTACGTTGTGGTGCATATATTAGATGAAATCCTTGCACACTGCATTTCTTCATTGATTGGGACCTATAATATAATCTGCCACATGTATGTCCATGTATACACACATACCGTATCTACACATATGCATGCAGGGAGAAAATGCTTATCTCTTCTTGCATAATTCTAATTGCTTTATTTTCTCATATAAATCCTTTTAAAATATACTCACATTTCTGGGAGCAGTTATTCTCCAGCTTGTAATTTTATGGGCCCATGTTCCTGGAGCACTGATCCCTCACATCTTTTAATTTTTATCTGCTTTCCGTAAAGCTTGAACAAAATTTATGTTCTCTTTGGGAATACCAGGTGGCCTCAGTTGTGGAAAGCACCGAGCCCAGTGGGTTGATTTGCCTCTCTAATATTCTCCCAAAATATCTTACAGCCTGGAATTGCATTCATGCTCATGTCTTGGGAGAGGAGTTCTTCCGTTTAGAATTAGAGAATAGCGTCTTAGGATTGCTGGCACACTGGTGGGGTTGGTTTGGCTGTTAGATACTTTCCACATCTTTTCCAATTGCATCTTTTCACAGAAAGCAGCTCCGCTGGCTTCTATTCAGACAGTGGTAAAGTTTCCTTGCCCGCTCTCATGTACAGTTCAGTACTTTGAGGGTTTTCTGTGTTTGAATAAACCTGTCCTTCAACATCCCAGTCAGCGAGGGCTGTATTCTCCATGCCCCGTCCCTGCAGGTGTGTCACAGAAGCAGACGTAAATGGTTGGCTTCGGTGGCTTCCGATCCCCAGGCCCTGTTCACTGTACAAGCAGACTTTTCTTTTTCTTTTTTTTTAATTATACTTTAAGTTCTGGGGTACATGTGCAGAACGTGCAGGTTTGGTACATAGGTATAGATGTGCCATGTGGGCTTGCTGCACCCATCAACCCATCACCTGCATTAGATATTTCTCCCTAATGCTATCCCTCCCCTAACCCCCCGCCCCCCGACAGGTCCCAGTGTGTGATGTTCCTCTCCCTGTGCCCATGTGTTCTCATTGTTCAGCTCCTACTTATGAGTGAGAACATGCCGTGTTTGGTTTTCCAATCTTGTGATAGTTTGCTGAGAATCATGGTTTCCAGCTTCATCCACGTCCCTGCAGAAAACATAAAGTCATCCTTTTTTATGGCTGCATAGTATTCCATGGTGTAGATGTGCCACATTTTCTTCTTTAACAATGAAGAGAAGCTCAGAGTTTCTCACAACCCAGGGCTTGGCTCAGTTTCCAAAGGAAACTGTCATCCTTTCTCTCATTGTCAGTGTTGGTACGGCAAACGGATTTGAGGTGAACCCGGACATTGTGGTCTCACCCTGAGCCACTGCCCAGCACGTGGCCCCACCGTCAGTCCAGCCGGGACATGGATGAGGTGGCTCAGAACCAGGCAGGTCATGTTATTGCCCAACCGTGGCTCTGAATTTTTTTCTTCATGATTCCTTAGGTTCTGTGTTTTGTCCAGGATATAAGGAAGCACTCACGTGGGTCGTCTAGTCACCAAGTTCTGTGAGGAGAAGTGTCAGTCAGGATGACCTGAGACCACAGAGGAGAAAAAACGGAACTCTTGCAAAATACTTTCATTAAGTCCAAACAAAACAAAACAAAAACAGAAAACCACAGCCCACAAGTATAACAATAAAAAACCTGTGAACTTTGAGAATCTGATCTGCATCTGCCACAGAACACTTCCAATTTACAACAAAATAAATGAGGCACACAAAGAGAACCGAATGTCTACAAGTCACAAGATGAAATAAATGTGCTCAAGACCTTGGGCTTCCTCTCTACAGACTAAATTACTTGTCGAAGGAGGACCAAAAGAACTAAAGGAAACAACAGACAAAGAACTGAAGTAAATTAGAAGAGTAACACCTCACAAAATAGAAAATATCAATAACCAAATAGAAATTTTAAAAATGAACTAATTAGAAATTGAGGGGCATAAAGGAAAATAACTGAAATGAAAACTCACTACAGAGATTCGACAGAAGTTTTTCCACCTTTTTTGTTTTTATAAATGTTATTAAAATCTAATTCAAGGCAAGTGAAATTGTCACTGCCGATGACACCATCTTATATAGAGAAAACCCTAAAAACTCCAACAAATTCTGTTAGGACTGATAAATGAATTCAGTGAAGGTGCAAGACACAAAATCAACAAACAAAAATTCTTAGCATTTTTATGAATTGTAAATAAACCATCTAAAAAAGAAAATAAAAAATAATTCCGGGCCAGGTATGGTGGCTCACACCTGTAATCCCAGCATATTGGGAGGCCAAAGTGGGCAGATCACTTGTGGTCAGGAATTCGAGACCAGCCTGGCCAAAATGGTGAAACTCTATCTCTACCAAAGAGACAAAAATCAGCTGGGCATGGTGACTGCTACCTGTAATCTCAGCTACTTGGGGGCCTGAGGCAGGAGTCTGCAGTGAGCTGAGATCGTTGCACTGCACTCCAGCCAGGAAAACAGAGAGAGACTCTCTCTCCAAATATCATAATAATAATTCCAATTAAAATAACAATAAGAAAATCAAACCCAAGAGTAAATTCAGTAAAGAAGGAGAAAGACCTGTACAATAAAAAGTATAAAATAGCAATGAACAAAATTGACAAAAACACAAATAAAAGGATATCTCATGTTCACGGATTAGAATTAATATTGTTAAAATGTCTATACACTCAAAAGGATCCGCACATTCAATGCAATCCCAATCACAATTCTCATTTTTCACAGAAAAAGAGAAAAAAGTCCTAAAATTTGGGTGAAGCCACAAAAGACCCCAAATAGCTAAAACAATCATATGCAGAAAAATCTCACAGCTGTAGACATCACACTACTTGATTTCAAAATATATTATAAAACTAGTATAATCAAAACGACATGCTACTAGAATAAAAACAGCCGTTTCTACCAATGAAACAGGAATGAAACCTCCCATATAAACCCGCGCACATGTGGCAAATTGATTTTTGACAAAGGATCCACAATACGAAATGGGGAAAGTACAGCCCCTTCAATAAATTGTGCTCGAAGAACTCATCCACATATAGAAGAAGGCAATTGTATCTTTACATCAAACTGCATGCATGAATCAACTCAAAACGGAGAAAAGAGTTAAATGAAAGACCTGAAATGGTAAACCTATCAGATCAAAACACAGGGGGAAAGATCTAAGAAATTTGTCTGGGCAAACTTGTTTTTTGATATAACCACCTAAATCACAGGCAACAAAAACAAACAGAGACAAGTGGGATCGCATCACATGTAAAAGCTGCTGCACAACAAAGGAAACAATAAGGTGAAGAGACAATCTACACAGTGGGAGAAGATATTTGCAAACCATACATCCGATAAGGGGTTAACATCCAGAATACATAAGGCACTCAGGCGAGACAACAAATAGATGAATTTAAAAGAGGGCTAGGATGGCTATACAGTTTCAATTTTGGAAGATGAAAAGATTTCTGGAGATGAATGGCAGTGATGGTGGCAAAATAATATGGACATCATAAATACCATTGAATTTTACACTTAAAAATGGTTAAGATGGTCAATTATATATACTTTACCACCATTTGTTAAGAAATAAAAGACTGAATGAAAATGAATAGTATTCTGTGGGATCATATCAAGTGATACGGTTTGGCTCTGTGTCCCCAGCCAAATCTCATGTTGAATTGTCATCCTCAGTGTTGGGGGAGGGACCAGGTGGGAGATGATTGGATCACGGGGACGGATTTCCTCCACGCTATTCCCATGACCGTGAGTGAGTTCTCACAAGATCTGATGATTTCAAAGTGGATGGCACTTTCCTCTTTCTCTCTTTCCTGTCACTATGTGAAAAAGCCACTCGCTTCCCCTCTGCCTTCCTCCATGATTGTTAAATTTCCCGAGGCCACCCAGTGATGTTCCCCGTGCGACCTGCAGAACTATAAATTAATGAAACCTCTTTTCTTCATAAATTACCCAGTCTCCGGTAGTTCTTTAGAGCAGTGTGAGAATGAACTGTTACAGAATATTGGTACCAGGAGTGAGGCACTGCTACTATGGTACCTGAAAATGTGGAAGCGACTTTGGAACTGGGTAACGGGCAGAGGTTGCAACCGTTTGCAGGGCTCAGAAGAAGACAGGAAGATGTGAGAATGTCTGGAACTTCCCAGATACTTGTCAGATGGTTTTGATCAAAATGCTGACAATTGAATTGCTCTTAGTGAAGTAAGTTCAAGTAGAAATTAAGGTGATTGATTACGATATTTTCTTCCTATTATGAGTTTCTCACTGAGCTTCAACCGCATCTAGAAATTTTGTAAATGTGTGCTTTTCATTCAACTCAGGATAGCTGTAATTTCCATTGTAATTTCATATTTGATCATTTTATTTAGAAGTGGTTATTTAATTTGCATATATGTGGAGAATTTATGGATTTCTTCCTGTTATTGATTTCCAATTTGACTCTGTTGCCGTCATAGGAGAGGGTGTATTGTATTTCAATTTTAAAGCTAACGAGTTCTCTCTAAGACCACACATATTCGTGGCAAACACTCAGTGTGCACTTGAAATGAATGTCAGTGTTCAGTTATTGGGTTAAACTGAATACATGAACATATATAATTTTGCCGTATTCATAGGTCCTTATCATTTGAAATTCAGTTACTGTGTTGGGTCACATTCAAATTATTATTTCGTTCATAACTTCCATAACACATAGTAAACTAATCTTGCAGAAAATAGAAAAGATTGGCAAATGAATCTGAATTTTCAAAATATTTATTGAACAGAAATATAAACATAAGCCCCAAAGAAAACAACATGACAAACTTTAAGTACAATGTAATTTTCCCCTCATTAATATAATTGCTTTCTGTTCATGGTTTACAGAGTGATGGCTCTTTCCCTTCTGTCCCTTTGTACCTATGTGTATCTAGCGGAAAAGTTCTTAGCTATGGCTATGGGAGCACTGAAACTTCCTAAAGATGATTATGTTCAAATGTTTATTTACTTTCCCTCAGAAGAAACTGGGGCACTGGCAGCGGATGGATTGATCACAGAACAGATACTCAGGATGCTCTGATCATCTTGACTTCCACGTTTATGAGCAAAAAATGGACGCCAGGGCTCGCAAACAGGAATCTCGATGAATGTGTAGATATGGCACCCATCACTAACATTGTAAAAGGCAATGGACCTCATACCTACATCCAGGAAAATCCCCACTCTGTGCAACTGGGGACTCACCCAGAGAGGAGTCATAGGCACAGTGCTGGCAGCAAAGACCTTTCCTTCTCTGCAACCCACAGTCAAGAAGCCGTGTTCTGAAGAAAGCACAATCTTCCCCTGTCGGTTCACAGATTCCTTGCACACGCCCACATCCCACACTTGGCTGGTGCCCACGTCCACCTCCCAGTAATGGCGGCCGGAAGTGAAGCGAGGGGTGCCCAGGACGCACAGGGCAGTGTCGAACCTCTCAGCTTGCTCCTTCCTATTCTGGCTCAAATCCCCACTTCGGAAACTCCTCAGGTCTTCAGAAATGATGAGATAGTTGTTGGCTGTGTCCACATCGAACGTCATATCCACTGTGCAAAGAAGAACCAGGAGTTCAGCAAAGACACACACTACAGACTCCCTCTGCCCTTTGACTGCAAACACTTAAACACATTATTCACTTTTACTTTTATTCTACTTTCTTTCCCAAATCAAAATTTCCTGGGGAAACTTGTTTGGCCACCTGATGAGGTTAAATTGTATCTATAGGTTGCATGAATATGATCATTGTAACAAGTCCACCTTATTCATATTAGAAATGCCTTTCGAAATAAGTTAGTGGATAATTTGATGAAAATTAGCTTTCCATTTAGCACATATGATACAAGAAAGAAGACAGGAGCTTGCTCTCCAAAGTATTCTACAAACTTGCACAGATTCCATGAAAATCTCTACGCAAAGGTGAGAACTGCTGTTGTTTGTGAAGCATGGAAGTTTTAGATGCTAGATATCCTGCTAATGCCTATGTTTAATGAAGAAATGTTTGAAAGACATTTTCCCAGTGCCTTTTATGGGTTGTGGCAGGTCCTATAGATTCCTTACCTTGAAACTTCCTCATCCTTGGGTTCATTGTTAGAACAGATTTCAGCTTGGGCTCTAGTTCCTTGATGATGGAAACCAGCGCCCTCAGCTTGTACTTGGGCTTGATGTCATCCTTCTGAGAGACCACAGAGCAGAAACGGCACAGTAAACCTTCCCCATCGGGCTCCTTCTGGAGTGAATTGAGGCACTGGAGGCAGCAGGCATATCCACATTTCAGTTGCACGGCTTCTTCAAGATCTTTTAGACAGACAGGACATCTAATGATCTGTTTGAAGTGCTCAGCCATGGCAAATGTCTATAGAAAAAAAATGAACACAGAATTAGAATTTCCACGAGCTGAATGAACAGCTGATAGTGTTTGGGGCTTTTATCTTTACATGCATGGAGCTATCATAGCACGACACTTAAAATCACTACTGCTAGTGACGAAGACACAACATGAATACAAATGTCAATGACTCGAGGCCCTGAACTTCTAATATCTGTAATACTCATTGGAATAAAGGGCATGATTCACCGAAAGACTTTGAGTTGAAATAGTAAAGGAGTCTACACCTGAACTGTTTCATATGGTAGCCACCAGTGACAAATGGCTATTGAGACCTGAAATGGGGTGTATCTGAATGGAGATGTGCTGTGAGCCAAATACGCTCTTATTTTTGAAGACATAATGGGGAAAAGAGAACGTAAACTATCTGCTTGAGAACGTTTAAAGTTGCTCACATGTTAAACGATATTATATTTTGAGTTAAAATTCATTAGGCTTGTTTTGTTCTATTTTATGTGACTACCAGAAACTGAATTTACCATTACATATATGGGTTATCTTATGTTTCTATTGGACAGTGCTGGAGTCCATTTGAAGACCTTCTACTTCCCCAACTGTGCAAACTGCATGTGGTGAAAACCCTGATAGTGCAACAAAAGGACAAGACACAAAATACAAATAAGTCGTACCAGGTAAAACTGAATCTTCTGCATAGCGGAAAAAAAAAAAAAAAGGAAAAACCAGAACTAATGAAAAACAAACAAGCAGCCATATATATGACAATGGATTAATATCCAAAATATATAAGGAATATTTTCAAGGCTGTAGCAAAAAGAAAAAAAAGCCAAAATAATCCAAATTCCAATGGGCAGAATCCTGAATAGATATTTCTCTGAAAAGCACACACCAACGACCAGCAAGTACTGAGGAACAAGCTCAACCTCACTCACCATCAGAGAAATGCAATTTAAACTGAGGCAGGAATACTGTGTGGTCACAAGAGAATCGAGAACGTATCCAGTGACATTTTCACATAGGACCAAAACAGTGGCTGTTAAAATTAGCCACTTGTCATTAAAATTACAAGGACAAGGAGGAACCTGGGCTCATGAGGTGATAAAAAACCGGAGGGAGTTAAGCTGTTTCAAAGCATTGCCACAGTAATGACCGTGGTCATTATCACACTAAATCACACATTCTGCAGTGTCACGGCTGACCCCAGCATGCCCATATGTAGTACAAAAATGGGTACCTCACCAATTCTAAAAAATCTCTGCTTTTTCCTAGAAAACCTAATGATTAGTTCACCTCCTAATTAGAAGGACTGACAAAAATAGAAACCCCGAAGGCCATCGAAAGCCACCAGCTTTCAGAATCACGCCCACACTTCTCTCCTAACAGTGTGCTTTTGCTCTGGAATAAAAACTTCTTGCCTTTCACTTCATTCTGGCTCATCCCTGAATTCGTTCTCCCGACAGCATCCAGAACCTGGAAACTGGCTGGGACTGGGGTCTCTCTGGCATCCAGAGAGCCTCCTGAGCCCTCCAGCAACAAAACCGCGATGAGATATTAACCCCTCTCTGCTAGGATGGCTATGATCAAAAAGACAAAAGACAAGTGTTGGTAAGGATGTGGAGAAAGGGGAACCCTTGTGCACGGTTGGTGGGAAAGAAAATGGTACAACCACTACAGAAAATAGTAGGGAGGTTTCTGAAAACATGAAGGATAGAACTGCCTGTGTTCCAGCAACCCTACTTCCGTGTTTCTACGTGAAAGAAAGAAGTCAGCATGTCAAAGAGACATCTGCACTCTTAGGTTCTCTGCAGCGTTATTCACAAGAGCCATGGAAACAACCCCAGAGTCTATGAGAGAAACATGGATGAGGAAATGGTGGTATATACATTGGATTATTCTACCATAAAAAAGAAGGCAATTCTGGCATTGCACCAATGTGGATGAAGGCCGAGGGCATGATGGGAAGTGAAATAAGTGAGGCTGAGGGAAGTAAACACTGTATGATCTCAGTTATGTGGAATCTGAGTTGACTGATCTCATAGAATCAGAAAATAGCCACTGCACTCCAGCCTGGCAGACAGAGCGAGACCCTGTCTCAAAACAATTAAAGAAATAATGAATCCCCATCCTGGAAGAGGTGGGTCCCAGCATCTGGCCAGATCTTTTCCGCAATAGTAATGTAAACAAACTTTGCTTTTCATTTCCTTCCCTTTCTCTTTCTGAATTAAAAGGAACAAAAAACTGAACAAAAAAAAAATCAGAAAATAAGAGAAGAATGATGGTTGCCAGGGGTTGTGGGAAGGGGAGAATAGGAAAACAATACCAAACCCATAGGAAAACCTGACGTTGAGTAACGCAGCCACCGAACCTCTGTCCATCATTTCAGAAAGTCTACCAAATTCTCACGAAATTCAAGCAAATGGAGATTGTCAAGTCTCTCGCCTTGGTATTGAAAATCTAAGACTTACCTAACTGTTACCAGGGAAGAGGTCCCCTTATCCTCCAGAAATACAGTGTGTCTGTCATGGCCTTGGCCTCAGACAACACTTGTGGAATCAAGACATTATTGCATTCCCCTAGACTCTCATACGCCTTTTGTAAAAATGAATTCCATAAGATTGAACTCACCTCTCCTTCTGGAGTTTCTCCCCTGGCCTCCAGCTGCTTCTGCGGACAGCTCAGATCTGGAGTGAGAGCTGCCTGCCAGGGGCTTTTATACCAGAGGGTGTCTCCACCCACCTTAGCCACACCCTTTCCCTCCTTTTTAATCCAATCAGATTCTGATTTCATTCTGCCATCATTGAGATTGTTACTATTGGACAGGTTTTTACCTTAAAGGAAGACGACTGTGTTTTCAGTGTTATTTTTTAATTAACAAGGACAAAATATTGCCATGTAATAATTTTTAGATAAGATCTTGAATATTATGCCTATTGGTTAAAATTTGGAAATTAATTAAAATTAATTAAAATCGTAAAATTTGGGGTGACATTTAAAATTCCTCTAAAATGAACGGTGCGACTTTCAAAGAGTTTTCTATTATAAATGTCACACCTTTTCACATTTCAATAAAAGAGGTGACTTAAACCTACTCAGAAGTCGTTACTAATAGGACACTCCACAGACCACACTCAACTCTCAAAATCATTTTCTCTATAATGTAAAGATTCTAATTAAGAAGCTTAGGAAAGAAATCCCAAAACGGTTTCCAGACAATCAGTCAGCCAGTGAAAGTCCGTTTTTCTTTGTAGTTGCAGCATCTAAAATGAAAGTTAAACGTTACTGTTACAATCTATTTCCCTTACATCACAACATAAGTAAAATGAGATTCATTTCCTCTTTAAAAATGTTCAAAAACGGGTTCCTCATGTATTAAATATATTATAGGTGATCAGAGTTCATGGATAAGAATGTAAAAGTGGGAGACTGGAGGTCAGGTGGGAAAGGATTTGATTACATTAATGTGATTAAATTAATAGTCTTTAATTTAATCATCTCCACAGTAATCATTCTCTAGTGATTGCTAGATTCTCTTCTTTCCTATTCAAAGCCAAGGCAGTTCTCAATTCCTTTTGTCTCATGAAGGCAAATGGAGAAACACAAATCTCTACGTTGTGGTGCATATATTAGATGAAATCCTTGCACATTGCATTTCTTCATTGATTGGGACCTATAATATAATCTGCCACATGTATGTCCATGTATACACACATACCGTATCTACACATATGCATGCAGGGAGAAAATGCTTATCTCTTCTTGCATAATTCTAATTGCTTTATTTTCTCATATAAATCCTTTTAAAATATACTCACATTTCTGGGAGCAGTTATTCTCCAGCTTGTAATTTTATGGGCCCATGTTCCTGGAGCACTGATCCCTCACATCTTTTAATTTTTATCTGCTTCCCGTAAAGCTTGAACGAAATTTCTGTTCTCTTTGGGAATACCAGGTGGCCTCAGTTGTGGAAAGCACCAAGCCCAGTGGGTTGATTTGCCTCTCTAATAGTCTCCCAAAATATCTTACAGCCTGGAATTGCATTCATGCTCATGTCTTGGGAGAGGAGTTCTTCCGTTCAGAATTAGAGAATAGCGTCTTAGGATTGCTGGCACACTGGTGGGGTTGGTTTGGGTGTTAGATACTTTCCACATCTTTTCCAATTGCATCTTTTCACAGAAAGCAGCTCCGCTGGCTTCTATTCAGACAGTGGTAAAGTTTCCTTGCCCACTCTCATGTACAGTTCAGTACTTTAGGGGTCTTCTGTGTTTGAATAAAAACCTGTCCTTCAACATCCCAGTCAGCGAGGTCTGTATTCTCCATGCCCCGTCCCTGCAGGCGTGTCACAGAAGCTGACGTAAATGGTTGGCTTCGGTGGCTTCCGATCCCCAGGCCCTGTTCACTGTACAAGCAAACTTTTCTTTTTTTTTTTAATTATACTTTAAGTTCTGGGGTACATGTGCAGAACGTGCAGGTTTGGTACATAGGTATAGATGTGCCATGTGGGCTTGCTGCACCCGTCAACCCGTCACCTGCATTAGATATTTCTCCCTAATGTTATCCCTCCCCTAACCCCCCGCCCCCCGACAGGTCCCAGTATGTGATGTTCCTCTCCCTGTGCCCATGTGTTCTCATTGTTCATCTCCCACTTATGAGTGAGAACATGTGGTGTTTGGTTTTCCAATCTTCTGATAGTTTGCTGAGAATCATTGTTTCCAGCTTCATCCATGTGCCTACAAAGGGCATGAAGTCATCCTTTTTTATGGCTGCATAGTATTCCATGGTGTAGATGTGCCACATTTTCTTCTTTAACAATGAAGAGAAGCTCAGAGTTTCTGACAACCCAGGGCTTGGCTCAGTTTCCAAAGGAAACTGTCTTCCTTTCTCTCATTGTCAGTGTTGGTACGGCAAACGGATTTGAGGTGAACCAGGACATTGTGGTCCCACCCTGAGCCACTGCCCAGCACGTGGCCCCACTGTCAGTCCAGCCGGGGCATGGATGAGGTGGCTCAGAACCAGGCAGGGCATGTTATTGCTCAACCGTGGCTCTGAATTTTTTTCTTCAAGATTCCTTAGGTTCTGTGTTTTGCCCAGGATATAAGGAAGCACTCATGTGGGTCGTCTGGTTACCAAGTTCTGTGAGGAGAAGTGTCAGTCAGGATGAGCTGAGAACACAGAGGAGAAAAAACAGAATTTTTGCAAAATAGTTTCATTAAGTCCAAACAAAACAAAACAAAAACAGAAAACTACAGCCCGCAAGTATAACAAAACAAAAAAAAAAACCTGTGAACTTTGAGAATCTGATCTGCGTCTGCCACAGAAAACTTCCAATTTTCAACAAAAAATATATGAGGCACACAAAGAGAACCGAATGTCTACAAGTCACAAGATGAAATAAATGTGCTCAAGACCTTGGGCTTCCTCTCTGCAGACTAAATTACTTGTCGAAGGAGGACCAAAAGAACTAAAGGAAACAACAGGCAAAGAACTGAAGTAAATTAGAAGAGTAACACCTCACAAAATAGAAAATATCAATAACCAAATAGAAATTTTAAAAATGAACTAATTAGAAATTGAGGGGCATAAAGTAAAATAACTGAAGTGAAAACTCACTACAGAGGTTCGGCAGAAGTTTTTCAATTCTTTTTGTTTTTACAAATGTTATTAAAATCTAATTCAAGGCTAGGCACGGCGGGTCTTGCCTGTGATCCCAGCATTTTGGGGAGACGAGGCGGGTGAATCACTTGAGGTCAGGAGTTCGGCACCAACCTCGCCAACATGGAGAAACCTCGTCTCTACTAAACGTTCAAAAATTAGCCCGGCATGGTGGCACACACCTGTAATTCCAGCTACTTGGGAGGCTGATGCAGGAGAATCACGTGAATCCAGGAAGCAGAGGTTGCTGTGAGCCGAGATTGTGCCGCTGAACTCCAGCCTGGACGACAGAGTGAGTGAGACTCCAACTTGAAAAAAAAATCTAATTAGAATCAAACAATCTGTACCAATGTAATGTATAAATTTTGATTATTGTTATTTTTCTATTATAAAGACACATGCACGTACATGTTTGTCACAACACCATCCACGCTAGGAAAGACATGGAATCAACCTAGATGGCCAGGAGTGGTGGACTGGATAAAGAAAATGTGGCCCATATACACCATGCAATACTACACAGTCAAAGAATGAAATCATGTCTTCTCCAGTAACATGGATCCAGGTGGAGGCCACTGTCCTAAGTGAAATAACACGGGAACAGGAAAGCAAATATCACGTGTTCTCGCTTAGAAGTGAGAGCTAAGCATTGAGGTCACATGGACATAAAGAAGGGAACAAAGACACTGGGGGCAACTCGAGGGTAGAGGGTGGGAGGAGGGCGAGAATCAAAAAACTCCCTCTCACGTACTGTGCTCATTACCTGGGTGATGAAACTGTCTGTACACCAAACCCCTGAGGCATGCAGTTTATCATGTCACAAAGCTGCACATGTACCCCCATGAACCTAAAATACAAGTTGGAAGGAAAAGAAAAAAAAGAACTTAGTAAAGGAGGGAAAAAAAAACCCAAAACAACATATGGTTCAGGAACCAGCAGCATCAGCTGCTCTTGTCAGAAATTTCTGGGCTCTTGTCAGAAATCCTGAGTCTCAGGAGATCCCAGAGGTGTAGTACCAGAATGCACATTTTAATAAGATCCTCAGACAATTTAACAAATATTCAAGTTGTAGGCCAGTGCTGCCTGAAGAAATATAACATGACCCGCATGTCTCGTAAATGTACTAGTAGCTGCATTCAAAAACATAAAAAAGACCTGGTGAGATTAACTTCAGTAATATATTTCATTGAACCCGATATGTACAGAATAGCATCCTTTCCACTAGGTACCAGCTGCGTTTCTCGTGGTCCAGAGCCACTAGTCCCTACCCTGTTGGACAGCACAGGGCTAGGGCATGAGCTGAATATTCCATTTCCTTAAAAATCTCCAGGTGGTTCTATACTCAGAGGCAAGAACCACTGATGCTCAAAGGTGCATACAATGTTAGGAGCCAGAATCCTTCTAATATTAGGTGAAGAGGCTTTTGCCCAGTTGTTTTTCCCTAGGCCCTTTGTGGGGAGGGTCTAGGTGGGGCAGATACTTTACCTTGGAACTTCAGCATCCTTGGTTCAGCTGTAGAACAGATCTCAGGTGTGGCTCTAGTTCTTTGATCTCGGAAGCTGGCTTCCCCGGTTGACAGTTGATCTTGATCTCATTCTTCTGAGTGACCACGGTACAGAAAGGGCACCATACACCCTCCACTTTGGGGCTTCCTCTTCAGTGAATTGATGCAGCTGATGGATCTACATCTCAAGAATACAAGTTTCTCGAGACAGGCCAGACAGTTAAGACATCTTGCTTCTCACGAATGTTCAGCCGTGGCTGCTGCCTGGGGGGAAAATGTGCCTCTTCGTGGAGATTCCACGAGACGAATGAACTGGGGTTCTTTCACTTTAGGGATTGTGTACCTACTATGTGATATCCCTTGTACCAGGCAATACGGGTACAGACGTGAAGAGTCATGGCTGCTGACTTCTGAATTTCACATGCTAGCTGGAATGAAGAATATCGTTCATTATTCGACATAGAGTTGAAGTGGTAAAAAGGGTCTAGACCCGGGCTGTCCAATATGGTGGCCACCAACAGCATGTGGCTAGCAACCCGCTGAGATGGAGTTTATCTGAATGGAGACATACTGTGAGTGTAAAACACACACTAGATCGTGATGATGTTGGATGAAAAAGGTCGTCATTCATAGCTGTTTAATATTGGTTACATTTTAAAATGACAAATCTTTCGGATGTTAAAATTAATTCAACATGTTGCCTTCCATTTTCTTTAGTGTATCTAGAAAATTTATCATTACATATATGGGTCACAGTATATTTCTTATGAACAGCTCTGGTCTAGACTGAAAGACCCTCCGACTCCCCCCCAGCAGGTCTAATATGACTGTGGGAAAAACTAACGGGACCTGAGAAATTGAGTAAGTTAATGGCTGAGACTCAACTCACCAGCGTCCTGCAGAGTCTTTGAAGCTATGATTTGATTAAAGAAAATGAAGGCCCTTGTCAGTACACCAGCCTGGGTTTTGAAATTGAAGTCCTGCCAATACCTGCCAGGGCAGAGGGCTCAGTGCACACACTGTACCTGGCATGGAGTTGGCTTCACGGCTTCACACAACACTTGCTGAATTAATAAATTACCCAGTTCCCTGGACTTTGCTCTCTCTGCCCTTTGTAGAAATGTAAATTATATAAAATTGGATTTACCTTTCTTCCATTGTGGCTTTTTTTTTTTTTGGCTTTTTTTTTTTTTTTGGCTTCGAACCTTCTGAAATAATTTGGTTTTGGAGTGACATCCATGGGCAAGAGGCTTTTATTGAAGAGGGTACCTCTTCCCACCTTAATCACATCAGGCCACACCTTCTTAATCCAATCATATTTTAATTTAGGCAGAAATAAGAGTTTTACTAATGGTATATAGAGAGGTTACCACAAATGTTTTTGCTTAACGTGGAAACCCACATTTATTATGAATTCCTTCCTTCTGTCAATTTTTTTTTTTTTTTAGATAGGGTCTCACTCTGTTGCCCAGGCTGGAGTGCAGTGGTGCTATCTCGGCTCACTACAACCTCCACCTCCCAGGTTTAAGTGATTCTCCTGCCTCAGCCTCCCGAGTAGCTGGGATTACAGGCGCCCACCACCACGTCTGGCTAATTTTTGTATTTTTAGTAGAGAAGGGGTTTCGCCATGTTGGCCAGGATGGTCTCGAACTCTTGACCTCAATTGATTAACTCACCTCTTCTTATTTCCTTACTTTCTCCTACCTTCCTCAGCCTCTAATAACCACTACTCTACTCTCTAGTTCTGAGATCAAATTTCTTTTAGATTTCACGTATAAGTGAGACCATGGGATATTTGTCTTTTTGTGCCTGACTTATTCCATCTAACATAATGTCCTCCAGTCGTTAAGTGAAATAAGCCAGACACAGAAAGACAAACTTCCCACTTATCTGTGGGAGCTAAAAATTAAAGCAATTGAACTTATGGAGACAGAGTAGAAGGGTGATTACCAGAGGCTGGGAATCGTAGCAGAGGGGACTTGGCGGGGAAGTGGGGATGGTTAATTGGTATTAAAAAATAGAAAGAATAGGACTTAGGATTGGCTAGCACAACCTGTTGACTATAGTAAAAAATAACTTAATGTACATTTAAAAAATAACTAAAAGAGGCCGGGCGCGGTGGCTCACACCTGTAATCCCAGCATTTTGGAAGGCTGAGGCAGGAGAATCACCTGAGGTCAGGACTTCAAGACCAGCCTGGCCAACATGGTGAAACCCCGCCTCTACTAAAAATACAAAAATTAGCCAGGCACCGTGGTGTGCACCTGTAATCCCAGCTACTCAGGAGGCTGAGGCAGGAGAGTCGCTTGAATTCAGGAGGCAGAGGTTGCGGTGAGCTGAGATGGTGCCACTGCACTCCAGCCTGGGCAACAGAGTGAGACAGTCTTAAAATACAAATAAAAATAAACTAAATGAGTATAATTGGATTGTTTGTAACACAAGGGATAAATCCTTGAGGTGATGGATACTCTATACATTTTGATGTGATTATTACACATGGCAAGCCTGAACCAAAATATCTCATGTACCCCATAAATATATACCCCTACTCTGTACCCACAAAAACAAAAAAAAATGGAAAGACTAATGAAAAAACCCAGAATACCCTCCAGGTTCATCCGTGTTCTTACAAATAACAGGATTTCCTTCTTTTTAAAGGCTGAATAGTATTTCATTGTGTATATGTGCCACATTTTCTTTATCCATTCATCCACAGTCACATTTGAATTTTATGTCTATCGTTCCAGTCCTTAACAAACACAGTATGTAGATTTCAGAATTTTGTAAAGTTAAAGTTAAAAATAGAACAAAATGGCACGTACAGTGTTAGGATCATAAGCAACAATGCATTTCTGTAATGTATTTCTTATTAACCTGCAGTAGAAATAGCTTTTAAAATAAACTGATGAATCACAGTTTTATGGACTATTAGTTTTAAGCTTTGGCACCAAACATGTTTTCATATATTAGAAAGGGACATTGACTGTTGAAGAATGCGCACTTTCTAGGAATGTGGACACATCTCATATCTTGACTGGGTTGGTAGTATGTGGGCATATATTTTTATCAAAAGTCAGTGAACTGGTACCTAGATCTTGAATTTTAAATATTATTCTACACTAAGAGAAATCAAGACCCCTTGAAGAAATAGCTAAATCAGGGCTGGGGCAAGGGAAATACTAGAGGAACCTGGACTATCTTGTAGTCCCAGAAAATAAGAAAAGGATCAGTGATGGCTCACACCTGTAATCCCAGCACTTTGGGAGGCCGAGGCGGGCGGATCACGAGGTCAGGAGATCGAGACCATCCTGGCTAACACGGTGAAACCCCGTCTGTACTAAAAATACAAAAAAAATTAGCCGGGCATGTTGGCGGGCGCCTGTAGTCCCAGCTACTCGGGAGGCTGAGGCAGGAGAATGGCACGAACCCGGGAGGCAGAGCTTGTAGTGAGCAGAGATCGCGCCACTGCACTCCAGCCTGGGCGACAGAGCGAGACTCTGTCTCAAAAAAAAAAAAAAAAAGAAAGAAAGAAAGAAAAAAGAAAAGGATCAGTGATGGGGACGTGTCACCGGATCTTGAAATGAAAATGAAATTGAAGTGGGTCCCACTTGCCGAATGTGGACCAATTTGAATACCAAACTAAATATTTACAATAACATAACCTTGAGAATGAAATGAGAATCAATGAATCAATACTGGTGAAATGAACAAGTGAAATATACCACAGTTTCTTCATCCATTCCGTGATTGCTGGGCATCTGGGTTGGTTCCACAATTTTGCAGGGGCGAATGGTGCAGCTATAAACAGGTGTGTACAAGTGTCTTTTTCATATAATGACTTCTTTTCCTCTGGGTAGATACCTAGGAGTGGGGTTGCGGGATCAAATGGTAGTTCTACTTTTATTTATATGGTGGAATACTACTCAGCCACAAAAAGGAATGAATTAACAGCATTTGCAGCAACCTGGATGAGATTCGAGATTATTATTCTAAGTGAAGTAACTCAGGAATGGAAAACCAAACATCGTATGTTCTCACTGATATGTGGGAGCTAAGCTATGAGGATGCAAAGGCATAAGAATGATAAAATGGACTTTGGGGACTTGGGGGGAAGAGAGGGAGGGGGGCGAGGGACAAAATACAACAAATACGGTGCCGTGTATACTGCTCGAGTGATGGGTGCACCAAAATCTCACCAATCACCACCAAAGAACTTACTCATGTGACCTAATATCACCTGTGTACCCCAATAACTTAAAGGAAAATTTTTAAAAATCAGACAGAAAAAAATAAACGAACAAGTGAGTAAAATTCATCCCTCTATTAAAACGTCAGCTAATAAATGTAGAAGAAATGATGAAGTTATAAAACTGTCATTTGAATATTACTCAACCATAAGAAACAAGAAAATTCTGCTATTTGTGACAACATGGATGAGTCTGGAGGACGTGGTGCTCAGTGAAATAAGCCACATACAAAAAGGCAAATATTGTGTGATCTCACTTGTATATGGAATATTTTTTTAAAAAGCTAAACTCATAGAAGCAGAGAGTACAGAGGTGGCGGGCTGGGAGAAGAGGAAATGAAAAGATGCTGGTCAATGGGTACAAACTCTCAATAATAAGATGAATAAATTCTGAAGCCCTGATGTACAAGGAGATGACCATATTTAATAATACTGTACAGTTTACTTACAATTTGTGAAGAAAGTAGATTTTAAGTGTTCTTATCCCACGCAAGCACAAAAAGTTAAGTAATTGTGATGACGTGTTAATGTGGTTGTGGTAATCTTTTCACAATGCCTATGTATAATCGAATTATCGTTTCAAACACATTGAATATGTACAATTTTTACCCGTCAATTATATTTTAATAAAGCTAGCGGAAAATCTTTTAATAAAAAAGAAATTAAAATATCATTTATTTTGGTTACTACTTTTTGGCAAATAAAATGTTCAAAAAGGTTCTTGTTTAGTTTCCAAGTCATTTCAAGAGAATTTCCAGTTTGTTTAAAAAACTTGTGAAAATAGGCCGGGGGTGGCGACTCATGCCTGTAATCCCAGCACTTTGGGAGGCCAAGACGGGTGGATCACGAGGTCAGGAGATCAAGACCATCCTGGCCGACACGGTGAAACCCCATCTCTACTAAAAATACAAAAAATTAGCCAGGCGTGGTGGCGGGCGCCTGTAGTCCCAGCTACTTGGGAGGCTGAGGCAGGAGAATGGTGTGAACCCGGGAGGCGGAGCTTGCAGTGAGCCGAGATCGCGCCACTGCGCTCCAGCCTGGGCGACAGAGCGAAACTCCGTCTAAAAAAAAAAAAAGCCTTCTGAAAATAAATTCCTGCAATTAGAAAAATATATCTGAAGAAACAATTTTATCTTCTGAGTGAGCTTTTAGGGAATACTTGTGAATAGGCTTTATCAAAAGGGTCTCTAACTACATATTTGTTACATGTGGATAAGATGCAACTTCTAACATTTTGCCAACAGACTTTTTTTTTTTTTTAAGACAGAGTCTCACTCTGTCACCCAGGCTGGAGTGCAGTGGCACAATCTCGGCTCACTGGCACCTCTGCCTTCTGGGTTCAAGCAATTCTCGTGCCTCAGCTGGGATTACGGGCACCCACCAACACGCCCAGCTAATTTTTGTATTTTTAGTAGAGATGGGGTTTCACCATGCTGGCCAGGATGGTCTCCAACTCCTGATCTCAGGTGATTCACCCACCTCGGCCTCTCAAACTGCTGGGATTACAAGTGTGAGCCACGGTGCCCGGACACCAATGGACTTCTTAATAGGCATGGTCTAACTAATATAATATTCAGCCAGGATGGGAAATTCAGTTTCAGCCAGAACGAAATAAGGCATAGTGCAATTCATTAAAGAACTAATATATATCCAAAAGAGAAAGAGATAACTGCCTGCAGAATTTCCTGAAATTAAAAGAAAAATTTCACCATCATTATAATTGGCATAATTATGTCTAACACAATTAACTCTAATTTCATCAATATAATAATGAAAGGTGAACTTTCAACAAAACTAAAGAAACCTCCAGGACGTGTAAACGAAAGTGAAATGGAATTCCGAGTGTTCCCTCTCAAGTCCATGCTACTACGAGCTTTGGGCATGGTTGGAGGGTCAGAGTTAGAAATGAGTTGGATTCCTTTGAGGCCCAGAGACTCAACACTCAGGCAGGGACGGGTGTAAGCGTTGACACTGGCGAAGTGAGATGCAGAAACTGAACTCTTCACTCACAGGAGATTCTTGAAGTGCTGAAACTCTAGCGATTCAGCAACAGAATCCTTACCTCTATGCCAGGAGAGAAAGTAAGCCAATTACTTCCCCCAAAGGACAATTGTTTCTCGGCAATTTTAAAATATTAGGAATTGAAAGCCAAAGGCAGTCCCAGAAATTTCATGGAAGGATAGTGAAAGAAAAAATACGAAACCAACACACTAACCCTCACACTTATGAGAGACAAGGCCTACTTGGATGAACCTACCAGAAGCAGAATTGAACACTTTTGGTTACCTTTTGCAAGTGAAGCCATATGGTCACACCAAAGTGAAAATATTCCTTATTCATTGCTTCAAAATAACTACAAGACACACTTGGAAACAATTTCCCATGAGCAAGAATCAGTGACACAACGTGAGAATGTGTGTCCCGATACTCAACACTCTAAAAGGCACTGTGCAATAACTTTAATATTATTAAAATAGTATGCAGGATAAAACTATAAAAATGCATATGGAAATACATTACTATAAACCCACGTAATACAGAAATATTCAATTTTTTTTTTTGAGACAGAGTTTCGCTCTTGTTGCCCAGGCTGGAGTGCAATAGCGCGATCTCAGCTCACTGCAACCTCCACCTCTGGGGTTCAAGAGATTCTTCCACCTCAGCCTCCTGAGTAGCTGGGATTACAGGCATGTGCCACCACACCTGGCTAATTTTTGTATTTTTAGTAGAGACGGGGTATCTCCATGTTGGCCAGGCTCATCTCGAACTCCTGACCTCAGGTGATCTGCCCGCCTCAGCCTCCCAAAGTGCTGGGATTACAGGCATGAGCTACTGTGCCCGGCCAATACTCAATATCTGTAAAGTGGTATGATATTGTAGCAGTAACAGAAAATAGACAAATATAGTACAACAAAAGTTACAGAAAGAGATCAAGGCAACAGGTGGGTGTTTCACAACAAGTGGATGGCGCCAGAAAATTGGTATGGGAAGATAGGCTATGCAATATATGTGTTGAAGTAATTGGTATCAATAGATAAAACTGAACCACTACATCACATTATGAAGATTTATTATGTATAAGTGAATTGAAAATGTAAAAAGAGATATTAATGTGTGAAAGAAAATATAGGGAAATAGTTGACTTTCAGGACAGGAAGTATTTATATCACCCACAAATGATAAGATTAATAAAAATAGACATTAATACATTTTAAAACAACTCTACCCCTAAAATACCATAGACAATAAATAGAAAATCCCAAATTTTAGAAAGATTTATGATTCTATATTAACCAGCAAATTGTATTTTGCATAAATATACACAAAAAAATACATAAAGTCAGGTAAATCTTTAAGGAAAAGAACAGGCAATTCACAAAAGAGAAACCAAGTGACAGCCCAGCCACCCTTTCCGCCCCCCATCATCACCATCATCACCATCATCACCATCATCACCATCATCATTATCTTCATCTTCACCATCACCATCATCATCATCTTCACCATCACCATCATCATCATCACCATCACTATCATCATCACCACCATCATCACAATCTTCATCTTCACCATCACCGTCATCATCATCACCATCATCTTCATCTTCACCATCACCATCATCACCACCATAATAATCTTCATCTTCACCATCACCGTCATCATCATCATCACCATCATCACCATCATCATCAATATCATCACGATCATCATCCTCTTCATTTCACAGAAGAGGAAAAACAAGTGAAGTTAATAAATACTTGCCCATAGCCACACCAACAGTCTAGAATAGAGGTTGCTGTTCCAGCTCAAGTGCTTAACCACTTCTAACCTTCTATGCCAGATCCTGTGGTGGCTATCAGAAAAACTGAAGAAAGGGAGATCAAGACACAGCCCTCTAATGGATGCACCCCGGCCCAGCTAAGGATGGTTTAAGCAGTCAGGGTAAAGAGGTCAGGTCAGAATTTTGATGGTGAGTAGCTGGTTAAAGAAAGGCCAAGATCCTGGAGAGGAAAGATTCTTTGAGTCTCTTAGCTCAGTCTCATTAGGCAGAACTGAGCCACATCTCCCCACAGATCCAACACAGACATTCCTAAGCCTCACTGGGATCAATGATGGCTGGGAGGCAGGACAATGCAGCGGTTAAAATTTGGGCTGACCAAGTAGGAATGTTCTCAACTCTAGCCTCCACCCTGATGGCCTCAAGTATCTTTGACAATGGGAATAATAATGCTATCTACTTCCGAGGACTGTGAAGAGAAGGATCTTGCATGAAATGCACTCAGCTGTAGGGCTTTTACACCATTAGCATTCAATTAATGTTAAAGAGGGTGGGGACAAGAATGGCAGCTGCGGGAGGGATAATGGGGATGAGCGTGAAGAGGGGGCAGCATTCGCACAGGAGTCAATGATGAGGGTAACAGGGTGTTTGGGAGACAACTGCAGATTCTGACTTCTGCCCTTTACATCCAAAGCCAGTTACTCGAGCATATTCATTGATTTCCTTACATGCAAATGCTCCTTTTTAAGTGCTCAACTTTTAAAGCGGAAGTTGAGACATGCACAAAATAGATTTCCTTAGGAAGTTCATAGGAGGAGTCAGATACTCAGATTATGAGAACAGTGGTTCCCATTACTAGTCTCCAAACCAGCTCTCATTGGTCGGGAGAAGATAGTTCGCAGAAGCCCTGTGATCATATTATATTACGTAGGGAGATGATATTAACAGCAGCACGGACTATCCAGCTGGGGGAAAAGCATTCACACCTGAGGAGTTAAAAAAGAACCTAAACAATTGCCGTCTGGGTCTAGTCATCAATATCCATGACAGCCAATGAAAAGGAGAGATTCTGTGGCCAGTCACAGAGCAGCCAGGGCCTTTTATTCTAAGTTTCCACCGCTGTTCTTTGTTGAGTTCCAGCCAGGAGGACCAGGGGCTGGGTTGGGTAAGTCTTCCCCCTGACCTTTCTTTCTTCTTCATTTCCCTAAAGTCTCAGTGCTTCCTGAAGGTCTGGAGTGCATAAGGAACAGGTAAGAGGGCACCAGAAATGATCAAGTCTTGACCTTTTGTTTTGGCAAGGATGCATTGTAGTGAAAACCATTTATTTATTTATTTATTTGTTGTTTTAAGATGGAGTTTTGCATTGTCACCCAGGCTGGAGTGCAATGGCGCGACCTCGGCTCACCACAACCTCTGCCTCCTGGGTTCAAGCGATTCTCCTGCCTCAGCCTCCCGAGTGGCCGGGACTCCAGGCGCACGCCACCACTCCCGGCTAATTTTTGTACTTCTAGTAGAGATGCGGTTTCGCCATGTTGGCCAGGCTGGTCTCAAAGTCCTGACCTCAAGTGATCCGCCCGCCTCGACCTCCCAGTGTGCTGAGATTACAGGTGAGAGCCACTGCTCCCGGCCTGTAATGAAAACCAGATAAATTTGCAGAGAGATTGTGTACCCGGCACTTTCACTTGTTAACTTTTGTGTTTCCGGACTCTAAATTGGGTGAGAGAAAGGGACTCTTCCAGAAGGCATTGTCTCCTTATTTTTTTTTTTCTGAAATTGAATTAGAGATACAGAAAATTGGAGGTCTTGGAGAGCTGAGGAGAAATGATGAAAATATCGAAAACTGAAGGTCCATTTTCCAGACTTGGTCTGTTGGTTCTGATTGGGGGATTCATGTAACCTGGGGAGACAAATAATAAAACACCAAATCTCTGGCAGTGAGAAAGAGTGAAGTGGAGAGAAGGAAGTTTGAGACCTGTTGATCTGGTGACTTGGCTGGTTGGTTTTGAAGTAATCTTTTATCAGCCAGTTCTAAAATGTCCTAACCTTATGCTAAATGACATATTCATCACGTTGTCAGTAATGGTTGCTTTGCATGCCCACAAGAATAGCTTGAGAGTAGGGGTGAGCCAGGGGGTAGAATCTGGGAGGAATGAGGAGATTGTGCCAGAGACCTTGGATGGCAACAACACAAAATGGTAATGGGTGGTGGAGCCTAGTGTTGGCCGAAAGTCTGTGAGGTGTTAGGGAGCACCAGCGAGGGTATCTATACCTTATCTGGACTCCACAGCATGAAGAATGGGGCTGATGAAACCGTCGGCATGAGAGAGCCGCGGGAGACTCAGTATCTGTAGAGGGGGGTGTCCCCTAGAGCAGGGAGGAGAAAGGAATGTTCGGAGAAGAGATTGAGGGGATGTGGGGTTTGTTTTTTTGTTTGTTTGTTTGTTTTAAACTTTTGGTGAAATATACATAAAATTTACCATCTTAACTACTTTTAAGAGTACAATTCAGTGGCATTA
The DNA here is from genome assembly GCF_000001405.40 of Homo sapiens. Taxonomy (NCBI): domain Eukaryota; kingdom Metazoa; phylum Chordata; class Mammalia; order Primates; family Hominidae; genus Homo; species Homo sapiens. Next base: position 55,744,107 of record NC_000019.10, on the reverse strand, counting down.
AGTGCATTCACATTGCTGTGCGGTCATCACCACCATCCCTAGAACCTGTTCATACCAAACTGAAACTCTATGCAATGTCCATCAAACCACTCCCCGTATCTTCTCCAGCCCCTCTAGTCTCCGTCTGACTCCATACAATGGTCCAATTGTACTATAATAGTATACCATTATTTAACTGTTTTCTTATTTATGAATATTTAGGTTTTTGCTTTCAACAATTATTTAAAACCCTGCAGCGACCATTTGTGCACACAAAACTCTAGGCACATTTGCAAATGCTACTTTGGAATGGATAACCAGAGAGTAAAATCGTGGGGTTGAAGAAAATCTTCATTTTCCATTTTAATAGAGGTTGCCACATTTTCCTCCAAAATTACATGCATTTGTATTCCACCATTGTTTAACATCCATTTCCCCATATATTATGATGAAAATTATGTATATTATTTATTTATTTTTTGAAACTGAGTTTTGCTCTTGTCGCTCAGGCTGGAGTGCAATGGTGTGATCTCGGCTCACTGCAACCTCCACCTCCTGGGTTCAAGCGATTCTCCTGCTTCAGCCTCCCGAGTAGCTGGGATTACAGGCATGCGCCACCATGCCCGGCTAATTTTTTGTATTTTTAGTAGAGTTAGAGTTTCACCATATTGGGCAGGCTGGTCTTGAACTCCCGACCTCAGGTGATCCACCCACCTCAGCCTCCCAAAGTGCTGGGATTACAGGCATGAGCCACCATACCCGGCCTATATATTTCAAATCTGGATGGAAAATGAGCTTCTAGAAAATTTTTCCTATTTTTAACAGCCATTGAAGTTTATTTCATGAAGTTTGTCTGTTCCTTTCTCAGTAAGTTAAATTAGCTTCTTACTTGCCTGTTACATTAAAATGTACACTTAAAATTTAACTATGGAGGCCGGGCGCCGTGGCTCATGCCTATAATCACAGCACTTTGGGAGGCCAAGGCGGGTAGATCACAAGGTCAGGAGTTCCAGACCATCCTGGCCAAGATGGTGAAACCCCGTCTCTACTAAAAATAAAAAAAATTAGCCAGGCGTGGTGGCAGGTGCCTGTAATCCCAGCTACTCAGGAGGCTGAGGCAGAGAATTGCTTGAACCTGGGAGGCGGAGGTTGCAATGAGCTGAGGTCATGCCACTGCACTCCAGCCTGGGCGACAGAGCGAGACTCTGTCTCAAAAAACAAAATAAATAAATAAATAAATAAATTTAACAATGGATTTCCATGCTTTTGCCTTTATTTTCTAATTTTATTGTGATTGTTGAATGAGACCAGTGATCTCTGATTTAGAATACCTGTTTCTCTTTTAGTTTTTCTTTATGCCCAAGATAAGGTCATGTTTAGTAAATGTCCCATATGCGTTTGAATGAAATGTACATATTTGATTTGGAATCAAACCACTTTCCCTTTAAAAAATGTATACATATATTTCACATACATATGTCACAAACTTGTGCATTACCTCAATAGCATATTACTAATTTTTTTTTTTTTTTTTTTTTGCTGGGTGTGGTGGCTCTTGCCTATAATCTCAGCACTTTGGAAGGCCGAGGTGGGAGGATTACTTGAGACCAGGAGTTTGAGACCAGCCTGGGCAACATAGTGAGACATCATGTCTACAAAAATCTAAAAAAATTAGCTGGGCCTGGTGGTGTGTGCCTCTAGCCCCAGCTACTTGGGAGGCGGAGGTGGGGAGGCTGAGGAGGTCCTTGAGCCCCGGTGGGTGTGGGTGGGGGGCCGGTCGAGGCTGCAGGGAGCTGTGATTGAGCCACTGCACTCAGCCTGGGCACAGAGCAAGACCTTGTCTCAAGAAATTTATTGTGGTAAAATACACATAATACAAAACTTACCGTCTTAACCATTTTAAGTGTATAATTCAGTGGTACTAAATACACTTATAATGTTGTACAAGCATCGTCACATCCATCTCCATAACTGTTTATCTTGTAAAACTGAAACTGTCCTCATTAAACAATAGCTCTCCATTTTCTTCTTCAGCCTCGGCAACCATCATTCTACTTTGTCTCTATGATTCTGACCACTTTAAGTACCTCATATACGTTTAATGGAACAGTATTTGTCATTTTGTGACTGGTTTCTATCACTTGGCATAATGTCCTCAAGGTTCATTCATGTCACAGCATATGTCAGAATCTCCTTCCTAGGCCGGGCGCTGTGGCTCACGCCTGTAATCCCAGCACTTTGGGAGGCTGAGGCGGGCGGATCACGAGGTCAGGAGATCGAGACCATCCTGGCTAACACAGTGAAACCCCATCTCTACTAAAAATTCAAAAAATTAGCCGGGCGTGGTGGCCGGCGCCTGTAGTCCCAGCTACTCCGGAGGCTGAGGCAGAAGAATGGTGTGAACCCGGGAGGCGGAGCTTGCAGTGAGCCGAGATCGCACCACTGCACTCCAGCCTGGGGACAGAGTGAGACTCCTTCTCAAAAAAAAAAAAAAAAAAAAAAAAACTCCTTCCTTTTTTTTTTTTTTTGAGACAGAGTCTCGCTCTGTCGCCCAGAGTGGAGTTCAGTGACGCAATCTTTGCTCACTACAACCTCCGACTCCCAGGTTCAAGCGATTCTCCTGCCTCAGCCTCCTGAGTTAGCTGGGATTACAGGCACCTGCCACCACACCTGGCTAATTTTTTTTTTGTATTTTTAGTAGAGACGGGGTTTCACCATGTTGACCATGCTGGTCTCGAACTCCTGACCTCAGGTGATCCAACCGCCTCAGCCTCCCAAAGTGCTGGGGTTACAGGCAGGAGCCACCGGGCCCAGCATCCTTCCTTTTTAAGGCTGTATAATACTGTATTTATAGACTGCATTTCACTTTTCCATTCATCTGTTGATGAACACTTGGGTCACTGATGCTCCTATTAACATGAGTGTCCGGATAACTCTGAGAGAGTCTGCTTTCAATTCTTTGGGGTTGCTGGATCCTACAGTAATTCTGTTCTTATTTTTTCAGGAAATATGATACAGTTTTCCACAGTGGCTGAACCATTTAACATTTATACGTCACTAGGATACAAGGGTTCCAGTTTCTCTACCTTCTCATCAACACTTGTTTTGAATTTTTTTTTTTTTGTAGTTACCATCTTAGTGGATGTGAAGGATTATCTCATTGTAGTTGTGATCTGTATTTCCCTAATGGTTAGTGACGTTGAGCCTCTTTTTATGTGCTTATTGGCTATGGACCATTTGTATATCTTTGGAGAAATGTCTATTCTAGTCCTTTTCTCATTGTTATAAGATTGTTTTGTTATTGAGTTTTAGGCATTCCCTGTAATCTGGATTTTAATCCCTGTGAGATACATGCTTTGCAAATATTTTCTCCCATTCTGTTGGTTGACTTTTTACTCTTTTGATATCGTCTTTGTTTTTGAGACAGAGTCTCGCTCTGTCACCCAGGCTGGAGTGTAGCGGTGTGATCTCAGCTTGCTGCAGCCTCCGCCTCCCGAGCAGCTGGGATTACAGGTGTCTGCCACCACGCCTGGCTAATTTTTGTATTTTTAGTAGGGACAGGGTTTCACCATGTGGGCCATGGGTCTCAAACTCCTGGCCTCAAGTGATCCACCTGCTGCGGCCTCCCAAAGTGCTGGGATTACAGGCATGAACCACCGCACCTGGCTGATACTGTCTTTTGATGCACAAAATTTTAAAATTTTTATAAAGTCCAGTTTGTCTATTTTTTTCTTTTGTCTGTGTCATGTCATATTCAAGAAATAATCCAGACCAAATCTGTGTCTGGAAGCTTCTGCCCTACATTTTCTCCTAGGAGTTTTATACTTTGGGCCTTCCATTTAGATCTTCTTCAATCCATTTTGCATTAATTTTTGTTTATGGTATTAAGGGTCCAAGTTTATTCTTTTGCATGTGACCATAGATGGTATGTAACCTTTGCTAATGGTTTGTAATTATCTGAAAGGTATATTAGCTCAGATACAATGATATTGCGTTTGTCATCATCTCCTTATGTGTAAAGTGGTATTCCCAGGTGCACATATGCTCATGAGTTCTAGATCTTGGGGAACTGAATCTTGGTGTTCAAAAATTCTTAGTCCATTTAGTGCTTTCTAGCTTGAGTGTTTTTCAATGCTGATATTTTATACTATTAATACTTTTTTGGGTAAGAATTTGCCAGGCTTTTTCTTCTTCTGTTTTACTTCTCTGTGTATTTTCTAGGATTCTCTTATAAACAGCATATAGCAGGATTTGTATTTATCCAATGTGAGTCTATATATTAGTGAGCAATTTTATTTCATTCATATGTGTTAAGATTATATTTAGGCTGGGCGCAGTGGCTCAAGCCTATAATCCCAGCACTTTGGGAGGCTGAGGCAGGTGGATCACCTGAGGTCAGGAGTTCGAGACCAGCCTGGCCAACATGGTGAAACCCCATCTCTACTAAAAATACAAAAAAAAAAAATTAGCCGGGCATGGTGGCAGGTGCCTGTAATCCCAGCTACTTGGGAGGACGAGGCAGGAGAATCATTTGAACCTGGGAGGCAGAGGTTGCAGTGAGCTGAGGTCATACCATTGCATTCTAGTCTGGGCAACAAGAGTGAAACTCTATCTCAAAATACATATCTATATATATTTGGTATTATTTTTGCCACCTGTCTTATTTTGTCTACCATATATTTCTACTTCATTTCCTGTCTTTTGTTGAATTGCAATGATTATCTGAAGGGTTTATAATACTGGGAACGTTCACTGCTCTGTTTCTGTCTGAGTTGTCTGCAGATGCTAACCTATAGTAAATCTAACTTTTTCCTTATATACTGTAATAAGAAGGCATATACCGGCCGGGCACGGTGGCTCATGCCTGTAATCCCAGCACTTTGGGAGGCCGAGGCGGGTGGATCACGAGGTCAGGAGATCGAGACCATCCTGGCGAACACAGTAAAACCCCATCTCTACTAAAAATACAAAAAAATTAGCCGGGTGTGGTGGCAGGCACCTGTAGTCCCAGCTACTCAGGAGGCTGAGGCAGGAGAATGACGTGAACCCGGGAGGCAGAGCTTGCAGTGAGCCGAGATTGCGCTACTGCACTCCAGCCTGGGCATCAGAGCGAGACTCTGTCTCAAAAAAAAAAAAAAAAAAGAAGGCATATACCACTAAACGATAAAAAAAAATTTAAATTTGCTTTTATGTCCTCTTCCTTTATTTTCATCTTCCTGAATGTGATCATCTGTAATTTTAATATCCGTTCATTTTTTCATTATCAAAATTGGATTAGACTATACTAAGGATGGGAAGGTCTACAGAGCAAACAAACTCATAGAATGCTGGTAGGAATGTCAGTAATTATATACACAAGGGAAAACCGTTGAGTGTTATGTAGCAAACATGGTGACCTGTGTTTGCTGTTTGACCTATAATTTATAAATCTAGAGAAATGTGTGCTTATATACACCAAACTACACAAAAACACTTGTTCCTGGAAGCATCATTTATGTCAGACAAAAACAAGACACATAAGTGGCAGTCAACTCTACCATTCACATGCATTTGTTTGGAAAAAGATGAAGCTTCTTCCCTAGATGATGTTTGGTGCAAGCTACGCATGATGATATCAATAATTTTGAGCTGCTTTCAGCTGCTGAAGCTTAACTCTGTAATCATGTCATTCTTCTCCAGGTATCATTTATTCTTTATTTTTGAGGATCTTTCTTTTCCCTCTGGAGACACCTCAGTTCACAATCCTGGGGCGATATGGCAGAATCTTTTTTTTCGGATTTTGGCTTGTTGTGGTATCTGAAGGAGCTCAGAAAGGAAGAGTTTTGGAAATTTAAGGAGCTCCTCAAACAACCTTTGGAGAAATTTGAACTCAAGCCAATCCCCTGGGCTGAGCTGAAGAAGGCCTCCAAAGAAGATGTAGCAAAGCTGCTGGACAAACATTACCCAGGAAAGCAGGCATGGGAGGTAACACTGAACCTGTTTCTACAGATCAATAGGAAAGATCTCTGGACAAAGGCTCAGGAAGAGATGAGAAGTAAGTGCTGGATGATGGGGCGAGGACCCATGGGGGAAGCCTGGGAACAAGGTGATAGCATTGTTAAATGAGTGGCCACCCCCTCCATCAGATGAGAATGTGTGTGGGTCAAGGTGAGAGTTGAAGGTAGGAAGAGTTGCAGGCCAGGGCTGTTCATATGTGGGCCAGCGATGAACTGGGGACAGATGGCGTCCTGATACCAACTGTTCACCTATGGAGTGTCTTCCCATTTTTCCACCCCAAGTGGAGTCGTTGTTATAGGAGATGAGTGGCCAGTTAGTGTCTGCATTGCCAGGTCTACTGAGATGGAATTCTAGTATGGTAGTTGCCTATCTTTTTTTTTTTTTTTTTTTTTTTTTTAGAGAAAGGGTCTTGCCATGTTGCTCAGGCTGGTCTTGAACTCCCAGGCTCAAGTGATCCACCTGCCTAGGCATCCCAAAGTGCTGTGATTACAGGAGTGAGCCACCATGCCTAACTGCCTGTCCTTTTTGACCAGACATGTACCAAGGAGTAGGTAGAATCTTAAGACAATCAGACAGCGTATGTCCCGGGTACTACAGGAAGCATTCTTGCGAGCTTGTTTGGAGGTTCTAGTAGGGGAGCACAGCTTCTCTTCTGCCCGCGATGGAAGGACCTTCCTCTATGGGCAAAGGTTGTCATCGTCTTTGACCCAGGGGAGACTTTCAGGACGGACGCATATGGAGCAGTGAGGGAGGAAGTGGACACCCACCCAGCTGGCCACATCAGCCGAATTAGCCCTGGGGCGACCAATGGGGTGACAGACATCACAGCCAGGTTGTCCTCACGTCCTGGAAGCATTCTTTCTGCATAATGTCTTTTCATTCTTATCACAACCCAGGAAAGGTTTACAAGTGAGAAAACTGGACAAAACAGTGTTCCCATGTGTTACATGACTTTTCCAAAAGTGACAGATCTGACTCCGAACCAGTTCTGCTGGACTCATTGATGGGGTCTACACCCTCCTCTCGGGGGATACTTAGGAAAAACTAAATATATTCCCTATTAGGTATCTAGTAATTAGCATTTGTTTCTGATGATTGTTATCTTCTCCCTTTACTTTTGAGTTCCATCAACTTCTGTTACGTTTACTTCTGTTTTGTTCATGTTTCTTCTTTGTGTTGGTAATTCTAATTTGAGACCTTATTTCGTATCCCCACATGCTTGAGGGTATTTTATTTGGTTTGGAGTTGCTTGCTGTGTTAGTTTTTTGTTTTTTTTTTTGTTTTTGTTTTATTTTTTTGAGACGGAGTCTTGCTCTGTTGCCCAGGTTGGAGGGCAGTGACATGATCTCGGTTCACTGCAACTTCTGCCTCCCAGGTTCAAGCGATTCTCCTTCCTCAGCTTCCCGAGTAGCTGGGATTACAGGCATGCACCACCACGCCCAGCTAATTTTTGTATTTTTAGTAGAGACGGGGTATCACCATGTTGGTCAGGCTGGTCTCAAACTCCTGACCTCAGATGATCCTCCTGCCTGGGCTTCCCAAAGTGCTGTGATTACAGGTGTGTGCCAGTTTTCTTTATCTGTGTGGTTCGTGTCTTTGACTTTTCTGCTGATTAATGTTCTATGTTGGCAGATGAAAAAATGACCGAGTCAGTGTCTGAACTGAGAGTTTCTCACTTGGGACACTGAGGTCCTAAATGTTATAAAAATCTCTAAGACATGACATGACTTTTTTCTTTTTTGAGACGGAGTCTCGCTCTGTCGCCCAGGCTGGAGTGCAGTGGCGCGATCTCAGCTCACTGCAAGCTCTGCCTCCCGGGTTCCCACCATTCTCCTGCCTCAGCCTCCCAGGTAGCTGGGACTACAGGCGCCTGCCACCACGCCCAGATAATTTTTTGTATTTTTAGTAGAGATGGGGTCTCACCGTGTTAGCCAGGATGGTCTCGATCTCCTGACCTCATGATCCACCCACCTCAGCCTCCCAAAGTGCTGGGATTACAGGCGTGAATCATCAGTTTTAAATAACCTTGCTTATGAATTTTGTCTCAAAAAAAAACCTTGGAGGTCAGCAAATGTTTACTATGGGCAAATATAGAAAGTGAATAATATAATGATAAATCCATTCAATTAAATAGCATAGGGTTTTGCCAGGCGTGGTGGCTCACACCCGTAATCCCAGCACTTTGGGAGGCTGAGGTGGGCGGATCACCTAAGGTCAGGAGTTCGAGACCAGCCTGGCCAACATGGTGAGACACTCTATCTACTAAAAATACAAAAATTACCCAGGCGTGGTGGTGCACGCCTGTAATCCCAGCTACTCGGGAGGCTGAGGCACGAGAATCACTAGAACCCGGGAGGTGGAAGTTGCAGTGAGCCACAATCACACCACTGCACTTTAGCCTGGGCCACAGAGTGATGAGACTCTGTCTAAAAAAAAAAATTTTTTAATAAATAGCATAGTGTTTTGTGATGAAAAATGTGCATGAATTTAGAAAGATGTCCATAATATATTGTTCAGTCAAAAACCATGTTTGAAAATAGTATATACAGTATAATTCTACTGTAGAGAGAAAAATCGGGCAGAAGAAAAATGTAGAGTAATACAGACACAGATCAAGCTATGAGCCATGATTACATACATTGATGACATTTTGGAATGGCCTTATTTCCTTTCTCTTTATCTGCATATTTTTTAATTTAATTTTTTAATAGAGATGGAGTCTCACTATGTTGGCCAAGCTCGTCTTGAACTCCTGGCCTCAAGTGCTCCTCCTGCCTCAGCACTCCCAAAGCGCTGGGATTACCGGCGTGAGCCACCGTGCCTAGCATGTATGTTTTAAATTCAAGACAGTTTTACAATATTAATTTTATACAAAGTCAGTCACTGCTCAGAGACTTGAATAACTCCTGTGCGACGGTGTTAAAGGGATATAGCGGAGAATAAAGTGGATGCTGTTCCCTCCTGTGATGTCCACAGACGAGTGTGCAAGGAGAGCACAGACCATCGGTGGAACCGTCCCTGCCTTCCTGTGAGCGACTGTAGGGCCCCTTTGCAATCTCCTTCCGTCCAGTCCCTTCCCAAGACTCAAAATTTTTCTGAAATTTGAAAACTCAGATTATGAACAGGATTTTAATTCTTCTCCCTTCCCCATTTCTCATCACTCATTAGATAAACTTTGCATAAAATATATATTTTGTGGCTGGGCATGGTGGCTTACGCCTGTAATCCCAGCACTTTGGGAGGCCGAGGAGGGCAGATCACCTGAGGTCAAGAGTTCAAGACCAGCCTGACCAACATGGTGAGACCCTGTATCTACGAAAAATACAAAAATTAGCTGGGCGTGGTGGCAGGTGCCTGTAATCCCAGCTACTTGGGAGGCTGAGGCAGAAGAATCGCTTGAACCCAGGAGGCGGAGGTTGCAGTGAGCTGAGATAGCGCCATCTCACTCCAGCCTGGGGGACAAGAGCGAGAGTTCATCTCAAAAAAAAAAAAAATATATATATATATATATGTGTGTGTGTGTGTGTATGTGTATGTATATATGTGTATATATGTATATGTGTGTATATATGTGTGTGCGTATATATGTATATATATATATATATGTGTGTGTGTATATATATGTGTACTTTGCTGACAGGTGACCTGCTATCATCAGTTTAATTAAAGAAAATGCAGAAAGTAGGGGAAGGTTATTATATAGACAAGACCAATTTTAGAAACAATTGATATAGTAATTTTTTTTTTTTTTTTTTTTTTTTTTTTTTTGAGATAGAGTGTCAGGCTGTTGCCCAGGCTTGAGTGCAGTGGTGTAATGTTGGCTTATTGCAATCTCCGCTTCCTAGGTTCAAGCAATTCTTGTGCCTCAGCTTCCTGAGTAGGTGGGACCACAGGCACGTACTGGTTGACAGCCGGGCGCGGTGGCTCACGCCTGTAATCCCAGCACTTTGGGAGGCCAAGGTGGGTGGATCATGAGGTCAGGAGATCGAGACCATCCTGGCTAACACGGTGAAACTCCGTCTCTACTAAAAATACAAAAAACTTAACCATGCGTAGTGGCGGGCGCCTGTAGCCCCAGCTACTCGGGAGGCTGCGGCAGGAGAATGGCGTGAACCCGGGAGGCGGAGCTTGCAGTGAGCCGAGATCCCGCCACTGCACTCCAGCCTGGGCGACAGAGCGAGACTCCGTCTCAAAAAAAAAAAAAAAAAAAAATTTGGTTGACAACTGGTTGAGTTTATCTAAAGACCTGGGATCAAAATAAAGGAAATGTCTGGGTTAAGATAAAGGATTGTGGAGATCCACATCCTTATTTGCACAGGAGACCTTCAGAGAGAATAGGTTGTAAAATGTTTCTTATCAGACTTCAAGCCTGTGTTCCTGTTAATGGAGAGGTACAAGGAAGTATGTCTGACCCCCACTTCCCATCATGGCGTGAACCAGTCTCTCAGGTTAAATTTTAAAAGCACCCTGGCTTCAGATGGCTGGCGAGTATTAGAATTTTATTTTTGGTTTACAGTTCTCAGAAGTATAAAAGAATGAGTGCATTTTTACCTATCTTATATCCTGTTCTCATTAACACAGATAAGCTAAACCCATACAGAAAGCATATGAAGGAAACATTTCAACTCATATGGGAGAAGGAAACCTGTCTTCACGTCCCTGAGCATTTCTACAAAGAAACCATGAAAAATGAGTATAAAGAATTGAATGACGCATATACTGCTGCGGCTAGACGACACACTGTGGTCCTGGAAGGTCCTGATGGAATTGGAAAAACAACCCTTTTAAGAAAAGTGATGTTGGACTGGGCAGAGGGAAACTTATGGAAGGACAGGTTCACATTTGTGTTTTTCCTCAATGTCTGTGAAATGAACGGTATCGCAGAGACCAGCTTACTGGAGCTCCTCTCTAGGGACTGGCCGGAGTCTTCAGAGAAGATCGAAGACATTTTTTCCCAGCCAGAGAGAATTCTGTTCATCATGGATGGCTTTGAGCAACTGAAGTTTAACTTACAACTTAAGGCTGACTTGAGCGATGATTGGAGGCAGCGGCAGCCAATGCCAATTATCCTGAGCAGTTTGTTGCAAAAAAAGATGCTTCCAGAATCCTCTCTCCTTATTGCATTAGGAAAACTGGCTATGCAAAAACACTATTTTATGTTGCGGCATCCAAAACTCATAAAGCTCTTAGGATTCAGTGAATCTGAAAAGAAGTCGTATTTCTCCTACTTCTTTGGTGAGAAGAGCAAAGCCCTGAAAGTCTTCAATTTTGTGAGAGATAATGGGCCGCTGTTTATCTTGTGCCATAATCCCTTTACGTGCTGGTTGGTCTGTACTTGTGTGAAACAGAGGCTAGAGAGGGGAGAAGACCTTGAAATAAACTCCCAAAACACCACCTATTTATATGCATCCTTTTTAACAACTGTATTCAAAGCAGGAAGTCAGAGTTTTCCACCTAAGGTGAACAGAGCCCGACTAAAAAGCCTGTGTGCTTTGGCTGCAGAGGGAATTTGGACATATACATTTGTATTTTCCCATGGGGATCTCCGGAGGAATGGGTTATCTGAGTCTGAGGGCGTGATGTGGGTGGGTATGAGACTCCTCCAAAGGAGAGGGGACTGTTTTGCCTTCATGCATCTGTGTATCCAAGAGTTTTGTGCCGCCATGTTTTATTTGCTCAAACGACCCAAAGACGATCCTAACCCGGCCATTGGAAGCATAACCCAGCTTGTAAGAGCAAGTGTGGTTCAGCCTCAAACCCTCTTGACCCAGGTGGGGATATTCATGTTTGGAATTTCAACAGAAGAAATCGTCAGCATGCTGGAGACCTCCTTTGGTTTTCCACTGTCAAAAGACCTAAAGCAGGAAATAACCCAATGCCTTGAAAGTTTAAGTCAATGTGAAGCTGATAGGGAAGCCATAGCTTTCCAGGAACTATTCATTGGTTTGTTTGAAACTCAGGAAAAAGAATTTGTAACCAAAGTGATGAATTTCTTTGAAGAAGTTTTCATTTATATTGGTAACATAGAACATTTGGTAATAGCTTCATTCTGCCTGAAGCATTGTCAACATTTAACGACACTTCGCATGTGTGTGGAGAATATCTTTCCAGATGACTCAGGATGCATCTCAGAGTGAGTCTGTCTATTAATCCCCCGTCCCACACACTACACTTGGAGTTTGCTCTAGTGGCCTGTGGGTATTTCATGGGCCTTATGCCACTGTGCTTAAAAGCATGGAGGTCGGAGTCAGAAAGCCTTCCTTTCGAGCCTTGGCACTGCTGTGGGATCATGAGCTGCAACTTCTTGAACTTTTTCCATTGTATAAAGAGAAATAAAAGTTTTGTCTACTTCATAGGGCTCGTGTGAGATTAAGAGGCGGCTAGCAGGACTTTTTTTTTTTTTTTTTTGAGACGGAGTCTTGCTCTATCACCCAGGCTGGAGTGCAGTGGCGCGATCTCGGCCTACTGCAACCTCCACCTCCCAGGTTCAAGCGACTCTCCTGCCTCAGCTTCCCAGGTAGCTGGGATTACAGGTGCCCGCCACCACGCCCGGCTAATTTTTGTATTTTTGGTAGAGACAGGGTTTCACCATGTTAGCCAGACTGGTCTTGAACTCCTGAACTCAGGTGATCCACCCATCTCGGCCTCCCAAAGTGCTAGGATTACAAGCATAAGCCACCGCGCCTGGCCTTGCTTGCTTCCTCCCTCCCTCCCTCCGTTCCTTCCTCTTTTTTTCTCTCTTTCTTTCCTTTTCTTCTTTTTTTTTTTCACCATTTTTATTGTTGTCAGACTGTGCTTTTCTTTTCCCCCTCCATAGCTTGTGCGGTATCCCCCAGTGACCCCACTGAGAGGGGACTCCTGGAAGTTCGTGCCTTGTTTCCTCTGCATTTTTTCCATATGCCTTTTCCCTCTGCTGATTTTGCCTTGTATTCTTCCATCGGGTTCAGGTTACCAGCTCATACGTTAGCTCTCAGATACATGCTGCTGTTCATGATAACATTTTTGGATACAGTTCCCTGTTCACTGAGGGGTCACCAAATAACCCTTGTTCACAGAACAATCGAGTATTCACATCTAAACGAGGAGGAAATGAAGCAGAATAAGGTTGAATAGCTTGTCCAGGGTCACATAGTTACTAAATGTTTACACCAGAGTTTGATTCCAATCAACTACTCTTGTCTCAGGATCCACTTTCTTTTTTTTTATTTCCAACTTTTAAGTTCAGGGATACATGTGCAGGATGTGCAGGTTTGTGACATAGGTAAGCGTGTGTCATGGTGATTTGCTGGGCAGAGCATCCCATCACCCAGGTATCAAGCCCGATATCCACTAGCTATTCTTCCTGATGCTCTCCCTCCTCCCAAGCCCCACACTCCAACAGGCCCCAGTGTGTGTGGTTCCCCTCCCTGTGTCCATGTGTTCTCATCATTCAGCTCCTACTTACAAGTGAGAACATGTGGTATTTGGTTTTCTGTCCCTGCATTCGTTTGCTAAGGATAATGGCCTCCCGCTCCATCCATGTCCTTGCAAAGGACATTATCTTGTTCCTTTTCATGGCTGCATAGTATTCCATGATGTATATGTACCACATTTTCTTTATCCAGTCTATCATTGATGGGCATTTAGGTTGATTCCATGTCTTTGCTATTGTAAATAGTGCTCCTTTTTTTTTTTTTCTTGAGGCAGGGTCTAGCTCTGTTTCCCTAGCTTAGTGCAGTGGCATGATCATAGCTCACTTTAGTCTTGTACTCCTGGGTTCAAGTGATTCTCTCACCTCAGCTCCCAAATAGCTGGGACTACAGGTGTATGCCACCACATCTGTCTAATTTTTTAAATTTTTAATAGAGATGGAGTCTTGCTATGTTGCCCAGGCCGTCCTCAAACTCCTAAGCTCAAGCGATTCTCTTGCCTTGGCCTCTCAAAGTGCTGGAATTACAGGCTTGAGCCACTCTACCTGGCCAGGGCCTACTTTCTAACTATTATGTCATGTTGGCTCCGTTTACCTGGCTGACCTTCTCCCTGTTCAGGCCTGGGTGTCTGTCAGCTTTGAGGTGCTTTGGAAATGGTGTTCGACCTGTTTTGAGAATGTCTTGAATTGAGTTTAGCCACTGGAGAATCACAATCTTTGTTCTCTCATAGTTACAATGAGAAGCTCGTCTACTGGCGGGAGCTTTGCTCAATGTTCATTACCAACAAGAACTTCCAGATTTTAGACATGGAAAATACCAGCCTCGATGATCCCTCCCTGGCGATTCTTTGCAAAGCGCTGGCTCAGCCTGTTTGTAAACTCCGAAAACTCATGTAAGTTTTATGTTAACCTGTCCTTTAAGCAAATGGCAGAGTTTCCTTCTCTCTACTGTGGCCTTTTTGGAAGAAGACCCATGCATAAATGCAGAGCGGCAATCCAGTGTGTTAAATGTAGTGACATGTACATGTATGTTTATTGCGGCACTATTCACAATAGCAAAGACTTGGAACCAACCCAAATGTCCATCAATGATAGACTGGATAAAGAAAATGTGGCACATATACACCATGGAATACTATGCAGCCATAAAAAAGCATGAGTTCATGTCCTTTGTAGGAACATGGACGAAGCTGGAAACCATCATTCTCAGCAAACTATCGCAAGGACAAAAAACCAAACAACGCATGTTCTCACTCATAGGTGGGAATTGAACAATGAGAACACATGGGCACAGGAAGGGGAACATCACATACCGCAGCCTGTTGTGGGGTGGGGGGAGAGGGAAGGGATAGCATTAGGAGATATACCTAATGTAAATGACGAGTTAATGGGTGCAGCACACCAACATGGCACATGTATACATAAGTAACAAACCTGCACGTTGTACACATGCACCCTAGAACTTAAAGTATAATAAAAAAAAAAAAAAATGTAGTGACATGTAAAATGAAATCTAGTTGGAGGGCCAGAGAGCGAGCAGTCCTGGTTAGGGATGACCTTTGCTTGGATGTGAGTGGATGGAGAATAGATGTTTCTCAGGTGAGAAAGGAAGAGTGCTGAGGACAGACAGAAAAATAGCCTTAAATTTGTAAAAAAAAAAAAAAAAAAAAAAAGAAAAAGAAAAATAAGATAAGCATAATGGTAGCATTCATAAAACAGAGTGCTGATGTGCAATATTTTCTTCCGTTTCTTTTAATCCTAATAAAGTTTTTATTATTACTTTTATACAAATAATGTATGAGAGGATAGAAACACAGTTGTTCCCTGATATTTTACTTATCTTGATTTGCCTGGGCCATGCTGTTCTCTTCACCCCTGTAAGCAAACTTACTGCTTTCAGGTTAAATTTAAGTCTTCCTTCAGCTTGAAAAGTCATGTCATCACGGAAGACTTGCTATGCTCCCAAAGCACCTTATACATCTTTTTGGTAAGAGTTATTGCGTTGAATTATTGGCCCACATATTTGTGCAGAAAAAAGTTAACATAGCAGACGTTAAGACTGCTGTCTCGAGAAAGGCCTGTTTGCTAAGTTGGTCCTTGGCTGATGTCTTTTTTGTTTGTTTGTTTTTGTTTTGTTGTTGTTGTTGCTTTGAGACGGAGTTTCGCTCTTGTTGCCCAGGCTGGAGTGCAGTGGAATGATCTCGGCTCACCGCAACCTCCACCTCCCGGGTTCAAGCGATTCTCCTGCCTCAGTCTCCCGAGTAACTGGGATTACAGGCATGCACCACGACGCCTGGCTAGTTTTTGTATTAGTAGAGACGGGGTTTCATCATGTTGGCCAGGCTGGTCTCAAACTCCTGGCCTTGTGATGCGCCCGCCTCGGCCTCCCAAAGTGCTGGGATTACAGACGTGAGCCACCGCACCTGGCCTGGCTGATGTCTTGAAACTTGGACTTTGGGAGAGTTTCCACCAACCTGACTGATAAGAATGGTTCACTGTTCGTAAATTCTACCGGCACTGTGGTTTATACTGAATGTCTGGTTTCCTTCAGTGAGTTTTGAATTTTGGTTCATGCTAGGCAGAGGGTGCCTATATGACAAGCCCCAGTAAAAACCACGGACATTGAATCCTTAATGAGCTTCCCTGGTAGATGACACTTCACATGTGTTCTCACATTTTGTTGCTAGAGGAATTTATTGTGTCCTGGTGATCCCACGGGGAGAGGACTCTTGGAAGCTTCTGTCTGGTTTTCTCTGGATTTTTCCTATGTTCCTTTTCCCCTTGGTGGTTTTTCCTTTGTGTGCTTTTGCTGAAATAAATCATAGCCATTGTAAGACTGTATTGCAAGTCGTACAAGGTCTCCTAGCAAGTCACCAAAGCTAGGAGTGATCTTGGGGAGCACAGTGTTTCTCTGTTGACTAAACCTCCATGATGGATGGGGATGCGTTTACCCTCACATCCTCAGCATCTAGAAAAATACAAAGCCTTGTAGGGGCTCACTAAACATCCATAGAATGAATGTGTGCTGAAAATAATGAAGGAACTGACTCAAAAGAATTTCTAAAGATCCCACATGGAGAGTAAAAAGTGGACCTCACTGAACTGTTTTTTTTCTGGAAAATGTTAAAGTAGGGGACTGGCTTGATTATAACGCATAAGCAGTATCTGAATTTCAATGGGATATGTGAGGGATACTAGCAAGGAAGAGGTGGTTAGTGGTCTTGCAATGAAGACATTTGTCATTGATTTTTGTTTTATAAATTCAGTCTCAAAGCACAAGAAGTCATTGATTTTCACATGAGGTCAATGGTAACATGAAGCAGAACAGTAATCTGGATAAACCTGGGTGAAGGCGTGAATTAAGATGCACGTGTCCTTCCTAGGAACCTTAGGTTACAAAATGAGGACATTAGTGCTTCTTCACAGTGTTGATGACAGAATAAATAATTGATCTTTTATTTAAAAAAACTTTTTTTGAGATGGAGTCTCTGCCGCCCAGGCTGGAGTGCAATGGCACAATCTCAGCTCACTGCAACCTCCGCCTCCCAGGTTCAAGCAATGCTCCTGCCTCAGCCTCCCAAGTAGCTGAGATTACAGGTGCCCCCCACCACACCTGGCTAATTTTGTATTTTTAGTAGAGATGGGGTTTCACTATGTTGGCCGGGCTGGTCTCAAACTCCTGACCTCATGTGATCCACCTGCCTTGACCTCCCAACTCATTGATATTTTACACAAGTCCTTTAGTTCAGTGTCTAGTAAAAACATCATTAGATTCATTTTAAGTTGTCCAGAAATGATAGAGACAGTTTGGTCATTTCTCTTCAAAGGTATCTAGCCACATGCCTTGAAATTGAAAAATGTTTTTCCTTCTCTTTTCTGTTGTGTATATGAATGATAAATGCAATTGCTGAGACGATGGAGAATCAGAAGCCAGAGCTCATTCCTTCAACATCGATTCTAATGCCTCCCCAAGGTTAGGGTTTAGGGAACATTGGAGGTATCATTCAACTGCCATCACTCACATGGAATGGTTAGTTCAGATCCTGTTCTATTTATCAACTTTTTTTCCCTCATAGTTAAGGAAGAAGTTATACTTGAGAAAAAGTGATAATAGTTTCTGGAAACAGAGTGGCATCAGTAGAGGCTGAGAGAAGTAGATTGATTCCTTGGGTTGTAGGGCAGACTAATAACAGATGGATCAATATGTTCCAAACACACATACCTCCAGCGGTCCTTAATCCCTAACGCTGGGGAGGCATTGGACTCAAAGTTGAAGGAATGAGCCCAGGCTTCTGCTTCTTTATTCATCTCAGCAATTGCATTTTTTATCATTTTATGTGTAGAAAAAGGAAAAAGTTGACAAGGCAAATAGTCAACAAATGGTATCATAATCAACTCTTCTATTTTAGTTTGCCCCTTTTCCATGAGGTTGATTATCCTGAAATGGCGATGATTCCTGATTACATGTTCATCTTTGTGACTGTTTTCCCACCATATTGTCTGTTGACTCGATTGTTTGCTGCTGGCTGACGGTTGGCATTCACTGCAGCTGCCTAGCTAACCAATCCCGGTGCTTTCATGAATGTGGTGTGGTGGCTTGGAGGCCGGATATTCCTGTCCTTTTTGCCACCACCTCCCGCTTATTCTCACAGGTGTCTCCAGAAATCAAGGGGGTTTGCTGTTTTTCTTTTTTTTTTTCTGAGACAGTCTCGCTCTGTCCCCTAGGCTGGAGTGCAATGGTGCAATCTCGGCTCACTGCAACCTCCACCTCCTGGGTTCAAGCAATTCTCCTGCCTCAGCCTCCCCAGTAGCTGGGACTACAGGTGCCCGCCACCACGCCCAGCTAATTTTTGTATTTTAGTAGAGATGGGGTTTCATCATGTTGCCCAGGGTGGTCTTGAACTCCTGAGCTCAAGCAATCCACCCACCTCAGCCTCCCAAAGTGCTGAGATTACAGGCGGGAGCCACCGCGCCCGGCCTGGGTTCCCTGTTTTCATGTGGTAGCACTTCCACCTGTTAGTGGGTCAGGCTCTGCTCACCCTCGCCGCACAGATCCCTGTACACCTCACCGCCCTGTCACCAGCTCCTGGCTTCCTTTATCTCCGGGCAGGTGGTACCTGGGTGTCACTCAGACATTTAGGGGATCACTCCGCCCGCAGTCCGCACAGTTCCTCCAGCCTGCTGTTCCCCTCTGTGATCTGCCCTTATCTGTGTTTTGATTCTGGCCTACTCAAAATTTCCATTCTAGTTTTTGAACATGGTAAAAGTATTTACTTTTAAAATTCTCTGTCATTTCTTAAAGTTGACTAGGAGAGAAATCAGGGTGCGCTCATCTGCTGTAACGCCAGGAGTCACATAGAGCAAGTTCTGTGTGTCATGTATTTATTCTTACGTGTGTCTGGTTTGTAAATACACATTTATCAGGCTAATAAATACATATTATATATGGTTTATACATAAATTTTGTCTGGATTTTAAGTACATATTCTGGTTTTGTATTTATCTGGTAAATATGTACATATCTGGCTTATAGACACATATTTGTAGTTACGTATTTGGTTTATAAATACACATATATGGCATATACATGTAGATATTAAAATAAAAGCCAGCATGAATTGACCATGTTCCAGGCATTACAATAAATGCTCATTTCTTTTTTTTGAGACACAGTTTCACTCTTGTTGCCCAGGCTGGAGTGCAGTGGCACCATCTCGGCTCACTGCAGCCTCCGCCTCCTGGGTTCAAGTGATTTTCCTACCTCAGCCTCTTGAGTGCCTGGGATTACAGGCACACACCACCATACCCAGCTAATTTTTTGTATTTTTAGTAGAGACGGGGTTTCGCCTTGTTGCCCAGGCTGGTCTCAAACTCCTGACCTCATGTGATCTGCCTGCCTTGGCCTCCCAAATTACAGGTGTGAGTCACCATGCCTGGCCTTAAATGTTAATTTCTTAATTACCATGACCATATCTTTCATGAAGAGACTGGGCCACACAGCCATTAGGTCATTTGCCCAATCTTGCAAAAGCAACAAGGAGAAAAGCAAAATGTGAAATCCAGTTTCCTGTAACTCTGGAGCCTGAGTTTTTTGACACTACATAACATTGTCTCTTTTATTAAAAAAAAAAAAATCTTAATTTTAAAACAGAAATGGGTTATTTCCTTGGGTAACACAGTTTTGCTTGGAGCATTAATTCAGATATGTGTGCGTCATTTTATGTGAGGCATTAATCACATTAATCTCAGAATACAAAGAGGTACAAGTATAGTTTGTTCCTGTCCCCATGGGGCTCGGTTTAACATGGGATTCGGCTGACTCGTTCTCCTTCTATGTTTGGAGTTATGTAGAAGTGGAGGGGCTAGGAAGAAACAGGAAAGTTCTAAGCAGCTTGAGCCTCTGTGCTGTCTGGTGTCTAAAAACCCCATCGAGAAATAATTTACTGGCAGGAGTAACCAGAATTCCAGAAACAGTGTGGTGAGGCCCAGCATTCAGGGCAGGAAGAATCGTACAAGAGGTGTCTGTCTTTGTGCTGGGATCTCATTGCATGATGCTATTTTTTTTTTAATCTTTTGCAGATTTACTTCTGTGTACTTTGGACATGATTCAGAATTATTTAAGGCAGTTCTTCACAACCCTCATCTGAAACTTCTGAGCCTGTACGGCACTAGCCTCTCCCAGTCTGACATCAGACACCTGTGTGAGACGCTGAAACATCCAATGTGCAAGATAGAAGAGCTGATGTAAGTCCGGGCTGTTCATGCCGAGTGCTGTTTCTTTCCAAGGTGGGCTTTGCAGTTTGATTTTCTTGTTTTCCTTCCTGGAGGGTCATTGCATCAGCCTTCATCTCTCTTGTTTTTCATCTTTTGAATCTGTCTCTCTCATAAGGTGAAGGTAGATTCTGCCGGGCAAGGCCTCCTCTCAGAAGGTTTGTTTCCGCCTTCCCATCTCTAGTACTCACTTTAATTACTTCTTTTTTTTTTTTTTTTTTTTTTGAGACAGGGTCTCACTCTGTTGCCCAGGCTGGAGTGCAATGACGCAATCTTGACTCACTGCAACCTCAGCTTCCCGGGTTCAAGCAATCCTCCCACCTCAGCCTCTCAAGTAGCTAGGATTACAGGTGCACGCCACCATACCCAGCTAATTTTTGTAATTTTTTGTAGAGATGGGGTTTCACCATATTGCCCCGGCTGATCTTGCACTCGTGGTCTCAACCAATCTGCCCGCCTTGACCTCCTAAAGTACTGGGATTACAGTACTTCACATGAGCCACTGCATCCAGGCTCATCTCACGGACACCTCCCTTGATACTTCCTGGTTCTGCCCTCAGGCAACCAGGCCAAAACAAGAACAACATTTTTTTTTCCCTAAAGATATTTATAGAAACTTGAAACTGAAGCATGTTAATGATCACAAGTGTGATCGTCTGATTTGGCAGTTGACAGCATTAAAGCCAGGGGGAGAATGACTTGCCCAAAGTAATTTCTTCCTCTTGAACATTGTCAGAGCAGCCCCTGTCCTAACTGGGTGATTTCCAGGCAGAGCCAATCTATCTTTCTTTTTCTATTATTATTATTATTATACTTTAAGTTCTGGAGTACATGTGTACAACGTGCAGATTTGTTACATAGGTATACATGTGCCATGTTGGTTTGCTGTACCCATCAACTCGTCATTTACATTAGGTATATCTCCTAATGCTTTCCCTCCCCCAGCTCCCCACCCACCGACAGGCCCCAGTGTGTGTTGTTCCCCTCCCTGTGTCCATGTGTTCTCACTGATCAACTCCACTTATGAGTGAGAACAGGCAGTGTTTGGTTTTCTCTTCTTGTGTTACTTTGCTGAGAATGATGGTTTCCGGTTTCATCCATGTCCCTGCAAAGAACATGAACTCTTCCTTTTTTATGGCTGCATAGTATTCCATGGTGTACATGTACCATATTTTCTTTATCCAGTCTATCATTGATGGGCGTTTGGGTTGGTTCCAAGGCTGTGCTATTGTGAACAGTGCCGCAGTAAACATACATGTGCATGTATCTTTATAGTAGAATAATCACTGGCCAATCCATCTTTCCAAAGAGAACAAAGGAAGTCATTGAGGCAGCAATAAATAAAATCAGCCCACTAAACCCCCTAAGAGAATATGCTCTTCTCTCTCCCAGTTCACTGTCTTGTCTTTGCAGTAACCGTCAAAAATGTAATTGACAGATTCATCTATACTTGGTTAATTTTATGCGTCTAGACCCATCAGGAGAAAGAGGCAGGTTCTATGCATAAGGGTTGTTTGAGCTTATAGAACTGCTGTAGATCTCATTCCTTATTCAAGCTGTTTCCATATCATGGCAACTTTTTTTTTAACTTCTACTCTAACTTTCTCTTCTCAGGGGGAACTTTCAAAATTCTATAGTATTTTGCTCCATTTCATAATTATGTTATTTGCATAGGGTTTTATCTATTATACATTAACATAAGGATTGGGGAACATATCTACAATGATAGACATAATGTAGCTGGGAATGTTGCCTTTTGGGGTAAACTAACTATTCATTTACTTCAGTGTGGTATTGGTGGTGGAAGGTCTTCAAAGTCAGGTTCTCTCTAGCTCAGTAGTTCTCAATGGGGGAATTTTGTCCCTTTGGGGATGTCAATGTTTAGAGACATTTTCAATGATCACAGTTGAGTGGGGAGGGTGCTGCTGGCATCTGGTGGATAGAGACCAAGTGTATCAGTCCGTTTTCACACTGCTGATAGACATACCCAACACTGGGCAATTTACAAAAGAAAGAGGTTTATTGGACTTGCAGTTCGATGTGGCTTGGGAGGCCTCACAATCATGGTGGAAGGTGAAAGGCACATCTCACATGGCGGCAGACAAGAGAAAAGAGCTTGTGCAGGGAAACTCCCCTTTATAAAACCATCAGACCTTGTGAAACATATTCACTGTCAGGAGAACAGCCTGGGAAAGACCCGCCCCTGTGATTTAATTATCTTCCACTGGGTCCCTCCCACAACACATGGGAATTATGGGAGCTACAGGATGAGATTTGGGTGGGGACACAGAGCCAAACCATATCACCAAGGATGCTGCTAAATACCCAGTAATGTACAGGACAGCTCCCCAACAACAAAGGATTATCTAGTACTGGACTACTGAGTGCTAGCCTGTGAAGTGCCCTAGGAGAGATTAGAGTGATGCTTCTCTTCTGGTGGTGGGAGGGGGTCAGCTTGGCTAAAACAGAATGGGGTATTTGCCTAAATCCAACCCAGGGGCTCTTGTACTAGGAAAAAAACATCTAATACTGTGCAGTGGCCCTGGACAAACATTTTTATGGATACCACACCTTAATTCGTGTGTATCTGGAAACCCTTATGACAAACACCTGTTTCTCCACATCAGCCATTTTACTTTGTCATTGTTGTTTACTTTTTATTGAAAGATTATTATACTCACAGGAAATTACAATAATAGTACAGAGAAGTCCCATATACCAATCACCACCCAACTTCCACCAAAGGTAACATCTTACATAACAATAGTGCATTCTTAAAACTAGGAAACTTTACTAATGAAATGTACAAAGCTGTTTTTAAAAATATGCTTTTATGAAACTTCCAGTGAAACTAGACTTAATCAGTATCTTTTAACCAGAGGCTTCACCAGATTATTTGCCTATGAAATGAATGTGTTCCACTTGTCCCGTTTTCTCCCCAACACTTAAGGGTGTTGATCTTTTCAAATCCATTCTGCTTCGGGCATAATATCTGAGTGGTTTTAATTTGCATTTCTCTAATGACTAATAATATGAGCGCCTTTTCATTTGTTTGACTTTCTGGGCTTCCTGTTGTGATATGTCTGTTTGATGTGCTGATGTAGCCCATTGTTTTATTGGGCTGTCTTTTTCTAATTGATTGACAGGTGTTTTTCTTATATTGCGGAATGAATCCTAGGTCAAATACATGCATTGCAAATATCTTCTATGTGGTTTGGTTTTCCACATTCTTAATATCATCTTTGAATTAAGAGAGATTCTTTATCAAAACTGAATGTGTCTTTTCGTGTTCAGCTGCTTTTTGTGTGTGTTTAGGGAATCATTGCCAGGCTTGGTGGCTCATGCCTGTGATCCCAGCAGTTTGGGAGGCTGAGGCAGGAGGATTGTTTGAGGCCAGGAGTTGGAGACCAGCCTGGGCAACATAGTGAGACTCCCGTCTCTAAAAACAAAACAAAAAAATTATCTAGGTATGGTGGTGGATGCCTGTAGTCACGGCTTACTCATCAGGCTGATGCAGGAGGATCTCTTGAGCCCAAAGGTCCAAGGTTGCTGCAGTGAGCTGTCATCACGTCACTGCACTGTAACCTGAGTGACAGGGTGAGACCACGTCTCAAAAGAAAATAATTGTTTCCAAGCCCAAAGTCATAAGAATAACTTCCTGTGCATTTTTCTCTCAAAGTCTTATTGTACCATGCACAAGTGGGGCTATGACCTACTTTGAGTAAGTGTTTCTATGTAGTATAAAGTCAGGTTTAAAAAAAATTCACATATGAACACAGAATGCTGTTGAAAAACCACTTTTTCTCAAGTGAACAACAGTAGTTATCATTATAAACCAGATGACCACGGTGTATTTGAGACCAAAAATATCTGTTTTGATTTTATTTTTGTAGATTTTTTTCCCCCACACATCAGAGAATTGTAGGTTTTCTTTCACTGTTTTCTTTCTTTTGTTCTTTTACATGTTAAAGATGTAATTCCATCCCATTCAGGCTGCCATGCTTTTTCTAAATAAATCAGTATATTTCGTCCCATTGTAGGCAATGTGCTTAATGTGTCTTGTCTCTGGCTAATTTTAAGTTTCCCCTCCCACCCCCATTGTGTGTGGTTTTGGTATTTCTTTGTGTTTATCCTGCTTAAAAATTCACTGAGCTTCCTGCATTTGTGGATGAACATTTGCACAGGCTTCTGAGAACATTTTACCATGATCTCTATCTTTAAATATGGCTTCTGCTACATCTTCTCTCCCATTTCCTCTTGGTCTGACAGGAGAGATCCCCATCATAGTTTCAATCGAGAGGCTTGAAGAATGAGGAGCTTTCTATGCGGCACAGAAGATAATTAGATACAGGCATGCAATAATTAATAAAAAGTCAAAAGACTGAGGAGCTTTTAAAAAATTATCACAATGGAGAGCAAACAATCCATGCATAAACACTTGCATATGCATTGCCCTTTGAGCGGGATGGAGAAGACAGATCTGAAGGTGGCCAGGGGCCGGGCCGGGCATGGCGGATCACACCTGTCATCCCAGCACTCTGGGAGGCCGAGGCGGGCAGATCACTTGAGCTCAGGAGTTCGAGATCACCCTGGCCAACATGGTGAAACCCCGTCTCTACTAAAAATACAAAAATTAGCCGGGTGTGGTGGCAGGTGCCTGTAATCCCAGCTAGTTGGGAGGCTGAGGTGGGATCTCAGCTCACTGCAGCCTCTGCCTCCTGAGCTCAAGCAATCATTTATGAAATGTAATTGTTTTCCTGAGGTCTGTGATCCACTCTAGCAAATCAGTCTAACCCAAGGAAGGGGTCAGGGGAACCCCCATGTATAGCCGGTTGGTCAAACACAGGCAGAGCAACCCAGCGCTTGCAACTGGCATCTGAAGTCAAGGGTGATCTTGTGGGACTGAGCTCCTACCGTGTGGGATCTGACTCTCACCTAATTTAATAAATGATCTGAAAGATACAGATGTGCAGCTGGGATCTGACTCTCAATTTAATAAATGATCTGAAAAATACAGATGTGCAGCCAGATAGACACACAGGATGAGATCTGGAAGGGTCCTGAGTGTGAAGGGGGCCAGCCCCTCCACACCTGTGGGTATTTCTAGTCAGGTGGAGATGAGAGACTCAGAAAAGAAACAAGACACAGAGACAAAGTATAGAGAAAGAACAGTGGGCCCAGGGGACAGACGCTTAACGTGCGAGGACCCGCACTGGCGCTGGTCTCTGAGTTCCCTCAGTATTTATTGATCACTATTTTTACTATCTTGGCGAGGGGAATGTGGCTGGGCAACAGGTGGGGAGAGGGTCAGCAGAGAAACATGTGAGCGAAGGAATCTGTATCATGAATAAGTTCAAGGAAAGGTACTGTGCCCGTATGTGCACGTAGGCTAGATTTATGTTTCTCTTCATCCAAACATCTCAGTGTAGCAAAGAGTCACAGAGCAGTATTGCTGCCAGCATATCTCGCCTCCAGCCACAGGGCAATTTTCTCCTATCTCAGAATGGAATGAATGGGAATGGTCAGCTTTACACCTAGACATTCCATTCCCAGGGACCAGCAGGAGACAGAAGCCTTCCTCTTATCTCAACTGCAAAGAGGCCTCCCTCTTTCACTCCTCCTCCTCAGCACAGACCCTTTACGGGTGTCGGGTTGGGGGATGGTAAAGTCTTTCCTTTCCCATGAGGCCATATCTCAGGCTGTCTCAGTGGGGGAAACCTTGGACAATACCCAGGCTTTCTCGGGCAGAGGTCCCTGCGGCTTTCCGCAGTGCATTGTGTCCCTGGTTAATCGAGACTGGAGGATGGCCATGACTTTTACCAAGTATACTGCCTGCAAACATATGGTTAACAAGGCACATGCTGCACAGCCCTAAATCCATTAAACCACGTGTTTCTGTGAGCACAGGGTTGAGGCTAAAGTTATGGATTATCAGCATCTCAAAACAGAACAGTTTTTCTTAGTACAGATCAAAGTGGAGTTTCTTATGTCTTCCTTTTCTACACAGACACAGTAACAATCTGATCTCTCATTCTTTTCCCCACACGAGTGCAGGAGCATCTGTCCCTGTGGAGCTGGGGCGTGGCGTGTGGATGTGTTTGCCAACCTGGACGCTCTCTGAACCACATTCTTGTAGGATTTTTATGGAGGTTTCATCACACAGGCATAATCGATCAACTCTGTGTCTAGCTCCTCTGGGAAGTGTCAGGATTGGGTTAAGTTTTAGGACACCTACTTAGTGGCTGCAAAAGAGCTGCCCTCCCGTCTCCGGCCACAGAAGCGTGTTGCGCTGAGTGTGTGAAAGTAGGAAAAAAAACACAGTTTGGGTTTTCCTATTTCTTGTAGTGCTATTGACAGAGAGTCAGATTTATCGAGTTCTGGATACTTCTTTGTGGCAGGGTCTGTCCTGTTCACTAAAGGACGTTGAGCAGCATTCCTGGCTGCCTCCATCGTGACAGCCAATAATATATGCAGACATTTCCACATGTCTCCATTAGGGCAAATCACCCCAGGTGGTGAGAAGCGTGGGCTTTGACATTTTTCCTAACTTCAGTGCAAACCTACGGGATTAATGAGGGAGTCATGTCATTACGTTTGCACTTCTTAAAAGTTTGTAATGTGGCCGGGCGCGGTGGCTCATCCATGTAATCCCAGCACTTTGGGAGGCCGAGGTGGGCAGATCTCTTGAGGTCAGGAGTTCGAGACCAGCCTGGCCAACATGGTGAAACCCCCATCTCTACTAAAAATACAAATGAACTGGGCGTGATGGCGGGCGCCTGTAATCCCAGCTACTTGGGAGACTGAGGCAGGAGAATCATTTGAACCCGGGAGGTGGAGGTTGCGGTGAGCCGAGATCGCACCACTGCACTCCTGCCTGGGCAACAGAGTGAGATTCCTTCTCAAAAAAAAAAAAAAAAAAGAAAAAGAGTCTGTAGTGTAGATAATGGATCGGCAGGTGCAAGACTAGAATCAGAGGTGTCGTTTGGTCTGTGGATAATGTTTCATGAGCGATTGAAAGCTTTGGTCCGTCTCATGGTGTGTGTTTCACATGTAGACTGGGAAAGTGTGACATCTCCAGTGAAGTTTGTGAAGACATCGCCTCCGTCCTGGCCTGCAACAGCAAGCTGAAACACCTCTCCTTGGTAGAAAATCCCTTGAGGGACGAAGGAATGACGTTGCTGTGTGAAGCCCTGAAGCACTCACACTGTGCCCTGGAGAGGCTGATGTAAGTTGGTCTGCGGGAAGCACGTTCGGAGATTTCTGAAGCGTGCACCTGGATCCACCCATTATCAAAGCAACGCGGTGCTCACTGAGGGGTGCAGCAGAATGCGGAATCCGTAGCTAGACCTGAGTTCCTTTCCCACGCCTCAGTTGCTCATCAGTAAAATGGAGCTGGCTGGGCGTGGTGGCTCATGCCTGTAATCCCAGCACTTTGAGAAGCTGAGGCGGGAGGATCACCTGAGCTCAGGAGTTTGAGACCAGCCTGGCCAACATGGGGAAACTCCATCTGTACTAAAAATACAAAAATTAGCTGGGTGTGGTGGCGCATGCCCATACTCCCAGCTACTCGGGAGGCTGAGGCAGGAGAATCCCTTGAACCCAGGAGGTGGAGGTTGCAGTGAGCCGAGATTGTGCCACTGCACTCCAGCCTGGGAGACAGAGCAAGATTCCATCTCAAAAAAAAAAAAAAAAAAAGAAAATTTTTAAATTTAAAAATTGCATATATTTAAGCCATACAGTGTGATGTTCTGATATATGCATACACTGTAAAATGATTACTATAATCAAGCTAATTAACAGAGTTATCATTTTGGAGGATGTGAGAACATTTAAAATCAACTCTCAGCGAAGTATACGGTACATTGTGATTAAATAATTTTTAAAACAAAAAGTATTTGACATACATATCCATAGTAAAATGTTGACTGTCGTCAAGGAAACTAACATACTCATCATCTGACATCATTGAAGCATTTTATTTTTTTGTGACTAGAGCACTTAAAATCTATTCTTTTAACAAAACCTTAAATATGTGTATTAAACAACAAAACAAAAATTATTCTACATGGGATATCGTCCAGTACATTCCGTTAAGCCATATGTATACTCTGTTGCAAAGAATGGGTGACTTTTGCCCTAGGTCTTCCAGCTGGTGATGATGTGACTTGGAACTGGAATCTGAGATTGTTTGTTGGGACACTGTATTCCACATTCATCTTTCTGTACATCTGTAGGTGTTACAAGTTTTAATCCCCTTTTCTTTTTTTTGAGACGGAGTTTCGCTCTTGTTGCCCAGGCTGAAGTGCAGTGGCACGATCTCAGCTCACAGCAACCTCCGCCTCCTGGGTTCAAGCGATTCTCCTGCCTCAGCCTCCCGAGTAGCTGGGATTACAGGTGTGCGTCACCATGCCTGGCTAATTTTGTATTTTTAGTAGAGACAGGAGTTCACCATGTGGGTCATGCTGGTCTCAAACTCCTTATCTCAGGTGATCCGCCCGCCTCAGCCTCCCAAAGTGCTGGGATGACAGGCGTGAGGCACCGCACCCAGCTCCTTATTTTCTTGAGTGACAGCAGAGTTCAAGGAACATCTGGAAAGGTTTTGCCTGGGACAAAGAAAATATGGTAATATTACCATAGGAAGCTTCAGTGGGCTGGGAGATGGTGTGTTTCTCTGCAGAATGATGTACTGCTGTTCAGCAGGCTGGGAGACGGTGTGTTTCTTTGCAGGTTGATGTACTGCTGTCTCACCTCTGTCTCCTGTGACTCCATTTCCGAAGTCCTCTTGTGCAGTAAGTCCCTGTCCCTCCTCGATCTGGGCTCAAATGCCCTGGAAGATAATGGAGTGGCATCTCTGTGTGCAGCGCTGAAGCACCCAGGCTGCAGCATACGGGAGCTGTGGTAGGACCGGCCATGATTTGCTTCAATGTCAGGGTTTCTTTTTTTGGATACTGTGGCTCTAGGAAAGACATAGGAAAGGGATATGCTAGCATCTGAATGTATATGTCCTCCCAAAATTCGTATGTTGGGTCCTCACCCCCAGGCTGATGGTACTAGGAGGTGGATCCTCTGGGAGGTGATGAGGTTATGAGGGTGGAGTCTCCCACACCTATAAAAGAGGCCCCAGAGACTCTTCTGCCCCTTCCACCATCTGTGGACGCCGTGAGAAAATGCCACTTCCAAAGCAGAACGTGGCCCTCGCCAGACACTGAATTTGTTGGCATCTTGATCTTGGACTTCCCGGCTCCAGAACTGTGAGAAATACATTTCTGTTGTCTATAAGGGACCCGTTTCAGTCTATGGCATTTTGTTATACCAGCCCAAATAGACTGAGACAAGAAGAGAATGGTGTCTTCTGAAAAAAAAAAATCCAGATGAGGCTATACATTTACCCCACCTGGTTCTGGGAACCTTCAGTGGGAAGGAGTTGTAAGGACACAGCAGGGGACTCAGGAGTTGGGTCTCCAGCCCTAGAAAGGCCTGGATGGAGTCCCGAGTGGCCCTGACTGCCTGAGCTTGTGCAGGTGACTCACCTCTCCCCAGGTAATGAGAGGATAGCTAGAGCCTCCTTAAAGAATCGAGATGGCCAGTTGGAATCACACACATGAAGGACTATGATCAATGCATGCAGGTGACTCACCTCTCCCCAGGTAATGAGAGGATAGCTAGAGCCTCCTCCTTAAAGAATCGAGATGGCCAGTTGGAATCACACACATGAAGGACTATGATCAATGCCTGGCTTGTCATACACTCTTGATAAATGACAGTCAGAGCGTGAGACTCATTCATTCCCTCTGCTAGGAACTGAAGATGCTTCTAGGTGGATAAGTTGGTCAATAGAGCATTCTAACATCCCTGTTCCCATGGACTTCCATCTGATGGAGTGTCAGATACACACACATGCATGTGTGAGGCTGCAAGGATGTGTCTGCATCCTAGATTCTCAGTATTGACATGGGGGCATTTTAGCCCAATTCATTCTGTGTTGTTGGGGCTGCTGTCCCATGCTTCCTAGGGTGTTGAGCAGCTTCCCTGGTTCTCAGCCACTAGATGAGCAGAGAAGAACGAGGGAGGAGAGGGGAGGATGGGGGAGGAGAGGGGAAGAGGGGATGGAAGTCGGGGCAGGAGCGGAAGAGAGGATGAAAGAGGTAAGGGACGAGGGGAAGGGGGGAGGAGGGGGGAAGAGGTGGGGAGGAGGGGGGAAGAGGTGGGGAGGAGGGGGGAAGAGGTGGGGAGGAGGGGGGAAGAGGTGGGGAGGGGGAGGGAGAGGGGAGAGGTGGGGAGGGAGAGGGGAGAGGTGGGGAGGGAGAGGGGAGAGGAGGAGGAGGGGAGTAAGAGGGAGAGGGGAGGAGGGAGAGGAGGAGGAGGGGAGGAGGGAGAGAAGGTGCCAGGGGCACTTTCTCTCCTGGCGTGGTAGACCAAAAATGTCTCCAGACACTACCAGTGTCCTCTGGTGGGCAAAAATCTTGCCTGCCTGAGAGCCACCAACACACAAGTACATACATCAGACACATACATATATATGTGTGAGTGTGGGTAGACACGTGCCTATCCACACATCTATGTGTATCATGTATCTATATGTCATCTGTCATTTATCATCTATTAACTATTCATCTGTCCCCTATCCTCTGTCCTCTATCTACCATTTTTCTGTCTATCTGTATTAGGGAGTAATAAGTACTGTAAGGAATCACCAGCTTGGGGCCTGGAGAGGGATTGGACACATGATATACAAAATAGTCAGGGGAGGGCTCACCAAAAAGGTGACATTTGCACAGGGATTTGAAGGTGGGGAGGAGGTAGCTATGCTGATAATTGGGGCAGGAGCATTTCAACCAGGGAGAATAATGAGGAGAGGCCACAGAGAAAAGAGAGCCAGGCAGGAGAGAAGAAGTGCAGGGACCCCAAAGTGTTGGAGCAGAGTAGGGAAGGTGGAGGAACTGGGAAGTCATTGCTGCTTCCACCTTCTTTGTCTTCCCTCCTCCTCTCTTCCTCCCCTTCCCCCTCCCTTTCCGCCTCCCCCTTCTCCTCCCCCCTCCTCCATCTCCTCCCCCCTCCTCCTCCTCCCCCCTCCTCCTCCTCCCCCTCCTTCCCCTCCCACTCCTCTTCCTCCCCTCTTCTTCCCCTCCCACTCCTCTCCCTCCTCTTTCTCCCCTTCTTCCCTCCTCCCTCATTCTCCCACCCTCCCGTCCTCTGCTCTTCTCTCCTCCCTCATTCTTCTCTCCTCCTTCCCCTCCCCACCCTCCTCATCATCTCAGATTTACTTGGGTATTTCTTGCGTCATATGAATAAATGAAAATAAGGTGGGCTGTTATGATTGACCTCATAAGTGTACGTATTTGTGTGTCTTCCACCTCCCCAGGTTGATGGGCTGTTTCCTTACTTCCGATTCCTGTAAGGACATTGCTGCTGTTCTTATTTGCAATGGGAAACTGAAGACCCTGAAACTTGGGCATAATGAAATAGGAGACACTGGTGTCAGACAGTTATGTGCAGCTTTGCAGCATCCTCACTGTAAATTAGAGTGTCTCGGGTGAGTATCTACTGATCACCATCGTAGGAAAATTTATCTATTTCAAGAATAGGAATTGCTGGAGGGTCAATAGAATGGAAGGGAGGCAGGTTTAAAAGCAAGTCCCTCTGGGACGATCTGATATGTAAAATGCTGCCCCAGGGTTTGCTCAGTCTTGGTACTCTTGCTGTTTGAAACTGGAGAGTTATTTGCCTTGGGGGCCATCCTGTGCATGATAGGGTCTTTAGCAGCGCCCCTGGACACTATCCTCAAGTTGCCAGCAGCACCTTCAGTTGGGATAAAGGTCACTAGACATACGTCCCCCAGGAGCACAATCGTCCTGGCTGAGAAGCCCGGGTCTAGACAGCAGAGCGTCCTGCCGGGAGGTGTGTAATTAGCAAGTAACAATGGCGTGCCTTCCAGCCTACCCAAAGCTAGAGTGGATTCTCTGGTGTGTTTCCCTTTTGCAGGCTGCAAACGTGTCCGATCACCCGTGCCTGCTGCGACGACATCGCCGCAGCACTCATCGCCTGCAAAACACTGAGGAGCCTGAACCTCGACTGGATTGCCTTGGATGCTGATGCAGTGGTGGTGCTGTGTGAGGCATTGAGCCACCCGGACTGTGCCCTGCAGATGCTGGGGTGAGTGGACACTGTTTCCTTTGGGGTGAGTGACTTCAGAACGAGCTTAGTTCATTGGCCATTTGCTCAACCGCGACATGATGGATGCCAGGCTGGAGGGTTGTTTGTGGTGGGGGCCTGTCCTTGGGCCCCTGTTGACACTATAAAATATAAAAACCATTGACATTGTAAGATGTCAAGCAACATTCTCGGCCTTTCTCATGAGTTGCCAGTAGCACTTCCCTCAGTTGTGACAATCAAAAAGAGCTCCAGAAATTGTCAGAAGTCCCTCGGAGACACAGTTGCACCAGGTGAGAACCACTGCTCTATAAAACATCTTCTACTTACGTTGCCCATAAATATGCAACGCCAGCTCAGACTTCAGAAGGGCTTCTGGAATGGGCTAAGGTCTTGATTCAGAAATACATTCGCCAAATGGCAGCAGTTAACGTTGTTCTGAAAATTAGGTTTGCCTTTAGAGTTGTACCTATTTGAAATCTGTAGGATGAATTTTTTATGTTAATTTTTCCTTCTGATTTTATTTTTTTAATTTTTAAAAGTTATTTTTTTATTTTTTAAAAAACAAATGGGCGGGGTATAAATGGAAGAGGCTGAATATTGATAATTGTTCAAGTTGGTGATGAGTACATGAATTCATTATGCTAGTGTCTCTAAGAAAAGTTCACAATATGTTGTTTAAGGTTTTTTTTTTGTTTTGTTTTGTTTTGTTTTTTTGAGGCAGAGTCTTGCTCTGTCATCCAGGCTGGAGTGCAGTGGCACAGTCTCAGCTCACTTCAACCCCTGCCTCCCGGGCTCAAGGAATTCTCATGCCTCAGCCTCCCAAGTAGCTGGGATTACAGGCACTCACCACCATGCTCAGCTAATTTTTCTATTTTTAGTAGAGACGGGGTTTCACCATGTTGGCCAGGCTAGTCTCGAACTCCTGACCTCAGGTGATCCACCTGCCTCAGCCTCTCAAAGAGCTGGGATTACAAGCGTGAGCCACCATGCCTGGCAGAGACTGGTAACTTATAAAGGAAAGAGGTTTAATTGGCTTATGCATCTGCAGGCTGTACAAGAAGCATAGCAGCTTCTGCTTCTGAGGTAGCCACAGGAAACTTTGAATCATGGCGGAATGTGAAGCAGAAATAGGCACGTCTTTGGTGGCGGGAGCAGGAGGAAAGGAAGCAGGGGGGATGCCACACACTTTTAAACAACCAGATCTCGTGAGAACTCTATCATGAGAACAGCACCAAAGGGATGGTGCTCAACCATTCACGAAGGATCCACCCCCATGATCCAGTCACCTCCCACCAGGCCCCACCTCCAACATTGGGGATTACAATTAAATATGAGATTTGGGTGGGGACACAGATTCAAACCATATCACGAATGTCTAGGGAGGACCCCAAGTGAAGGGGGCACAGCAAAACATAAAGGCCCTGAGATGGGGCCAGGCCTTGTACCCTGCAGGGCCAGAAGGGAGTCCCGGGGAGCTGTATAGCAGAGAAAGGGAAAAATGAATTCAGAGAGGAGACAGAGACCCAGTCCCCATAGGGACAGGCCAGGTACTTAAGGCCTGCATTATAAAATAATAATAATAATGTCTCCCTTCTCTTCAACCACCATCCCCACACCCAAAACATGTCATCTCCACAGTAGCAAGCATTCAGAGCAGTTATTTCTGGGTAACTTTCTCATAGTGTCGCTGTAGCTGAAAGGAAACTTAGCCATCTTCCCTACCTCTGAAGATTTAAGATAAACTCCTACTTCTCCTGTGTCTAAATGTCTACGAAATTTTGTGACCTGCTAATCCTCCTCAACTTCTTTTTATAATTGGAGATAAAAAGGCATATAACTATGAACACCTGGCAAGAAGGAAGGACACGGGAGAGGGGAGAAGAGAATTGCAAATGTTAGTTATATTCTTTCAGGAAGGCCTATGTTCCAGTCTTACCAATTATTTGTGAACTTATTTTTTATATTTTCCTGATGCTGAGAACATTTAGAAGTTATAAAGAGACAGAGATTCAACGTATAAAGCAAGAACGATAGCTGTTGAGGGAGTAGAAGCCAGGAGGAAGTCGTGTCCAGTAAGCTAAGGGAAAAAATAAACAAGAAAGTGTAATTAACTGTATTCAATGCTAACTGGGTAAGTAGGATAGAATGTATTTAACAAATTGATGTTATTGGTGACTACAAAAACCAGCTTTGTTGAGGTGGGTTCAGGGGACAATGACACGAAAGGAACTGAAAATAGCGAAAACAGACAAGAACGTTTGACATATTTATGGGTGTAGCATGTGCTTTAATTATTTCTTAGAAAATGGGCAGGTTGTAAATGGAAGAGGCTGAATATTGGTAATTGTAGAAGTTGGTGATGGGTACATGAATTCATTATATTAGTGTCTCTGAGAAAAGCTCATGTTTTTTTTTTTTAAGCAAGCACATTATAAGAAGCAATAGATGTGCCAGGGCATATGAACATCAGATGAATGGAAGTTATCCTGTGTTTTTCTTTTTAACTTAAATTCATCTTTTTTGAATTAAATCTTAATTGATACATCCTGTATATGAAATTTCACTTTATGGTATAAATCAGAGGCTTCCTATCCTATAGGAAAGATTCATGCTTGTTTTTCAAATTCAGTACAATTCTCCCAGTGATTTCTAGGAAAGAATAAAGAGGAGAGGAGAGGTAGACATCAGAATGTAGAGAGGCAATACTGTGTAAAAATGAAAAACAAAAAAAAAAACTTTATTTCTATTTTCCCAGGCTGCACAAATCTGGCTTTGATGAAGAAACTCAGAAGATCCTGATGTCTGTGGAAGAAAAAATTCCCCATCTGACCATTTCACATGGACCTTGGATTGACGAGGAATACAAGATCAGGGGTGTGCTCCTCTGATGGGGAACACCCTGAAGTAGTCGTCTCACAAAGGCTTTCCTTGGCCACAGTGGGACCTTCACCTGGCACCTCTATCCTGTAATTGCACATCATGGCAGCAGGGCTGTGATTTCAGAGGTACTCCCTAAGTGTTCTAGCAATATGATTATGGAGTGTGATTCAGTGTACATGCTGATTGTCTTTGCCTCGGTCCTATATCCCCTTGTCTTTAGAAATCCCATCCTGCCTTGTGATATTTAGAAGCACAAGTACGTTAAACAAGTGCTAAACGCTCTGGAAAGCATGGCTTTATTTTCTTAATGGATGTCTTGGTGTGTAGGAGCATGCATTTGTAGGCACCACAATCCGGATACTTCTGACACAGAAGTGATGCTAGAATGTGTCTATAGATTGTATTGCTAGCATCCAGACTTTCTAGTTTGTCCAGATTTCGATTTGATCAATTTTCTTGTCCAATAAAAAAGCATTTCCAAATCTCTACTTATCCTTTTATATATGACACCCCAATAGATTTTTCTAAAAATTCAGTATTATTCAAATATATCTACACTGTTTATATTTCAAAACACAATATTAAACACTTCATTGTCATAATTAAACATTCCCTAGTTCCCTACGGTAAATTGCTGATGCCTTATTGGCCTGGTCTAAAATTTTTATTACAAAACATAAAAGCAAGATGATGCAGAAATTGGATTATATAATCAGTTATCATTAGATTGAAATATAATCTCAGATTCTCCTGAGAATGAGAAATTGTGGACCTACTCTTGGATCTCTTGGCACACTCCTGGATTCTTTGGATATTTGGGAGGCTGAATTTTCTATAATCTTCAATGTAGAGTGCTCGCACTTACTTGCTTAATTTTACTTCCAGGTTTTCCATATGTTTAAGCAATTATGAACTTTTTTGCCCAATTTTCTATTTGCTTTTGGCCTTTTCCCACAACTTTAAAGAATGCTGGCATAGGCCAGGAGTGGTGGCTCACGCCTGTAATTCCAGCACTTTGGGAGGTCCACGCGGGCGGATCACCAGGTCAGGACTTTAAGACCTGTAAACACGAGTTTACACTCAAGACTGGACAAGGGTTTCCATAGGACAAAAGACACCATTGTGTGGGGGATTCCAGTGGAAAGAAGAACCAAGGAGTTTGCCACGGCCATGTGGGTGAGAATCTTGTGTGTGGGCCTCATTTGATGCTCAGTCAAGATGGGAAAGATATTATGGAAGAACAGAATGGCATTGGCCAGAGTCCCCACCCCAGTCTGCAAAGGAAAGATGGTTTTTATGGCCACTTCCCCTATGGTTCTTAGGACATTGTTCTGAAAAGACATGGGGAGGGTTTCCAGGTGGTCTGAACTGAAGAGCTGGCTATGTCTGTGATGAGATCAGCACTCTTAGCTTTTCATCTTGGAAAGTTATTTTGGTCTTTCCTTTACCCGAAATAGAGACACTGTCATATTCCACAGAAGGGGCTCAACATGGAGAACATACCCCTGACACCAGTTTCACATTTGACTGGTTTTTGGGTATTTATTTTCATTTGTTATTTGTTCTTTCTTTTGTTTTAGAGTCAGGGTCTGCTTTTTGGCTCAGTCTGGAGGGCAGTGGTGCCATCATAGCTCACTGCAGCCTTGAACTCCTGGGTTCAAGTGATGCTCCTGCCTCAGCCTCCTGTGTAGCTGGGACCACAGGTGCACACTACCGTTCCTTTTTTTTTTTTTTTGAGAGACAGCCTCACTCTGTTGCTCGCCCAGGCTGGAGTGCAGTGGCACAATCTCGGCTCACTGCAGCCTCCGTCTCCTGGGTTCAAGTGATTCTCCTGTCTCAGCCACCTGAGTAGCTGGGATTTCAGGCATGCGCCACCATGCCCTGCTAGTTTTTGTTTTGGTATTTTTAGTAGAGATGGGGTTTTGCCATGTTGGTCAGGCTGGTCTCAAACTCCTGACCTGAGGTAATCCGCCTGCCTCGGCCTCCCAAAGTGCTGGGATTACAGGCCTGAGCCACCGCGCTCAGCCCATTTAAATATTTTTTAGTATAGACGGGGTCTCACTATGTTTCCCAGGCTGGTCTGGTACTCCTGGCTTCAAGTGATCCTCCCACTTCAGCCTCTCAAACTGCTGGGATTACAGGCACAAGCCATCGCACCTGGCCCATTTACTTTTTTTTTTTAATCTCTCTTTACTATTGTTTTTTAAATCTCTCTTTACTATTGTTTTTTAAATCTCTCCCTTCCCTTCCCCTCTTTTCTTTCTTTCCTTTTCCTTCCCCTTCCCTCCTTTTTCTCTCTTTCCTGCAATGCTGCAATCTTGGCTCACTGCAGCCTCTGCCTCTGGGTTCAAGCGATTCTCCCGCCTTAGCCTACTGAGGAGCTGAGATTACAGGCATCTGCCATCATGCCCGGCTAATTTTTGTATTTTTAGTAGAGACAGGGTTTTGCCATGTCGGCCAGGCTGGTCTCGAACTCCCAACCTCAGGTGATCCACCCGCCTCAGCCTCCCAAAGTGCTAGGATTTCAGACATGAGCCACCACGCCCGGCCCTCTTTCACTTTTCTAAAACAGTACGCCACTGCATTCCAGCCTGGGTGACAGAGCGAAACACGGTCTTTTAAAAAAAAAAAAAAAAGAAGAAGAAAAAGAGAAGAAAGGAAGAAAAGAGGAGGAAAAAGGAGAAGAAAGAGGAGGAAAGGAAGAAAGAAAAATAAAGGAAGAAAGGAGGAGAAAAAGGAGGAAGAGGAAGAAGAAAAGAGAGGAGGAGGAGGAAGAAGAAATCAAAGTTCTCCAGTCTCATAAACCTGCACATGCAGAGAATCTGGAAAAACTAAAGCTGGGTTGTTCCCCAACCAATGGACATTCTATGGTCCCTTTTCTTCCAGATAATAAGGCCTTCTTTGTAACTGCTATGCAGACCTCTGGCTTCCCATCCAGCATACCTGAACTAAGACTTATTTTGTCTTACACTTTATACTCACTGAAAATCAAGAATCCCATGGTGAGCTATGATCACACACTGCAATGCAGCTTTAGTGATAGAGCAAGACCTTGTCTCTAAATATATATATATATCCCACAACACTCTAAATATATATATATATATATATCCCACAACAACAAATATTCCAGCCACAATGTCAGTATGACTGTTGAAGAACCTGACCTTATGATTGACATGTCATTTTCTCGATACTTTCAAGATTTTCTCTACCTTTGGCCTTTATTAACTTGACTCTGATAATGTTCGGGGATACTTTTCTTTTTTCTAAGAAAGGGTCTTGCTCTGTTGTCCATGCTGGAGTGCAATGGTGCGATCTCGGCTCACTGCAACCTCCACCTCCCGGGCTCAAACGATTCTCCCATCTCAGCATCCCGAGTAGCTGGGACTACAGGTGCATGCCACTATGCATGACTAATTTTTGTATTTTTAGTAGAGATGGTGATTTTGTCATGTTGGCCAGGCTGGTCTCGAACTCCTGACCTCAAGTCATCCATTCGCCCCGGCCTCCCAAACTGCTGGAATTACAGGCTCACGCCACTTCATGAAATGTGTTGTAGTGGCTCTGGATTCTGTATCGTTCTGAGAGGTTTTTTTCATTGGTTTGTTTTCGTTTTTGTGTGTTTCCGTAGGCAAAAAAGTTGCCTGGACAGGTTTACAAAACATATCTCCCCATCTCCCTGCAGTCAGCAGCTATCGGTATCTATGCTAAGTTCCTTCAAAGACTCCTAAGAGGTCTCCATGGACCTCTGAAGTTTAATAGTCAATGATTGGGTCAGAGCTTACTCAGAAACCTCAGGCCAGTGAGGCTTCCAACCTCTGCAGCCCAGGCTGAGTGGCTTGAGTAGCACATTCACTGTGTGGCAGAACTGCGAGTCTGCCCAGGCTTTTCATTTCTTCTGGGCTCCCTGGTGCCTCCCACGTGCATGTGTAGAACAGCATTCAGCCAGAGATGCTTGGGAAGTGGATGAGAACAGCATTCAGCCAGAGATGCTTGGGAAGTGGATGATGTCTACCATTCTACGGATCACTTGCGATGCTTATTTCCCAGGGAACAGAAATGAAGTGGGGCCAGGCCATCTCCTGTCTCTGTTGTCTGTATTACAGAAGGAAGGGAGCGGTGCTGGAGCAGGGGGCCCAGGAGCATCACAGGCGGCAGGCCAAGGAGAGAGATGTAGGTGGCAGGACCCTCCAGGGACTCGGGAGAGACACATGCGTGAGCTTTTGCGATACGGGGTGAGACAGCAAGGGTGCTGTGGGGTGTGTGTGCCTTCCCCCAGACAGTGTGGATGGCTGCATTCATGTTAGGGCTGTCATAACAAAGTACCGCCAGCTGGGAGCGCTATAGAACGTCAATGGATTTTCTCACAGTTCTGGAAACCAGAAATTCAAGATGAAGGTGCTGCAGGGTTGGCTTCCGCCAAGGCCTCTCTCCTTGGCTCCCAGACGGCTGTCTTCTCCCGGCGTCCTCACATGAAGGTGCAACCCCACTATATAACAGTCAGATTGGATTAGGACCCACCCTAATGTCCTCATTTTAACCTTACTTACCTTGTAAAGGCCCTGTCTCCAAATACAGCCCCATTCTGGGGTACGGGGTCGGTGCAGGGTGGGGGGTAGGGTTTCAACATAGAGCTTTCAGGAGGGCGCAGTTCAGCTAGTGACAGTGACTGCAGGTGTCTAAGCGGAGAGGATGGGCCACTCCAACGGGGGGCGGGTGAGCAAGGGGCGCTGGAGAAAGAGCGTGGAGAGCACGTGCCGTCTAGTGTGCGCGCTGGGCTGGAAGGTGGGGACCAGGAGGAGACCGGGACCACGAGTAAGAGCCCGCGAGAGGTACGTGTGAGAGCGACTGTCTCCGTGTGGGCGAGAAGCCTGGAAACGGAGGAACTGGGTTTCCGAGGGACTGAATACCTCGGTTGATAGTCTGCGCGCTGGCCCAGAAGGAAGGAGCACAAGCGCGCACGGGATCCCAGCGTCTTCCCACAACCCCGCCTGCGGCTCCGTCCGCTCTCCGGCGCCCTCTGCTGGGCCAGCAGCCGAAACGCAGGGGAGCGCTTTCCAGCTTCCTCCAATCCCAGCCCACGCGGTAGCCGCTCACACGCAGGTGCTTAAACTTAAATCCATCAAAAATTGGCAAGATTAAAAAAATCTCATGCTGGCCACATTTCAACTGTTCTACGTGGCATGTGGCTAGTGGCATCCCTTTTGTACAGCACAGAGAACATTTCCGGCATCTCAGAAAGTTCCATCAGACGCCCTGCTAGTGACCAATCTGCGAAAAAGTGAGGATCCCAGGCTGCGCCCAGTGGCTCACGCCTGTAATCCCAGTACTTTGGGGGGCCGAGGCAGGTGGATCACCTGAGGTCAGGAGTTCCAGACCAGCCTGGCCAACGTGGTGAAACCCCGTCTCTACTAAAAATACAAAAATTAGCTGGGCGTGGTGGCGGGCACCTGTAATCCCAGCTACTTGAGAGGCTGAAGCAGGAGAATCGCTTAAACCCGGGAGGCAGAGGTTGCAGTGAGCCGAAATCACACCATTGCACTCTAGCCTGGGTGACGACAGTGAAACTCCATCTCAAATTTTAAAAAAAAGTGAGAATCCCCGACTGTCCCAACCACACACAACACACACACACACAGCAGCTATCTCCTTGGTTGAGGGCACTTCCCACTTAGGCCCCTCCGGACAGTGTTGTCCAGGACAGAAACACACGTGGCCACACACACGCCCTCCCCTCCATTTATGGCTGGCCCAGAGCTGCCCAGCCAGAGAGAGACCACGCAGGGCCAAAGGAAATAATCTGCTATCAAAACTGAAAGAGGCCAGGTGCGGTGGCTCACGGCTGTAATCCCAGCACTTTGGGAGGCCGAGGTGGGCGGAATCACAAGGTCAGATTGAGACCATCCTGGCTAACACGGTGAAACCCCGTCTCTACTAACAATACAAAAAATTAGCTTAGCCGGGCGTGGTGGTGGGCGCCTGTAGTCCCAGCTACTCGGGAGGCTGAGGCAGGAGAATGGCATGAACCCGGGAGGTGGAGCTTGCAGTGAGCCGAGATCGCACCACTGCACTCCAGCCTGGGTGACAGTGCAAGACTCCGTCTCAAAAAAAAAACAACAGTGAAAGAAAAGAAAGGAGTAAATGCGGCTTAGATGAACGAATAAATGCATTCACCCATTCTACCTGAAATCAATACCCAATTGATGTAAGAAACAGAAATCATTTAGGTAGATAGGGCGAAGAGAGTCCCCAGCAAAAAACTTCCTAACAAAAAGCAGCTTAGAAATTGCTCCCTTTCTCACCACACCACGCAGTTCAAAGAAATCACTTCTCCTAACAAAGAGCAGCCTGATCTTTCAGGCTGTAAAACACAGATAAGCAACTCGGGCACAGACTTGGGAGGTTCCTGGGTAATCACCAAGCCACATACATAGATGGGCCCCAGTGAAAACAGTGGGCCTAAAGCACATTCCTTTCCCTTTCTTTAGGCACACTAAGGGAAGCTGGAAGCGCGTGGGGGAGATGCCTGCAGCTGCACGAAGGTGCCTGGGAATGGGCACAGAAACACTCCCTCCCCTTTTAGCACACACAGATAAGCAGCAGCGCAGAGCAGCACAAACGAAGGGCCTGCCTGCAGGATCAAAGAATGGGGTGGGGGCCCGGCGCGGTGGCTCACGCCTGCAATCCCACTACTTTGGGAGGCCGAGGCAGGCGGATCACTTGAGGTCAGGAGTTGGAGACCAGCCTGACCAACATGGTGAAACCTTGTCTCTACTAAAAATACAAAATTAGCCGGGCATGGCTGCATGCACCTGTAATCCCGACTACGCGGGAGGCTGAGGCACGAGAATTGCTTGAACCTGGGAGGCGGAGGTTGCAGTGAGCCAAGATGACACCACTGCACTCCAGCCTGGGCGACAGAGCGAGACTCCATCTCAAAAAAAAAAAAAAAAAAAAGAATGGGGTGGGGGCTGCTAGAGACTCTGCTCGATGCAGACAGCACACCTGGTCCTAACTGGTTCTTCAGGCCCTAGGAAGAAAAGACACCCCTCCTCACTAGCCCATCTATAAAACCCCTGACATTTCTTCTACAACTTCACAACCCGTTCGGGACCCGTCTCTGTGACAGAGCTGTTTCTTCCTTTTGCCTATTAAACTCCTGCTCCAAATCTCACTCTGTGTGCATCCACATCCTTGATTTCCTCGGCTGTGAGACCAAAAACCTTAGTATTTACCACAGACAAGACCGTTTTACAGGAACAAGCCAGGCAGGGTCCCGAAAGCTCAGTATTTTAAGGGTCTAACAGGGAGAAGTTCTCATTAATGTCAGCTCCTTCTGAGAACTGCTGGGGTCAGAATAGTCCGGGAAAGGGGAGAGGAGACACAAGGTCCTTGTTCAAATCATGTATTTCTTAAGATACTAAGAGAAAAAAATACAGGAAACAGTATCATTTTTTTTTTTTTTTTGGAGACAGGGTCTCACTCTGTCACCCAGGCTGGAGTGCAGTAGTGCAATCTCGGCTCACTACAACCTCCGCCTCCTGGGTTCAAGCGATTCTCCTGCCTCAGCCTCCTAAGTAGCTGGGATTACAGGTGCCCGCCACCACACTAGGCTAATTTTTGTATTTTTAGTAGAGACGGGGTTTCGCCATGTTGGCCAGGCTGGTCTCGAACTCCTGACCTCGTGATCCGCCCGCCTCGGCCTCCCAAAGTGCTAGGATTACAAGCATGAGCCACAGCACCCAGGCGAAACAGTATCATTTCTAACCCTTTTCATGTGGCTGTCAGGACATGTTTCAAGCACCGAGTCCAGCATCTTGATAAGATGGGAACCAGGGAGCCCTCAGGGCCCCCGCGCCAGCCCTCCCACTGCAAACCCACACCACCCTGGCCGTCTGGAGCTTGTCCCAGCCCGGCTCCCCGTGACATCGGGACCTGGCCACTCCTGGACGTGATGCCCTAAGCTTGCCTCCCCTGCGGATGGATGTAGTGATGCTTGATTTGGGTGGATGAGAACATTCCCCACAACACAAGCCATTTTGCAACCTCACCTCCCGAGCCTCTGAGCTACCTTTCATTCCCCTCTGAGCACGCAGGGTTAACTGCTGTAGGGGTTACCCCCATCAATGCATGAGTTATACCTTTTGACAGTAACACACAACGATTACTAGAGAGCATGTCATTACCATTTTTAAGTGCTCCAGGGGAGGGGCCATGAGGAGGCTGTAGGTGAAACAGGAGTGGTTCAAATGTAAATGATGGCTGAACACGAGTGAGGCATTTGCAGGGGTGGTTATGATAATATTGTCTATAGTTTTGTGTGCTTCAAGATGTCCCTCAGAAAGTTTGTAATTATGGGCCGGGTGCCGTGGCTCACGCCTGTAATCCCAGCACTTTGGGAGGCCGAGGCGGGTGGATCACAAGGTCAGGAGTTCGACCAGCCTGGCCAATATGGTGAAACCCTGTCTCTGCTAAAAACAGAAAAATGAGTTGGCTGTGGTCGCACGCACCTGTAGTCCCAAGTCAGGAGAATCGCTTGAACCCGGGAGGCGGAGGTTGCAGTGAGCCGAGATCGCGCCACTGCACTCCAGCCTGGGGGACGAGAGCAAGACTCCATCTCAAAAAAAAAATAAATAATAATAATAAGGAAAGGAAGTTTGTATTTATGGAGCAGTCATTAAATAGTGCTTTATGGGCCGGGCACAGTGGCTCAAGCCTGTAATCCCAACACTTTGGAAGGCCGAGGTGGGCAGATCACGAGGTCAGGAGATCGTGACCATCCTGGCTAACACAGTGAAACCCCGTCTCTACTAAAAAAATACAAAAAAATTAGCTGGGCATGGTGGTGGGCATCTGTAGTCCCAGCTACTTGGGAGGCTGAGGCAGGAGAATGGCGTGAACACAGGAGGCGGAGCTTGCAGTGAGCAGAGATCGAGCCACTGCACTCCAGCCTGGGCGACAGAGCAAGACTCTGTCTCAAAAAAAAAAAATAGTGCTTTAGGAAATTATAAATATCCATACTAAAATAATGTGGATGAAACATAACATTATATAATTATCCCTGAAAGTAAAACAAAA
This sequence comes from Homo sapiens, assembly GCF_000001405.40. Taxonomy (NCBI): domain Eukaryota; kingdom Metazoa; phylum Chordata; class Mammalia; order Primates; family Hominidae; genus Homo; species Homo sapiens. Next base: position 55,699,838 of record NC_000019.10, on the reverse strand, counting down.
GCATGAAGAAACATTCAATACAAAACAAACAGCAAAGGGAGCGATTTCTCGGCGGAAAGCATGCTGGAACCCTGTGGAAGCGTGGGCTGTCCCAGGACGTGCAGGCAGGCCTTAGACCCCTGCCACATACAAGCAATCACCGGGGGTCAGCACACTTTTTGTTGAAGAGCCAGATAGTAAATATTTTAGGCTCAAGGGACACTCGGTCTCTGCCACACTCAATGTCACCATTGCCACTGTAGTGCAGAAGCAGCCGTGGCTGCACTCTAATAAAACATTTTTTTTTACAAAAGCAAGCAGCCAATCCTTGGGCTGCAGTTTGAGAAACTCCAGGGGCACCTGTGATGTGAGTAGGCCGGTTTCTCACCACAGTGAAGGGCCTGGCAGGATGGCGCTTGAGGGATGAGCTGGACAACCCACAGTCATCACAGAGACAGACAAGTTCTCAAGAAATAAAACATTTCTGGCCGGACGCAATGGCTCACGCCACACCCGGGAAGCTAGAAGCACGTGTGGGGGAGATGCCTGCGGCTGCAAGAAGGTGCCTGGGAATGGGCACAGAAACTCTCCCTCCCCTTTTAGCACACGCAGAAAACCAACGCAGAGCAGCACAAACTAAGGGCCTGGGGGAGGCGGGAGGGAAGGCATTAGGAGATATACCTAATGTAAATGACGAGTTAATGCGTGCAGCACACCAACATGGCACATGTATATATATGTAACAAACCTGCGCGTTGTGCATAGGTACCCTAGAACTTAAAGTATAATAAAAAAATAAAAAATGAAATGGGGTGGGGGCCGCTACAGTGGCTCACGCCTGTAATCCCAGCACTTTGGGAGGCCGAGGCAGGCGGATCACGAGGTCAGGAGATCGAGACCATCCTAACATGGTGAAACCCCGTCTGTACTAAAAATACAAAAAAAAATTAGCTGGGCGTGGTGGTGGGCACCTGTAATCCCAGCTACTCGAGAGGCTGAGGCAGGAGAATCGCTTGAACCCGGGAGGTGGAGGTTGCGGTGAGCCGAGATCGTGCCACTGCACTCCAGCCTGGCAACAGAGCAAGACTCCTTCTAGGGGGGAAAAAAAAGGGCATTTCTTCCTATTCAATGAGAACATGAGGAAAAGGCAAAAGGCAGAGGCTGGCTGGGAGTGGGTTTGTGTGTGTAAAATTGAGTTTCAGTATAAAAAAAGATCAAGGCAGGACTGAAAGCCCTGAGGCTGGCATCGCAGCTCCAGAGCGAGGGGCAAGCGTAGGGCGAGGAGCGAGGATAGGGCGAGGGCGGGAGTAGAGCGAGGGGTAAGGCTAGGGTGAGCACAGGTGGCAGGGGACTCTGGTGGGCCTGGACTCTGGTGGGCGGGGTGACCCAGGAGCTCGGATGAAGCTCCTACGGGCTCCAGGAAGGTTCCCTCAAGTGCCTTCCCCACCCAACCCCTAGGCCCTGAACAGAGTCGAGACCCAGGAATGTCCCACGCCCCATCGCTTCACCTGTCCCAGGGAGAAATTCTGGGGTTTTTTCCACTTCAGCCCTCTCTGGGGGAAGACGTCGGGTCAGAAGCACATCTGCTCCTGAGAGCCAGCCGGGAGCACCACCATGACTCTTGCTTAGCCAAACCTGAGGGATCTGAACCTCCTCCTAGGCCCATCCGTGCATGCCCTTGTAAAATCCTTTCAGCAAATGAACCCCGCCGCCATCCCCCCCAACCCCCGCCACCCTCACATCTGATAGGCTTCTTCAGCCTCCACCATCCCCAGGTGACCTCTGATCACCCTGGCCTGCCTTCAGCAAGAATCCTGCTAGGTGGGTTTAGCCGAAAACCCCCGGACCCCTGAGGTTTGCTCTTAGTGATTTTCCATCCACTGATGGTACCTGTACCTGTCTCGATGGTCCTGAATAAAGTCTTCCTCACGGCCATTTAACAAGCTCGCCATCCCACTGTGGGGAGAGAGACACATCTGCTGTAGAAAGAGTGATACACACACAGTGGGGGGAGCCCTCAATCGGGGACAACAGCAGGCTCCCAGCATTCTCCCAGCGTTCAACCGTGTATGTCACTAAGCTCAGGTGCTTGGGCCTCATGGGGGACTCCTACACAGCAGCTCCTGCTGAGCACTTTGGTGGCTGGAATATTCTAGAAAGAGGAATAAAGTAGGAGACACGAGATCTGTGGTGCTACTTTGTAATTCGCACTGTAGGGAAAAGAAGATGCCGAAGATGCTGTAGTTAAGCCCCAAATTTATGTGCAAGCCTCTGGGTTTTTGTCTTGTTTTTCAATCCTGTCTTCTCTGTTTTGCCAAATGAGGAAATGGTGGGGAGAATTAAAGCCTCACACCTTTAACCCCTCCACTGGACTAATCCAACTGTATCATTTTATCTTCGTCCTCAGCTTTTTTGAAGAGAAAGGGAGTGCAGGCTCCGCAGTGCGAAATCGTGAAACTTATCCTTAATTTGGTGAATGGAGGGTCTGACAAGTGAGGGGCCCAGGAGCTATGACCCTGTGGGGAGACCAAGATTGGCAAGAGGGAGGCTCGGCTCGCCTCCCCTTTCCATGTGATCCCACCCAGAGCTGCCGCCTTCAGCTGGCTCTCTGTGCCCTGTGGGGCTCCCCCATCACAACCGCCTAGAGCAGCAGGGTCTCGGACAGCCCAAGCGTAAGGGACGCTTGCTGCTGCCTGGGGACAGCACCCCCTCCCCCGGTAACAGTCCCCATTTCCTCCTGGGAAATGACTCTCCCACAACATACCCAGGCCGGGTGTGAGAAGAGGGCTTCCCCTCCCTGGCTAAGCAAGGGGGATGCTCCTCTGCAACTGAATCTGGAACCGGCTGACCCCAAAGTTCCTGTGTCCCTGGGACCCACCTCTTCCTGCATGGTGTGGTCAGCAATTCCTCCATCAAGCCCCCGACAACCCTCCAGACACCCTGGTCTGCAGGGGCAAGTGGAGGCCAGAGAACGCTCCGACACAGGTCATGACCCAATTCACAGCAAGAAACAGAACCCCAACCTCACATCACCCCAACAGCACTCCTTTTGCTCTGCAATCCCCAGGTGACGTAGGTCTGTCCACCAGGGAGTGGGCACACAGGGTGGCCACGACGCTGCTCGGACACCGCAGTCATGTCCCTCTCAGTGGCCTCCAACACTCCACTGGCTGGGTGCTCCCTGGACCCCGACCCATAACAAGTGTCCCTGTGATGTAGCTGTCTGGCCCCACCCTGAGCCCAGAGCGTCCCCCGGGCAGAAGGGGCAAGAAGTCTGACCCCAGGGGCCTGGCCCCACACAGCCTTCACCCCAGCACCTCTGAGACAAGAGCTGTCGGAGTCACTGAGGGAGCGAACCCAGCCGTCAGGACTTGACCCCAGGGGATCACGGAGGGAGACTCCACATGGAAGAACAGCCTGTTCGGCTTAAAACAGACATGGCCAGATCCCCATCCCTGAGGCCCTGGCTGTGGGGCCTGCAACAAGCTGTCACCTAGCCCTGGAGATGACAGCAACACCCCCCTCACAAGGCGGCCCGAGGATTCTCCCGGATAGTCTCACCAGGTGTGGTCCAGCCCAGGACAAGAGCACACAGAGGAAAACAGCACACAGAGGACAACCAGGAGGCGCCTGGTGGTCCACTCAGCTCAGCCGGCAGAGGCTGACCCGGCTTTCCAGGAGTGCAGGGATGGATTAGTGATGCTTGCGGTGGGCCCGGGCGATGGCGACGGTGACCTGTGTTGCACATGTGCCATCTCTCAGGATTCTTCTCCTCCCTGAACCCCAGTGCACTCTCTGACCTCATCCTGGTGTCCCCTCAACACAAGAGCAAGGCCTCCTGCACCGGAAGCGTCTGGCCATGAGTGGCCTCCCGACCACCTGGACCTGTGTGGGCTACAGCTCCGCCAGGCCTCGCACAGTCCACCCTCAACCCAGCCATCCCTTGACCTGGGAGGGTCAGGGAAATCAGGGCTTCTGAGACAGAGGGGCTGGTTGCCAGCCACCCCCGAGAAAGAGATGTGACCTGAGCCCTGGGTCCCTGGATGAAGGGGCTCTGGGGGACACACGAAATCACAGATGGGAATCTGGGAGTGCCAAGCCCGTGGGAATTGCCATTTATTCCCAAAGTTGCCAAAATCATCACCAAGGATTCACCGAGGGTGCGTGAGCGGGTGCGTGAGGGGAACGAGGAGGCTCAAACACTGACTGGGGGTTGGGAGTTTGGAGGGAGGGGGAATGGGTGGGGGCCCCAGCCACCCCTCCCCCTTCTAATGCCACGGGAAAGGGGTCCTCCTCTGGCCAGCTCCCCTCCCCAGGCCCCATGTCCAGTTTCTCTCCGGGGAGGTGGGGTGGGAAAGGAAGAGGGTGTAGTGTGAGTGGGCCCCAGGAAGGGGAAGGGCACTGGGGGTGGGGATCCCCCATTTCACATGCACTCACAACACTGATCTCCCAGGGAGCCGGAATGGGGCAGCCGGATGGAGCCAGGCCCCCTTCCGCCCTGGATTATAGGAGGAAGGGATTAGTGTTGGGGGCCGGGGGGCCCGGGGGCATCATGGGGGGCAGGCCAGGGCCCCCGCCAAGGGGAGAGATGTACGTGGGTGGCGCTCCAGGGACGGGAGGCACAGGACTGAGACGGAGCTGGTTCAGGGTGAGCGTCGCGGGAGGCGCGGGCTGGAAGGGGTTGGTGACGGAAGGGCCAGTGGCTGGGCCTCCTGCAGGAAGAGTAAACCAGAGACACGGAGTGGAGTCAGTGGCGCAGCCCACCTGTGTCCATCCAGCATGTGCAGGCAAAGGGCGAAGTGTCCCTGCCCCGTGAGGCACCTCCTCTGGTGGAACCCACAGGAAGGACTTGAGCAGGTGATGGGCCCACACTCACCGCCTGGCAGGAAGGGGTTGGAGGCCTTGGCTCCAGGCGGCGTGGGGCCCGGCCGGCTCACCAGCGAGTCCAGGTCGACGAGGGCTGCATTGGGCCCCAGGAATGACTCCGGCGTCTTCCGGGTGGGGGGCGTGGGAGTTGGTGTGGCTGCAGGTGGGGGGCTGCCCACAGCCTCAGCCAGAGATCCCCTGACCCCACTCATGTCAAACGCCCCAGGGCTTCGGGCCGGCACCTCTCCTGCCAGCAGCTCCAGCTCTCCTGGAAGGATCCGGGAGAGGGGCTCAGACAGGGCAGACAGCAGTGAGGCTCCAACCCGGGAGCAGTATAGGCCATCATAGGGGGCGCTTCAAAGAGCCCGGTGCCCAGAGGCCTCGGGAAGGAGGAACTGAGGTGCAGAGCGGAAGCATCGCTTGCCCAGGCCAAAACCTCACGTCAGCCCAGATTCCCATAAGGTGGGTCTGATTCCAGTGAGCAAACACAAGAGGGATGACAGAAGCAGGTGTCACCCTCTGACAACCAGAGGGCAGCAACTGCTTCAGGGTGGGGCCGTCCAGGGTCTATAGGCCCGCGGGGGAAGGCAGCGGGGGCGTGTTCACAGGTGCCTCCAGGCTCAGAGGAGCCTGCCCTCAGACGCTCCTTGAGTACACAGCCCCAGAGGGAGCTTCCAAGTGGACAGACAGCACAGACACGTGTTCCGGGCCAGCGTGAAGACATCTGTTGGCTAGAGGTCTGATTTTCTGTTTTTTTTTTTTTTTTTTTTTTTTCTGAGACGGAGTGTCGCTCGTTTCCCCAGTTGGAGCGCAATGGCGCAACCTCAGCTCACTGCAACCTCCACCTCCTGGGTTCAAGCGATTCTCCTGCCTCAGCCTCCCAAGTAGCTGGGATTACAGGCGTGCGCCACCATGCCTGGGTAATAATTTTGTGTTTTTAGTAGAGACGGAGTTTTGGCCATGGTGGTCAGGCTGGTCTTGAACTCCCGACCTCAGGTGATCCACCCACCTCGAGCTTCCAAAGTGCTGGGATTACAGGCGTGAGCCATTGCGCCTGGCCTGATTTTCCTTTTAAATAGATTTAAGAATTCTACCTAATGTTGAAAAAATGCACACATTTGTATGGGACAAAAAAGGGCCTAAAAGAAGGAAAACTGCATGCTGGAAGGTTGCTCTACGTTAACCTAGATAATGAGAGGAGGGAAGCGTGGGTGCAGCTCACTCCCTGCAAGCTGCCAGCCTTTCATCAGTGGAAACAGGTTTCTGTACCACAACCTGCTCTTCACTAACAGCTCACTTAAAATAAAAATAAGAGATCAAGGCTGACCTGACTCATCATGGGACAGACAGGTATCAGCTGAGGGCCGCGGCGAAGCACCAGTGGCCCACTATGACCTCGGGCACTCCTGACGAAGAGCCACTCAGGACTCAGCAGATGGGCCCGTCACCGGCGATGGGCGCCAGCTTACGCCAGCTGAAAACCCCAAGGAGCCAGGGCAGCTAAAGGCAGCACCCATGAGGACGCACCCTGGCCAGCCCAGGAGCCACCAGCAGGTGAGTGGCGACCCGGAAGGGGAGCCTCGGCTGCCTTCCAAACCCCTGTCCACGCAGCTCACTGCACAGGACAAGACAGTCCGTGTTCTTTGAGACACCTGGAGAGTTTGCAAGGCACTCAAGCAACGTGGAGGCAGAGACGGGTCAGAGGTCAACATTCGGGTGGGAAACCTTGAGAACAATTCTCAGTTTTTCTCTAAGTCTGCAATTTCTCTAAAATAAAGATGCACACTTCTTTTAAAGACAGGTGGATGGTTCTGGCCCACTCTACCCAACTGAACTTTTCATCCCTAAGTCCAGCCGGCCCTGCCTGGAGTGGGACAAAGACAGCAAGGGACGGGGCTCCCGAAGAGCTAGGGGAGGCTCCCTCTCGCCACTGGGCAGGGGAGGGCAGGGGCTCACCTGCGCTGCTCCCGGAGGTCGGCAGTGCCGTGCGGAGTCGGTCAAAGTCAGAGAACTCGTCGGGCTCCGTGTCGAATCCCCCGGCTGCTGTGGGGTCAGGATGTTCTGCTCAGCCCCTCCCTGGGGCCCCGCCTCAGCCCCCACCTCCAGTCCAGGCGTCCACCCCTCCCTTAGGACACTCAACACTAACTTCTCCCACTCACTCCCACCCGGGGCTCCATTCCCACCCCCATTCCAGTACCTGTTGTGCCATTGGTGCTGGGCTTGGCAGGTGACCCTCCCCAGGGATCTGAGAAGGCCGGGGCCGGTGTCCAGGGATCGGAGGCTGAGGGCCCACTGACCGGGACCCCACCTGGGTGAGGACAGAAGAGCATGAGGGGCTGGCAACCTTGACTGCCCAGATGGCTAGGGAGGACCATTGCCTCCAAATCTGTGGCTGTTCACACAAAAGCCCCCCTGCCCCCCAGAAACCCACCCCACCCGGCCTCCCGCACACACACTCAAATTCCAACTGGGCTTCTCTGCCAGGCTCTGCCCCTGGGACCCCAGCTGGGGTGAGGGGCTTCCCCGCAGCCTCTGCCAGACCTGCCCAGCCCTCCCTCAGCTCCCACGGCTCGGCCACCCCTCCCCTGTCCAGCTGGGTGTCAGGCCCCTTCTCCACCTGCACCTCCCAGCTCCACCCACCGCCCTCCCCAGATGCCTACGTCACACACGCTCTGCCTTGGCCAGAGCCTCTCTGCCCCTCGGCTGAGCTGCCATCCCCTCCCCACAGCACACCCCCCATGTCCTCCAAGGCACAATCTCACACACCCTGTGCTGGGCTCTCATCTGACCCCCGCCCTTGCCCCCTCCCCTGCACCCAGGACGCCCCACCACTGCCCGGCGCCACTGGCTCGATCTGTCCCTGTCCAAGGGCACAGTCAACCAAAGACAGGTGCACACAGGCGTAGGGGCTGCATGCAAGTGGGCCACGCACTCACCATCGGAACTTCCCCATGGATCAGGCGTGGGCCCCTCCCCAGCTGCAGGGGCTGGGGTCCCACCCCAAGGGTCAACTGAGGGTCCTGCAGGGGCAGCAGGCCTCCAGGGGTCCCCAGAGGCCGGCGTGGGGGCTGGACCTCCCCAGGGATCAGCAGCTGGAGGGACAGGGGGGCCGCCCCAGGGGTCCGAGGTGGGGGCAGCCGTGGGGACGGCAGCAGCCATGGGTGCTGGGCCCCCCCAGGGGTCTGTGGTCGGGGCAGGAGCTGGGGCCGTGAAGACGTCAGCAAGGTCCATGAGGGACGACTGTGGGGGAGAGAGAAGAGAAGGAGCATGAAGAAGTGGTGGGAAGCCTGGGACAGGGACCAAGCTGGGGCCCGTGGCGGGGGAGGCGGCCAGGCCCTGGGTGTCCAGACAGCAGCCATCCATAAGGGGTGAGAGGGAGGCAGGCCCCAAACACACCACCTGGCCTCCCTCCTCATCCGTCATGGGGTCGGCCCACCCCTGCCCACCTACCCCACCCGAGGGTACCACCAGGGAGCCCCAACACAGCCCCACTCCTGCCCCACATCCATTCTCCACACTGCAGCAGGGCAGCCCCTTAACTCCACCTGCTCCCAGGTCCTTGCCCGGCCCTGACTGAGGATGGAGGCCAAGCCCTCCCCTCGCTCGACCCGAAGCAGCTCGATCCTCCCTCTGCCCACCGTGCCTTCTCCAGCCAGACTGGCCAGCCCCTGCTCCATGCCTTCCCCTGGGAAGCCCCCCATGAACCCACTCAGGTCAACCTGAGCACCCCTCACGATGCCCCCTACGTTGCCCCGCCGTCACCCCGCAGTCATCGCGCTGCAGGCCTTCCCACGCCCATTGCCCCACTGTCACCCCGCAGTCATCGCACTGCAGGTCTTCCCATGCCGCACGCACACGCATGCATGGTCCTGTGTTCTGGAAGTGGGCACACGACGGGCCCAGCTAACCAGAGCCCGTCTCAGAACGTGCAGATGCCCCCAACATACTCATGCACACATCTCCAGTCAGCACCCGTGAGGCAAAGGCCCCGGCGGGGATGGGAAGGGGAGAAGAGCTGAGTCCAGGGCAGGGCAGGAGAAGAGATGGGTGAGATCTGGTGCTCCCCCAGCAGGGCAGCCCTTACTCGGGTCACTGGGCTGTGGTGGACACTGATAGAGACCCCCTGGCCGAGGCCAACCTAAAGAGGCTTTCCGTCTACCAAGAAAGTCCCACTGTGCCTGATCACTTATGGCCACAAGCTGTCTGCCGCCTCCCATGGAGAGGAGGCCTTGTCCCCACCCCTCAAACTTGGGCTGGCCTCAGGACCTGCTGAGACCAATAGCAGTGCACAGGCTGACGAGGCAACTCCAACCCAGCCCGACGAGCTTGTCCTGGGGGGCGGCAGCAGCAGCAGCTACTGTGCTATGAGGACACTCAGGACAGACTAGTAACCAGGGAGAGGCCAGGGGAGGAGGCTGGAGGGCAAGGCCAGTGCGGACACCCCGGGCCCAGAGGCATGAGTGACCTCAGCCATGACACGAAACAACCAGCCAGCGGGCCCGTCACAGGGAAGTACTGAAGCGTGACCTGGAAGCACAAGGTTGTGGGAGGGTTTGCTACTCAGCTGCAGAGCATGGGGACGCCACAGAAACAGTGTTCGCGAGGGCGGGACCATGCCTCCTCGCTCACCAACAGGCCCTGGGTGTGCAGCACACGGCCTGGCACCAAGGAGGTGCCCGACAAAGTGTGACAGATGGGGCGAGCCCTGCACCCTCCTCCCTGTGGCCATGCCAGGCTGTTGGCCTATTCTGGGCCTCCCCATTCAGCTGTGGCGGCCGGTGGTGGCCCTCACGGTGCTCAGCCCGAAGGGGGATGGCCAGCGCTGACCACAGGAGGTGGCCGCAGGGCAGCCTGGTCAGTCACCGGCCTCAGCCCAGCAGGGAGGGAGAGGCACAGAGAGGCCGACCAAGCCTGGAAACCCGGTGCCCAGCTCCAGGACCTTGTGTTTCAGTCTCTGCTCCAGGGACCTGGCCACGCAGGAATGAGCGATGGGACGGACGGACACCTGCAGGGGCCAGGGAGGGCAGAACAAGCCCCGCTCACCTCCTCCTTGCCCCCAGTCTCCCTCTTGCTCTCCTCGATTGCCATCTGCAGCCGCAGGTCATCCCCGCGACGGATCCGCTCCTCCTGTTGGGGCACGGGCACGACCAGGGAGACATGAGAACGTGAGCCACGGGCAGATGCCACCTCAGCCTGGAAGCCCCAGCAACCCCTCCCACCCCAACGAAAGCGGCTGAAGGATTCGATGGGATGCGGACAATGTATGAAATGGGGATGGGGCACCTGGGTCAAAGGTCAGGCGGGACAGGGGATAAGGGGAGTGGGGTGCTGTGCTGGCGCACCCGGGGAGGACGGGCACCCGCCTCGGTGGTATCTCCTGCGTTGGGGGGAGGAAGGGACCCTGGTCACCCGAGCAACCTTGGCACAGCTGTGCTGGCCACCACCCAGGCTCTGTCTGACTTGTGGTCCTACATCCTACGGCTGAAGGTACTGAGGTTTCAACACGCGTGAGCCTGTGGGCTTCGGGCCCAGCAGGATGGTGGGGGGTGACTTAGGAAGGGGCGACGGGGCTGGTCTGAGGGGAGCCCCTGGCAGGGGCAGGGACAGGGAGGCTGCTCTGACCTTATCATGCTCTTCTCGGCTCAAACTAAGGGCCAGCTGGAGCTGGGCGTCGTCCTCGGGGCCGCAGGACGGGGGCTGGGGGAGAGAGAGTGTGAGGGGCATGACGGGAGGGGCCAGAGGCAGAGTCAGAGGCAGAGCCAGGGTCAGATAGAGCCGAAGAAAGAGAGGGCTGGGGGTCCCTGAACCAGTGAGGGACAGGCAGAGAGTGACACGCAGAGGGACGGCGGGGTGAGGATGAGGCAGGACTGGGGAGGAGACGAGTGACAGCATGTGGAGCAGCGACAGTGAGGGCCAGGCCCACGCCTGGCTGGGAGGGAGCCTGAAGTGAGGCGTGGAGGCGGGTGGCGGACAGACAGCCCCAGCTGCACGCCCAGTACCTGGTCGGCCTCCTCCTTGCTCATGGCCAGGGCCAGCTGGAGCTGCAGCTCCTCCTCCCCGCTGCTCTGCGGCCACGCCTGCTCCGCCTCGGGAGGGGGGCCTGAGCCCACAGCTGCTGATGAGGCTGGAGGGCGGGTGAGAAACGCGTGAGACCCAGACCAGGGAACGAGAGACAGGAAACCCCATAGCCTAGACAGACGGGGGCTTCTGTGTCCAACCCCACCCCCCAAGTCCCCCACCCTACAACCTCTGCAGGCCAAGACTAGGACTGAGAGGCGGAGACCAGACGCCAGGTGCTCAGAGGAGGAAGGGTGGGGATGCAGGCAGCCCCACCCACGGGAGGGGCCAGGCATCAGGGAAGGACCAGAGCAAAAGTCAGTCTGATAAGCAGGTGGGGAACCCCAGCAACCTCTGAGCCCTGCCACCACCAGGACTCTCCGCGTGCCTGGGGTCTGTCCCTGGGCCCCTGGGGGATGGGAGGTCCTTCCTCCCAGGTTTCCCAGGCCTGTTTCCAGGGCTTGTTGAGAATGGTAGCTCTGGCAGGGAACAACTGGAATTCAGAGGGGAGAACAGCATCCATTGAGACAGCGGGATCCAAGGCCTAGTCGGGGTTAGGGAGTGGGCTAGCGAGGAGCCCTTGGTTCCAAGAGCAGGAGGGGAAGGGAGAGAGAGGACACAGGAAGGCAGGGCCGGACCCTCCAGGAGGCTGCTGAGATATCCCCGGCCTCCACTGCAGCATCCTCTCAGCAACCCCGCCTACCCTCAAACTCTGTCCTGACACTGTTCTCTCCACCCCCAAGGCCTGTGGACCCTTGCCCCCCTCCACAGTGCAGAGGACAGGCTCCAACCAGGCCCTAGGCCCGCCGAGCACAGGGCCATTGCCCCAGCCTCCAAAGCCCCAGGGCGGACCCTGCCTCTCCTGCCCCGCCCTCCCAACCACTGTGCACTGGTCAGCAAGTTCTGTCTGCTCCAGCTCCAAGACGCCGCCTTGCACCTGTGTCCTGTACTTGTGTCCCCACCCAACCCACTCCCCAGGCCCAGGCCTCTCCCTGACGAGCAGGCCCTGGCTCCCCTTGCCCGGAGCCGCAGCAGGCAGCTGTCTGGCGGCCCCACCTGCACCGGGTCCAGGGGCCCCCAGGCTGGCCCCCGTGTGGTGTGCCCAGCAGGGCTGGGTGCATGGGATGCTCCAGGGAGCATGTGGGTGGCAGAGCGGGGCCGAAGGGTGACCATCTGGGGTTATGAGTGAGGAAAGGACGAGAGAACCAGCAGGGATTGACGGACTTGGGTGGGTAAGCGGCCTTCTGAGGGGATGGGCAGATGGAAGGGCAGCGTGGGGCACAGGTGAGGCCAGCGCACAGGGAGGACCACACCCCTGTGGCCCCTCCTGCTCTTCCCTGCCCCTGTGACTTCCTCCTAAGCTCTAGGGACTCTCAGAGGTGAGTGCTGGGAATCTACACCCCATTGCCCAACCTCTACCTTGCACATGCCCCTAACCCCCCAGCCTGGTGGTGGCTAAATCCAATGCCCAGCAGCCCTGAGGGCCCCACCTCCCACATCACAGGTAATACTGGCACCCAGCCAGCAACACCCGGGCCTTCCCATCACCAGAGCACCCAGCCTCGGTGCTGCCCGGGGACCACAGGCCCTTCCCTGCCCACTGAGGGTCTCAGGGCTCACTCCCTAGCTGCCCCCATCCTCCTCCCCAGCCACAGCCCTCCACACAACTCACTCCAAGACAGGGGCCAGCACACCACAGTGGCAGCCACAGCTGGCCTGAGAAGGTCTAAGAAAGGCCTTTACATTTTTCAATGGTTGGAAGAAATGAAAAGAATGCACCAAGATGGGCGAAAATTCAGAGTACCCTTAAAAAATTAAATAACAACTTAAAAGTCTTAAAAAAGACACGTGAAAACTACATAAAATTCAAATTTCGGAGACCTTGGTGAGTGTCGGAGGGGTGCAGCTGCTTCCCAGCAACCGCCAGCGGACGGGGCCAGGCAGCTAGGATGGGAAGGCGTGGCCAGCAACGCAGAGGACATTAGCTCTGGCCTTGCACAAAGTCTGACGACCCCCGAGCCAGGATGTCCCACCCTCAGGCCTCTTACCTGAGGCTCCCACTCTCCTCCGAGCTACTGCCAATGTCCCTCCTCCGTCCACCCCAACCCCGCCACCCACCTGCCTGCCTGCCTGCCTCGAGCTGACCAGCCCCTCTCTGCCGCCTACACTCCCTCCTGTTGTCCCTGGCTCTGAGCACTCCCACGCCACACCGGCTTCCTTCCCTCCACTTCACTCTCTCTCTGCGTTCACGCCCATCTACTGGCTCGTGGGTCCCTACTCTGGAGTCCCAGGCAGGGTCGCACACACCCCGTCACACCCATGTCTCCCCGTGGGTGCTGAAAGGTGATCCCAAATGAGACCCGTCCAAACAGAAGGCCTAGACTTCCCCAAACAAGTCCAGTCCCTCGAGCCGGACCCCACGAGGGCCACAGGCCCTTCCTCCTGTCTGCACCGGCCTGGCTGACCCACCTCCACCTCCAGGGCAGTGCTCTAGCAGCCCCTCCCCATCCCACGTATCCCCACTAACTGAGGCACCTCCACTCTTCCTGGAGAGCAGAAGAGCCTGGCAGACATTCTCCAGCCTCCCTCCCAGTCCTGAGCAGCCGGACTAGCCTCTTCACGGCTGTGAGCCCCCGACCAACACAGACCACACTTCCTGGAACAGTCCGAGACCCACACACCCATCACATAACTGGAAATGTTTCGTGGGACAGATCTTGGCTTGACGATGTGGGATGCACTATTTCAAGTTTTGTTTTCGGTGCTGGTCACCACCCACCAGACTGAGTCCTCCACCTCCAGAAGGCACTGTCAAGGCTCCTAACACAGGCCCAGATGCCTGGTGCAACCTGCAGGCCCTGGCTCTGGCCTTCCTTCTGTGCCTCTTCCAGGCCCCCCTCTGCCTCTCCGATGTTCCCCTCATCTCAGCGCAGAGAGAAGGACAGCACCCTCGGGGGTCACTGTGCGTGTCCCCTCAGAGCCCTGTCCCCAGCACTGATCACCCTCAGGCCCTGAGCCTATGGGGGAGCGGAATAAAAGTTCCCAATTCTAGGCCTGCCCTGGGGCACGAGGCAAGAGGCAGGAAGGGTCCCAGAGCTGCTGCATGGGAGGTGCTAAGGGAAAAAAAGGGCCCAAGTGAGACCAGAGCAAGGGGCCCAGGTGAGGAGAAGCAAAGGGGGATGCCGCGGTCCCTCCTGGCTGGGAGAGAAAGCAGTGGGCGGCCGGGTGCCGGGAGCCGCAGTAGGCGGAGGACAGACTCTAGGCCGTCAGGGGCCGCAGGGAGGGACTCACCCGTGGCGGTCTGTGCCAGCTTTTCCTTGGTCTTGAGCGCGTGCGCCCGCTCTTCCCGCAGCCGGTCCTCGTCGCGCAGCAGGGCCACCAGCTGCTTAGCTTTCTCACGCACGTTCACGCCCTGGTCCTTGCCGTCGCGGTCCACGTACTGGAAGTCCTTCAGCGTCTGCACGGCGTACATGTTCTCCTTGCACTGCTGCGACACGCGCTCCGAGCCGGTCTTGATGAGGTACTCCATCAGCGTCATGGCCTGCGAGCGGGCACGGGGATGCCCGGTCAGCACGCCGGGCACAAGGCGGGCCAGAGACTGCCTGCGACGCGGGCTCTGGGGCGGCCGACTGGGCGCAAGGCCCACAACCCACCTGTCGCCAGTGGGTGGACACACATCTGTCCCCACAGAATACGACACGGCCATGCAAAGGAATGAACACAGACCCACGCTGTGACGGGGACCAGCCGCGGAGGTACTGCGCTCAGCGACAGACGCCAGCACAGAACGCCACACAGCCTACGGTTCCATCGACGTGAATCATCCAGAATGGGCAAATCCAGAGAGACGGAGTGGATTGTGGGTTGCCAGGGGTGGAGGGAGGGATGGAGAGGGACCACCTGAAGGCTATGGGTTTTCCTTCTGGGGCAATGAAGACGTTCTGGAGCTGGACAGAGGTGGTCGCCCAGCACTGTGAATGGGCCGAAGGCCACTGAACTGTGCGATATGAAGGGGGCTGCACAGTGTAGGAGCTCCATCTCAATCCAAATAAAAGAGGAAATGGCAGCTACAGGCACCACAGCCGCCATGGGCATCGCCTGGCATCCTGGAGCCCTGTCTATTTCTTTACAACTAAAATCTAAAGTAACATGGCCAAGAAAACCACATTAGTTAAATCACAATGAAGGGGGTCTTAGTACTAGTTTGAAATGTGTATTTCTGACTGTAAAACCTCACGCTGGTACTAACAGCCTGGAGCAGTAGTTTATCACCTCTGCAAGAAGGGAAGAGATCCACGCAAGGGCCTGTGTAGGCCCGGGCTCTCTTGGGAGGGGCACCCAGGTTCCACACCACCAGGAGCAAAAGGACAGGGCGGAGGGAACATTATCGTTCAATCTGCACCCTTTGGTATGTTTGTATTTTATAATACGAAAACAAACTCCCTTTCAACAAGTTGAAATTAATAGTGGGGGCGGGGGGACCAAGGTCTCTGAGGCTCTCCCTAGCTCAGGCTCAAGTCCTGGGCTTGAGGAGTCATGGCCCCCTTAAGGCTCTGCAGGGGGTGTCTTGGTCACTGACCTCAAAAAAAGGCACAACTTTGATTCTGCAGGGGATTCCAGGGCCTTCACAGAGCCACAGAAACCCACCCAGGGCTCCTAGGGGAAGAGTCAGCTATCACAGCTAAGCTCCGTCTGAACCAAGGAGAAATCTGCCAGGAAAGATGCCAGGGCCATTCATATCTCCTCACCCTCTGAGGCAGCTGGACCTAGCTCTGGCAAGGCCTTTCAAAGGTGTGTTAACAGTATTTACAGTGTAATCAGAGATTAGTCTTTAACCGGCCCTCAAGGTATTTACACGAAAGAAAGGAAAGCAGGTAAGCCATTGCTATGCCTGATCACACCCCAAGCCAAGAGGCAGTCCCAGGTCCACAACTCCTGGGGCCCTTGTGTTTTGGAATTCAGAATTTTCCTGAGTTCAGACCAGGAAAATAACGCACATACAACACATAAGAGAACGCGCTGGGCAGAGTCGTGCCAACAGCCACACTACTGTGGGACCAACAGACACCATGTGAACGACCTCACTTCAGTCTGGGTCAGACTTTGTGCCGAACGGATCATGAAACACTTTCGTTTCCAGAGCTCTCTGGACTTTGGTATCGCAGCTAAAAAGATTGTGAAGCAGGAAATAGTGCGAATACCCACGCACAGTGAAATGCATACATCAACTATGGCACGCTCACACAGCGGGACTACCACATACACTGAAATAAAAGAGAAATGAGGCCAGGTGTGGTGGCTCACGCCTATAATCCCGGCACTATGGGAGGCTGAGGCAGGTGGACCACCCGAGGTCAGGGGTTCGAGACCAGCCTGGCCAACATGATGAAACCTGTTTCTACTAAAAACACAAAACAACTGGCCAGGTGTGGCGGTGCACACCTGTAATCCCAGCTACTCAGGAGGCTGAGGTGGGAGGATCCCGTGGATCAGGGAGGCAGAGGTGATAGTGAGCCAAGAGCACGCCACTGTACTCCAGCCTGGGAGACAGAGTGAGACTCCATTTAAAAATAAATAAATAAGGCCGGGCATGGTGGCTCCCACCTATAATCTTACCATTTTGAGAGGCCAAGGCGGGCAGATCACAAGGTCAGGAGTTTGAGACCAGCCTGGCCAACATGGTGAAACACCATCTCTACTAAAAATACAAAAAATTAGCCAGGCATTGTGGCATGCGCCTGTAATCCCAGCTACTCAGGAGGCTGAGGCAGGAGAATCGCTTGATCTTGGGAGGCAGAGGTTGCAGTGAGCCAAGATAGCACCACTGCACTCCAGCTTGGGCAACAAGAGCGAAACTCCATTTCAAGAAAAAACAAAAAACAGGCTGGGCGCGGTGGCTCACACCTGTAATCCCAGCACTTTGGGAGGCCAAGGCGGGCGGATCACGAGGTCAGAAGTTCGAGACCAGCCTGGCCAATATGGTGAAACCCCATCTCTACTAAAAATACAAAAATTAGCCAGGCGTGGTGGCAAGTACCTGTAATCCCAGCTACTCGGGAGGCTAAGGCAGGAGAATTGCTTGAACCTGGGAGGCAGAAGTTGCAGTGAGCCGAGGTGGTGCCACTGCACTCCAGCCTGGGCAACACAGCGAGACTCCGTCTCATAAATAAATAAATAAGAAACAATAATTAAATAAATATATAAAATCGGGTGCAGTGGCAAAATCCTGTAACCCCAGTGCTTTGAGAGGCTAAAGTCGGTGGATCGCTTGAGTCCAGGAGTTCAAGACCATCGTGGGTGACATGGCAAAACCCCAGCTCTAAAAAAATAAATAAATAAAATAACAAAAAATTAGCTAGGCGTGGTGGCACATGCGTGTCATCCCTGCTACTTGGGAGGCTGTGGCAGGAGGATTGCTTAAGCCCGGGAGGCAGAGGCTACAGTGAGCCGAGAACATGTCAACGCACTCCAGCCTGGGCAACAGTGAGACTTTCTCAAAATAAATGAACAACTGCTTTATGCAACAGCACGGTCAACCTTGCTGACCTGATGGTGATGGTGAGCAAAAGAAGCCAGACACAAAAGACCACGCGTGTGACTCCACATATATAAAGCTCAAGAACAGTCTTGGCAGACAGAAATCAGACACGGTGCTGTGGGAGACAGGTCTCCTGAGGAAACCTGGAAGGCTGAATGCATCCTCTACCTCCCTCTAGGTGAAGGCTACACAGGTGTCCACATGCGTAACAGCTGTGTTATACATTCATGATGTGCTTAGTATACAACTTCTTAATGAAAAATTTAAAACCTTATTTTAGAAGTGAGCAAGTGGGCCAGGTGTAGTGGCTCATGACTATAATCCCAGCCCTTTGGGAAGCCAAGGCAAGAGGATCGCTTGAGCCCAGGAGTTCAAGACCAGCCTGGGCAACACAGTGAGACTGCCATCTCTACAAAAAAATTTAAAATATCTTAAAATTAGCCGGGCATGGTGGTGTGTGCCTGTGGTCCCAGCTATTCCTCAACCATGCTTGGAGCCCAGGAGGTCAAGGCTCAGTGAGCTATGACTGTACTGCTGGATTCCAGCCTGGGCTACAGAGCAACACTTTGTCTCTAAAAAAGTTAAAAAAAAAAAAAGTTTGCAAAATAAGTCATTATTTCTCCTTTGCTTTTCTGAAAACAACCAAAAAGCAGTGGGCAACTGCATAAAATGATAGTCCTTCTTAATGTTAAAGACAGCTTTATCAAGGACATCCTGCAATGCAGAAATAAAGTTTAAAACAGGGATCAGCAAACATTTCTGTAAGGAGCCAGATGAAAAACATTTCAGTTTTTCAGGCCATATACTCTCTGTCTCAACTACTTCACAGCCACAGATGAATGGGCCTGGCTGTGTTCCAATAAAACTTTATTTACAAACACAGGCTGTGAGTGGGATTTCACCAGTGGGCTGTACTTTGCTGACCCCTGGTTTAAAGCCAAGACTGAGACCCTGCATTCCTCAGAAGTGAGGTGGCAGTGCAGGGCCCAGAGGGTGGGCTCGGGGCTCCTCTTGGCTCTACCACCTCCTGCGAGGTAGAGCTGAGCTCCTTTATGTCTCAGTTCCCTCATCTGGAAAACAGAGGAAAAGGAGAAAAAGAACTTCCTTTACAGGGTAACCGTGGATTTCATGAGAACCTGTGTGTGCTACACGTACAAGGTACCAAATAAACGCCGGCCCTTACTCACCAATACTCACCCCCAAGGCCATGCAGGGAGGCCGTGCAGAGCCAGGCCTGCAAGGCCCCCACAGCTCACCCTCCTTCTCCACGGGGACAATAAGGCCCACAAAGTGCCAGCCAGCAGGGCCACAGGGTGGGACAGCCTGGGCTCTGAACAGATGGGCCCAAGCCCCAGCTCCCCCACGAGCCTCGGCAGGCCACCTCCCCCGTCTCTGGGCCTCAGTTTCCCCATCCATCAAAGTGGAAAGACTGCTCCTGCACAACCCACCACCTGGGGCTGAAGTGACAAGATGAGACCATGTGGCGAAGGGATGGTGAGAAGCAAGAGGACTCGCCCTCATGCCAGAACAGGTCAGCACAGAGGGCTCCGGAGAGGGCCAAAGGGGGTGTAGCAGCTTCACAGTGGCTCAGGGCCTCTGGGCCTGTGGGGTTGTCCTCATCACCCGTACTTCCAGAAGGGGACTGCGGGATAGAAGTGGTCAGCCAGGAAGGGAGGCGCTGGCTAGACGTGGACCCAGGGACCCCCTCCTGGACCCCTGCCCTGTGCCTATGCTCAGCTATCGGCGCATGCCGCAGCAGGGACAACAGTGACACGTGCTGACCTCACAAAGCTGCTCTCAGGACAGTGTCCAGCAGGCAGCACAAGCAGCAACCAAAGCAGGTTTCCAGACGCCATCAACCCTCCCCCGGGGAACTGAGGCTGAACCCCACCCCAGCATGAGGAACCAGTGGTTCAGGGTGGAGCGGGAACCCCGTGTCCTCAGCCACATGGGCTGGGGATCCTACAGGCTCTGCTGTGGGGATCATAGAAAGGAGAGTCCCAAGAATCAAGAGATGCTGCAGGGATGGCGGATACAGCAGGAACAGCCAGGCCTGGGGAGAGTCCCAGAGGGGCTGCAAAAACCATAGGGGAGGTCTTGGGGGTGACAAAAACCTTCTATGCCTTGACTGTGATGACAGTTATGAAATATGTGCATCTGTCAGAATCCAGAGAACTCTATCTCGAAAGGCTGGGTTTCACTGTGTGCAAATTACACCTCAGTAAAGCAGCCCAAGCCCCGCCTGGCACTGGAGGCCACGTCCCCTCTCCTGCACTGCCCTGTCCTGCCGTCCACCCTGGCTGCCAGCACCACATGCTCCCCAGCAGACTCTCAGGCCTTGGCACCTGCCAGCCCTGCCCACAGGCCACTCTGTGTCTGCCCCCAGCAGCATCACCCCAGCCACTGACCAGGAAGGATGTGCGTCTGGGGCCCCTCTGGATTCATCCCCTCTGCACACCCACCCCTCCAGCCCCATCCCTCCTCGTTGCCTCCAGAGAGGCTCACCTGCACCTCCAGGGTTTTCCAAGATTCTCAACTAAACAAACGCCACCCAGCCCTTCACAATAAATGACCAATAACTGATTCAATCTATGACTCAACCCAATCCTGGTGTGTCGGGATGGGTATGAAAACGAGTCACAGGAAACGAGCCTCAACCCCTGCTCCCATGTGTAAGTGCTGCAACGCTCCAGGCCTCAGCCTCCTCATCTGTGAGTGGAGGGAACCACCCTCACCTAGGCAGAAGTCTCAAAGATCAGCAAGGACAGGGACCTCCGCCAGAGCAGGCCCAGGTCTAAGCGCATGAGGGTGGGGCCTTGTTGGTCTGGTGCACCAAGACACCCAGAGCGGGCCTTCTGCAGATGCTTGCCGACGGGACCGCAACAGCAGGAGTCTAACACTCACCAGCCCCTGCCCCAAGTCAGACGTGAATCGGCTCCATGGGCCCTCACAGAGGGAGATTCAGGGACGAGCCTGAGATCCCGCCACTGGGAGTATAACCCGGCCCCAGCCCATGTCCTTGGCCACTTTGCCGTAACACGAGGAACACAGTAACCAAAGACCAAAGGTGGGGATGCCAAGGCCCCTGGACCCCAAGAGCAGCAAACTGAAAACCCAGTCGCTGAGTCCTGCTCACAGGCACGACAGCGTTCATCCCCAGCGTGGCATCGCCTGTGCCACGGGGAGCACACACCTGCCTGAGAGGCATTCATAGATGGGGCCCAGAGCGGAAACTTGGCTGCTGTGAGGAAAGGAACTGGGTGTCTGGGCACACAGAAGAGATGGGCACCGTGGGCCCTCTCAGGCCTCCTCAGCACATGAATCTTACGTACGCACCACTCACTCAAAAACAGATTTTAACCACAAGGCTCCAAACTTCTTAGCCTTATATTCGTTGCCTTCATTAAACAAAAAGAGAGATTTTACTCTTCTCCAGTTCCTCTTGAGAACCGGGATGCCATCCCAGGCAGGGTGCACAACACGGGCTCCTGTCCTCCCACCTGAGCCCCTGCACCTGCCCGGGGAGGAGAGCAGGATGCTGACCTTGTAAACGTGACGCCAGTTCTTGCCATGGTCATTGAGCCGCTTCCAGATCATGCTCATGATCTCCGAGAAGGCGACAACGTTGTAGGTGAGGTCGGCAATCTCTGACATGAGGGAGCTGGATGGGCCCCAGGGGTCATTGCTCGTGGCCTCTCGAACCTTGATCTCCGCCTCTGAGTAGTTGTGGACGATGTTCTTCATCTGGCGCCTCAAGGACGAGGTCGACATGGTGCCCGGCTGCAGCAGCAAGGGGCACAGGGCCCCGATGCGTGGAGAGATGGGGCGACTCCCGGACGAAGGCTGCGGCAGGTGCTGGCAGGTCACCGCATCTGCGAGGGGAAGAGGACCTCTGGAAACACAAATGGGACATGGCCTGCCCAGAGCCCTCAGGGTCAAAGATGAGTTCCTAACTGTGGCCCAGAAGGCTCTGTCCCTTGTTAACCTCTAGGTCTCAAAGTAACCCCATCCATGTTTCAGTTCCTCAAACAGGCTGCCTCCTTCCTGCTGGGGCCCCTGCTCAGTGAGGCAGAGTATATGCAGTGGCAGATCGCAGCCCCACAACCTGGCTCAGCACTTCCTGGCAAGGCCACCCTGGGCGGGCTGGATCTTTTGCACCTCAGCTTTCTCTTCTGTCAAATGGGGCTCCATGCGGTCATCTAGAGAACTGACGCCCTGTAAACACCGGCAGCGCATCAGGAGGCCCTCCGTCCTGCCCATGCGCTCTTCCTTCTTCCTCATCCAGGGATATCCACTCACCCCAAGGGCTCTGCTTACACTTCCCAGGTGCACACCCAAACATCACAGTCACCTATCCCTGGGGCCTCATCAGTAAACTCAGTCTCCCTCATGATTTTATATTCTCGTCTGATTCTGTAGCTAAGGTCAACCCACAGGCCCCATGGGGGCAGAGAACATGTCTGTCTGCATGTGGCTTTTCCCAGCAAAGAAGCTGGCCCAGAAAAACCATTCAGTAAACCATGCAAGGAGGAAGTGGAGAGGGAGGGCAGGAAAGACCTCTGGAACAAGGGCAGAGGGGGCAGGAATCCACAGCAGAAACAAGGACACATGGGAAAGAAGGCTGATGAAGGGATTAAAGACAGAGGCAGGAGCAGGGAACCAACCCAGGGCGGCAGGAAGAACCGGGGAAGCCAGAAGACCAGACGTCCCAAGGATAGCGGAAGCCCAAGGCTCAGGAGAGATAAGGAACCTAACAGCCCCACTGCCTGGGTCCCTGCTGTGTGCCAGGTGCTCGCTCAGCACAAGAGGGACATTACCTTTTTCAACACTGCATGCAAAGACTGGGCTCCTGGAAGTTAAATAATTCAACCAAGGTCACACACCAGGAATGGCAGGGCAGACTCAACCCGAGGCCCACCTGAACTCCAAAACTCATACTTTTAAATTAACCTAAATTAAATTAACCCATCCCGAGACTGGTGACGAGAAACAAGAGAGTCAAGCAAATGATGATGACACCAGCAGACACTCGCACTGCTCTTATCCCATGCCAGGCACTGTTTTAAGTGCTTTACATGTATTAACTCAGTTAATCCTTGAAACAACCCCATGATTCATAGCCACCTCACAGGGTGGAAACTGAGACACAGAGGTTCAGCCCCTTGCCCAGGGACACACACCTTACTCCTGGAGCAGCCTGGTTCCAGAGCCAGCTCTGATCACCCATCTATGCGGCTCCAAGAAGCCACAGAGGGAGATTTTCAAAGCCCCGCCATGATGTAAGCCCAGGGGAGATAGGGATGACGGAGAGAGGCTGGCCTCTGCTTCCACCTCAGGCCAGAAAGCCAGGCACCTGAAGACAGATGTAGCTAGTTAAAAAGTAACTCTCTGGAGTCCCAAAACAGCCCCAGCCTAATACATTAAGATGAAGAGATGATGTAACAAATGCAGAGAAGGGGACTGAGAAGAAATAGAAGACAGTTCTGACAGAAAGAGACACATAGAAACCTGGGCAGAGGGAGCTAGGCAGAGACACAATGAGAAAAACACAGGCAGCAGCAGATACAAGAACATGGGAAGACAGGGAGGCAGGAGGCCAAGGAAGAAAGAGGCCCAGAAACAAAAAGAGACCTGGCGCTGAGAAATAAGAGATAAGAAAAATGGAATCTAATGGCAAAGAATATAAAATGTGGGTTCAAATCCTGGCCACATCAGCTACCTGCAGCGCACACCTCCTTGAGACACAGTTTGCTCAACTCTGAAATGAAAGAATTCCTACCTGGTAGGCCTGTTGATTAAATAAGATGGGTACATGCAGTGCTTGGCTCTGTGCCCCACAGATAGTAGGCGCTCAATAACACTGGCTGCTATTATTATCAGAGAAAAAACAGAGAACATTTCCAAAAGGGTGGCGGCAGAAAAGGCACTATCTTAATACTCTGTACTTATTTGGCGTGCATTAGAAAAAATTACCCAACTAGCACATCAAAGCTGAGATTTCTCAGATACTGCTTAGAATGAGACTGTATTTCAAATTAAATTGATTCAAAGAGAATTCTTACATTAAAAAGAATACAAAGGATATGGCAAAGTTCTCCAAGGAGTACTCCAATAACCGACCGATATCTAACACTTACTGTGTAAAAATCTCTAAGCACTGTAATAATAAAAACCAGAGCTCCCAGTAATTACACACTTGCTATGTGTCAGATACCGTCAGGCACTTTACAAGCATCACCTCAACTTACATGCACAAGGACCCTATGATGTAGGAACTACGAATGCCTACGAACTATGGATTTCCTACGACTAGGAAACTGAGGTTTTGACACAGAGACTATCACCTGGCAATTACACAGCTTAGCAGGCAGCCGGGCTTCTGAATCCAAGGCTGGGGCTCTTCACCATCACACCAGAGACTCAGAAAACTGGGGAAAAGGGGCAGATTCTAGATCAAGTTAACAGACTCCTGGAAAGAAACTTCAGGATTGGAGGTGATAGGTATGGGGGCAAAACTCAGATGCGAAGACGGGGCGGGGGTAAGATTTGCACCATAGGCAGAAAAGCCCGCAGGGAAGGGCTAGAGACACCTAGGGAAAAGAAGACTCGGAAACTCAACGAGACACGAACAAATCCTGACAGACACAGACACGACAGACAGAGGAGAGAGAGACCCGGGACAGACACACAAACACACTCCTATCTCCAAACCCTTTTCTAAGTTCACTGAAACAGGCACAGGCAGAGGCCCACAGGAAACAGACGCTGACAGACACACAGACACGAGAGAGACAGACACAGACAACCGACACGGGGGCAGTCAAGGCCGACACAGGAGCAGAGACACAAAGGCCGCCAGAGACACCCAGAACTGGCCAGACGCGAGCCCGCGCGCGCCGCGGCCCAGGCCCGAACACCCGGAGCAGGCGGGCCAGCGTCCCCCGCGCTCCGCCCCGCGCTCACCTCGGCCCCCTCACGCCGGGCTCTGGGGGGTCATGGCGGTCAGCCCCCTGCCCCGCTCGGCCTCGGTGTCGCGGGACGTGCGCCGGGCCACGGGCGCACGCACGAACGCAAGGAGGGCCGCACGCCGACGGCTCCGCCGCCCCGCCGCCCAGAAGGGGCGCGGAGAGCCGGGCGGGGGAGGGGAGCCGCCGAGGAGACGGGAAGCAACAGAAGGAGGCGACGGACCGGAAGCGGAAATTGCCGCGCTCCCCGCCCTCCCGTGCCGCACCCCGCCCTGGCAGGAGTCGCTTCCGCAGCCAAGCCAACCTGGAAGGCATCACTTCCGGCGCGCTGGGCCCCGTTGCTAGGCGCCTCTACGTCACTTCCGCCCGCTGCAGCGGGGGATCCGCGCGGTGCTCACGGAACGCCGAGAGTCAGCTCCAGCTCGCTTGGCGGCAACCGCGGAGCTCCTGGCACACCCACGCCACGCCCGCCCCGGCCCGCTCGGCCACCATCCCTCCTGTCGGCGGGGTGGGAGAGCACTCGGGAACCTCACGTCCCCCGGGGCTGTGCCTGTGCCGACCCCGAGAAGGGCACCGCGCAAGCAGGGAAGGCCTCGAGGCTGCCGGCGCCGGCAGCAGGGGCGTCCCAGCCAGGGGCCCGCAGTTTGCCAAGGGAACCCCCACCCGAGCCCAGAACCGAGGAAGAGGGTCGGACATACTGGACACACAGCCGCTCCATAAAGTAAAATACAACAAAATGTTTAATGAGCAAATTCGTCTTAGCAAATATGAAACTGCCACAGAGAGTAGGAGAGGGGCAGGGGCCACGGGGCTGGGCGCAGGTCGGGGGAGACTAAAGAGGAAAAATCAACTACGTAAGAAACCCAGGAGGGGACCAGAGAGGACCAGAGGCCGAAGGAACAGAGCTGTGGTCCTGGTAAGGGAGAGGGCAGGGCACTGAGGGCCGGACAACAAAATTCAAAATAGTTTGGCCATAAAATATAAACACGCTATGTTCCTACCGTGGGGAAGGGGAGAAGAAAGGGGTCTATGGGAGAAGGAGAGGCTGTTTTGGGAGGGGCTGGGGTCCTACCCCGCCCTGCTGTGCACCCTGTCCCCATCCCAACCCCTTCCCTCTGTGTCTGTGTGGGTGCGTGTTGTCTGTGTGGGCTGTGTGCGCACTTCCCCAGTCCCCTCCCTGCCCTAACCCCCCAACCCCCCAACCCCCGCCCCCCACCCTTAATTGCTGCCATTCCAGTTGCTGCCGGCTGTCGTGTGTCTGCGGCTGTCACTCCTCTGCCCATCGTCTTCAGAGGGGGATAAGGGGGGGGCGGGAGTGGGGAGAAGCCCCCAGCCAGCCCTGCCCCCACCCTCCCCCAGCCGCCTCTACCAGAAGTCCCGGCGGTGATAAGAGTCGGGGTCACAGTATTTTGTGACAACCACTCTGTTGGCGAACTTGCGGCCCGTCAGGCCCTGCATGGCTTTCTGGCAGTCAAACACAGAGGTGAACTCCACAAAGATCTGTGGGGAAAGGAGAGGCAGGTTTGTGAACAAGGCTCACGCCCAACAGCCAGTCAGCGTCCACCCAACCCCAGCACTGAAGGCAGGAAGGGACAGGGAGGAGGGGGCTTCGCCACAGGTGTCAGAAAGGGACCCTTAGTAAGCAGGTTTGGTGGAGTTCACCCAAATATTCTCCAGGATCAAAAAACAAGAGCATAAACACACCATAGGCATGGAGAGGGAGAAAGAATAGAGACATGCCAGAAACTCAGCAGAGCCATAGAGCGCAGGCGGGAGGCCTAGACGAGCTCACCGCGGGGGAGGGGTCCCTCGTGCTGAGTGTCTACTCCACACGAGCCACCATGGTGGGCGCTCCCAGAACCACCCCAACAGCCATGTTCTCCCAACAATAAGTGAACTAAGGGAAGCTCAGAAATTAGGATTCAAACCCAGGTTGAATAAAATTTAAAAACTTGAACCTTGATCTATTCGAGCTTCTAACCTTGCTTAAACCAATTTACAGGAAAATGGAGGGAGGGAAGGATACAATGAGCCTACACGAACACTGAAAATTCTATATAGCAGATGAACTTATTTCTTCTACAAATAAAAGAGCTTGCAAAAAAAAAAAAGAGGGAGTGAGGTACAAAGGATAAATTACACAAACTTTGTAACCAAATTCAAGGCAGGGACCTGATATGGATCCTTACTGAAACAAACTATAAAAAATATCCTCGGCTGGGCACAGTGGCTCACGCCTGTAATCCCAGTACTTTGGGAGGCTGAGGCAGATGGATCACCTGAGGTCAGGAGTTCAAGACCAGCATGGCCAACATAGCGAAACCCCATCTCTACCAAAAATACAAAAATTAGCCAGACATGATGGCGGGTGCCTGTCCCAGCTACTCTTCTTTAACTCGGGAGGTGAAGGATGCAGTGAGCCGAGATTGCGCCACTGCACTCCAGCCTGGGTGACAGAGTGAGGCTCCGTCTCAAAAAAAAAAAAATTATTGGCCGGGCGCGGTGGCTCACGCCTGTAATCCCAGTACTTTGGGAGGCCAAGACGGGCGGCTCACAAAGTCAGGAGATCGAGACCATCCTGGCTAACACGGTGAAACCCTGTCTCTATTAAAAATACAAAAAAAATTAACCAGGTGTGGTGGCGGGCACACTGCACTCCAGCCTGGGCAACAGCGAGACTCTGTCTCAAAAAAAAAAAAAAAAATTCTTGAGATAGAAAAATTTGAACATGGAATAGGCACTAAGGAATTTCGCTAATCTAATCATGCTATTGTGGTTTTGTTAAAAAAACAAAACAATTTTTTAAGGTTATCTGGTTAGAGCAGTGGTTGTCAACTGGAGGAGGGGGGGTGTCCCCAGGGAACACTGAGCAATCTTTGGAGATGCTTTTGGGTGTCTCAGCAGGGAGTAGTGCTCTTGCATCCGGTGGGTGGAGGCTGGGGATACATCTCAATATCCTACAACGCACAGCAAAGGCCCCCACAGAGAAGTTATCTGACCCAAAATGTTAATTGAGAAATAATAGAAATATACTTAAGGATCTCAGGTGAAATAAACCTGATAAGCCTTAAAATAATCCAGCAAAGAAAAAGGAGGGGGGAGAAATAAGCTGAATATGAAAATTAAGAATGACAAAATATTGGTAACTTGAAGCCAGATGAAGGAACACCAAAATATTAGCACATATACTATGATAAAAACGTATCACTATCATAGTCCCTACTTTTAAGTATATTTGAAAAGACATGTAACAAAAAATTTAAGAATAAAACAATACAATGCAGTAATTTTTTTTTTTTTTTTCTGAGACCATGTCTTGCTCTGTCACCCAGGCTGGAGTGCAGTGGCGTAATCTTGGCTCACTGCAACCTCCGCCTCCCGGGTTCAAGTAATTCTCCTGCCTCAGACTCCTGAGTAGCTGGGATTACAGGCACGCACCGCCACCATGCCTGGCTAATTTTTGTATTTTTTAGTAGAGATGGGGTTTCACCACATTGGCCAGGCTGGTCTCCAACTCCTGACCTCATGATCCGCCCGTCTCGGCCTCCCAAAGTGCTGGGATTACAGGCGTGAGCCACCTCGCCGGGCCGCCGATGCAATAAATTTAATATGCAAAACAGGTCAGCTGATCCCAAAGGCCAGGGTCTCTCCATTCCTTCTTCCCACAAATGTTTCCTCAGCCCCTGCTTGAGCCAAGCTCCATCCCAGCACCAGAGGGCAGCCCTGAGCAGCCCTGACATACCAGCTCAAGGGAAGGGGACTCTGGAGGGCAGTGGGCAGGAGCTGCAGTGAGAGGAGATGCCGTTGGCCTTCCCCATGCCCCTTTTCTAAGATGCTCCTTCCACCTCTCCAGCCGCCCTCCCCAACCCTGCTCTCCCTGGGCAAACCACTCCGACATCCCAAGCAGGGCCTCGACAGACACCTGAGTGTCCATCAGCCCTCATGCTGGGAACACAGACCTGTCCAGCTAATTTTTCCTTGACATCTCTACTGGGTGTCTCAGAAACCGCAAAGCCAGCTAGCTGCCCCCCACCCCCCGCTCACCCCCGACAAGGTGCTCATCACCCCTGCATCTCACCTGCCATCCCCACCATCAGAGCTGCCACTAAGCAGCTCATAGGCCTTCTCCTCCCCTCCCCACAAACCCACACCCATCACCAAAGTCTGGACACTTCCCAGGCACAAGTCTCCCTCAAATCCATCAACTTCTCTCCATCCCCTGCTACTACTTTAAATCAGATCACCATCTTTCACCAGATTATTGCGGGAGACCTCATTCATTTTCCCAACTGCAGCCACAATCACCTCAAAAATGCCACCACCACAGTCCTGTTTTCTCCTTCAAAAGGCCACCAACTCCAGGGGAAAGCCGAGCTGCTTCCATGACATAAGAAGGCCCCCACGCCCGATCTGGCCCTGCAGAGCCAGCCTTGGTCCTGACAAACCTGGCTGTGGCATCGCTTTGGCAAGACCAACCCTGCCAGCTCCCGGCAAGCCCTCCTGTCCACAGCACCCTCTCTGCCCTCCTGCTGATCCACATCCTGCCCTGCAGGGCTCAGCAGGGAAGCCAGGGCCAGGGGAAGTACCTGCTGTGCCTCCGCACCCACCCCCAACCTCACTATGTGGGGTCATTTCCATCTGCCAGGCGTGACCACCCTGGAGGCCTCTCAGTATTGCTTCCCTCCCATCTGGCTCAAAATAAGCGGTCGTTCCAAGACCCAGGCAGCCCTCCAAGGCCTGCCACTCAGCCCTGGCCCCACCACCTCGCTCACTCACCTGCTCACTGCCACCTCTTGACCTTGACCACCCTGAACGAACAGTACACCCAGGAATGCGGCCCCTGCCCCGACTCAATACGGCATGCAGGTCCTCTAACAGCTGCACGGACAGCAGGGTGCAGGGACAGCAGGGTGCACGGGACAGCAGGGTGCACGGACAGCAGGGTGCACGGACAGCAGGGTGCACGGGACAGCAGGGTGCACGGGACAGCAGGGTGCACGGACAGCAGGGACCTCTATTCACAACTGAACCCTCAGCGTCTAGATCAGAGCCTGGTACGATGGGAATTCCATACATACACCCAGCAAGGGGATCAAAGAGCAGGTCACACGCCCTCACCACCACCATCTCATGAGGCAGAGAGGTGAGGTGATTACACCTGTCACGGCGCTGGAGGTGACAGGACTTAGCAGAGTCTGAAATCAGACTCCGAGAACCTGAAACCTGCCAGTGTGAGCCACCCCCGCTGTGCCTGTCTCCTTCCACGATGGGGCTCAGGGGCTACGGGGAGGGCTCAGGGTGAGCACAGACACAGCTTCGGCAGGGTGCCTGGCACACAGGAGACACCAGCAGGTGTCTCGGGACTGTTCCCGGCACTCTTCCCCACTCCACAGACCAGGCAAAACCATTTGCACAAGCCAGGCCATATAAGGGGGAGCAGGGCCAAGTTCTACAGCGATACAGAGCTACATTCCCCAACTACTGTCTCGCCTGCAGGTCTTGGGCCCCCACAGGGCCACAAACCCCTCAGGGTCACCAACATCTCCCATGGCCCGGCCTGAGGGCGGCACTCAGTGATGGCATACACCTATACGCACGCGCTGCGAGAGGAGAGAGAGAGGAAGAAAGAGCGCGCGGAGAAGAGGAGGGGGAGAGGGTGAGGGAGCAAGAGAGGAAGAAAGAGGGCGCGGAGAAGAGGAGGGGCAGAGGGTGAGAGAGCACTGAGCCCGAGGCCTCCTGACCTTTCCGCAGCCGGGCACCTCGACGCCGTCCACAGGCCGGGGGATCTCGATGGACTTGACAAGCCCGTACTTGCTGCACTCGTCCCGCACGTCCTCCACGATCTCCTCATACTCCTCGTCGTCCAGCAGCTCCTCAGGCAGCACCATGTTCATGAGGCACAGGACCTCAGTCGGGTGGCCGCCCATCTGCACCTGGGAGCTCATCAAGCCCGGCACTTGCAGGGTCACAGGCGTCTGATTGATGGTGCTCTGTGGGGCCAGGGGAGGCAGCGGCGTCACAGGGGGCCCAGACCCAGTCTCCCTCTGCTCAAGCCTAGGCCCCTCACATGCCCCCCCAGGGGAAAGGCCATCTCTCCACTTCCAACACCTAAAGCCCGACTCCCCAACACTGCACTGAATGCCCCCCAAATGCCTTCCCATGAAAGCTGGGAGAAAGATCAGGAACACTTGTCCCCTACTAGCCAGCCCCTCCCACCCCCAGGGTCCCTCAAGCCAATGGAAGATGACGTGCCGGGGGGCTCACCAGCGTGGCATTCTTGGCTCCCACACTCGCCCTCTGGACCAGCAGCTTCTTATCCCCCAGCTGCATGCCGTTCAGCCCCGCAATGGCCTGTGTTTGGAGGATGAGGGGTCGGGGGGTGCGGGGAGAGGTGGGGTCAGGGACCAGGAGCCCGACACCTACCCCCAAGCCGGGGCATTGGTGGGGGAAGAGGGGAAGGCAAAGGGGATTAAGAGCCTGGAAAAAGCCAACGCCATGGGACAGGGACGAGCCCACACACAGGGCACTGCCTCAGGTTGGCCGCCTCCCGCCCCGTCCCCTGAGGAGGGGAGACCATGGCTTGGCAACAGCGCAGGGCAGGGAAGGACAGACGCGGCAGCGGCCAGCGACCGGGGACTCACCTGATCCGTGACGTTGATGTCCACGTACTCACAGAAGGCGTAGCCCTTGGAGAGCCCCGTGGCACTGTCCTTGACCAGGTTGAAGGCCTTGAGGGGCCCAAAGGATGTCAGCAGCTCTTTGACCTGCAGTAGCCGAGAGTCCATCAGGGCTGGGATGAGGTGGGGCGGGGTGGGGGGACGGGTCTGGAGGGAGGCAGGGAAGTTACCTGGTCATCGTTCAGGTAGTTGGGTAAGCCCCCGATGAACAGCTTGTGGGCAGAGTCGGGGACCACAGTGGACACAACCCCTATGGGTAGAGAAGAGGAGGACTTCAATTCCAGTACCAGGTTATCTCCCAAAACCTGGACAGTCTACGGCGAGCTCCTCAATTGCCAAAGAGAACACTTCCTGCCTGATCTGACGAGGGAGGGGTCGCCACGTGCCCACCCCACCCCAGCCTTATCTGACCAGTGAGGGTCCTGGGCAGTGGCACACAGAGGCTCCTCGGGGAGAACGCACCATGTCTCCCAAATCTGCCCAGCCTCAGGGGAACCTCAAACTAGAACATCCTCCAGAACGCTCCAAAGGCACAAAGTTCACACCCACATCTGCTACCTGCTGCTGTGGAATGCTGGCAGGTCACCTGGGCTCGGGACCTACTGGTGAGTCACAACACACCCCACCCCTTCTCTGACAGCCACCCAGGCAAGGCTCCCATTAAAGCTCAGTCCCGGCCGGGCGCGGGGGCTCACGCCTGTAATCTCAGCACTTTGGGAGGCCAAGGCGGGCAGATCACAAGGTCAAGAGATAAGACCATCCTGTCCAACATGGTGAAACCCCGTCTCTCTAAAAACACAAAAATTAGCGGGCTGTGGTAGCGTGCACCTGTAGTCCCAGCTACTCAGGAGGCTGAGGCAGAAGAATGGCGTGAACCCAGGAGGCGGAGGTTGCAGTGAGCCGAGATCACTCCACTGCACTCCAGCCTGAGCAACAGAGTGAGACTCCATCTCAAAGGAAAAAAAAAAAAAAGCTCAGTCCCTTCCCTTCACGCCCTGTCAGAACTGCAGGTGCCACTGCAGGGGTGCAACTGCCCTCACAGGGGTGGCACGACACGATGAGCAGCCGCGGCTGCCCGGGAAGTCTCAGAACAGCATCCGCAGCATTAGCTGCTCTGATCTCACTGGGAACTGTGGGCTGACTGTGGGATGCAGGATCCAGTGTCTTCGAGGGCTGACATACCAGAGTGGGGGCTTATCAGCTGAATTTACTGGCCCTCGATCCTGCCCTATCCACTGAACTCTGGACTCACAGACAAGTGCCTGCTGGTGGGATGATTCAACCTGAGACCCCACAGGCTCTGCCAATGTAACTTGACGCCGTCCTGTCAGATATCAGCTATGCCAGGCCCCGGTAACCAACCAGCCTGACTCCCAAGTTCAAAACCTAGGCCATATGGCCTCCCCTTCCTCTGCAGCCTCCACACCAAGTGTGAGTGGCCCCATCCCACCTCCATCCTGATGCTGGGAAGGAATAGGTAAGACAGGAAATGGGAAAGAGCCTCAGAAGCATGAGCCGCTGTGCCCATGGAAGGAGGGGAGATGCCCCCACACACCCTCTCCCACCTACTCACTCAAGCCCTTCCAGCCCATGATGACGCTGCCCCCACAGAACTGGAAGCACCAACCCAGCCAGCTCCAACCACCAGACTGGGGCCACACAGACCCCAGGAGACCCAGCTCCTATGCTACAGGGACAAGTAGCAGCAGCCCGGGAGCAGGAACACACACCGGGCACTCACCCCATGGGCCAGGCATCCTGTAAGACTTTCAACCTCCTACTGCAATGCTATACATACAGCACAGAAGGCAAAAACTGAGGCACAGAGCAAAGACACACAGGCAGGAAAAAGGCAGCCTCCAGAGCCCACACTCAGCTGTGACTCCCCACAGGCAGCATGGCAGGCTGCAGGCTCTGCCTGGGTCCAAGGAAGAATGGGTCACACTGGAAGCTCAGCCGCGAGCCCTGGCTCTGCCCGTCTCACTTGAGCAACACAGAGCCAAGGATACAAGAGTTGGGCTCCCTGGGTTCATGGCTCCTTGGGTTCAAGTCTTGTTTGTACCATATGAGCCTCCAAGGGCCTCAGTGTCTTCATCTGTAGAATGGGAAGAACCCTGGTGCCCATCGTGTGAGCCACGTGTGTGAGAACAGCTCAGGCCAAGTGCTGATTCAATCGAGGACGTGAGAACAGGCACGGCAGTCCCCATGGCCCGGGCATCTGCCAGACTCAATGCCCACAACAGGACCCACCCAGCCCAGACACACACTGTGAGCACTGTCAGTGGGGTCAGCCGCTGTTACATGACAACAACTTCAAAGGAATCTTCTCGGAGTCTTGAGTTCCTCCACTCATCACTGAGGACAAGCCCTGCTTGGCAGGGATGTTCCAAGAGTTGGGCGGGGAAACAGGGCCCCATACCTCTGCAGCGGCTGCATCTACAAAGCATCACACCTGGAGCAGAGGCTGTGTGGGGAAGACCCAGCAGGGATCCCCATTGTCCCGAAGCTCTTTCCTCATCTGTAAGATGGAGCAATGTCCCCTCCCATGGTGACCAGGCCATCTTGGTGCAGGGGGCGCCTGAGAGGAGCTCGGCAGCCACTATCACTGGGTTGCCCTCAGCTCAGCCCCTGCCAGAGCACCCCATCACCTTCAGAAGAGTCAAGCTCCTCAGCCTGGTAAGAGAAGCAACCTTAGATCCATAACCCACGGTTCCTATTCCCCAAGGCCCACCACACGTCCCTACCCAGGAAGGAGGCGCTGCACAGTGAGGCCAGCTGCACCGCCATCCATCTTTACTTACAAAAACAGGCAGTGGCCGGGAGCAGTGGCTCACGCCTATAATCCCAACACTTTGGGAGGCCAAGGCAGGTCACAAAGTCAGGAGTTTGAGACCAGCCTGGCCAACATGGTGAAACCCCATCTCTACTAAAAACACAAAAAATTAGCAGGTGTGGTGGCACATGCCTGTAATCCCAGCTACTCGGGAGGCTGAGGCAGGAGAATCGCTTGAACCTGGGAGGCGGAGGTTGCAGTGAGCCGAGATCACACCACTGCACTCCAGCCTGGGCAACACAGCAAGACTCCGTCTCAAAAAACACAACAAAAAAACAAAAAACAGGCAGTGGGCCAGCGTTGGACTCTCAGTTGTAACCTGCCAATCCCTGTGTCGTAGAACTGCCGTGCATGGAGGGCACTTAGGACAGCGCCAATCCCTGTGTCGTAGAACTGCCGTCCATGGAGGGCACTTAGGACAGCGCCAATCCCTGTGTCGTAGAACTGCCGTCCATGGAGGGCACTTAGGACAGCGCCAATCCCTGTGTCGTAGAACTGCCGTCCATGGAGGGCACTTAGGACAGCGCCAATCCCTGTGTCGTAGAACTGCCGTGCATGGAGGGCACTTAGGACAGCGCCAATCCCTGTGTCGTAGAACTGCCGTCCATGGAGGGCACTTAGGACAGCGCCAATCCCTGTGTCGTAGAACTGCCGTGCATGGAGGGCACTTAGGACAGCGCCTGACACACACTAAGCACCAGCAAGTGGCGGGCCACTCATGGGACTTAAAATGAATGAAAACGCAGTGGATTCACCAGGAAGAGACGTGGGGAAGACATTCTGCAGCTTGATCGGGGAAACGCACCCATACGTAAAAAGTCCATGTCGATTGGGAGCATGTCAACATATATTACAGGCTCCAAAAGGTTAGCTGAATTTACCAAAACCCATGATGGAAAAGCACTGGGCTGAGCGCAGTGGCTCATGCCTGTAATCCCAACACTCTGGGAGACTGAGGTGAGCGGATCACTTGAGGTCAGGCGTCGGAGACCAACCTGACCAACATGGTGAAACCCACCCTCTACTAAAAATACAAAAATTAGCCAGACATGGTGGCAGGTGCCTGTAATCCCAGCTGCTCGGGAGGCTGAAGCAGGAGAATTGCTTGAACCCTAGAGGCGGAGGATGCAGTAAGCCGAGATCGTGCCACTGCATTCCAGCCTGGGTGACAGAGCGAGACTGTCTCAAAACAACAACAACAACAAAAAGAAAAGCACTGGAGGCCAGTGAGGGACCTAGCCCAAGTCCTGCCTGACACAGATGTGCCTCCGTCTGGGGCTCCACATCGCCTGCCCTGAAGAGCTGACTCAGTTCCTAAAGGGCTCCTCGAACAGTGAGTACCCGCCAGCAGAACCCCACCTCCTCCATGTCCCAGGCCTGAGACACAGCCGCACCCTGACAGGGCATCAGACAAGCCCTCCCTCAAATCCCATTCATCAGCTACAAGGGTCAGCCAACTATAGCCTGTGGGCTGACAGGGCCCATCACCTGGTTTTGCACATCCTGCAAGCTTTCTAAAGGGAGACCATTCTGTGGCCTGTGAGAAGCACAGGAAAGCCCAACCTCAGCAGCCACGCGTGTCGAGGTGTGCCGGCACACAGCCAGGCCCACGCACGCAGACACCGTCCGGCTGCTTTCACACACAGTGACATGGTCGCCAACCCCTGGTCTGCTATGTTACCTACCAATTACAGATGATGTTCAACACAGCTATGGGGAATGGCCCAGAACACAAGATTCAAGGCAAACACTAGGAGACAAAAACAAGTGAATACCCAGGTGCCAGACCCCACAGCAGCAGCTTTGCTGCCAACCGTCGACACACAGCAGCCCCGACGGGCACAGACTGAGCCCTCCAAGGTCCCACAGCCGCAACGCAGGCACGAGGTCCAGGCCACAAGCCCCTCGCTTCCCCAGCACCTTTGGTCTGATCCTGGCTCTGCCACGTACAAGCTGTGTGTCCTCAGCAGGTGACAGCTCATTCTCCCGGCCCTAGGCACCTTCTCTACCAGCAGGAGAGCACCCCACTCACAGAGACTTAGGGGAAGCAGGGAAAAGGCACCTATCTTCCACAGTACTTACACAACTTCCTAAGCCACTCCAGCTGGGCTGAAGGGATGGACAGGCCATGGGAACAGGACTGGGGGAGAAAGGGGCCCTTAATGGATCCCCCACTCACCAGGCACATAGACGGAGGGGTTCTCTGACATGCCAGGAAGCGGCTGGTAGTCGTGAGGCCTGCGGATCTTTAGTGACTGGCCCTGGAAGATGATGCCATCAAAGGCCATAGCCTGGGTAGTCTCGTCCACTGAGCGGAACTGAATGAAAGAGAAAGGAGTGGTGAGGGATGGGGGTCAGGGACTAGTACAGCCCCTAGTGTTCCAGGATTGGGATTTCCTCTTTCCTTTCACTCATGTGAACAAATACAACATGCCAGGCCCCAGGCTGGGCACTGGGAGTACAACAGACACGCATGTCCCTGCTGCCAGGAGCTCACACTCGACCATTAAAAACACCAGGCACCCAACACAAACACAGAGGCAAACACACAATTGCAGGCTGTGATGACACGGAAGAGGGACAAAGTGCTGAAAAGGGATGTTACGGGAAAGGTTAGTTGAACGGGGAGATGACAGTACTGGAGTCTTTCTGGTGAGGGGGACATTTCAGCCCATCTCCGGAGCAATGCAACTGCAAGTGGACTGCAGTGAGGCAAAGACAGAGTGAGAGGGACAGAGTGAGAGGGAGTGCTCAGACAGTGAGAGGGAGTGCTCAGAAATCTCTGCAGTAAGCTAACACTGCCCACACCTTCACAATACTTCATGAGAGTTATCAGTCCACCAAGAGTCGAAAATCAAAAACCAAGGCCTTTTCCCGACAGTTGAGAAACACAGACACAGAAGACTAGTTAGGAACATCAGTTAGCTGGGGTAACAGAAGACTAGTTAGGAACATCAGTTAGCTGGTGTAAAGAACTCTAGCCAAGCAGGCAGGAGCATGGTAGGTTCTGGGAAGGTCAGTGTGGCCAGAGTGCAGAGAGGACTGGGCCGGAATGGTCTGGAAAAGGCCAAAGAGGTCTACAGAGGCCAAACAGGCCTCTCAGGTCACACAGAAAGCAAATGGAAGGCAGAAAGTAGGATCAGATCTGTAATGCTATAACAGGGCTCACTTCAGCGACCGGGTGGAGAAGAGGCTGCAGAGGGCCTGGTGGAAACAGCACAAGGCAGCTCCACACAACATCAGCCTAAGGGCTGGGCCCTCACATCACACACGTTTCCTGGACCTCACTCACTCCCCCAGCTCACCTCCAAAAAGGCAAAATTCTTGTCCTGGTTAATCTGCACAGCCAACACTGGGTTGCCAGGGGCCTGGGTCAGCCCCCCCAGGCGCATCTGGGCGTTGAAGAAATCCATCATGGCCTCCTGCAGAGGGAATAGGAGACAAGGGGGGGGGCGGGGGAAGGGAGGTGGAGAGAGGAGGGGAAGGGTGAGAGAGGGAGACACAGAGGGGTTTGGGGGTAAGGGGAGAGGGATGAGGGGAGGGAGGAGGGGGGGAAGGAACAGTGGAATATGGGTGGGGGTGTAGAAGTCAATAGTAAGAACAGAAGCAAGAGAGAAAATGGGGAGGAAGCAGTAGCAAGAGACGGCCAAGGGCAGGCGATGGACAGGCGTTGGGGGACAGCCACAGGGGCCCCAAAAAATCAGGGGAAAGGAGAAGATTGTTCAAGAAAAGGCAGAGGGCATGATGACAACACAAAATGAAGAAAAACACGAAACACAAGAGATGAAGAGACAGAGCACACAGGAAGGGCCACCCAGTGGAGACAGACAGAAAAGTGGCAGGAAAGTAGAAAGGAAGTGGCAGGCAGGGGCAGAGACGAGCAAAGGACAGAAAGGGAGAGCAGGACAGAGACGAGCGAGGAGGAGGAAGTCAAGAGTGCAGGGGCAGGAGAGGAGGAGTGTAGGGAGGAGGGGCAGGGACGGGAGGGGAGGAGAAAAGAGTGATGTGGAGGAATCTGGCCCTGGAGTCCGGGGGCTGGTTTATCAAATGTAGCAAAGTGCAGGTTGAGAAAGTCAGAATGGACCTTACTTGCCTTCGACGATGGTAGCAAACTTTTTGTTGCTACGAGGGATCTCAGCCCCACAATATTTCACTTTAAAGAGAAATGGAAACAACTCTTTGATCTCGGGATTCTCAGGGGGTGCCACAGGAAGGGGTTGGGGAGAGGGGAGAGGGAAAAGGAGTGGTGGGGAAGGGGGAGGTCAGGGGCGATCAAAAATAAAAGAACAGCGACCATGGGAGGGACGTGGGGGAGAGGATAGGGGACAGGCGGCAGAGAACGAGAGGCGTGTCAGAAAAAAACTGAGGGGCAGCGTGCGTCTGTGTGTGTGTGTGTGTGTGTGTGTGTGTGTGTGTGTGTGTGTCCAAGTCTCCCTCTCTGTCTCTCTCCGACACGTAGGTACAACACGTGGGTACATTATGTGTGTGCTTGATCCCTGGGTTGCTGGAGGAGGTTGGGGGGAGGGGAGACGGGAGAGGGGAAGAGGAGGGAGGGAGGGCCACCCCCAGCCCGGCCCCTGGCTGGCTCAACTCCATCGGTCCGTCTGGGAGGGGGCCGGGGGGTCTTGCAGGAGCAGAGTCTGACCCGTGCAGGTTGGGGAAAGGGAATGGAGGGAAGGGGAGGAACGGGGTAGAGGGACAAGGGAGAGGGTAGGGGGCAGGGGAGGGCAGTACCTCAGTGATGCCAAAGGGGATGTTGCCCACGTAGAGGCGCCGGGCTTGTCTGGTCATCTGGCTCCCGACCACGGGCACCGGCGTTGGGGTCACAGCCAGACCGTCAGGGGTCATGGTGGGGAGAAGAGCAGTGGCTGGAATCTGACCCGCAGCTTCAAAGGGAATAAAAGCCGGATAAAACCCCATCAGGGGAATGCTCAGTGACCACCCCTCACCACACACTGGGAGTTCCCCTCCTCAGCAGAAAGCTCCTACAGGCTCTCGGTCTTAGCACCTTCCAGAACCCTCTTTCCACCCTCGGGGCCCCCACCCAGTAACTGCTGCTCCTCAGAAGCCTCACTTCCTAATGGCGTCCAGATGGAGGCCTCATTCCCCTGTCAACCACGGGTGTCTCTGGTCATTTCCTCCTCTAGGGAGGCTTCAAAAGCGCAGAGACCAGAACCCCCAGGGGTGTGCAACCCTCTACCTGTGTCTTTGACCCCCTCCAAGCACACACGCAGGGGAATGACTGACGGAGAATCCCAACCCCTGTACCCTCCCGCTCTGGGAGCAGCCTGGCCAGGGGCCTACCTTGCATGGCCTTGTACTGCATTGGGGTGATGTGCTCAAAGCCTGGGGGTGGCACGTCCCAGTATTTACGGACCTTCTTCTTCTTCTCGTGGCGGGGGGAACGACTGGGGGAGGTGGGAGGGGAGAGCGGGGCAGGGCAACCTCAGTCTGACCAACAGTGGGCCTGCGAGCCCCCTCCCAGGCACCCTTTCACCCTCCCCGCAACCATGTAAGCTCCACTCTCTCCAGGGAAGGAGAGGGTCTGGGGCAGGGCCTGGGAAAGGGGTGCTGGTTTCAAGGTAAGTGGACTCTTCCCAGTGCTTGGGCCAGGGCTGGAAATGGGCGGGACAGGGTGCACGGGCGTGAGGAAGGTGAAGGGAGTGGACATCAGGGAGGAAGGGGCAGGAAGAGAAGCTCACATCAGTCCACCGTGCTCCTCTTTAGCGCCTCTGGTCAAAGGTTTGCTGGGGGGTGGGAGGGAAAGGTATGGGGAGGGGTGACTGGGGACCCTCGTCTTCCCCACATGCCACACCCCCCCAAGGGCACTGAGCCCCAGGGTGGGAGCAGGGCCGAGGTCAACAAGCAGCAAGCAGGCCACCCTCGGCCCTGCCATTTCCCCCCAAACACTCCCACCCCCAGGAAAGAGGAAGTGAGGAAAGGAGAAAGGGGCCAGGGGCCAGGAAGGACCAGTCTCTAGCTGGAGAAACTGAGCCGGGAGGAGGCAGGAGGACTTCCGCCTATCCTGCC
The DNA here is from genome assembly GCF_000001405.40 of Homo sapiens. Classification (NCBI taxonomy): domain Eukaryota; kingdom Metazoa; phylum Chordata; class Mammalia; order Primates; family Hominidae; genus Homo; species Homo sapiens. Next base: position 55,659,893 of record NC_000019.10, on the reverse strand, counting down.
CTTCCTCACCTAAGGAGGCAGAGAACAGAAAGGGGAGCCTAGAAGGGAAGAGGCGGTGGAAACCGACACCCCTGGGCCAAAAAGTCAGCCCAGGCTGTGGATACTGCCTCGGTCCCAAGAGCTCCCTTCTCCTGGGAGGCAGGGAAGAAAGAAACTGGAGGCAGAGACCAACCCCCTCGAAGAGAGTCCCACAGAGAGCCACAGAGAGTCGAAAAGAAGGAACAGGCCCTCAGAGTCAGAGACAGAGAACAACCCCTTGTGAAGGAAAACACAGAATCAATTCCCAGGCTCCAGATAAAGAGCCTATTGCCCCCAGCAACCCACCAGCAACCACCAAGACAGAAAATGAAAGAAACCCCAGAAACGGGGGAAAAAATCGGAATCCAAGACAGACCAAGCAGTAGATCCCTCCCCCAGATCCACACAAAGAACGAACGAGCCACACAGGGCCCGGACCCAGACACAGACACACACAGGCCACCCACAGGCCGGCCAACACCGACCCCCCGACTCCCAGGCTGGCCCAGGGGATCCCTGAGCCCTAGTACCTGCGTCGTCGCCTGTCCCGGGAGGCGCTCCGCTGGTCCCGGTTGCGCCGGTCGCGGCTCCGGCTCCGGCGTTTGCGGTCCCGGCTCCGAGAGCGGCTGTGGCTGCGCTTCCGATGCCGGTTCTCCTTGTCCCGCTCTGGGCAAGGGTGAGAGGAGGGGCACGGGATAAGCGGAGTAAGGATGCGGGCCCAGCCCACCCTGCGCGCTGGTGGCTATGTCCCAAGCCCCAGGGAGGCCACCCCCAAAGGGAAGGGATTCAATGGAGGAAGGGAATTAACAGGCCTCCTGGGTCCACAAGCGAGTCCAGGGACCATGAGGGGACCAGGGGGACGGGGCCTGGAAATGCCCCCGGGGTGTAAGATACCTGAGGATGCTCAGGAGGAGCTGGGGAGCCAGAGAAGACAGAGGAGGCTGGCTCCTGGTCCCCCTCGAGGGCTGAGGGGCCTGACCCCAGGGTCGTCCCTGAGAGGGGCAGGGCTAGAGGCTGGGGAATCAAGAGACCCAATGATGTTTTCCTGAAGGGACCCAGCGACCCCTCAGGAAAGACCTCTGCAACTAGCTGGCACCCACAGCCCCACCATCAGGACTAGGGGTCAGGTGCCAGGCAGGATCTGATATCCCCAGGAAGCAGGGAAACTCAACCCATCCCTTCCCAAGCCGGTGAATAATGCAGAAGCAAGCACCCTTCCCAGGGGAAGAGAAGGGCCTCGGAGAATCTGCAGACTGAAGGGGAAAGAGGCCCTCCTCTCCTTCAGCAGGTCAGGGGAGGAGCTTGCCCCATCCAGACTTGAATCCCAAACCACTTGAATCTCTCAGCCTCACTCCCTTCAAAGCCAAGTACTGAAGAGACTGTAAAGGCGTGAGTAGGGGCGGGTATCTCTGCCAGCCTCCAGCAGGCTCCCTCAACCCTCTATTTGCCTGAGGTAGCCACTAGGAACGGAGCCTCACTGGCAAAACCACAGAAACCTCTGCTCTCACCAGACCCTTCAACCCCTGAAGAGAGACCGGCCCTTCAAGATGGAGGATAAACCATGAGCATGGGGGGGCGGGGGGGTTCATGAGCACCGCCACACCATTTCCTTAATTCAAAGACACCCAGATTTCTCAGCTAGCCATGAAGCACACACACAAAACAGATGCACACGTTAAGGTGCTTATATATGTTAACACGCATCTCCTGGAGTGATCATCCCTGGGGACAAGAGGAGGAAAGGGCACTGAGGGAGGATGTTAAACTTCAGCCTCACCCACAGTGTTTTGTCTCACGTTTTTGCGATGCAATGTGAATGTCTGGAAAAGCATCACAATTCCAAAACCACCAACACTCAGAAAAATATGCACCCAGCAGGGAAAAAAACAGCAACAAATATTGAGATGCTTCCTACAACCGGAATCTGTACTAAATTGTTTTGTTTGTTCTTAATCCTCACTACTGCTTCGGAAAAACACTGCTGGGGGCTGACATAATGGGTAAGGAAACTAAGGTATAGAGAGATCACAATTACCAAGGTCAAACAGCTAGGAAATGGTGACACCAGAATTTAAACACTCTGACATCAGTGAGTTAAGCACGAGGCCATACTCTCGAATGTGGATCAGGCAGAACACTCAGGTCTGGCTAGAACCATTAATGACAATATAATTGTCCCCTTGAAGGCCAAAAACCCCAAAATCAAAAACTGAAATTGGGAGGAACAATCGGCAGGACAGGCCAGCAGTGTAGAGCAGCGGGCACACAGGCACGGCACTGGGCACAGCTCCTCGCTTATAAGATGGACAGGCTGTGAGCCCCAAGAGCCCTTTCTGCTGCTAAGGCTCTGAAACAGGCAAGCAGGCAGACAGGAACCCACGCAGAGAAAGCAATGATGCCCGCTGGGTGCCTGGGATATAGACAAGGAAATTCCCTGTAGATACAGGTAGCAGAGGAAAGGACTGAAGCAGAAGGCGACACGTACAGAAGCTGGCCCGTCCTCCGCAGAGACAAAGACTACAGGCAGTGACACGCGGGCAGAGCTTCCCCTATGGCAAGAACCCTCTCCCACACACTGATGCTGGACAGGTAAAAACAATGAGAGCTTCGTTTGCTCAAAACACTGTATTGTGGTCATCTTATGGGAGCAGCTCCGCCAACCCAGGAGCCGTGCCAGGTCTCAGGGACTGCCCTACCAGCACCAAAAGGGAAACCCCGGGAGAACCGGTGAAGCACCATCTGAGAGCCTCAAAGAACCGCCCAATCAGCTCCACTTGGTCCAGCAGAGTGGAACTTGGCCTTGCAGCCAGAGCTCAGAATCAGTACCTGCTTTTCTGCTTATGAACAACAAAAACCATGCAAAAGCAACTTAGCCTTTAAGACTTGGTTTTCTCTTTAAACGAGGGTCGTATCTACTCCATCCAGGTGTTGTGTGGCAGAATGACATTTGGAAAGCACCTTTTCCTGCCCTTTCCCAACTCTGACACAATCTCTGTGAGCGGAAGACCCTCCTCTCTAAGCATGGAATTTTACAATTGCAAATATCGCTTACTGCACACCCAGTGTACGCAAAGCCACATGCCACACACTTTACATGTTACCCCATTTAATCTCAGCTCTGCCTCTGACTAGCTGAGCCCTGAGAAAGTTTTTAACTTTTCTGAGCCCTCAGTTTCCTCCCCAGTAGAGGTGGAAATCATTTTGGCCTCACAAGGCTGTTAAAAGGATCCACTTAGTAAAACATGCTAAGAGTTTAGCGAAGAGCCTGGCACACGGTAAGCGCTCAGAGTTTAACTACATCTATCGTTACTATCATCCTTTTTAATCTTCTCAAAATCCGGTAACAAGAAAATAATAATCAGTCTACAAATGGAAAAAAATATATAAACGTATTAAAAGCAGTTACTAAACGACAAAGCAGGTATCTAAACTTCCTGATGTGCTCAACTCCAAAGCCTATGCTCTTGAGCAGTCCATCAACTAAGACAGAGTCAGACCCTCAGTAAACGTTATTGCTTCCCCAGGACACTGTTTCCTAATACAGCCCCTACCCAACTCTAGCCCGGGTTCAAAGGAAAATTCCTCAGCCCTCATTTCGTCCTCCGAACGAGCTAGGAACATGGGCAGCTGAAGCCTGAAAAGAAACAAGTCTCCAATCTTCCCTGGTCCTGTATTTCTTCACAAACTGAAACACGGAGGATTTTTAAAGCGTCTTAACAACTCTCCCACTTCTAATATTATTGGAATCCCTAAGATCAGGGCCCCAGGCTTTTTGTTCTAACCCATCACAATTTTCGATACCCTGAAGGGAACCTGCCTCCCACCTTCCCCGTAAGTGAAGAGTTTAGCGCAGTGGGCCAGATCCCTCTTCCTCCCTCAGAACCTGTTTTCTTATCTCTATATTGAGATCTGAGACTGAGTATTATCAGGTGCCCTGAGATTGGGATTGTAAATGATTTGAGGTTTGTCTCAAACACTCCATATCGCGATTCTCGGGACCGCCAAAAGCCCCGCATATGCAGGATGTGTGCGTGCGGACACTCAAAGAATGCAGATGCTTTTAGGCAACATGTGCCAAACACGTTAATATGAGGCGCCCCACTACCAACAGACGGGGCAGAAACCACCTGGCGGGAGAGATCAGAGCAAATCAGCAAAAAGGAAAAGGGGTACGCGAGGGGCCCGTGGCCTCCAAGCATCCGCCGAAACGGCTCTGCCCTCATCCACGTGAAGGAAGGAAAGGGGCCCCCCCACCAAGTTCTCACAACCGCCATTTTGGAAACAAAGGGGGCGTGGAGACGCTGCCGTGGGCCCGACCGGAAGCGGAAGTGCCAAGGCAGCGGGAGAAAAGAGATTACGGGGACTAACATAATCTCCTTTTCAGAGAAACCAAAAAGATTTTAAAAAACAAAAGTTCACGTCGAGGCATCTGGCGCGCTCGTGCCGCGTCCCCCGCGCCACCTCCGCCAGGACCACGTGGGGCGCAGGGACAGCCGCCGTGCGCATGCGTCACGGGCCCGCGCCCCGCCGCCCCCTTCCCCTCGCCTAGCGCGCGGCGGAACGCTGGGGACGTCACGTGAACGAGGCGCGCGCCACGGAACCAGGGTTGGGGGGCGCCGCGCGGCCGTGAAGTGGGGGGAAGCGAGGGAGAAAATGGCGGGGGGGCAAAGAGCGACGCGAGGAGCCGCCCACACCTCCGCCCCGCGACCCCGGTGCCCTCACCTTGTTTATTCTCGTTGAGCTGCCGCTCGAACTCGTCGAAGTCCGACATGCTGAGGCGGCCGCGTAGGGCCCTGTGCAGCTTTCGCCTCGCCTTGCCGCCCGCTCCAGCCGCTTCGGCTACTTCCGCCGCTGGCTTCGGCTACTTCCGGCCGCCGCCGGCGCTTCGCCACCTCCTACCTAATCAAGCCTCCGGCAGCCCTCCCCGCCCCGCCCGGGCTCCGCCCCCTCACCCGCCCGCCCGCCCGCGAGCTTGCCCCTCCCCCCGAGCCTGGCTCCGAAGCGCCTCGGCTATCTCCGGATACTGGACGAAGGCGAAGCAGGCGGCCGCTTCGGCTGCTTCCGAAAACACCCGAACGTAGGGTTTCGCCGACTTCCCAGGTTTCCGTAACTTTTCCGAGATTATCTCCTCAACGTTCGGAGGTTTCCGTGTGTCCTCGTGTGCCACTGCGCCCAGTCCCCTCTGCGAGTTCGGGTTCTTCCAACAATTCAATCCGTCCCAGTCTTTGGCTTCTTCCACGGACTTGCTCCGATCTTCTCCGCCGGCCCTGTCCAAGCAATCGGCCACTTCCGACAATCCTAACCGTCCCGGCCTTCGGCTCTTTCCGGAGATTTCCGGATCTCGCCCTCGGGCCCCTCCTGGGATTAAGCTCGAGTCCGTGTTTCGGCTCTTTCCGGAGATGCCACTTGCTCACGCCTCCGATCAGAGAACTTCGGCTCCTTCCGCCACCGCTTCGTGAAGGCCTCACTCTCCGGGGACAGCTTCGACTTTTTCCGTGGGTACCTCGGCTCCTTCCGGCTTCGGGAACGGAAAAGGGAAGGAGAACAGAGACGAGATGGATCAGGGGAAGGGATAGAGAAGGGGACGAGGTCCTAGTTCTCGGCACCTGGCTCTCCGGGTGGGGAAAGTGAAAGAAAAAAAGGGCCGGCCTCGCGGAGGGCCTGAGAAGGTTGTGCCAGACAAAAGCAGCAAGAGGGATGAAGGGTGCGCGCGACCGCTGCGGAGGTTGCCAGCGCGGCTTTTTGCGCCTGCGCAGGGTGGAAGCCGCGGGTGAGGGGAAACAGGCTTCTGCGCCTGCGTAAAAGTCGTTCTGTGGCGCGCTCTCCCACTGCTCCCGTGAAGGGGGTTGCGGGGACCAGGTTTCAGTCCCCATTGCGCGTGCGCGAGATTTCCCTTACAACGGTGAAAGTGCTTAATCCCCAGCCGTTAAATCCGGCCACCCTCTTGGTTGTCTCGGCAACCACATCAACGCGCTCCGGCTCTTCCCGCCGCGCAGGCGCGGCAGACGGATCATCTGGCATTACTTCCGGGAGACAGATGATCTGGCGTTACTGCCCCCTGGCGGCCCAACGGAAGTATCCTCCAGACTTGGCCTGGCCGCTAGGTGGCCTCCCTCGCTAGAGGTCATCGACTCACGCCTCTCGCGCCGCGCTCCGGTCTGGGTAGCCCAGCGGGTAGTGTCCACGCTTCTTTTTACTTTTTTTTTTTTTTTTTTGAGACGGAGTCTCTGTCGCCCAGGCTGGAGTGCAGTGGCGCGATCTCGGCTCACTGGAACCTTCGCCTGCCGGGTTCAAGCGATTCTCCTGCCTCAGCCTTCCAAGTAGCTGGGACTACAGGCGCCCGCCACCACACCTGGCTAATTTTTTGTATTTTTAGTAGAGACGGGGTTTCACCGTGTTAGCCAGGATGGTCTCGATCTCCTGAACTCGTGATCCGCCTGCCTCGGCCTCCCAAAGTGCTGGGATTACAGGCGTGAGCCACCGCGCCCGGCTGTGTCCGCGCTTCTTTTCCCGAGCTCTGCCTCCGAGTTTTCTGGGGCGCAGCTGCTTCACTCTCCATCTCTGCCTCCGGGGGGCTAATTACACCGTATCCTACCCGTCCTCCCGCCTGACCACCCACCCCCTTGGAAGCCCCCGCAACCCCGTCACCGTCTTCGGGGCGACGGCCGCCCCCTCCCAGGCACGTCCCCCTCCTAGGAAGAGGCTGAGGCCAAGTTTATTCCAAATTTTCACGTCGTTTTTTAATTTAAATTATCTGAATAATTCTCTGTCTCACGCGGAGTTGGGGAGGTCTGTCCGGGAATCAGGTGGGCAGCTCCTCCGCGGGGCCAGGGCGGAGACGGGGTCTGTACAGTCCCCCACTCGAGGGGGGGGCACCCGCCTGCCTGGTTTTCCAGGAGGAAGGGGCCCGGCGAGGACAGGGCTGGGCAGCCCAAGCGGAAGGGGGTGCCGGCGTTCGGGAAGGGGCCGCGGCCGGTCCGGGGCCGTCGCGCTTGGGGGCCCGGCTAAGGGAGCCCCCAACCCAGGGAGCGAGGAGGAGGGGCAGGGGCGCGGCGGGGAGAGGGGCAGGTCATCCACCGGGGTCCACGGGGGAGGAAGGCCCGGGTGGAGGCGCGGAGGCGTGGTGCGATCACCGCTTGAAGCGGTAGGTGATGGGCAGCAGCAGCTTGCTCTTCTTGAGCGCCTGCACCTTCTTGAGCGTCTCGTCGTCCAGGGCCAGAAAGCAGCGGCGGGAGTACTCGAGCAGGCGCTCCTTGGAGGGGTCGAACTCGCCCACCTCGGCCAGCTTCTCGGGGGCCACAATGAGCAGCTCGGCGATGGGCGTGGTCAGCGCCACGGTGTTCCTGTCCACGCGGTGGTGCTCGAAGGCCCGCGACATGCTCTTGAGCTTCTGGAAGGTGCCCAGGATCTTCTTGTACCGGCAGAGGACCCCGTCGGCGTCCTTCACTGAGGGGTGGAGGCGGGGACACGAAAGTGAGGGGCAGGGCACAAGACTGAGGGGGCGGACACGGGAAGGGAAACGGCCATGGGAAGAAAGGATCTCGGCGAGCAGAGGCACGGGCCGGTGCAGGTGGAGACGGAGAACAACAGGCAAGGAAGGGGCAGAGAGGAGGGGAAGAATCGCAGCCAGATCTTGGACCAGTGGGAAATGGGAAGAGGCAGGCCCAGGAAGGAGAGTGAGGAGACAAAATGAGCCAAGAGGCCGGGTTCAACCCACGCGGTCCCAGCACCCCCCGACACCCCGAGCCATCACCCTCGTCTCCCTGCCTCAGGTGAATTCACTTATTCAAGTCTCACCCTCCCCGTGAGGTAGGTCCTACTGCGCACCTCCTCCTTACTGATGAAAGTTAAGGAGGTGCCCAAGGTGGCCCTGCCCTCGACGGTGGACCAAAACTTAAAAGTAAACCCAGGACAGGCCATGCGCGGTGGCTCACGCCTGTAATCCCAGCACTTTGGGAGGCCGAGGCAGGTGGATCACGAGGGCAGGAGATCCAGACCATCCTGGCAAACACGGTGAAACCCTGGCCTCTACTAAAAATACAAAAAATTAGCCAGGCGTGGTGGCGGGTGCCTGTAGTCCCAGCTACTCGGGAGGCTGAGGCAGGAGAATGGCGTGGACCCGGGAGGCGGAGATTCCAGTGAGGTGAGAATGCGCCACTGCACCACTCCAGCCTGGGCGACGGGGCAAGACGTCCCCCCCGCCAAAAAAAAAAAAGAAAGTAAACCCAGGACCACACGTGGAGGAGGGAGAGACAGAACCCGGTGGGTCTTTCTCCAGCAAGGCTGGAGGGGCTTGGAGAGAAAGGGGGACCTCTGGGAAGGACACACAGCAATTCAGCAGCCCGGGCCCCTCAGCGCCCGCCCCATGCACCCCACTCACCTCGCTGCCTCTCCCGGGCCTTGGGCTTCCCAAAGCGCCTCCGACTAGCACCTCCCTTCTGCTTCTGCCGCCTCCTCTCACTGGCGCTGCCTTCTTCGGACGCTCCGCTGAGGGAGGAGGCTGCTGACTCAGGGTCCGAGGCCTCGCCCCCAGCCCCACCACGGCTGTCCCCCTCCATCCGCCTGGGCCCAGGCTTCATCCGGCAGTGGTCCTCTGGGGAGATGGAGACACACACATGAACCAAGGGACCAGACATCCCATCACAGGTCCCGGGACTGAGAGAGGCTGCAGTCCCCGAACTGGATCCCCCAACCTGGGCTGGTCCCCTAAAGAGACAGAGAGACAAGGAGTACGGTAGAGACGCTGGTGGCTGAGTAGAGCCAGTTGGGGTCTGTGGGAGGTGGTAATGGGTGGAGCATTTTCTCAGAGGCCTGGGTTGGCAAGAGGTCTTACGGAGGCAGCCGACCAGGGGCCTCAGGACCCCTGTGACTATGCGCGGTTCCCATAGGGGAGGGAGAAATTTCTGGGGACTGGGCGGGACCTCTGGAGAGTAGCCTCTGGAAACCCAGGAGGCAGGCAAGGCCTTGGCTGGAGTCGGGGGGTCAGACCGAGAGAAATCAGGGGCCCTGGGTCCAGCAGGCTGGGTCCCACCTCCATCTAGACAGAGGGAGCCGGCAGGCGGAGGCCCAGACACAGATTCCTCTAGAAGGCGGGTTAGGGGAGGGCTCTGGTGCCAGGGTCCCCACTGGGAAAGTGCCGAAGCCGCAGGGCCAAACTGTCTGTGCAAAGGAGTCAGTCACCCAGGATGGAACCATCAGTGAGAGGAGACAGTGGCAGGCCCAAGGGCAGCCAGAGGTGGTTTGTTCCCGAGCAGAGGGAAAGCCAGATCCCCAGATGCTGGGCTTCCAGTAACAGAGACACCACAAGACCATAGCCCCCTTGCCTAGGATTTTTGGGGAAAGGGTTGAATTCACAAAGAGAGATGTGGGAGCTTTTGAGGGGTCTTCCCAGCCAAGGAGCTAGCAAGGCTGAGATGAGGGTAGGTGGGGTAGAGTGTGGGTTCTCCAGGCCATGGGCTGTCGGGCAAACGGCCTGACCATCCGGGGAAGAGGATGGGGCTGGGGTCCAAAATGTATTAAACAGGGCACAGGGTCCCACCAGTCAAGAGAAGACGCTAGCTGTGAACTGGCTGGGGCTGGGTGCTGCTGTGGGAGCTATCTGGGCTGCTTCTGGCCATGAATTATAGCAGAGCAAGGTATGTGGGTGGGGACTGCCCAGGAATCAGGCAGGGTTTGAGGGACAGCACCTGCTGGGGTCACCACCCAAAAAGGCCCACAAAGGAAGGGACTTAATGTCTTTGATGGGGAAGGAGTGCTCATTAACCAAGGATGGGACAGGGTGGGTGGGAAGATGGCCCCTGGTGTCACAGAGGGGAGGGGGGGACAGGAGGAGGCCGGATGGCTGGACTCTTGGATCTTGGAGAAGACAGGGACGGGAGGAGGAGCAGGGGCCCCCTGAGGAAACCCAAAGAACTAGGGTGGGCCTCTTGGCCAAAGAGATGAAGGAAGGTCCCCCTAGGAGTCAGAAGAGAGGGGCTCTCAGGTGCCAGGGTCCCTGAAGTCACCATGGGCCAAGGAAGCAGATGGCAGGGCACTGGAGGCTGATGGGATTTGGGGAGCTGACGGAGAAGGCAGGAGGACGGGCCCCAGTAGACAGTTCATGGGGATGAGGCCCTGGAATCAAGTGAGGAGGCAGCTGGGCCTGGGGGCCCAAAACAGGCAGGGGACTAGCAGATAGGGCCAACATGGCAGGTCCCACCCAGCCAGCCAAACAGTGGAGCCTTGAGTCTGGGTGAGCGGGTACCCAGTAGCGGGACAGGGAGGCATGTGGATCAGAGCACCCCACACACACCTGCCTCCATCCGAGCAGAAGAGATGAATTTGTCCAGCTGGCACCGCAGGAAGTCCCTCTCTTCCTCCAGGTCCTCGATGCGCTTCTGCAGCCAGGAGTTCCTCTCCAGAGCCATGTGCAGCTGGGTCTTGACGCTGTTCATCAGAGCCAGGGCGGAGGACGCAGCCTCCGGAGGCTCTAGGGACACAGCGAGGGTGGGGGGACCAGGTCACACCCTGGGACTCAGGGCTTGGCTTCCCAGCTGACTCCAGTCCCTCCACACCCCCTCAGCTCACCCTCGAAGTTTCTCCGAGAGGGGCTCAGACTGTAAAAGATCTGTGGGTCTAGGTGGGGTGCCTCATCGAAGGGAATGGAGATCTCGAAGGTCTCATCGTCCTTCACTGGAGAGGAGAGGCCCCGGGTTACCCCAGAGAATTCCCCGGGCCTCTCAGGCCACCCCCCAACCACGGCAGCCTGGAGCCGACCGCACTGGGACCCAGGGTAGGGAAGGGGACCCAGCTTCCTCACTTGTCCGCCTCCGACTGCTCCGGTCATTCATGGCGCGGCTTCCTACGGACCCCAGCAGCCGAGGGCCTCAGGGGCACTGGACAGAAACGGCAGCCACAAATGGAGAGACGCAGATGGACTGGAGGGTCCATCCTGGGGGAGGTGAAGTGAGACAGGAGGGACCTTCTGGCCTGGACCCCTGGTCTGAGGGAGGAGGGAGCCTGGACCCCAGGACTGAGGCAAAACGCGCCTGGGCTTCAAACTCCTGGGCTCCTGGAGTCAGGGGCAGGGGGCCCAGCCGCCTAGGTCCTGGGGGAGAAGTGAGCTGGGGACGTGGGCTCCTGGGTATCGAAGGAAAAGGAAGCTGAAGCCCTAAATTGCTGGGTGCCCCAAGGGGTCGCCTGACCAGGGACACCTAGCCTGAAGGGGAAGGACCCTCTCTCATCGCGGGCCACTGCCAGGCCTAAGGAAGAGGCAGGTGCAGGGGGAAACTGCCCCAACTTCCCAGGGTAGGAGGAGGTCCAGCCCGTGCGCGCTGCCTCCTCTACCTTCGGGGCCCCCACACCCCTCCCCCGCACTCGCGTGGGCGGGCGGACCGTCCCCCGGTGGTGGGGGCTGGGCGCGTGCGCAGTACGGGGAAAGGTCACGCGTGGGGGTGCGCCCCCCCCGCCCCCGCCCTTTGTCCCGCGGGTGGGAGGGGGAGCGGTCGTGGAACGATTCCAGCGGGAACATGCACTAGGGCGGGGGTGCAAACGCGGCCACCATCCCCCGCCCGCGGGTGCCCGGGGTCCGAGGGGCCGAGGCCCCCCGCGCTCACCCACCCGCTCGCGGAATCCGGCTCGGGGACCGACGGCGGCGGCGCCCATGCCCGGCGCCGGGGAGCGTCTGCAAAGTGTCACGGGGAGCCGAGGGAAGCGCCCACCCACCCGCGAACAGGCGGGGCGGCAGGGGAGCGTGTCGTGGAACTGAGCGACGGAACGGGCAGGGACGCGGGGACTCGCCCAGTCGGGCCAGGCTAGCGCCCCTCGTTGAAGAGTCCCCGGGTCCAGGTGAGGCCCGCCGTTTGCGGCAGAAGCAGAGGGTCTGCACTTGCGCGATAGCCCCTTACAGCACTCCCCCGCCCTCCCCGAAGCTCAGGCAGGGAACATCACGAAATTCCCATCCTGGAGAGCTGGCGAGTCTCCGGGGGTCCCCGGATTGGGTGGCGGTGTGCCCAATGGGCCCAGAAGGCAGGAGAGTGTTTGAGACACCGAGAAAGTTGGAGCGAAAGGAGAATCTACTTTTAACGCTCTCTCAGGAACTAGCCAGCGCGGACCCCTCAGAGCTCCCCTACCTCCTACAGCCAGACCCCAAGGTTCTCAGGGATGTGGGGGCCAAAATCGGGGGAGTTACCCCTCTCCCGGAAAATGAGGGCCAGGAACACGCCACCCCCATCCCCATGTTGGTAATTAAGAGCTGGCTTTGGAGCAAAGCTAGATTCCAGTCCTGACTGTTCCTGCTCCTCCCCAGCCTGTTAACTCACCTGCAAAATGGGGAAATTACAAGCCCTTCTAAATTTATTGTGAGGATGCAGTGATGCGACACACAGAAGCTCAGCCCAGCACCTGGCCATCGTCAGGGCTGAAGAGAGGAGCGCTGCTGGTATTATTTGAGGTCAGATGGTGGGGTATGATGGCAGCCTCTGGGAGGCTCTTTCCCACTCTGGGGAGTATGAACGGAAGATTTGTTCTTCCTCCCAAAAAAACAGGTCGGAAGAGCAAATGAGGCCTAGCACAGTGCCTGGCACAAAATAGGCAAGAAAAATGAATGAATAAGCAGATGTTTATTAAGCTTCAGGCTCAGCTCCACCTGCCTCTCCTGTTCACCAGAAGCATCCAAGCTCTGGACTGTGGCCAGCCCTTATAAGAGCAAGGTCTTAACCCGATGGAGGGAGAATCTAAATGTCTGCACCGCCTGCAAAGCTGTGACCATGATCCTCCCCTCCCCACTTTACAGATTAACTGCAGCCTGGTCCAAAAATTCCAGGGGGAGCCATCTGCCCTAGATTGGTCTTTTCCAAACTACAGGTTCATGGGTGGAGAATTCAATAGAATAGGATGAAATCAGCAGTTTAAAAAAATATTTAGCCGGGCGTGGTGGTGCACACCTGTAATCCCAGCTACTCAGGAGGCTGAGGCAGGAGAATCGCTTAAACCGGGGAGGTGGAGGTTGCAGTGAGCCGAGATCGCACCACGCTCCAGCCTGGGCGACACAGCGAGACTCCGTCTCAAATAGTAATAATAATAGTTGATGGAAAAAAAAATGCACAAACTAAAGCTAACTATGGTAAAGAAATTTTTGTGGGCCGGGCGCAGTGGCTCACGCCTGTAATCCCAACACTTTGGGAGGCAGAGGGGGGCGGATCACGAGGTCAGGAGATCGAGACCATCCTGGCTAACACAGTGAAACCCTGTCTCTACTAAAAATACAAAAAATTAGACAGGCATGGTGGCGGGCGCCTGTAGTCCCACCTACTCAGGAGGCTGAGGCAGGAGAATGGCATGAACTCGGGAGGCGGAGCTTGCAGTGAGCCGAGATTGCGCCACTGCACTCCAGCCTGGGCGACAGAGCAAGACTCCGTCTCAAAAGAAAAAAAAAAAAAAAACTTTTGTTTCGAGGCCTAGTGCCCTGAGGGAGGCCGAGGTGTGTGGATCACCTCAGGTCAGGAGTTCGAGACCAGCCTGACAAACACGGTGAAACCCATCTCTACTAAAGGTACAAAATTAGCTGGGCATGGTGGCACACGCTTGTAACCCCAACTACTTGGGAGGCTGAAGCAGGAGAATCGCTTGAACCCAGGAGGTGAAGGTTGCAGTGAGCTGAGATCACGCCATTACACTCCAGCCTGGGTGACAAGAGCGAAACTCCGTCTAAAAAAAAAGAGGCCAGGCGCTGTGGCTCACACCTGGAATCCCAGCACTTTGGGAGGCCGAGGCAGGTGAATCACCTGAGGTTGGGAGTTCAAGAACAGCCTGACCAACATGGAGAAACCCCGTCTCTACTAAAAATACAAAATTAGCTGGGCATGGTGGCACACGCTTGTAATCCCAGCTACTAGGGAGGCTGAGGCAGGAGAATCGCTTGAACCCAGGAGGCATTGCGGTGATCCGAGATTGTGCCATTGGACTCCAGCCTGGGCAAAAAGAGTGAAACTCCGTCTCAAAAAAAAAAAAAGGAAACTTGGTTCACGTGTATTTTGCTTATCTGTATACTCTATTGCCATATAAAATGTGTTTGTAACAGGAGATTGTGGTTTTAAAATTGTTTCAGTTAAAAACATTCTTCCCAGATGACCCAGGTCTTCAGGAGCTGAGGAGGGGATAACCCCAAGGCAGGCCAACCTTCCCATTCCCCAGCCAGGCAAGCTGAGGTCTCCCTGCTAGACGGCCACCAAAGAGGGTCTGAGATGCTGTCTCTAAAAACAAACCTCGAGTGCTCAGAGTGGGAAACGTGTTTATTGTTTGATCAGTCTCAGGCCTGGTTGGGGGGTGGAAGGCAGGACTGGGGTCCCTTCCCCAACAACAGCGCAGAAGCCCCAGGAAGATGGCGCAGATTCCTGACGACCCACAGCCACCTTTTATGAGGCCAGAGACTTTACACACCACACTCCCCACCTCCATCCAGTCAAGGCTCTGCCATGGAACAGCTGATATCTTTAGGCTAGAGGACTCCATTCTGTGTAGGGGCTCATTCCCATCTCAGCTCCAGAACACGGAGGACCTGAAGATTACTCACGGATTCCTCCTTCAGGCAGGGCTCTGCCTTTGAGATGCGGCTGCTCTGTGTCTGTGTCCAGGGCCCTGAACACCAGCCTCAGGCTCTCACCAGGTGTCTGGACAGGAGTCCAGGCTCCCTGCAAAGTCCTGTGGTACCTGGGGCACCCGGCAGCCCGGCTCATGGATGCTTCCACCGCGTGTGTTTCTGCAGTGTGTTCTGCTCCATAAAGCGGCGAGGGCAGTGTGGACACTGAAACGGGCGTTCCCCAGAGTGCACCCGGCTGTGCTGGGCCAGCTCACCCGCATCCCGGAAGCGGCGAGGGCAGAGCGGGCAGCCGTGGGGCCGCCCACCACCCGCCAGGTGAATGGAATGGTGCCGTGCCAAGTGGCTGGCGCGCTTGAATGCCTTCCCACAGATGTCACACTCGAAGGGCTTTACCTCCGAGTGGGTGATGCTGTGTCGCTGAAGGTAGGACATGTACTCGAAGACCCTTGAGCACACGGGGCAGCTGTAGCACTTTTTCTGGCCTGGAGCCCCACTGGCCCCTGGCTCCCTCTGTGACTCCTCGTCCACCAGCACTGTGTAGGGGACACCCTGAGTGTCAATAAGCAGGTAGTGGTTGGGCCTTGGAGGAGATGAAGCCTGGGGAGATCCGATGGAGGAGGAAGGTCCAGGTTCTGGGGAGCGGCAAGTCCGACGGGGAGGGCCCTCCATGGTCTCAACGGAGGAAAATGCCAGAGGCTGAGGGCAGGGGGATGGCAGCACCAGCATCCGGAGGGCTGGCTGAGGCCTGGTGGATGGGAGATGGGATAAGAAGGTTATATAGAAGAGGGCAGCTCAGCACCACAGGCTCCATCCTTTTCCCTCCCTATACCCGGCCCAGGACCTCTGCATCCTGCTGCCCCTCAGTCCCTCTTTTCCAGTCCCGCTCACAGCTGGAGTCTGTGGCCCCCTAAAAGGTCCCCAGGGTCTTCCTCCTTGGAAAACCTCTCCTAGCCTCGGTGCTCCACCATACACTGTACTCACAGGATCTCTTGACCTCCTCTGCACAACCTGGACCTCGCTCTAACCTTCCTCTTTGTGCCCTCCCAGGTCACTGGGTGCCCCACCCCGCAGGCCTCCAGGCCTCTCCCTCCCCTCCTTCTAGCCCTTTCCAGGGTCTGCGTGTTGGCCTATGCTACATACTCAAGCCTTTCCTGACCCCCTCCATACAAGCCAAGCCTATTCACAGGGGCTCCGACGTTAGGACCCCCAGGTTCCGGCCCTCTCTCCAGCCACGTGTCTGAACAACTCCGTGCTCCCACCCGTCCACCCACCTCAGGTTCTCTCTAGTCCTCGCCCGGCCTCCACCAGGCTCGTTCTAGGTCCCAGCGCTCTCCGGGGTTCCACCCCCGGGGCCGCAGCCCTCGCTTTCTGGGCCTTTCTGTGTAAGTTCTCGCCCCCTCCAAGCTCCAGAACAGCCCCCTCCGGCGTCTGCCCCACTCCCGCCCCGGCCCAGGTACCCTCCACGCGGTCCAGCCCCTCCCGCCGCCCGCCCCCAGCCCCCTTCCTCCTCCCGGCCCCCGTACCCAGTGCAGCAGCCTCTCAGGTCCGGGCGACTCCAAGCGGCCCCGGGCTACCCTCGCAGTTGCAGGCGGCGGCGAGAAGGGGACCTCTGGGTGTGCCCCAGGAACTGGCGGCGCCGGCCGAAAGAGAGAAGCCGAAGGGAGAGAAGAGGGTCTAGGGAAGGAAGGTTGGGGCGGGGCGCCCGGGCCGTCGCGAAACGGCTCCGGCCAGAAACACACACCGAGAGGAAAGTACCCAAGCGAGGAAGATCCGGTCTCCACCCCCCAGCACCCAACGTGCACGCACACGCAAGGAAGAGCCTGAAAATGGAGTGCGGAATGTTTATTGAGCAAAGGGTCGGGGGCGTGGGCGGAAGGGGGGTAGATACAGAAATGAACCAGACCGTGCCCGTGCTCTTTATCATCTCTTCCCCGCAGACAACCACCGGTTCACCGCTCCAGAGAGCAGAAAACCAAGGTTTAGAGAGGTCATGTCACTTGCACAGGCTCACACAGCACAGCTGGACTGGAACCCAGTTCCGACTGGTTCCCAGGCCCAGGGAGGGGCAACGACTTTGGTCTACATCACACAGCTAGAAAGGGGGTAAGGAAGGAATGATGCTCCTCCCTTTGGAAGGTGGGGAAACTGAGGCCCAGGGTAAGGCAGTAACCTCAGCAGAGCCAGGGGGTGTGTGTGGGAGTGAGTGACGCTGTGTGGGTCAGACTTGGTGGCCCTGAGACGGGCAGGGCAGCACAGGCCGGGTCTCGAGCTTAGTGGAGGCGCACGTGCTGCGCCAGCTCCGCGGCGTCCTGGAAGCGGCGTGGGCAGAGCGGGCAGGTGTGCGGCGGCCCGGCGCGGGCGCGGTGCGTGGCGCGATGCCGCGACAGGTGGCTGGAGCGCTTGAAGGCCTTGCCGCAGGCGCCGCACGTGAAGGGCTTGAGGTCCGAGTGCGACACGCGGTGGCTCTGCAGCCGCAGAGGGCTGGCAAAGACACGGGCGCACTCCGGGCAGCTGTAGCCCTTGCGAGGGCCGGGCTCTCCTGGGGGCGCCTCGCGCTGGGGCGGGCCCCGGGGCTCCTCCTCCAGCTGCACCGTGTATGTGTAGGGGACCCCATTGGCGTCGATGAGGAGGTGGCGGCCCAGCCGCGGGGGTCGGGGCCCCGCCGCCGAGGAAGGAGTGGAGGAGGGGCCTTCCGCCTTGGGGAAAGGGGGAGCCTTGGGGGGCGGTGGGTCCATGGCCTCCGGAGAGGAGGACCGAGGGTGGGGTGGCCGCGGCGGCAGCAGCAGCATCTGGAGCGGCAGCTGGGAGCGGCGGAGGGGAGATTAGTTAAAATTGCCACTTCCTTTTAGGAAAAGTTTCCTAAAATGGAAAGCATCCCCACTATCACTGCTTGTTACCCTTTGTGCGCCACTGACTACCTCCCTAGCAAAATAAAAACTGTGACTCCAGCCCGGCTCTCCCACGTTCCATCAAGCTGCCTCGGAGAGGGCCTCCAACTGAGCTCTGCAAAACCCCGCCACCACCTGCCACTCCTCCTGGGTCCACCTCTCACCACTCAGGTCAGGTCTGAGGACGTAGTCCCCCGACTTTTCTTCCCTTTTCTCCTCTCAACCCACCCCAGCAGACAATCAATCCCTAAATCTGTTTACCTCTTTACATCTTAGACCCCGGGCCTCCTGACCGCCGAGATTTCTCTAATCTGTGGTTTCTTCTTTTTTCCTGTTGCCCAGCCCCAGTTCAGTTTACTTCCCCTCCCTTTGCCGCCCCCTACCCCCCCACCGGCCCCCGTATCGGCCTCCTGGCCCTCCGTCCCCACTACATGCCGCAGGGCCTCCCCATCTTCATATTCCGTGGCCTCCCTCACTTCCTCTCTAGGTACCTCCCCAGAGCCCCACTAACCCAATTCCCCACATTTCACTAGGGCTTTTCCATCCTGTTCCTACACTTAGCACCTCGAAGTCTAGTCACCTCTCCCCACTACGGAACCCATCGTCTTACTACATCTATACACCCCAAAATGGCTCAAATGCCTTCCTTCTGTATACCCCGCCCCCCCAACCTGGCTACCTGCTACATTCTCCCCAAAGGCCCCCTTTTCTCTCGCCCCCCATATATGGCGGTGACATCGTTACTTCTTTCTGTACCCATCAGGGGCCTTCTCCCAAACCCCGTTATGCACACCAGGCTCCGGGACTCCGCTTCCCACAGCACCTCTCCCAAGCCCACTTTCCCCTCCTTTCTGTGTACGTCTGGCATCTCTCTTTCTCCTCGTGTTCACCTCTTCCAGGAGCCCCATCCCTCTCCCTGTTACACACAGCGTGGTCCCCCGCCCGTTCTTTTGCTCTGCTCCCCTTGTTTATGGGAACCCCAGCGCCCGGGCGTTTTCGCCCCCATCCCGCTACACACCGCCTGTCCCCTGGCCCTGGGGCCCCTCCTATTGCCTTCACTTCCCCAAGGAGCCCTGGCGCCTCGACTTCCCCTCCCGTCCCTCCGCCCGATCCTGCCGCTCCCGACCCCCACCCCCATCCCGGGTGGCTCCAGCGCACTCCCCCAGCCTGCCTGGCCCCGGCGTCGTCCCAGGGCCAGGCTCCTCCCTCCATCCCGGCCCCCGTACCCCGTGCGGCGGCCTCTCGGGTCCGGAGGAACGGGCCGAGGTCCCGGGCGGCCCCGGGCTTCCCCTGGCGAGCGCCGGCGGCGGAACCGAGACTTCCGGGCAGCTCCGGGCCGGCGGCGCCGGGGACGCGGGGACTGGGGGCGCGGGGGTGCGAGGGGTTGGCGGAGTCCCTGGGAAAAGGCGCCGGCCGGAAGCGCGCGAGCCCAGTGCGGAGGTTCCGCCGCCTGGAGCCGGCGCTCCCACCCCTCGCCTCTGCGGAGCGCCCTGCGGGGAGGGGACCGGAGGCGTGGGGTCCACTGAAGACGCCCGCCCCCGGCGGCCCCGCTCCCCTCCCACCTCCCGAACGGAACGATTCCGCCGCTTGACAAGAGATCGGCCAATAAACCGAGACTAAGCAAAGTTACGTCTTCGCCCTAAGGCCCACAAGGGTTTGTCCTCTTTCCACTGGGCCGTCGCTGCCTGCTCGGCCGTGGCCACCCACCGAGGTAGAGGGCGGGAGAAGGGATGTTCCTGCCGGCTGAGCAAATGTGGAGACCGAGGTCCAGAGACCAGCCATTGGCTCCGATGTGGCCGGGCCGTGATTCTCCACCCAGCAAATGGGGAGGCCGAGGCCCGGAGAAGGCCAGACGCTGCCAGATAGTTGGGGAAGGTATGTTCTTTCCACGGGGCACATGCGGGAACCGAGGCCCACAGAGGGCCAGACGGCTGCATGCGCAGGTGGGGAGGTGTGATATTTCCAGAAGGCATGTGGCGACACCGAAGCGCAGCGAAGGCCAGGCTTTGCCAGATGCGGAGGTGGGAAAGGCTGGCACTGCCCACGGGGCCCACTGGAAGCCTGATGCGGGCTCGCGGGCTGCGCCAGGTCCTGGGGCACTTGAGGCCCGGGCGCTGGCTGCGCATGCGAAGGACTCCGGCGTCGAAAGCAACGCGCGGTGGCGCTGCAGCCGCACTGGAGAGCTGCACACGCGGCAGCACTCGGGGCAGCTGCAGCTCCTCCTCCAGCCACGTGGCGCCACGGCCTCGCAGGAGGGCGGCAGCAGCAGCATCTGCAGGTGCAGCTGAGAGTGGGGGACAGAAGAGGAGTAACTGTCACAGCGAGCCCCAAGACCCTGGGGTGCCACAGCTACATCCTAGAGCACTGTCCATCAGAACTTTCTGCAATGGTGGAAAGTTCTATGACAGTCACTAGCCACGTGGGACTCTTACACTCTTGAAATGTGGCTGGTGTATCAGAGGACCTGAATTTTAAATTGTATTACATTTCCCATAATCAGCACGGTGGCTCACACCTGTAACCCCAGCACTTTCGGAGGCCAAGGCGGGCGGATCACCTGAGGTCAGGAGTTCGAGACCAGCCTGGCCAACATGGTGAAACTCCTTCTCTACTAAAAGTACAAAAATTAGCCGGCCGTAGTGGTGCTCCCCTACAGTCCCAGCTACTTGGGAGGCTGAGGCAGGAGAATCGCTTGAACCCAGGAGGTGGAGGTTGCAGTGTGCCAAGATCGTGCCACTATACTGCAGCCTGGGCAACAGAGGGAGACTGTCTCAAAAAATACTAATTTCCCATAATCAAAATTTAAGCCACATATGGCTCCTACCTTATGGAACAATTCCAGAGACCACTGTCAACCAGTTGTAAACTGGAGGCCCAAGGGCCCAAAAGGCCTCACAGTTATATTTGGTTTGGGACACAAGGTACTTTTTAAACATTTTACTGGGCAGTATGTATATTTTTTGAGACAGAGTCTCACTCTGTCGCCCACGCTGGAGTGCAGTGGCATGCTTCTGGCTCACTGCAGCCTCACCCTCCCAGGCACAAGTGATCCTTCCACTTCAGTCTCCCAAACAGCTGGGACTACAGGCGTGGGCCACCACACATTTTGAGCCGGACCACTCTTTGTTGTGGGGGCCCATCCTGTGCACTGTAGAGTGTTGAGCAGCATCCTTGGCCTCCACCCACCAGATGGCAGTAGCACCCTCCCCCAACCCCAAGTTGTGACAACCCAAAATGTCTCTACACATTGCCCGTGTCCTCTAGGAGGCAACATGGCTCCTAGCTGAGAACCCCTGGTCTACTTAGACAATTATCCAACCTGAGTGTCTTGCCAAGATCCCTGATATAGTTAAGATGTCTGTCCCCTCCAAATCTTTTTTTTTTCTTTTTTTTTTTTTTTTTTGGAGATGGAGTCTTGCTCTGTTGCCCAGGCTAAAGTGCAGTGGCGCAATTCTAGGCTCACTGCAACCTCCAACTCCCGGGCTCAGGTGATTCTCCTGTTTCCACCTCCCAAATAGCTGAGATTACAGGTATGCACTACCACGCCCAGCTGTATTATATAAAATATAACAATTTTATATTTTTGGTAGAGACAGGTTTCACCATATTAGCCACCTGGTCTCCAACTCCTGACCTCAGGTGATCCACCTGCCTCAGCCTCCCAAAGTGCTGGGATTACAGGGTTGAGCCACCACACCTGGCCTCCTCCAAATCTCATGTTGAAATGTAATCCCCAGTGTTGGAGACGGGGCTTGGTGGGAGGCATTTGGATCATGGGGGTGGATCCTTCATGAATGGCTTGGTGCCATCCTCGAGGTAATGAGTGAGATCTCGCTGAGTTCACATGAGATCTAGTTGTTTAAAAGAGCATGTCAGGCTGAGCGTGGTGGCTCACGCCTGTAATCCCAACACTTTGGGAGGGCGAGGCGGGCAGATTACGAGGTCAAGATCAAGACCATCCTGGCCAACACGGTGTAACCTGGTCTCTACTAAAAACACAAAAATTAGCTGGGCGTGGTGGCAGGCGCCTGTAGTCCCAGCTACTTGGGAGGCTGAGGCAGGAGAATCACTTGAACCCGGGATGCAGAGGTTGCAGTGAACCGAGATTGTGCCACTGCACTCCAGCCTGGCAACAGAGCAAGACTCCATCTAAACAAACAAACAAACAAACAAACAAAAAAGCGTGTCACCTCCTGCCAGTCTTTTCCCCCCACCATGAGATATGCCAACTACCCCTTTACCTTTCACCATGATTGTAAGCTTCCTGAAGCCCTCGCCAGAAGCAGCTGCCAGGACCACACGTCCTGTATAGCCTGCAGAACCGTAAACCAATTAAGCTTCTTTTGTTTATAAATTACCCAGCCTCAGGTATTCACTCATAGAGACACAATGAAACTAACACAATCCCTCTCTTGAGTTTCAGACCATATAACTAGTGGCACTGTAGTGGCCACAACCCCCACCCCCACTGCTATCCCCAGAAATAATGACAACAATAAGCAACATTTATTGAGCCCTCACTCGGGAACAGCCATTGCTAAACGCACAGCATCCTCAGGGCAGAGCTACAAGGAAAGCACCATGAGGATCCCTGTTTTACAGATGAGGGAAGCAGAGCTCAAAGAGATCGTGTGATTGGCCTGAGGTCACACATCCGCAGGCGGGATGGCCAGGATAGCACCTGCCTCTGCCCACACCAGGTCAGTGCACATGACCCCTGTCAGCAAGCCACACACTTCCCTGTAATCCCACCATCGCCGCTGCCACCCCAGCGCAAACCACCACCACTTACGCCCAGCTTATAGCAGCAGCAGCCTCCGCCTCCATCACTCTCTCCCTCCCCTCTCGTTTTTTTTGTTGCTGTGTCTTTTTTCAGACAGAGTCTCACTCTGTCGCCCAGGCTTGAGTACAGTGGCACGATCTCAGCTCACTGCAGCCTCCACCTCCCAGGTTCAAGCGATTCTCCCGCCTCAGCCTCCTGAGTAGCTGGGATTACAGGCGCGCACCACCATGGCCGGCTAATTTTTTGTAATTTTAGAAGAGACAGGGTTTCACCCTGTTGCCCAGACTGGTCTCGAACTCCTGGCCTCAAGCGATCCGCCTGCCTCAGCCTCCCAAAGTCCTGGGATTATAGGCGTGAGCCACCATGCCTGGCCTTCTCCCTCCCTTCCCTATGGCAATTTCCAAGTGATTTTTTAAGCTCACAGAATCATTCCCTGACTTAAAACCTTCCCCTCTGAGACACAGCAACATATTGAGACCCTGTCTCTCCAAAAAAAATGATAATAATAATTAGGCAGAGGTGGTGGTGCCTGCCTACAGTCCCAACTACCCAGGAAGCTGAGACAGGATTGCCTGAGCCCAGGAGTTTCAGACTGCAGTGCGTCATGATCAAAACCTTCCCCTCTGCCCTTAGAGTAAACCCAGACACTCTGCAAGGCCCTGCGTAGACTGGCCCCCCAGCTGCCTTCCCTTCTGGGCACCATGGTGCTGGCTTTCCCTTGCCCAGTGCACCAGCCTCTCCCATCTGGAGAGCTTTTGTGCTAGCTCCTCCCCTCTCTGTGATGTTCCTTTCAGCCCCTCACAAGAGTGACTCCTTCCTGGCCTTCAGGTTTCAGCTCACAGAACACTTGGTCATAGCAGCTTTTAGTGACCGTGGTAGCTCCAGGTGCCCTGCTCTGCGTCCTCCGTCTGTTCATTTCCTTCACATCCCACAGCACAATCCATGATATGGCCTCGTTGATCTACTGCCTGCTGTGTTACTGCCTGCCTTCCCCACTCTCCAAGGCCCAGCTCCATCCTGGTCAACATTCTACCCTCAGAATCTATCAAAGGTCTTTCAGGAAACGGTAAGGAATCAATTCGATATTGGTTGAATGAATACATGAATGAATTTGATCGCCCCATCCAAAAGTGAAGCATTACCTCCCTACCCAGCTCCCCACCAAAGAGAACCCCTGCTCAACCCCAAGACATGATCATGAGGAAGCCACACCATCTAGACAAAATTCTTGCCACACCATCTAGAACTTTGGACGTCCCCATTTCCACCCACTCCCTCACTCCCCAAAGCCAGACAAGCACCAAGTTCCATCACCTCCACCCCCTGAGGGCACTGACCTCCGTTCTCCAAGCCAAGTTCTGGCCCCTTCCTTCTCACCTGGACCACCATATCTGGTACCCTGGCCTCCAGTTCCCCTCCCACACTGGCCTGACCCTGACAGATGCTTCTCACAGCTGTGTTGAATGCAACTTCAGCACCATGCATAACATTCTCCCGGCCCCCTTTACCCTCAGGACCAAGTCCGAGTTTCTCAGCCTAGAATTTGAGGCCCTTTGTGAGGTGGCCCAGCCACTTCCTCACCTCACTTCTCATTCCTGTGCTCCAAGCACACACGGCATCTCACAGCCCCCTGGCCAGACCTTGAATTTACACAGCTCCACACGCAAAGGCTTATGTGTTTTCCTCGCCCTGGGAATTCTTCCCCTTTCCTCTACTGGCAGCCTTCTCCTTAGCCTTCTGGAATCATGTATTCTGACCTCTCAAGTTGGCTAGGTGTCACCTATATGCCCTGCTCACCAGTCCACCAGCTCCTCTTTTTAAAATCCTCCCTATAGTATAACCCCCTCAGCCTGCCATGAAAGGCCTCTCACAACCTGGCCTCAGCCACCTTTCCCACCCTTGCCCTCACCCAACCTGTTCCAGACAGCTGCAGCGAATCATTCTGACTTCTCCATTTACACCTCAAATCTTGGGCCACTGTGACTGATTACTCATGTCCCCAAACTTCAGTTCACACTGCATATTCATATCCAGGGTCTCGATGAATCCTCTCAACGGTCCAGCGAGGCTGGCAATCAGATGCACTCCACAGCGCAGAGGGGGCAGAGGCCACTCAGATCTCCGGCCGGAGTGACCGATTGACCCCCGCTCCAGCACCCTCACCTCCCTCTGGCTGCCCAAACCCTCCCCAGCCTGCAGTCTGGGTCCTGCCTCCTTCAGGAACCTTTTCCTGGCCACCCCCTCTTCTCAAGGTCCACTATTCATCCCACTTTGTCTTCCCATGGGAAATAGCCCCTTCTCCCCTCGGGAAATAATACAGTGATGCCCAGGCCTGTGCCTCTGGGGCAATTGGGATCCAAGAAGCCCACCCTCAAGGCTTTCCGCCCTCCTCTTCCTATACCTCGTCCCCTGGTCACCGTAGCCCCTCCCCAAGCCTCC
The DNA here is from genome assembly GCF_000001405.40 of Homo sapiens. Lineage (NCBI taxonomy): Eukaryota > Metazoa > Chordata > Mammalia > Primates > Hominidae > Homo > Homo sapiens. The sequence continues at coordinate 55,635,187 of NC_000019.10, read as the reverse complement.
TTCGCAGGGCCTCTCAGTTTCCAACGCCCACTGCCCTGGGGGCCACTCTGTCCCACACCCCAAGTCCCTCACTTGGGCAGGACTCTTAAGAATGCCGTCACTGCTGAACCTGCTCACTCCCCGCAATCCGGCCCGGTCTCCCTATCCCTACGCAGCAAACTTTCACGTCCGGAAGCGGCCGCAGTGACGACTTCCGGGATGCTCCGACTTCTCCAGCAGCTTCCGGATTCGGAGAGCAGCAGGAAAGCACTCGGGCCAGAAACGCACCCACAAGAGAAAGGTTCCTGCGTCGCGCACCTTGCTACTCCACACACACACTACACAAAAGTTAAAATGAAATCACTATTTGGCGCCGTGCCGGATGCTGAGGGAGGGAATACAACAGAGATGGCTTTTGTCAAAAAAAAAAAAAAAAAAGGACTTTTCTTTCTTTTTTTTTTTTTTTTTTTTTTTTGAGACGGAGTCACGCTCTGTTGCCCAGGCTGGAGTGCAGTGTGTGATCTCGGCTCGCTGCAACCTCCACCTCCCGGGTTCAAGCTATTCTCCTGCCTCAGCCTCCCGAGTAGCTGGGATTACAGGTACACACCACCACCCTCGGCTAATTTTTGTACTTTTAGTAGAGATGGGGATTTCACCATGTTGGCCAGGCTGGTCTTGAACTCCTGACCTCAAGTGATCCACCCACCTCGGCCTCCCAAAGTGCTGGGATTACAGGCGTGTGCCACCGTACCCGGCCAGGAAAGACTTTCTAGAGTAGGAAAGACAGTACAAAGTCTTTCTACAAATAGGACCTGAAATCAGAAAGGTCTAGTGATTTGTCTGTTGCTACAGAGCAAAGGCAGAGGGCTGAAATTCTTCAACTCATGAGACAGTTGAAGACAGTCAGGCCCTAACTCTTGATTTGCTCCATGGCAAGAAAATGGAGTACCGTATCCCTATTGGTTAGGTGGTAACGCCAAGGCCATAGAGGGGCAGTCATTGGCCCTGGATCACACTGCTAGTCAAAGCTGGCTAGTAGGATGTAAAGACTTTTATTTTAAAAGTCTCAGGGCTGCCAAATTCATTATGCCAAAGGGAAGGTTAAGCCTGGAGACTGAGTTATGCAACACTGCTATCTGCTTCCCAGATCAACAGCTGTTGCTTCAGAACCTTGTGTCAAAGCATTACACGTTAGCCAGACCCTCACAGAAAAACAAAGCGCCTCAAGTACCTCCACGTGACCACCAGTACACATTGTTGTTTGCTGTCCTCCATCCTCCCATAAAACAAGAACATGGGCCGAGTGCTGTGGCTCACGCCTGTAATCCCAACAATTTGGGAGGTCGAGGCGGGCGGATCACCTGAGGTCAGACGTTCAAGACCAGCCTGGCCAACATAGTGAAACCCCATCTCTACTAAAAAAAAAAATACAAAAAAAAAATTAGTCAGGCGTGGTGGCGCACACCTGTAATCCTAACTACTTGGGAGGCCCAGGCAGGAGAATCGCTTGAACCTGGGAGCTGGAGGTTCCAGTGAGCCAAGATGGCGCCACTGCATTCCAGTGTGGATGACAGAGTGACTCTGTCTCAAATAAAAATAATAATAAGAAGAAGAACATGTCCCTTGTAACTTTAGGTTTGCAATCTAAGTCTAGCTCCTAAAACTAAAGTCTGTTAGGTTTCCCACTGATAATGCTTATCTTCCCAGGTACAGAACAAAAACGATGAGCTCAATCATTCTTCCATCTGTCACCCTCTTCCCACCTGCCTTCCCTCCTTTAAGGAAATGTATAAATACTAAGCCTCCTGAAAACCTTTCCATAAGCCACAGAGGTTTTCTGTGACTCTTGCCTTTCCCAGGTCTGCCCTCAAGCTCTGGATATATAAGCTCTGGAGTGATTGAGGCTCTTGCCTCAGTAACTTATTTTGGTTAACAATGATGTCACTTCCCTCTGCAAGGCTATGTGATGGAGGGAAATGATATCCAGCTCTAAAGATAACCTAAAGAGGCCGGACGGGGTGGCTCACACCTGTAATCCCAGCACTTTGGGAAGCTGAGGCGGAGGATCATCTGAGGTCGGGAGTTCGAGACCAGCCTGACCAACATGGAGAAACCCCGTCTCTACTAAAAATACACAATTAGCCGGGCGTGGTGGCGTGTGACTGTAATCCCAGCTACTCAGGAGGCTGGGGCAGGAGAAGTACTTGAACCCAAGAAGCGAAGGTTGCAGTAAGCCGAGATGGCACCATTGCACTCCAGCCTGGGCAACAAGAGTGAAACCCTGTCTCAAAAAATAAATAAATAAAATCAAGTAGGTGGCCTCAGCCTTCTCAGCCGGCCAGGATATGCTGGGCCAACTCCTGGAAATGTTGGGAACAGTGGGCAGAGAGGCAGTGACCGTCCACCCAGCTGGTTAGCCAGTGTTGGCAGAGGCTGCTGGAGTACTTAAAAGACCTTTCCACTGGACCACACACATGTTCATATCATAGGGCCAGGAGGATGCTGAGTGTGAGACATGATGCTGTGTGAAGTAGAGCAGGCTCGTGAAGGTTTGTAGGAACTCAGGGCAAGGCTGGGAACTGGGCCCTCTTTCTTTGCCTCCTCCTGAGCTGTCTTCTTAAACCACAGTACTACGTGTGTAGGGCACCCCCTGGTGGTCAATAAGGTAATGACAGTTTGGACTTAAGGATACAAGTGAGGACAAAATAGGTGAGCAACTCATCCTGGTTTGGGAGAAGTCCTGGGACTATCCAGTTTTAAAACTGAGAGGAAAAAATAAAGAAGAACAAGGCAAGAAAATAGATGTCTTAGATTTGGCAAATCACCACCATCTGGCTGTTGACAAGGAGACAAGTTATTCCCATTTTATCGATGGGGCTGCTGAGACCAGAGAGTAAACTGCCCATTCACAAAGTCCAGCAGGTGCAGAGTTAAAATAGATTACCCGCCTCCTGAGCGAGACTAACGGGGGAAAGAAGACCAGCAGTTACCCTAGGTGGCAAGTAAATCTTTCTCACTTTTTTTTTTTTTTTTTTTTTTTTTTTTTGAGAAGGAGTTTCGTTCTCGTTGCCCAGGCTGGAGTGCAATGGCGAGATCTCAGCGCTGCTCACCGCGACCTCCGCCTCCCGCGCTCAAGCAATTCTCCTGCCTCAGCCTCCCGAGTAGCTGGGATTACAGGCATGTGCCACCACTCCGGGCTAATTTGTATTTTTAGTAAAGACGGGGTTTCTCCATGTTGATCAGGCTGGTCTGGAACTCCTGACCTCAGGTGATCCGCCCGCTTCGGCCTCCCATAGTGCTGGGATTACAGGCCTGAGCCACCGCACCTGGCGGATTGATCTTTATTGGACACCTGCTGCGACAGGGAACCCTCCTAGGCCTCGTGGGGGCGACAAAGACCAAAATATCAAAATGTCTCACCCACCTTAGAACCTGGAAGAAGCAGGTAGGGACTACTGTGTTTCCTCTAGCCTGCAGAAGCTCAAGTTCAAAGACTCGTTCAGCCTCACTAAGGAACCTTACGTAACTCACGACTAGAATTTGGAAGAAGGCCCTTTGGTTTCTCAAATTCAGCAGTAACATTTCACAGATAAGGAAACTGAGGACCAGAGAGGTTGAATGAAATTATGGCGATAGGCCTGGTGCGGTGGCTCACGCCTGTAATCCCAGCACATTGAGAGGCCGAGGTGGGTGGATCAGGAGGTCAGGAGTTTGAGCCCAGCCTGGCCAAGATGGTGAAACCCCGTCTCTACTAAAAATACAAAAATTAGCTGGGTGTGGTGGCAGACGCCTGTAATCCCAGCTACTCGGGAGGCTGAGGCAGGGAACTGCTTGAACCCAGGAGGTGGAGGTTGCAGTGAGCCAAGATCGCGCCACTGCACTCCAGCCTGGGTGACAGGGCAAGACTCCGTCTCAAAAAAAAAAAGAAAGAAATTATGGCGGCTAGACACGGTAGCTCACGTCTGTCATCCCAGCACTTTGGGAGGTCAAGTCGGGAGGATTGCTTGAGCCCAGGAGTTCAAGACCAGCTTGGGCAACATGGTGAAGCCCTGTCTCTACAAAAAAATACAAAACAGCCGGGCATGATGGCGTGAACACTTGTAGTCCAAGTTACTCAGGAAGCTGAGGTGGGAGGATCACTTGAGCCCAGGAGGTCGAGGCTGCAGTGAGCTATGATTGTGCCACTGCACTCCAGCCTGGATGACAAAGCAAGACCCCATCTCAAAAAAAAAAAAAAAAGAAAGAAAGAAAGAAACAAAGAAAGAAAGAAAAAGAGACCGGGCGTGGTGGCTCACGCCTGTAATCCCAGAACTTTGGGAGGCCGAGGCGGGCGGATCACGACGTCAGGAGATCGAGACCATCCTGGCTAACACGGTGAAACCCTGTCTCTACTAAAAATACCAAAAAAAAAAAAAAAAAAAATAGCCAGGCGAGGTGGCGGGTGCCTGTAGTTCCAGCAACTCGGGAGGCTGAGGCAGGAGAATGGCGTGAACCCGGGAAGACAGAGCTTGCAGTGAGCCGAGATTGCGCCACTGCACTCCAGCCTGGGCGACAGAGCAAGATTCTGTCTCAGAAAAAAAAAAAAAGAAAAAGAAAGAAAGAAGGAAAAAGAAAAAGGGGCCGGGCACAGCAGCTCATGCCTGTAATCCCAGCACTTTGGGGGGCCGAGGCAGGCGGATCACTTGAGGTCAGGAATTCGAGACCATCCTGGCCAACATGGTGAAACTCTGTCTCTACTACAAATACAAAAATTAGCCGGGCGTGGTGGCAGGCGCCTGTATTCCCAGCTACTTGGGAGGCTGAGGCAGGAAACTCGCTTGAGCCCAAGAGGTAGAGGCTGCAGTGAGCCAAGATCATGCCACTGCACTCCAGCCTGGGCGACAGAGTGAGACTTTCTGTCAAAAAACAAACAAACTGGCCCGGCGCGGTGGCTCACGCCTGTAATCCCAGCACTTTGGGATGCCGAGGCGGGCAGATCACGAGGTCAGGAGATCGAGACCATTCTGGCTAACACAGTGAAACCCCGTCTTTACTAAAAATACGAAAAATCAGCCGGGCGTGGTGGCGGGTGCCTGTAGTCCCAGCTACTCGGGTGGCTGAGGCAGGGGAATGGTGTGAACCCTGGGGGCAGAGCTTGCAGTGAGCCGAGATTGCGCCACTGCACTCCAGCCTGGGAGACAGAGCAAGACTCTGCCTAAAAAATAAAAATAAAAATAAAATTGCATAGTAAACATCCATATACCTACCATACCAGGTTTATAGTTTTTAAATATCATCTGCAGTTTGATCCTGAAAGGTCATCATGTTCAGCCGATTATTTTTTTAAACTGCTTTATTGAGGTGTAATTCACATATCACTACATATATAATTCGCCATTTAGAGGTGTGTGTGTGTGTGTGTGTGTGTGTGTGTGTGTGTGTATGTGTGTTTTTGAGACATATTCTTGCTCTGTGCCCAGGCTGGAATGCACTGGCACGATCTCGGCTCACTGCAACCTCTGTCTCTTGGGTTCAAGCGATTCTCCTGCCTCAGCCTCCGGAGTAGCTGCGATTACAGGCCCAGCTAATTTTTGTATTTGTAGTGGAGACGGGGTTTCACCATGTTGGCCAGGCTGGTCTCCAACTCCTGACCGCAGGTGATCCTCCTGCCTTGGCCTCCCAAACTGCTGGGATTACAGGCGTGAACCACCGCGCCTGGCCTCTTTGTAGTTTTTTTGAGACGGAGTCTCACTCTGTTGCCCAGGCTGGATTGCAATGGCACGGTCATGGCTCACTGCAGCCTCAACCGCCTGGGCTCAGGAAATCCTCCCACCTCAGCCTGCTAAGTAGCTGGGACTACAGGCATGCACCACTACACCGGGCTTTTTTTGTTTTTGTTTTTTGTTTTTGTTTGTTTGTTTGGTTTTTGGTAGAGATGGCTGTCATGATGTGTTGCCCAGGCTGGTCTGGAACTGCTGGGCTCAAGGGATCCTCCTGCCTCTGCCTCCTAAAGTGCTAGAATTAGAGGCGGAAGCCACTGAACCCCACCCAATTCACCCATTTAAAGTGTATAATTCAATAGTCAGTATATTCATAGTTGTGTGCACATATCATGATAGTCAACGTTAGAACACTTTCATCACCTCAAAAAGAGATCCCATGCCCTTTAGGTATCACTCCTCTATTCTTCCTTCCCCCCAACTCTCTATCCCCACCCAACCTAAGGAACCACAAAGCTACACTCTGCCTCTATAGATTTCCCTATTCTGGTGTTAATAGAATCTTAATAATATGTGGTCCTTTGTGCCTGGCTTCTTTCACTTAATATATTTTTAAATTTTATTTTATTGACACATAATATTTTACAGAGTTTGGGGTACATGTATTTGTTACACGCATAGAATGTGTAATGATCAAATCAAATCGGGGCATTTGGGGTAACCACCATCTTGAGTGTTTATCATTTCTATGTGTTGGGAACATTGCAAGTGCTCTCTCCTAGCTACTTTGAAATACACGGACTGGGCGTGGTGGCTCACACCTGTAATCCCAGGACTTTGGGAGGCCAAGGCGGGTAGATCACCAGGTCAGGAGTTCTAGACCAGCCTGGCCAACATGGTGAAACCCCATCTCTACTAAAAACACAAAAATTAGCTGGGCGTGGTGGTGGGCACCTATAATCCCAGCTACTCAGGAGGCTGAGGCAGGAGAATCGCTTGAACCCGGGAGGCAGAGGTTGCAGTGAACCGCGATCGAGCCACTGCACTCCGGCCTGGGCAACAAGAGCGAAACTCCATCTCAAAAAAAAAAAAAAAAAAGTATGTCTTCTCTGTAACTATGTTGGTACCCATTAACCAACCTTCATTCATCCCTCCTTCCACCACACACCCTTCCCAGCCTCTAAGTTAGCATAATGCTTTAAAGGTTCATCCATGTTGTCATGTGGATCAGTATTTTATTCATTTATGGCCAAATAATATTCCACTCTATGGATATACCACATGTTGTTTATGTTTATGGACATCTGGGCTGTTTCTGCTTTTTGGCTGTTATGAATAGCATTTGTTTACAAGTTTCTGTGTGAATGTATATTTTCAGTTTTCTTGGGCACATAGAAAAATGAAAGGGAGAGGAACTGCAGAGCCATCTAGCTAATTCTATCAGCCAATTTCTTTTAAAAGGCAGGAAATCTAGGCTCCGTGAGGAGAAGTGAAGTGCTCAGGTTTTACAGGAAGATAGAGATGGAGAGAAGCGAGGCAAATCTGATTCCAAGTCCAAGACTCTTCCTGGCATTTTCTTTTATTTTTTTATTTTTTTATTTTAAGATGGAGTCTTGCTCTGTCTCCCAGGCTGGAGTGCAGTGGTGCAATCTTGGCTCACCGCAACCTCCGCCTCTCCAGTTCAAGCAATTCTCCTGCCTCATCCTCCCGAGTAGCTGGGATTACAGGCGCCCACCACCACGCCCGGCTAAAATCTTCTTGCAATTGTCTAATGGCTCCGTGTAGCAGGGCTTCTAGCCTCAAGTCATGCAATAGCCTGTTAGTGTTATGCCAGGTACCGAGGGACTCAGAAGCCAGACAACAGGTGAAAAGGCAAGGAACCCAGATTCATTTTTAAATTTTAAAATTTTATATTTATTTTATTTTATGTTTATTTATTTGTTGAGACAGGGTCTCACTTTATCACCCAGGCCAGAGTGCAGTGGTGTGATCTTGGCTCACTGCAGCCTCAACTTCCCAAGCTCAAGCAATCCTCCTGCCTCAGCTCCCCAAGTTCCTGGGACTACAGGCGTGCTCCACTGTGCATGTTAATTTTTGTATTCTTAGTAGAGAATACCAAGCCCAGGCAGAACCCACATTTATTGAGCACCAGTTGGTTCCAGGCATCACACAGACCTTTGGCATTCTCAATCAGTGGCATTCTAACTACAACCCTGCCAAATGACATTATGGTGCCCACTTTGTAGATGTCAGCTAGACACTTAGAGGAGACATTGCTTGCCCAGAGTTGCACAGCAAGCAGATAAACGGATCTGGACCCAGGTTTGCCTGATTTGAAAGCTTATGGTAATTCCACTAAACAGTGCTCTCCTCTGCAAATATTTAATAGCTTTAGTGGGGGTGGGGAGGAAAAAAAAGGGAAAAAATACTCAATAGCCTTAAGCTCTGGTACAAAGTTCTTCTATCTGCATGAATTCAATTTCTCACTCATTCATTCACCAAACACTCACTGAGCCATATACATGCCTTCTCTATAGGGATGTACAGAGGGGATACAGAGATGACATACTTCCAGCTCTCAAAAAAGGGAAACTGGAGGATGAGTTCTGGGTGCTATGAATGATCTCTTTTAATAAAGAGCTTCTCAATAAGAAATAGACCAGGCGCAGTGGCTCATGCCTGTAATCCCAGCACTTTGGGAGGCCGAGGCGGGCCGATCAGCTGAGGTCAGGAGTTTGAGACCTGCCTGGCCAACATATGGTGAAACCCTGTCTCTACTAAAAACAAAAAACAAAACAAAACAAAAATACAAAAATCAGCTGGGCTGTAACACCCTGGGAACAAATCCGAACGTTCCTTCTAAACCAACGCAGGCCGACTCGAGGCTCTAGCAGTCAGTGGAAGACCTCAGCGGAACTGAAGAGGCTTTGCTTTGTTTCCACAGTAAAGGTTTTTGTGGTTACCTCTGCACCACTTGCGATAACGTAATGACGTGTCACACCTGTAGTCCCAGCTACTTGGGAAGCTGAGGCAGGAAATTTGTTTGAACCAAGGAGGTGGAGGTTGCAGTGAGCTGAGATCACGCCACTGCACTCCAGCCTGGGCTGTTTCTCAAAAAAAAGAAAAGAAATGAAATTATTTCACACCCAAGAGATTAGCGAACATTTTAAAGTTTGAGTATCAGATATTGATAGGAATGTTAAGCAACAAAGGTCCCTATTTATTGCTAGTGGGAGTGCCAAATGGTAGTAATTATTATAGCTAACTCATAGCACCTGCTGTGTGCCATACATTGTCCAAAATACTTTATATATAATGACTTCTTTAATCATCATAGCAACTGTGTAAAGTAGGTTTTATTATCACCCTCATTTTGCAAATTAGGAAACCTGGACAGAAAGAGCTGACTTAAGCATTAGACACAGTAGTAGATACAGTGCCTAGGGCCCATGATACTCTTAGGGACCCACAACATTTAAAAATTTATTTTAGGCCGGGCGCAGTGGCTCACACCTGTAATCCCAGCACTTTGGGAGGCCGAGGTGGGCGGATCACCTGAGGTCAGGAGTTCGAGACCAGCCTGGCCAACATGGTGAGACCCTGTATATACTAAAAATACAAAAATTAGCCGGGCATGGTGGCGGGCACCTGTAATCCCAGCTACTCAAGAGGCTGAGGCAGGAGAATCGCTTGAGCCCGGGAGGCAGAGGTTGCAGTGAGCCATGATCATGCCACTGCACTCCAGCCTGGGCGACAGAGTGAGACTCCATCTCAAAAAAAAAAAAATTATTTTAAAATCAAAAGAAAAGAAGGGAAATATAGCTTTGGAAGACCAAGGCAGAAGGATCGCTTAAGGCTAGGAGTTCAAGACCAGCCTGGGCAAGGCAAGACAGCAAGATCCCCATCTCTATAAAAGAAGAAGAAAGGAGGAGGAGGAGATAATTCAGCCTAAGTGGTGTTTATCTTTATTTTATACCAACATATCACAAAATATAATTTCATATATATTTATGAATGAAATGATCATGCTTAGGATCATGTTTAAGTATCTCCTATCCTGCCCTTTCAAGAAAACTATTTAAAGATGTTTCCAAACTCTTCCATGTCTCTTCTCAGTGGTTTGTCACAATGCTTCTACAGTGCTACACAAAAGAAAGAGAAATGGTCCAGAGAAGTGTAGTGACTTATCCAAGGTGATACCACCAGAATGACTAAACGGGGCAGCTAAGAAGAGCCCCGTCCTTGATGCTGCTGAAAACCCCGCGTTTTTGAGCTCTTTCCTCCCAAACATAACATCAGCTTGCGGGTTTTTGCGTCCTCCCAGGACCACCTGTGTTGCTGTTTACTGAATATTTTTCTCCACACTGCCTTTTTTTTTTTTTTTTTTGACAGAGTCTCTGTCACTCAGGCTGCATGCAGTGGCGAGATCATGGCTCACTGCAGCCTCGACCTCCCGGCCTCAAGCGATCCTCCCACCTCAGCCTCCCGAGTAGCTGAGAATACAGGCATGAGCCACCGCACCCGGCCTACACCGACGTTTATAAACTTGGCGTCATTACGTTGTCATGAGCAGTGCAGAGGTAATCACAAAAACGTTTACCGTGGAAACAAAGCAAAGCTTCTTCAGTTCTGCTGAGGTTCCCCTGACAGCCAGAGCCTCGAGTCGGCCTGCGTTGGTTTAGAAGGAACGTTCGGATTTGTTCCCAGGGTGTTACAGGCATCCTAGCGCCACACAGAGCGTACCCTCGGAGGGACAGACAGGTAATTAGAGAGGGAACAACTCACATTCTCCCGGGCTCAGCCGCCACGCCCCGCCCCGCCACGCCCCCTGCTGCACCACGCCCCCTCGCAGCCCCGCACTGCGCCTGCGCAGTAGCTCTTACGCCAGTTCGAGCCCCACCCCCTTTCAGAGCGAACATTGGCCTTGGGGGCGGGGCTTGGGCACAAGATGGCCGCTGCGCGCCCAGAGGCCCAGAGTCGGAGCTCACCGACTCCGGAGTCGCGATCCCAGGAGCCACTGGACCTGGTGCGGGCAAGGAAGGGGCCTGGGCGTGGGGCTCGAGGTGGGAGGAGGTCGTAGTGTGGGGGGCGGGTCCGGGGCGTGGCCTATGAGGGGGTGGGCGAGGGAGGTATTTAGTGCTATGGCCCTGGGGGTGGGGCTTCTTGTGGTTTCGCGAGGGGCGGGGCAGGGGAGGAGACTATGTCATGGTGGGCGGGGTGGGGGAGGGACCTATGGGTGGTGGGCGGGGCCTGGATGGGGGCGGAGTCTGAGGACGGTGTTGTCTTGTGGGACGGGTTTGGGTCCAGGGAAGGGGGCTTACCAGGGATAATTTGCATAATTTGGGTGGAGCCTTGTAAGGGGCGGGGCCTCATAAATTCTAGGGCTAATTCTAGGGTAGAAGGTTGGGAAGGTGACCCTGAAAAACGTGGGGGATTATGATTGGAGCACCTATGTCGGGGTAGGGGATAATTCTTCAAGGGTCTTAGTGATGCTTCTCGAATGCCCAAGGGAGAATTTGGGGGTAGAAGTGGGTGGTCTAGGTGACTTTGGAACTTCCTCCACGTTACCCCACTCAGAATTAGACTAATTGAGGACATTCATTCATTCAACAAACATTTACTGAGCTCCTACTTCGGCTCTGTAAATAGAGAAGTGACCAAGACAGACAAGGGTTGTGTTCTTTTGGAGCCTGCAGTCTCTTGAGAGGAGAGAGACAATAAAGGAGAGTTACTGTGATATGTTCTATAAAGGAAATAAAAATTGAGCCAATTTCTATAAATTGAGCCAAGAGTAGGGGTGGGGCAGCTAAATTTAGACGAGAGAAGTCAGCTGGGTGCCGGCTTATGTTTAAGCTGGGGTCAGAGAGATAAGTGGAGCTACATCGCCACAGATATTATAGTGACGATTTGGGATAAGTCATTTGGAGCCACTGGAGGGTTTTGAGTGCGAAAAATGACTTGATCTGATTTACATTTTCAAAAGACCTTCAGGCTATTCCTGGGAGGTGGGTTACAAGCCAGCAGAAATAGGAACAGAGATGCCCTTGGGTTTTTCAATTTTGGAGGCGCCAAGTGATGGGGCTTTAACTAGGGTGGAGGACAAAAGGTGGGATCCATGATATATTTTGGACAGGAGAGGAAATGTTGATGAGGATACAACAGAATCCTGGAGGATGGGCCGGGCGCGGCGGCTCACGCCTGCAATCCCAGCACTTTAGGAGGCAGAGCCAGAAGGATCTCTTGAGCCCAGTAGTTGGAGACCAGCCTGGGCAACATAGTGGGACTCCCTCTACATTAAAAATAATAATAATAATTTTTGTTTGTTTTGCTGTCTAAGATGGAGTCTTGTTCTGTCGCCTGAGCTGGAGGGCAGTGGCATGATCACATCTCACTGCAACCTCCACCTCCTGGGTTCAAGCGATTCTCGTGTCTTAGTCTCCCGAGTAGCTGGGATTACAGGCAGCAGCCACAACACCTGGCTAATTTTTGCATTTTTAGTAGAAACGGTATTTGCCATGTTGGCCAGGCTGGTTTCGAACTCCTGACCTCAGGTGATCTGCCTACCTCAGCCTCCCAATGTGCTGGTATTACAGGCCTGAGCCACCGTGCCCAGCCAGAAATAATTTTTTTTTAACTAGCTGGATGTGGTGGTGCATGCCTGTAATCCCAGCTACTCAGGGAGATGAAGTGGGAGGATCGCTTGAGCCCAGGAGGTCAAGGTTGCAATGAGCCACGATCGCGCCAGGGCAACAGAGTGAGGCCCTGTCTGAAAATAACAGAGGAGCCCAAGCTTTAATAATTGGGGCGTGCTGGGGCGGTCCTGAGGCAGGTTCCACAGGCTCCTCTTTCTTCTCCTCTTGCCCAGGTCCTGGTGCCTGATGACTGCCGGCCTGGCACACCCCCGAGTGACCTCATCGAGATCCAGGTGGTGAAGGTGACGGACACCACGCTGGTCCCTGAGCCCCCGGAGCCAGGTTCTTTCCACTGTGCCTTGTGCCCTGCTGCCTTCCGGCTGGTTTCCGAGCTGCTGTTCCACGAACATGGCCACTTGGCTGGGGCCGAGGGAGGCGGGCAGGGTGGGGACCCGAGCCGGTGCCACGTGTGCGGCCACAGCTGCCCGGGCCCCGCCAGCCTGCGCGCGCACTACAGCTTGCACACGGGGGAGCGGCCCTACCGCTGCGCGCTCTGCCCCCGCGCCTTCAAGGCCTTGGCGCCCCTGCTCCGGCACCAGCACCGGCACGGGGTGGAGCCGGGCACCTCTCGGAGGCCTCCGGACACAGCGGCCGTTGCAGAACAGAGGCCCGGGGTGGCCCCGGAGAGGGCGGAGGTGGTGATGGCGGCGGCGGCGGCGGGCGCAGCGGTGGGGAAGCCTTTTGCCTGCAGGTTCTGCGCCAAGCCCTTCCGCCGCTCCTCAGACATGCGAGACCACGAGCGCGTGCACACTGGCGAGCGGCCATACCATTGCGGCATCTGCGGCAAGGGCTTCACCCAGTCCTCGGTGCTTAGCGGCCACGCCCGCATCCACACTGGCGAGCGCCCGTTCCGCTGCACGCTCTGCGACCGCACCTTCAACAACTCCTCCAACTTCCGCAAGCACCAGCGCACCCACTTCCACGGGCCGGGGCCGGGGCTGGGAGACTCTGGAGGCCAGCTGGGCTCGTCGGCGGCTGAGGGGTCGGGGAGCGGGTGTGGGGTAGGGGACCCTGCGGAGGAGGGGCGGGGGGAGACCGCGAAGGTGAAGGTGGAGGCCGACCAGTAGGCTGCAGACCAGGGACATGGGTTAGTTAAGGCGGAGGTACGAGGCCGACCCGGGGAGGGGGACGGGGTGGGGAAACGGAGGCAGGGGACAGAAGAGGGGAGATTGGGGGAGAGATGACAGCTGCAGGGATGGTTGTGAGCCGCTAGTGATGGAGAGCAGAGGGAGAGGGCCAGGCTCCAGACTCCCACACGCCCACACAGCACCTCTGCCAGGCCTAGGAGAGGACAGGTGCAGCTCTTGCAGCTCTGCGGGTGTGCGGCCAAAGGCAAGGCCCACGGGCTGGATGTCACTTCCCCGACTGTCTCTTGGTTGGCTTGTCCTTGTGCAAGACCCAGCCTGTCACGACAGAGCCTGGGCACTTCAGAGGAGGAGCCAGGATCGAATGGAAGGGGGGAATTGGGGTCCACCATAGTCTTCTGCTCTGGTCCTCCACGGGTGGACCAGGATGGAGTCTCCTGCCTACCTCACTGCATTGCACTGGACCTGGGATGCCTATCCACCCTCTGGCAGAAGACACTCACCAGGTTATCTGTGAAGAGACTCTGGGATCCCATCACCTCAAAGCCAGAGGGTCCCCAAGTCACCGCTGAGAGCACTTGAGCCTCAAGGATGTAAGCCTGACCATAGGATCTTGACTCCAACAGCGGCAACCCCCACCCCCATTGTGGTCCGTCCTTAACCCATCCACTCTTCTTCGGAGGCAACTGAGAACACATAAAGCAAGCAGCTACCTAGCATCCCCCTCCTAAAGCTTTAGACTCAGAGCCCAGGGTCCCCCACAAGCCTCAAGGTAGCCTCAGGTTTCTCTAATTTCCTCCACTCCCAGTTCGAAGCAAACAGCTTACTGCCTAGTCCCCGCCAATCCCAAGGGCGGGCTGGCTGATGGCAGCATGGTGGGCTGGCCTGGGTGTGGAGTGAAAGAGTCACTGTGGTGGGGGCGAGAGGAGGACTTGGGAGCTGGAGGTGTGACACCTTCAGTTCTGTTCCTATTAAAGGACCTTCTGAAGGGCTTCTCTGTCGGTCTTGTATTCGGATTGTCCGCTTTGGGGAGTTGGGGGAGGAGGGGCCTCACCATGGTTTTGCCACCAGCAGTCAGTTGCATCATCTCTTCCTCCAAGCTTCTGTTTCCCCATCATCAGAATGGGGGGTGAGTAGGCCCCACTGTGGTTACGTGTTATGTGGTTCAGCTGTAGGAGAGGGGGGTCAGGGAAGTTTGGCAAAAGCACACTCAACATGCTTTGCATGCTTGTTGAGTGAGAGCCTCTGATTTGCACACCTTTCTGTTCACCCAGTGGGCCCCATGAGATAACTCACAGGCAACTCACAATGTGAACAGAACTCATTCCATTTTCCTCAAAGAAACCTCCATGCTTCTGATGTCATTGGCACCACCACCCAAGCTGGATACCTGGGCAGGTTTAAACCTTCTTCATCCTCATTCTTATGTCCAGTCCCTTATCAGTTTCCCTCAGTTGAGCCAGTTAATATCTTTGGAACTGGAACGTGTTTTCGGCATCACTACACTTGTAGACCAACAGTGGTCTCACACACAGACAACTGCACAGCAGTCCAGTGCCTGCATTTTTTTTTTTTTTTTTTTTTTTTTTTTTTTTTTTTTTTTTTTTTGAGATGGAGTTTTGCTCTTGTTGCCCAGGCTGGAGTCCAATGGCACAATCTCTGCTCACTGCAACCTCTGCCTCCTGGATTCAAGCACTTCTGCCTCAGCCTCCTGAGTAGCTAGGATTACAGGTGGGCGCCATCACGCTCAGTTCATTTTTGTATTTTTAGTAGAGATGGGGTTTCATCATGTTGGCCAGGCTGGTCTCAAATTCCTTACCTCAGGTGATCTACTCGCCTCGGCCTCCCAAAGTGTTGGGATTACAGGCGTGAGCCACTGCACCCGGCCACCTGCCCTCTTCATTCTCCATATGGCATCCATGCAGATCCTTGTCACCAAGACACAGCTCCTTGTGGCTTTGAGACGATTTGGAAATGTGAATGCCTACAGGAGCTGGGTGAAAATGTAAATACACGAGCAAGACGGCCAGGTTCAAGGGGAAAATATCAGCAACATGAAATAATGGCGATTGCCACCAGGTCTCAGAATTGGTATTCAACAAATTGGAGAGTGCCTCTTCAGAAGAGGGTAATGGCTGCTCAGCTCCGGAACACAGATTGGGTTGCCACATCTTCCAGTTTCTTTCAGAAGTTCCATTAGTTCACATTATGTAAAATCTTTTGATTTCCCAATGTTGGCAGTCAAGTCAAACTTTTTAAAAAATGCACAGACTAAACAAAAATGTGTTAGTGGTCATATTCGGCCTTGCAGCTGCCAGTTTCCAGCCTCTAGCCTATAAAATCACCCAAGCCCCACAGTTTGGAATTCAAGACCCTTCAGGGTTTAGCCCCCAGGAACCCAACCTCCAGCCATACTAATCTGTCTTAAATGCTCCAGAATAGCAGGGTTTAGTTCAACACACTAAACTCTCCGCCTGGAAATCTTTGCCACTTCTTTTTTTTTTTTTTTTTCTTATTTATTTATTTTTTTGAGACAGAGCCTTGCTCTGTCGCCCAGGATGGAGTGCAGTGGCATGATCTCGGCTCACTGCAAGCTCCGCCTTCTGGGTTCATGCCATTCTCCTGCCTCAGCCTCCCGTGTAGCTGGGACTACAGGCGCCTGCCACCTGCTCCCACCACCACACCCGGCTGATTTTTTGTATTTTTAGTAGAGACAGGGTTTCACCGTGTTAGCCAGGATGGTCTGGAGCTCCTGACCTCGTGATCCACCTGCCTCGGCCTCCCAAAGTGCTAGGATTACAGGCATGAGCCACCGTGCCCGGCCTCTTTGCCACTTCTTTACCTGGAAAACTCCAGTTGGTTTATGTCATCGTTCAGGGATCACCTTCTCCCCAAGAAGCTTTTCTAGCCCCCCTTCCACTCTGACAGGTGACTCCTCTGTGCTCCCTCAAGCCCTAGTGATACTTCCAAGTCCCTTACACTGTGAGGCTCCATTTCCATGTTACTGCTGAACCCTGAACCCTGGGGGCACTGGCACAACGTCTGTCTCATGCTGGGTCTTCAGCATTAGAACATGGAGCCACACAGGGTAGCTGCTCTCCCATGGGTCACACAGGACTCACCCAAGCAGCGCTCTTACCTAGTTTCATCTTCAAGTTTCTTTTTTTCCTTTTTTTTTTTTTTTTTTTTTTTTGAGATGGAATCTCGCTCTTGTCGCCTAGGCCGGAGTGCAGTGGCGCAATCTCAGCTCACTGCAACCTCCACCTCCTGGGTTCAAGTGATTCTCCTGCCTCAGCCTCCCGAGTAGCTGGGATTACAGGCACCTGCCATCACGCCCAGCTAATTTTTGTACTTTTAGTAGAAAGGATGGTTCACCATGTTGGCCAGACTGGTCTCGAACTCCTGACCTCAGGTGATCTGCTCGCCTTGGGCTCCCAAAGTACTGGGATTACAGGCATGAGCCACTGCACCTGGCCTCATCTTCAAGTTTCTGTACTGAAGTACTCTGGGACTGAAGTCCAAATTATTTATTTGTTGAGATGGAGTCTCACTCTGTCACCCAGGCTGGATGCAGTGGTGCGATCTCAGCTCACTGCAATCTCTGCCTCCTGAGTTCAAGTGATTCTCCTGCCTCAGCCTCCTGAGTAGCTGGGATTACAGATGCCCACCACCATGTCCAGCTAAGTTTTGTATTCTTAGTAGAGATGGGGTTTCACCACTTTGGCCAGGCTGGTCTCAAACGCCTGACCTCAAGTGATCTGCCCGCCTCGGCCTCCCAAAGTGCTGGGATTACAGGCGTGAACCACCATGCCTGGCCTGGAGTCCAAATTCTGTGGATTTTTGAGATGTCCCTGGAGCACCTTTGTTCTTCAGGACCCCAGGCCCTTCTTCTAACAAATGAGATAACTAAACACACATTGCCAGGCATACATCTTGCTGTTCCCAGAGCCAACATGAGAGCTGTGAACGGGCTTTTGAATCTCCCAATCATTACCCTGGAGGACAAGTGCTAAGAGGGAGCTGTATCATGACCATCAGTCTGCACATGGTTGTGAGGCAGCCACGGCAGCCGGATGGGAGTTCTCTTTTGTGTTACTTGAGGCCAAGGGGCACGTCCAATTCATCTGTTTCCCCAGTGCCCAGCTCAGGGCCTGGCAGGCAGGAGGTCTCCGGAAGTGGTGGTGGAGTGAACAAAGGCTGAAAGCATCCGGAAGGGGAAGAGTCGGGGCATGTTAAGTCAGTTCCTGAGAGCAGACACTTACCTGTCTTGTCCATCTCCATTTGCCCAGCTCAGACTAACGCTGGGAATACAGCAAATCCTCAGTAAGTCCCTGTTGAATGAGAGTGAGTGAGAGACAGAGGCGCCCGGCATCAAAACTGCAGAGGAAACAAGTTTTAACTTTGTGCTTTGCCACCATGTGATCCCCACTCTCCCTGGGTGGGATGCAAGGATGGACTCCAGCGGCCCTCATGGTAAGATTTATTATTCTCCGCTCTGTACAAGCCGCGTCTGCCACCCCGCCCCCCACCCCCCCACCCCAAAAAGCACCCAGCACTCCCTTGTGCCCTCCCAACTCTGCTCATACTCCACTGTCCAGCCAGATTCCAAAGGAGGGGGAGGGGCGGTTCAGACCCATCTCCGCCAAAACTTACTGGGGGCAGAGTGCTGCTGGGGCGGGGGCTGATGCGGGTCACAAACGAGGGTTGGACGGAGGATAGGGTTCAGTGTCTGATGGGATGAGGGGAGGGCAGAGAGGTCGAGGATGGGAGTGATTCAGTCTTGAGCCTGTCGGGCGTGCGCCCTGAAGGTCGCCAGTCCGTGTGAAGTTCTGAAGGATGGGGCAACAGCGAGGAGGGGGGAAGAGTCTGATCAGTCCTGGGAGGTGGGAGTCCAGAAGGGGGCTTTTGATGGGAGTGGGATGGGAACCCCTCGGTCAGGCATCCTTCCCGGCCAAGGTGCCCGCCCCTGCTCCAGGCCCCCCGAGGTTCTCGGCCTTGTGCGCCAGGCGGTGTTTCTTGAGGCCGTAGGTGTTGGCGAAGCCCTCGCCGCAGGAGGAGCAGCGGAAGGGCCGGCCGCCCTGGTGGGCAGCCAGGTGCTTACGGAAGTAGCCGGGATCCTTGAAGGCCTTGAGGCAGGCGGGGCAGCGGAGCTCGGGCCGCGGCGGCTCATGGGCGCGCTGGTGGCGCAGCACGGAGCTCAGGTAGAAGAAGCCCTTGCCGCAGTGCTCACAGCGGTAGGCGCGCTCGCCCAGGTGCAGCCGCTGGTGCTCCAGCAGGTTGGAGCGGTAGCGGAAGGTCTTGCCACAGGCGCTGCAGCGCTGGGGCCGGGCCACAGCGTGCAGCCGCCGGTGCTCTGCCAGGCTGGACGACTGCGCGAAGCGCTTGGCGCACACGCCGCACTTGAAGGCCCGCTCGCCAGTGTGCACCACGCGGTGCTGCCGCAGGTACCAGGAGCGCAGGAAGCCTCGGCCGCACACGCCACATCGGTACGGCCGCTGTTCCGTGTGGCAGCGCTGGTGGCGCATCAGCAGGGCCGCCTCCCAGAAGCGCTTCCCGCACACCGGGCAGCGGAAACCCCGCTTCTGCCGATGGCTGCGGCGGTGTAGGAGCAAGTCGTAGGCGCCCGCGAAGCTCTGGCCGCAGAGGCCGCAGCCCAGGGTCCGTCGCACCAGGTGCACGTACTTGTGAGTCACGAGGCCCAGGAAGTGCTTGAAACTCTGGCCGCACGTGGCACAGCTGAAGCGCTCGGGGCCGGAACTGGCACCCCCGCCAGCACCTGCCACCGCCGCCCCGCCTGCGTCCTCACCCCCAGACACCCCTGCCAGTGCCGCCACGGCCGCCCCCACCTCCCCCGCCAGCCCGTTGTCCAGCACGCTGGCCGCATCCGTGCCGCTGGAGCCGTCCGGGGGCTGCAGGCCGCCGGGTGCGGGCGGGAGCAGGCGCTCGGGGGCGGCCTGGTGGACCAGCTTGTGCCACATGAGGTTCTCGATGAAGCCGAAGGTCTTGCCGCAGGCGTCGCAGCCGTATGGCTTCTCTGCCATGTGGACCTCCTTGTGACTCATGACGTGAAAGAGATCCGGGAAGTGCTCGCCGCAGTCCGAGCAGGCGTAGCTCAGCCCATCGGTGGGCCCTGCAGACGTGCCCGAGGCCCCGGGCCCACAGGCCCCCGGTGTGCCTTGGGTGGAGGGGAGGCCGGCTGCCCCGGCCAGGGCGCAGGGCAGCTGGAGCCGGTGCACCTGGCGGTGGCGGGTGAGGCTCTGCGGGTAGCCGAAGACCTTGCCGCAGAGCTCGCACTTGTAGGGCCGCTCGCGCGTGTGCACCACGTGATGCTTGCTCAAGTGGAAGGATTCGCGGAAGCGCTTCCCACACACGGGGCACTGGTGGGGCTTCTCGCCCGTGTGGATGCGCTCATGGCGCTTCAGGGTCTCGCGGCGCCCGAAGCCGCGCCCGCAGATGCCGCAGCAGAACGTCTTTCCTGGGACGCTGGCGCCCGAGCCTCCCGCCCCGCTGGTCCCCGCGCCGCCGAGCAGCAGCGGGTGGGCGCCCAGGAGCGGGACGGGCACAGCGCCGTACACCACCGCCGCCGCGGCCGCCGCCGCCTTCTCGCTGTCTGTGGTGGGAGGGTCGGGGGGCAGGAGGTACGGGCCCGGGGGGAAGGTGGGCGGGGGCTGCGGGGCCGAGGCCGCCCCGTCCTTGGGCGCCTCCGCAGCGGCAGCGGGCGGGGCGTGGGCGGCCTTGTGGCGGAGCAGGCTCTGCGGAGCCGAGTAGGACTTGCCGCACAGGTCGCAGGGGTACACGGGCCGAGGCCCCCCGGCGCCCGCCCCCGCGTGGGCCGCCTGGTGCTTGAGGAGGTAGGAGGCGTCGCGGAAGGCCTTCCCGCAGATGCCGCAGGGCAGGCGCAGGAGGTCGGCCGAGTGCGTCTTCACGTGGCGCTTCAGACTCTCCCTGCGGTTGAAGCTTTTGCTGCACACGGAGCAGGAGAAGGGCTTCTCGCCCGTGTGGATGATCTGGTGCTGGTGGAGGTGACTGGGCTTCTTGAAAACCTTCCAGCAGAGTGGGCAGGCGAACGGGCCATCGCCACCCCCGGTGGCAGGAGGGGGCACCCCAACACCAGCAGGGGCGGCGCTCCCGTCTGCGGAGGGGGCAGGCGCCACGGGCGTGGCTGGAGGGCCCGAGGACACCGTGGAGGGGGCGGCGGCGGTGGCGGCGCTGGCAGCGGGTGCTGGGAGGCCCAGCGGCGGGAGGTGGGGGCCGGGCTGGGGCGGGCCCCCCGCGGCCGGTGGCACGTCCTTGTGGCAGCGGCGGTGGCGGATGAGGCTGGACACGTGGTTGTAGGTGCGGCCGCAGACGCCGCATTCGTAGGGCCTCTCCCCCGAGTGCACCAGCATGTGCTGGACCAGGTGCGAGGACTGCTTGAAGGACTTCTGGCACACGCCGCAGGGGAAGCGCCGCTCCATCAGGTACTTCAGTCTCCGGAAGTAGCCCTTGTCGTCCTTGGTGGGGTCGCAGGCCGCCGCCGCGGGGGGTCCTGGCGGGGTCTGCGAGGGGGCAGGAAGCGGCCCTGGGGCCCCCGCGGGAGCGCCCAGCCCAGGCGTCACCCCCGGCCCGGACGCGGGCCCTCCTCGCTTCAGGTTCCCAAACAAGTGCTGGTGCCCCGAGAGGTCCACGATGCCCCACTGCGGAGTGGGGAAAGCAGCGTCAAAGAGGGGAGGAGGGGGCGCCCCGAAGGCGGGCGGCAGGGGCGGATCGGGCTTCTTGGCTTGGGAAGAGGAAGAGGACGAAGATGACGACGAGGAGGACGAAGAGGAGGAGGAGGAGGACGAGGACGAGGACGAGGAGGGCACCTCCGCCTTGGGCTTGAAGGTGGACTGGGGCGGGTAGTCATACTGCGGGGGAGGGGGCTGCGGCGGGGGCTGCGGCGGGGGGCCGGGGGCGCAGGGCAGGGCCGCCACCGCCTTGGCGTGTTCCCCATACAGTTCCATGGGCTCGAAGCGCTGGTGGTTGAGGAATTCCAGGAAGTCGAAGGGGTAGCTCTGGAAGTGCACCCCGTCCTCGCCCCCGATGCCGCTGCTCCCGCCACCCCCGGCGCCGCTGCCCGCTGGGTTCGCCTCCATCTCCGGCGGGTGGGAGACGGGAGACCCTGTGAAGAGGAGGACGGGGCTGAGGACACGGCCGCGGCGCTGGGTCTCCCCGCAGGTGAATGGAGCTGTGCGCCCACTCATCCATCCTTGTGCGGATCACCCCCTAGCCTTCCAGATTTAGGCTTCCAGTCCCTCTGCCTGTCCACCCCAAAGGGCAGCCCTTCCTCTTGGCTCCCTGGCCCCAGGACTCTCCTACTCACCTTCACCTTCCCTCTCTGTGTTCTCAACTCCCACCCACTCCCCACCTCTTTTCCTTCTCTAATTCCTTCCATCTCTCCCCATCTTTTCTGGGGTCCTGACACAGCTTTGTAGAGGGGACCCTCTCCTCCACACCACCTGCAGGCCCTCTATTATTTGTAGAAACGGGGTTTTGCTTTGTTGCCCAGGCTGGTCTGAAACTCCTGGACTCACGCCATCCTCCAGCCTCCACCTCCCAAAGTGCTGGGTGATTACAGATGTGAGCCAGCGCGCTGGCCTGGGCCGTCTCTACTTTCTCTCCTTTTCAGACTCCAATTGTCCAAGCATCCTGGGGGCCTCTGGACTCAGTTTTCTTTCCAAACCCTCTCAGACCCTCTGCTGTCTCTCCATACTCCTGCACCCTACCCCACCCACAGCCCTCCGTCCTCATCCCTTCAGGTTTTATCCTAAAATGAGCATAATGATAAGGGGAATCACAGTTTCTATCAGCGTAATTAGGAGGGAGGACTCTGGGGCCAGAATCAAATGTAAGCCCTGCCACTTCTAGCTGTGTGGCCACGGGCAAGTGACTGAACCTCTCTGTGCCTCCATTTCCTCATCTACACCTGGGGACCACAAAGCACATGCCTACCTCACAGGACTGTGAGGATTCAACACACACATATGTGCAAGGCTCTTAGGGGGCGGTTCCTGGCACTCTGTAAGCACTCCGTACATAGAAGGTATGGACTGGGCACAGTGGCTGACAGCTGTCATCCCAGCACTTTGGGAGGCTGAGGCAGGAGAGCTGCTTGAGCCCGGGAGGTGAAGGCTACAATGAGCTGTGATCACATCACTGTACTCCAGCCTGGGTGACAGAGCAAGACCTTGGCTCTAAAAACTAAAATTAAAAAATTGAAGATACGATACTGTTATCACTGTTACTACTAGTAGTAGAAATGGGGAAGTCAGGACAAGCCTAGAGAACTGAAAAAAGTCAGTATGGGGAGTGCACTCTTTTAATATTAATAGACAGTAGAAAGGAGAATTTGCTTGCCTGGGAGAAACAAATTCCAGCAAGGGGGCTGGCATATAGTCAGAAGGTGGTCTGATACAATCAAAACACAGACCCTGGGCTTGGACAGACCTGGGTTCAAATCCCATCTCCACTGGGATCCACACTTTCTCCATGTTTAAAATGGGGGAACCCCTATACCGCAGGGAGATTCAACAGGGTTGGAACAGAACATAATGAAACACATGCATCAGCAGAATGCATTCAACCCCCTGAGCTATTTGTACCATCCATGACATCACACACCTGGGCTAAGCCTAGCAACAGAAGCAGGGAGCTTGAGTTCCATCCTTGCCCTTAGTGGGGCTTCTCCTGACCCCCCCATGTCCTTGCCCTTAGTGGGGCTTCTCCTGACCCTCCACCCCCGGCATCATTCTCTGGCACCTCCTTTACACGACTTTTCATTCCAGATGGCAGGTATCCATGTGTGTACCCCACACCACACCAGACCCTCAGCACCCGTAACTGATCTCCGAGTTCTTGGTCTACTTGCTGGCCTGGGGAAGCACCTCCACCAAGTGGGCGGAGGGTGAGTCGGTGAAGGGCCCATGAGGTCTGACCCGCTTCCTGTCCATCATCCCTACCCGATGGGGGCCAGGCTCTAAGCCCAGCCCGCTATGGGGGTCAAGGGGGTTCCTACCAAGGCCTGGACCCTTTATCCTCTATCCATCGGGCTGCTCTCTCCTCCCACAGGTGAGGGGTGAGTGTCTCTTCCACCCCCACCCCAAACGCCATCCTGGAGTGAGATATTTTTAGTCTCCAGCTCCGGGTGTCCTTGTCCTTGGACAAGACTCAACATCCCATGCCCTTCACACCCCCTCCGTTTAATCTGATCTCCGGAAAGAGGACAGGCTTGGCTGGGGTGGTAATTGGAAGGCTGTAGGTGGAACCTAAGTTGGGGAGACAGCTCTGGAGGGGGCTGACTGGCCAGGGAGGCAAACACAGGCCATAAGGATGCAGGGAATAGGGGGTGATTTAGGGCGCTATGGGGAGGGAGGGCAAGAGTGTTTGGGGAAAGAAGCCCCTGACTAGCTTGTCTCCACTAGAGCACAGGTTAATCGTAGCTGTCACTGACTGGACATCTCCTAGAGGCCCGCCACGGTTCTAAGCACGTTACACATATTAATTCACTGACTCCCCACAACTCTAAATAGGGGCAGCTGTTCCCGCCGTTGGATAAATTAGAAAACTAAGGCATGGAGAGGCAAAGTGAGTTGCCATGGTCACGGAGTAGGAGTCTGGATCAATGGGCTTGAACCCCATTCCCACCCTTGCCCCCACAGCAGTGTTTCACTGGGCTGTTCCCCGAGTGAACAAAGGTGAGGGGAGAACTATCAGGATAAGAGCTTTATTTAGGGATGTCTTCTGGGTTATGAGGGGTGTCTATACAAGGGGCCTGGTGGGAGAGGGTGGTGGTTACTTTCTCTTCTGCCTACAGTGTTCTTCGCCAGATTTCAACAAGACTCCCTCTGGAGCCTCCTTGGGTCTCTACTCAGCACTCCCCACCCCATCACTCTCCAGTCCCTCATCCAGCCGCAGGTGTTTCATTATAGTTATTGCCACCAACTCATGTCATTCCTTTTCTGTGTGTTTACTGTTTGGCCCCTCTCTAGGAAAGCAAGGACTTGGCCTGTCTTGCTCGCCCCTGTGACCCCAGCACTTAGCGTAGCACTGGCCCAGTGTGGGTGCTTGACAAATATCTGCTGGTATGTGAAAAGGAAACACCACCTTCCTAAATTACCAATGGGTCCACAAAGAAATCATACATTAGAAAATGCTGGCCAGGTGCGGTGGCCCACACCTGTAATCCCGGCACTTTGGGAGGCCAAGGCAGGAGGATCACCTGAGGTTAGGAGTTCGACACCAGTCTGGCCTACATGGCGAAACCCCGTCTCTACTAAAAATACAAAAATTAGCCAGGCTTGGTGGTGGGCGCCTGTAATCCCAGCTACTTGGGAGGCTGAGGCAGGAGAATCGCTTGAACTCGGGAGGTGGAGGTTGCAGTGAGCTGAGATCGTGCCACTGCACTCCAGCCTGGGCAACAAGAGCGCGACTCCATCTCAAAAACACAAACAAACAAAAAGCAAAAAAACTGCTTAGCAATTAATGAAAATGAAAACACAACATACCAAAGCTGAGGAGGTGCAGCCAAAGCAATGCTCAGAGGGAAATGCACAGCTGTGAATGTCTATCTTGGTATTTGTGGAATGAACAAAGCGATGAGACTAAGCTGATCAAACTCCCAGAGGAACGGAGGGGGACATGTAGCAGAAATGGAGCTAAATGATCCCAGGAATTCCTGGGAGAAGCAATTCTGGGGACAGTGATGTTATGAGGAGGGCACTGAGGGCAGGGTGTGGAGATGCTGAAGGGGATACATCAGTGGTGGACAGAATTGATCAGGCTTATGATAATCTCCACTAGGAAACCAGAAACATTCCCTCTTTCATACAACTCAAGCCTAAACTGGTATCTTTTTAAGAGGGGATGTCATAGGAGGGTTTTATGCAGAGAGAAGCATGATGGGGAGGGACCCACCCCTCCACCACCACCACCAAGGGACAGGAGTCCCACAGCAAGTGTATTAACGGTTCACATTTATTGTTTGACCAGTTTGATATTTGTTATTGCCTGGAGGCAGCACAGTCCTGTACCATGACTGGGCCCATCTTATAAGTGGGGAAACTGAGGAGCAGCATGGGGAAGGCATTCCTCCAAGGTCATGTGGCCAATAAAGAGGAAAGCAGGTAACTGATTCCAGGTCTTTCTGATGCCAGACTGTGGGCCGTTCTGCTGCAACAACGCTGCCTTGTGATGAAATTCTGGTTTGTTAATAAAGAGTAACGTGCGCATATAACACTGGATGTGTGCTTTCTACCAGCCCAGCACTCTTGTAACTCTGATGTGTGTGAGCTCAACGAATCCTCCCAGTAACCCTAGAAGATGGTTACAAGCATTGACTCTGAAATACAAAGGAAGAGACTGAGGGCCAGAGAGATAAATTAAACTTCCAAAGTCAGGCCAGGCATGGTGGCTCATGCCTGTAATGCCAGCACTTTGGGAGGCCGAGGTGGGTGGATCAACTATAGTCAGGAGTTCGAGACTAGCCTGGCCAATATATAGTGAAACCCCGTCTCTACTAAAAATAAAAAAATTAGCCGGGTGTGGTGGTGCACACCTGTAGTTCCAGCTAGTGGGGAAGCTGAGGCAGGATAATTGCTTGAACCCAGGACACAGAGGTTGCAGTGAGCTCACGCCACTGCACTCCAGCCTGGGTGACAGAGTGAGACTCTGTTTCTCAAAAACAAACAAACAAACTTCTAAAGTCACATTGTTAACTAGTGGCAGGGCCAGTGGTTGAAGAAAGGCAGCAAGGCTCCAGAGTCCCATCACATGCTGTCTTTCGGTATTTCTCCCTCCAAAATGAAGGAGGACCCCCGCCCCCAATCCCACTTCATACTGGAAACATGCATTGCTCCACCCATCTCCCTGCCAACAAATCCCAAGTCTCTTGGCTTGACCCAAGACCAGAACAAGTCACCAACATTTGTTGACCTCTAACAAGCATTGTACTTAGGTGCCTTATGTGGCTTGTTTCATTCAAACTTCACAACAAATGTGTTATTATTATTCCCATTTTACTGACAGGAGGACTATAACCAAAGCATGTCTATCCTCGGTCCCAAACCAAACAGTAACCCCATCTCATTCAAAAGCCACAGTCCTGACTGGGCACGGTGGCTCACGCCTGTAATCCCAGCATTTTTGGAGGCCAAGGCAGGCGGATCACCTGAGGTCGGGAGTTTGAGACCAGCCTGACCAACATGGAGAAACCCCATCTCTACTAAAAATACAAAATTAGCTGGGCGTGGTGGCACATGCCTGTAATCCCAGCTACTCGGGAGGCTGAGGCAGGAGAATCACTTGAACCCGGGAGGCGGAGGTTGCAGCGAGCTAAGATCACACCACTGCACTCCAGCCTGGGCAACAAGAGCGAAACTCCTTTTCAAAAAAAAAAAAAAAAAAAGCCACAGTCCTTACAATGACCTCCACAGTCTCCTGGCTGCTCTTCCCATGTGCCCACTCTATTCCTGCTGCAGGGCCTTTGCGCTGGCTGTTGCTGTTGCCTGTAATATTCTGACTCTCAGGCAACCATCTCGCTCACCCCTTCACCTCCTCCCCATCTTTGGTCAACTGTCTTCTCAATGAGCCTCTCAGTAACCAATGACCTGTCACCCAGGCCCACATCCTCATCTCCCTAACCCTGCTTCATTTCTCTCCTTACTGCTCAGCATCATTTATAACCTCACATAATCTACTTCTTTGCCTTGATTTTGTTGGTCTCCCCATCCAGATGATCGGCTTCCTGAAGGCAAGGATTTTTATCTCTTGCTCACTGTTCCATCCCCAGGACCTACAACAGTTCCTGGCTTGATACATTTTTGTTTGAAGAAGTGAATGAATGAGGCTAGGAAAGGAGGGAGTGATTTGCTCAAAGCTGTGAACCCTAGTGGAATCCAGGGCTCATCCTCCCAATCACTTCGCTCCTGGGGTTAGGGCGCTGTTAAGAGCAGCCCCCAAGTGGGCCACAGTTGTCCAGGAGAAGGGGAATTTTTACTCTTGTATAACTTTTTGGTGTGTGGCTTTTGGGAGGGACAAGATGACAAGACATAGGAAAATCCTGGGGGAGGCCATCCTGAACCACAGCCCCCCAGGTCTATCTCTTTATCCCGTGATATTCTGAACACGCACATATACTCTTGGTTTTTGTTTTTATTTTTTTTCACTGCAGCCTCGAACTCCTGGGCTCAAGCAGCCCTCCCACCTCAGCCTCCTGAATAGCTGGGGACTACAGGTGCCCACCAACCACACCCAGCTTTTTTTTTTTTTTTTTTTTTTTCCTGTAAAGACAGGGTCTCACTATGTTGCCGAGGTTGGTCTTGAACTCCTGGCCTCCAGCGATCCTCCCACTTTGGCCTTCCCAACTGCTGGGATTACAGGCATGAGCCACCTCGCCTGGCCTGTATTTTGTCTTTTAATCATCTGCCCCCTCAACTAGCATATCCACTCCATGAGGACAGGGATTCTTGTCTATTTTGTTCTCTGTTGTACCCCCAATGTAAAGTAGGTGCTCATTAAACAGTTGTTCAACCAGTGTTTACGAATGAACGTATGAATGAATGAAGAACATTCTGGGCTCGGTAGAGCTGACAAAGGCTAGATAATTTATCCCAGTGCCCTCACCTCCAAAGCCTTTTGAGACCAAAGCTTCCTTCCTCTTGTTCTTGCCTTCAAATCTTCCACTCCACCCTCACCGGCCTCCCCTGCTGCTCCTCCACTCACCGTGCTCACCGCCACTTCAGGGCCTTTGCACTTGTTGTTCTTGCTGCCTGCTCACCCAGATCTTTGCATGGCTAAGCTGCCACTTGTAATTCAGCTTTCACCTCTAAAGTAGTTCATCAGGCTCTCAGAGAACCCACAAAACCCCGTGTATCTTTGTCGACTCGTGTCTGATCAACTAGACTGTGAGACCCCGCACAGTGAGAACACTGTGTGTATCGACCCCCTTCGTGGCTGTATATTATACCCTTCAGCTAGAATAGTGAATATGCGTTCAACGCAGAAGGAATGCCTACGAGAAAAGAAGTCACACCCTAGTGAAGTCCAGGGTCTTCCCTAGGGAGTCCAGGACGATAGCCTGAGAGCTGGGTGAGAAGCTGCAGGTCAGGGCAACAGTTGTTCACGCCATAGGAAGAGGATGAGGCACATTCTGGGAAGGAAGGCTTCACCGCCTCACTGCGGGACACTGTTCTGTGGCAGAAGTAATGAAGACGGGCTGACCGCGATGAGGGTGGGGTGAGAGGAGGTACGGGAGTATGTCATGGGAGCCTGGAGCTAAGCAGGCGGATATTTCTACCTGAGGCGGGAGAGGATGTGAGTGTGAAGGAACTCTAGAGGGAGCTGTGCCGCTGCGATGGGGGGGTGGCTTTGAAAGGGGCATTCTTAAGGGGAATCACTGGAGGACCTGCAGAAGGGAAAAAGGCATTCTTGGTGCTGACCAGAATAGAAAGTATTTTCACACCCACGAAGGGGCGTTCTGCTGGGGAGGGAGGTGGTCAGGGCCATTGGGGGCTGTTGCTGTATGGACAGAGATAACGGGGGACAGTTCTGCTGCAAGGCACTAAGGAAACACTCTGGGGAGAATTATATAGAGGATACTAATAAGAGGGTTCACGAGCAGCTGCCCTACATGGGGAGGGGCAATGCTGATGGCATCTGGAGGCTGACCTGGAGGAAGCAATGACGGGGAGCGCTATGTGGAGGGGATCCTACGAGGAGGTATCATTTGGGGGCCCTGGCAGCCGTTTAGGGGATCGCCACGAATGAAAGCGCTTTGGCAGCCATCCTAGCTGGGGGCGTTCATGGGGGAGCTATCTGCAGTGATCCTACCGGGGAGCAGTGATTGGGGGTCCCTTGGCAAGGGCCCGGCGGGAGCTGCACTGACTTGCTAGGGGTTGGGGGACGTTCTGGGGACCACAGCGGGCCAGGGCGGGGCCCCCCGCCCCCGCTGCACCCGGGCCCCCGGGCCACGCACCCCGTCACTCACCGGCGCCGGGGTCTCCGCCGGGAGGAGGCCGAGGAGGCGGAGGAGGCGCCGCCGCTCCGGGGAGACCCGAGGGCCCGACCGGAAGTGCCGCCCCCTCCCCCCTCCCCGGCAGCCCCGCACCGCCCGCCTGCCCGCCCGCCCGGAAGCGGAAGTCGCGCCCGTTCCCGAGGCGCCGGCGTGGAGGATCGGAAAGAGGAGGCGGTGGCGGGGACCAGGAGGGGGGAAATGCGCTTGCGCACTGACTCGGGGACGCGAGCAGTGAAAGCCCGGGCCGATTCCGGTGGGCGAACTGAGCCAGGTGCGCCTGCGCTTTGAATGCCCGCCTCTTCTACGGGAACCCCGCGACACGCTCTGGGCGTCCGGTTAAGCCACACCTCCGGCTCGGGTCTCACACTGAAGCCCCGCCCCCTGGCCCTGAACCACGCCCATCTCACAGCGTGATTATAAGCCCCCTACTGCCTCAAAGTCTGTCTTCGTCCCCTCGCCCTCATGCAGTTTCTCCTGTTCTTCCCCCTCTCCAAGCTCCCACTCTCTGGAACTTCACCCCTCCCTAGGCCCCGCCCCCTCCATCCAAGCCCCGCCCCTTCACCCCATAGCATTTAAGTTGCACCTCGTGACTTTTGAGTGCCTCCCACCTCTAAAGCATTCTTTTAAATCGGTGGTTGTCAAGGATAGTTGGGAGGCCAGCAGCATCCGGCTGCCTGCTCAGACCATGCGGAATAGAAGCCCTGGGGTTGGGGGTCTAGGGATCCGTGTTTTGAAATACTCTGATTCTGCTGCATGCTGGTCAAGAGCCATGGATTTACCACACTTGACACTGCCCGCTCATATAATCGCTATAATCCCGGCTCCCAACTCAGCCCCATCCCAAACAGCCAAACCCAGACCCATTCAGCCCCTCCTGCTAAGCTTCCACTCTCCCAGGAACTTCCCTTAGATTAAGTACTTCCTTCTCTCCCCATCGCCTCCATAGCAGTCGTGCGCCCCCATCAGCACCTTCTAAGTCCCACCTCCAATACCCTGTTCCCTCAGAGTTTCTCCTTTAAGCCCCGGCCCCCGGCCCTCGGCCCTGAACCACGCCCACCTCAGAGCTGAATTATTATAAGCTCCGCCCCTCACCTTAAAATCCGTTCTCTTGGCCTGGCGTGGTGGCTCACGCCTGTAATCCCAGCACTTTGGGAGGCCAAGGCAGGCGGATTGCTTGAGCACAGGAGTTCAAGACCAGCCTGGGCAATATGGCAAAACCCCGTCTCTACAAAAAAAAAAAATACAAAAATTAGGCTGGACGCGGTGGCTCACGCCTGTAATCCCAGCACTTTGGGAGGCCGAGGCGGGTGGATCACGAGGTCAGGAGGTCAAGACCAGCCTGGCCAAGATGGTGAAACCCCGTCTCTACTAAAATTACAAAAATTAGCCAGGCGTGGTGGCGGGCGCCTGTAATTCCAGCTACTCGGGAGGCTGAGGGAGAGAACTGCTTGAACCCGGGAGGCAGAGGTTGCAGTGAGCCAGATTGCCCCACTGCACTCCAGCCTGGACGACAGCAAGACTCCGTCTCAAAAAAAAAAAATTAGCTAAATATGCTGGCGCCCGTCTGTAGTCTCAGCTACTCCGGAGGCTGAAGCAGGAGGGTCGCTTGAGCCTGGCAGGTCGAGGCTGCAGTGAGCGGTGATAGGGCCACTGCACTCCAGCCTGGATGACAGAGCGAGACCCTGTCTCAAAAAAAAAATTATCCGTCCTCCTTGCCCCACTCTCACGCAGTTCCTCCTGTTCTTCCCCAGCTCCAAGCCCCTACTCTC
Organism: Homo sapiens; assembly: GCF_000001405.40. Lineage (NCBI taxonomy): Eukaryota > Metazoa > Chordata > Mammalia > Primates > Hominidae > Homo > Homo sapiens. The sequence continues at coordinate 55,603,936 of NC_000019.10, read as the reverse complement.
TATTAGATCAACTCTATCCATCCTCTTTAAACCGCTCTCACTTTCTGCGGACCAACCCCTAAACCTCTTTAAGCCCCACCCAACTCTAACCCTCTTCTAAGCCCCCGCCCCAGGTCCCAGCCTAACTGCCCCGCAATCTCAGCCCCACCCCTCGCTCCTTAGCCCCGCCCCAATCCACACCCCTTATCTCTAAACCTTACCCAGACCGTCCTGCTCATACCTTTGTCTTAATTTTTCCTTCCAAACAGTAGGTCCTCAGGACAAGGAGGTGGGGCAAAGTGGCTGCAGAATTTCTGGGAATTGGCTAGGAGAGAGGCGGTCGGACCTACAGTCAGGTCTGCATGGAAGGTTCAATGTTTTTAGTTAGATTGGATGTGTACTGGGAATACAGCTGACCCTTGAACAACAGGGGTTTGAACTGCAGGTCCATTGAGAGGCGGACGTTTTTTCACCCAAACACCGGTGGAACATACAGTATACGAAGGGCGGATTTTCCTACATCCGCGGGTTCCGCAGGGCCCACTGCTGGACTTGTGTATGCCCAGATCTTGGTATCTGCGAGGTTCGTGGAACCAATTCCCCGCGGACTCCGAGGGACCCATGGACTTTGGGGTCTGATGGAGATGGGGAAGGGGCCAAGGTTCCCCCCAAAACCATTCTTTGGCGAGCACCACGCTCATGAGGCACAGGAAGTGGGGTCCTCTCCAATTCCCCGCACTCCCGACAGGACGGTGTAGCCGAGGAAGAACATTTGAAGGCAGGAGAGGATGGCATCCCGGCACGGAACACACACAGGCAGCCAGCAGGCAGAGATTTATTTCCACAGCCCCTGCCTCCAAGGGTCTGTTAGTCTGGGGGAGGGGGGCTGAAGGCAGCTGGACCCCAAAGTTTAGGTCTCCACCCTCCACCTGCTCCCACAACGGGAAGACCACCGGAAACAAGGGTGTCCCGGCCCCCTGGCTCAGGCCCAGCACCAGCCAAACTCCCTGCTCTAAACCTGGCCCAGGGAGCGATGGCCGGGGGTGTGGGTCAGGCCGGCTCCCCTTTCCCCTCTGTCTCCTCCTCCTCCTCGGCCCCTGCTGTGGCCGGGATGCCCTCCTCGTCCCACGGCGGTTCAGACCCTGGATCTGGTGCACACAGGGGTACCCCCATGGCCTCCGGGTGCTTGCGCTTCGCATGGCGCCGGAGCGTGTTGGCCTCTGTAAAGCGCAGCCGGCAGATGGGGCACTGGTACGGGCGCTCCCCCGAGTGCACGCGGTGGTGGTGCGCCAGCTCGCCCGCCTCGCGGAAGCGGCGGGGGCACAGCGGGCAGCGGAAGGGCCGCAGGCCGGCATGGATGTTGCAGTGCCGCCGCAGGTGGCTGGAGCGCTTGAAGGTCTTGCCGCAAACCTTGCACTGGTGCGGCTTCAGCTCTGAGTGCGAGATGCTGTGGCGCTCCAGGTCGGAGAGGTAGGGGAAGGCCCGCAGGCACACCGGGCAGAAGTGTGGGGCCTTCCTGGGGCCAGAGCCCTCAGGCCCAGCCGCTGAACCTTCAGAGACCGTATAGGGCACACCCTGATCATCGATCAGGAGGAGGTCGCTCCCGCCACTGCTGCCTACTGGGGCTGTCACCCCCTGCACCTGCACCAGTGGGGGCTCCTGCCCTGACTTGGGGGGGCGGCCCCGCTTGCGAGGGAGGGAGGCCTTGAGTGTCCGATTTGAGGAGGTGGCTCCCCCAGGACGACGGCCTCGGCGGCCCCGGGGAACAGGAGGAGATAAGGCCAGAGGTTTCTCTTCCTCCCCGGGCAAAGGCGAAGGCAACGGGTCTGGGCTGGGGGTGTCCATTGAGCAGTGGGGGGCTTGGGTCTGGGCACTGGAGCCAGCTAAGAGGAGAGAGGGGCAGAGTCAGTGCTCACAGGGTCTAGAGCACCCCTGTGTCCCCCAACACCTCGCCCATCCCTCTCTCCAAGTCTCTTGACAAAGGTGTGTTTGACATTCATCCAGATACACAATTTTAGCTATGCTGGTGGGTAAAACAGTGAGATGATCTTGTATCAGCTGATAAACAGGCACTTCCCTGAGCTCCACCAGACATCCCTATGCCTCCCTAACTCTCCTTCTGGATCTAGAAGTTCAAGATCAACATGAGCAACACCCCTCCCCACCTCCCCACAAAAAAAAACCTTCCAGAGAGGATAGAGTCCAACTGAGAGTGCAGACCAGTATTGTGATCCTTGAAACGGAGAGCCCATCAAACTCCAGAGCCATAGAGGCCTCACGAATGCTCTCATCCCTCCCTGCTGACTGGCAGAAGTGGGGAAGGGGTTCCAGAGTGGAAAAAAGGGACTGGTCCCAGGTGATATTTGACCCTGATTCCTGGATGAGGAAACATATCTGCGATGTTAAGAGCCTGGGCCCTGGAGTCAAGACATCATTCGTTCAAATCTTTACTCTCTGCGTGGCCTTGGGCAAGGTGTTCGCTTCTCTAAGCCTTAATCAAGACTTTTGCAAAATGGGACACATAGTTCTACGTACTTGCCCAGACATGCCATGAGCATAATACCCACAAAGTGTTCATACACAGAAGCTTTCAGGACACATTAGCCATTGTTATCAGGAGCAGCTAAGCCTCACATCAACCCTCTGAATAGGGCATATCTGTCCCATTTTGCAGATGGGGAAACTGAGGCACAGGAAAGCCAAGTCAGTTGCCTAAGTTCCTCTGCCAGTAAATGGCAGGGCCAAAACTGGAAACAGGTCTTGTGACCCGAATGTCCCAGAGAATGGAGAACAAATAAACCCAAGGAGGAAAGGGGACATTACGAGGGCTCAGTCCTGGGTTTGAATTCAGCTCTGCCTATAACTAGCAATTGACTTTGCCAGTTTCCTCCTCTGAAAAGTGAATAAACCAGGGTTGTCAGGAGAATCGAATAAGACAGTGGGCTTTAAAATGCCCCTCGAACACTGCCTGGTGCACAGTAAGCACTCAATAAACTTCACCAACGCCACCACCATCTTCCCGGCGCCCACTCAGATACTGGGAGCATGGGATTGGGGTGTAACGGAGGGGAAGGGGAGGCACAGGTGCAGCTGGAAGCAGGTGCTGCAGGTGCCCCCCTGCACCCCCCCCTCCCCTTTAACAGCCACATAGACTGCTGTCCAGAGAGGAGCAACCACCTTTCCATACGGTTCGCTCCCACGGGGTAGCCTAGTCTAGGAGTCTGGTCTTTGGAACGGTGGAAAGGGGGAGACTGGTCCCCCGACCCTCCCCGTCCCCTCGCCCCGGTACTGACGCGCCCATCGGCCCCCGAGCTGCGAAGCCCAAGCGCGGGGCGGGCCCTGCGGGGGCGACGGCCAATGAGCGGCGCCGGGTAAGCGGGCGGCGGGGGCTGCCAGGAAGGGGGTCTGCGCGCGCGCGCCCGGACGGCTTCGCGGGGCGCGAGCGCGGGAGCAGGAACAGGTGTTGGAGGCGCGCTCCGGGAGCGCGCGGCCCGGCCTCCCCTACCCCCACACCCCCCCTCCCGCCTGCGCCCCCCGCCTCTCGGGTACCTCATTTGCATGTCGCCGGGGCTCGCGAGTGTGCGCGCGCGCGGGGGCAACGGGGCCGGCGCGTGGGAAGGGGAGGGGGTGAGGGGGCCCTGCCCCTCGGCGGCGGCGAGGCGGGGGCGGCGGCGCGCGGTGCCGGCCCCGCCCCTCGGAGAAGCGCCGGGCCCCTCCCTTCCTGCCCTTCCCGCCCGCCTGCGCGCCCGCGGGAAACAAAGGGGACTCGCTGGGTCCTAACGACCGGTCGCGGCCACGCCCGGAAGCCGCGCCTGCGCACCGGCGGCCCTGGTGTGTCCCCAGTGGGAAATAACCCAGCACCACATCCCCAACCACCTCGAAACGCCTTTCCTCTCACAAAGCCCACAGTCGGGTGACCCAAAGACAGATACCGAATGATGAGGAGCGGGAAAATGGCTGCCCAGTGCCCGTAATTAACATGGCACCGGACAGGCTTCGAAGCCCATGGAGTGCTAAGTGGATAAGATGGTGCCGGTCTTTTCCAGCTCTGTATTGCAGTTGGCGCACTTCGCTTTCTTTTTTTTTCCCTAGTCCAACTGTACATCCTAATCGGAGGAGTCCGAGGCTGTGAAAAAGAAATAGTATCTGCTCTCATTTACGTTAGCATCGCCTAGTGTCGCCACGGAGAAGCCCCCTCGCTCTCAGCTCCTTGCCCTTAGTCTGTATGGCGCCGTGGGTGTCCCTAAGCCCCGCCCCTTCCCGCTGCCCTCACCCAAGATGGCGCGGGCCTGGCTTCTTCAACCTCCAGGGCTGGGAAAGGAAAGGGAAAGAGGGAGAAGGGCGGGGATGAGGAAGGGGAGCCAAGAGGGCGGGAGAAAGGGGGAGTACGGCGGGGGAAGGGAGCTGAGGCGGAAGTCGAGGGGCCCCCCGGGTGGAAGTGACGCTGCCCCCGCTGCCCAAAATGTCGGCGCCCAGAGGGAGGTGTAAGTAATTAAAGAGGAAAGCCGACGGACTTCCCCGGCCTCCCGGGGCCGCCCCGGGTCTCCAGGACCAACGCTCCGTACGAGCGAGGTGGACTCGCCTGGCCCCGGGGCCTGCCCGACCTGCCCCCCAACCGGGCGCCCAGGGCTGCACCTTTTAGGGGCAGGGGGAGGGGCACAAAAGGCCGGCTCTCGGGGCCTGGGGCCTGGAGCAGACTGGGCAAGTGGGGGGGCCCGCTCCTCAGGCTGCGGGGTGGAGGAGGAGGCGGGGCCTAGTGGCTGCTGGGGCGGAGCAAGGGCTGGGAGGAGCCTGAGTTGGGCGGAGCTTAGAGTGGAAGTGGGAGGGGCGTGGAGGAGGGAGAGTCTGGATAGAAAATGGGAGGGTCTTAGGCAAAGAGGTGGGGTTTGATAAAGGGGCGTGGCTCAGAAGGAATGGTGGGTAGGCCCTGGATTGAGGGGTGGAAGGAAACTCATTGAGGCTGGTTGGGTAAAGGGAGCCCAGGAAGCAGGAGGGAGGAGTTTAGAGTAGAAGGGATGGAGTTTGTCTGGGGTGTGGCTTAGAGAAGTAGGTAGGCCTAGTGAGGGGGGTGGAGTTTAAGGGTGTAATTTGGAGGGGTTTAATGCAACTATCAGGTCTTTATAATGAATGTGGAAAGGACTTGCAGGGGATGGGAATAGACTTCGTAGAGAAGGCCTGAGAAGGTGACGGGAGTCCAGTGGAGAGTCTTAGAAAGGATGTGGCTTCTTTAAAGGAAAAATTGGGTGGAGTTTTGGAAGTGGGTCTTAGTGGACCCGAGAGGGGCTTAGATAAGTCAAATAACTTAGCAATCATGGTAGGACTTAAGGAGGAATCCAGGAGGAACTTACGGGATAATAGTCATCCAAACAGCTTACTTGTTGCGTCTTTGCTGTGCACCAGCTTAAGTGGGCACGTAGCATTTATTGCCACAATTTTACTTAATTCTCGCCACCACTCCATGAGGTAGGTACTACTATTCCCATTTTACAGATGAAGAATTTTTATTATCTGATGTTACAGGAGTAATTCTGGTCTCCCTGCAAGGATGACTCCAGTGTGCTTAGCCCCAAATCTTTGCCCTCCCATTCGCTAAGTGGTCATCCTGGAAGAGGAGTGGGAGGAGCTTAGAGGGGAGTGGGAGGGCCTTTTGGAAGGAAAAGGGCTTGGCAAAGAATACAAGATCCTTAGGGAACATTGTGGGGGACTTTGAAGGGAGTAGGTGGGACTTAAGGAAGAGTGGGAGAGGCTTAAATTACAGTGGGAGGGGCACAGAGAGCAGTGGCCGCGCATTGGCGAAGAGCGAGGAGAGGCTTAAAAACACTCCGTGGAGTGAGGAGACTATGAAGTGATTAGGAAGATTTTGCCACAGGCGTGGAGCCGCGAGAGAAGGGTTTCTAAGAGAGTAGGAGGATTTTAAAGAACAATGAGAGTGGCTTAGAGAGGTGGGCAGTGGGAGGGTCTCCCAGGGGACAGGTGGTGGGTCTGGGAACCTGGGAGGAGAGAGCTGATGGGGAGCCGACCCCCTCACCTGCTCCTCTGTCTCCCCACTACTCCAGAGAGAGCCCCCACATACCACTGTATTCCCCGCCACCATGGATGACGTCCCCGCCCCAACCCCTGCACCAGCACCGCCCGCCGCTGCCGCCCCCAGGGTCCCGTTTCACTGCAGTGAATGTGGCAAGAGCTTCCGCTACCGCTCAGACCTGCGGCGCCACTTTGCCCGGCACACAGCGCTCAAGCCCCACGCATGTCCGCGCTGCGGCAAGGGTTTCAAGCACAGCTTCAACCTAGCCAACCACCTGCGCTCGCACACCGGGGAGCGGCCCTACCGCTGCTCTGCCTGCCCCAAGGGGTTCCGCGACTCCACCGGCCTGCTGCACCACCAGGTGAGTCCCACAGGCCGGCCCTAGGCTGGCCTCCCTGGTCAGGACTACGGTGGGATCCCGCGCCCCACTGTACTCTGGGCAAAAGGAAGCTGGCCCAAGGCCTAGGCGCCCGCCTCCTCCCATTAGAAAATGTCCCTCCCTCCCTACCAAAGCACCCTGACCCTTGAAAGCATGCGCTATTTCTCATTCAGTCACCAGCAACCCACGAACTGGAACATTCATAGTAAATTTCCCCATCTATAGGCTCCTGCCCGCCCCATCTCCCTGCCAATACCCCGCGTGCACGCACCAGCATCTGCAATCTAGTGTTTATCCTTTCCTTCCTTACCGTTTTAAGACTTAGGTTTATCAGGTGTATACTTAATTCCTTTATTCATTGATTATCAGTTATATACTTAATTCCTTTATTCATTGACTATCAGCTTTCCCTGCACCAAACGGCTGTGTTGCCAAGGCAAAAGCAAATTCCATGCCTTCAGAAAACTTACTTTCTTTTGGAGGTGGTCAGTAGCCAAGTAGACAAGAAGCAAGAAAGCAAGTATGCTGGCAAGAATGTTCTGGAAAAAGATAGGAGGGAAATTTTAAGAAACAAAAAAATACTGGCCAGGCGCAGTGGCTCACACCTGTAATCCCAGCACTTTGGGAGGCCGAGGTGGGCAGATCATGAGGTCAAGAGATCGAGACCATCCTGGACAACATGGTGAAACTCTGTCTCTACTAAAAATACAAAAATTAGCCAGGCGTGTTGGCATGCACCTGTAATCCCAGCTACTTGGGAGGCTGAGGCAGGAGAATCGCCTGGACCCGGGAGGCAGAGGTTGCAGTGAGGTGAGATTGCACCATTGCACTCTAACCTGGGCGACAGAGCGAGACTCAGTCTCCAAACAAACAAACAAACAAAAAATACAAATCAATGTGTGAGAGTAAAGAGAGGAGAGCTATGGGCTACTTCAGACAGGTGGGGAAGGTTAGGGCAGGTGATACCTGAGCCAACCTGCAGTGTGAGGAATCCTCCCTGGGAAGAGCATTCCAGGCAGCAGGAACAGCAAGTGCAAAGGCCCTGAGGAAGGAAGGAGTGTGCTGTGTTCCAGGAAGCGATGGGAGACTGTGGGGTTGGGGTGGAAGGAGGTAAGGTGAAAGATGGGACGGGCTAGGTCACACTCTGTCTATGTGCCAGACACTTGCACAACCAGGGTGAAGAAAACCAGGCATCTACCGATGGTCTTTCACACTTGGCTGTCCTCTCTGTCCCCATGCATCTGCCTTGGTTCAGGACTTCACATCCTGAATGTTGGCCCCGGCTTTCTCAGTGGTCTCCCTCCTTCCTGTCTCTCTCCCTCACATCCAGTCTCTGCATCTATCACAGAGTGACCAGGTGACCCCTGCTTAAATCCCTTGATCCTTAGGATGAAAGGGGAGCTCCTTAGCTTGATGCAACAATTGACAGTCCCCTGAGGGGCCTCACCCCCACCCACCAGTAGGTTGTGATTCAACTGAACCATTTCAGGAGCACCTACTGTATTTAGATACAGTGCTAGGCTCTCTGGGGGAAAAAAAATAGCTAAGGGAACAAAACAGATACAGTCCACCCTTTGTATGGCCTCGAGTCAAATGTGGGAGATGTGAACTGAACAACTAGGTTAATCAATGTTAGGCTGCAGCCGAGACATCTGAGGATGGAGGATAACCATATTCTGAGGCTAATGCAAGAGAGAGCTGAAGCAGTCTGGATCGGGGATGGGGTCAGGGATGGTTTTCCCGAGAAAAAGGTGAGGAATGATCTGCCTCTGGGGTCCGAGGCTTTCCGGATCCAGGGAACAAAATGTGTACTTTCAAGGAAGCAAAGCAGGCTTTGGAGGAACTGGAGGAAGGCCAATGTGACTGGAGCATGGAGAAGCAGAAAGTGTGGCTCAGGAGAAGTCTGGAGAGTGCCGGACCCTGGAAATACAGCTGTGAGCAAAACCAATGTGGTCACTATTTTTATCGTCCTTAGCTGGTGGGGAGACAGACAACACTCAAGTTATATGTAGACACTAAGTGTGCTATGAGCCATAGGCTTTAAAGAAGGAGGGTGGAAGAGGATCACTGATGAGCCAGGGGGCCAGATTCCGGGAAGGGTTTCCAAGGAGCTGACAGATAAATAGACCTACGGGCATTCCAGGCAGTGAGAACAGCATGTACAAGGGCCCTGGGACCAGCATAATCTTGTTGTGTTAAAAGAGTAGAGAGAGAATAAATTTAGTGACAAAGAGGATAGAGATCCCTACACCCACACTGTACAGCAGGTGCATCGAGTCTGGAGCCAGAAAGGCAAATGAACATCACTCCCTGTTCCTTCTTCAGATCTGTGCCCCTGGCAGACATTACTAATCAAGCACTGCACTCTTTCTCATCCAGCCTCACCCTTCTCCTCACAGGCCTCCAGGAAGACATTACCATACTCACAAATCTCTCTCTGTTATTCCAAAATCTTAAATCAACAAGGACAAATATCAATACAAAAAACCTCTCTAAGGCACGGTTTTACACAGTCTACAAGCCTGGCAATGCCTCAGAAAAAAATACAGATTCCTGGACTCCCTCCTGGGAGATTCGATTCCCTAGACTTGGAAGTGATTCCCTGGATCTGTATGTGTGAAAAGCGTTCAGTGGGAGAAACTCTGAGCAGTAGCCGGATTCGGTTCAAAATCACTTCTCTGCCCTAACACACCTAAGGCCTGTATTCAGCTCATGATAACTGGCTCGGGATAGCAGGGCTTGACAAGGGAGAAGACACACCCTGCTAGGGCTGGCTGCTGTGTCACTTTAGAGCTGCACTGTCCAGTATAGCCATTAGCCACCGATAGTGATTTCTTTTTTTTTTTTTTTTTTTTTTGAGACAGAGTCTCGCTCTGTCGCCCAGACTGGAGTGCAGTGGCGCGATCTCGGCTCACTGCAAGCTCCGCCTCCCGGGTTCATGCCATTCTCCCGCCTCAGCCTCCTGAGTAGCTGGGACTACAGGCGCCCGCCACCACGCCCGGCTAATTTTTTGAATTTTTAGTAGAGACGGGGTTTCACCGTGTTAGCCAGGATGGTCTCGATCTCCTGACCTCATGATCCGCCCGCCTCGGCCTCCCAAAGTGCTAGGATTACAGGCGTGAGCCACCGCACCCGGGCTTTTTTTTTTTTTTTTTGAGACAGAGTCTCGCTCTGTCACCCAGGCTAGAGTGCAGTGGCACGTCTTTGGCTCACTGCATCCTCCACCTCCCGGGTTCAAGTGATTCTTCTACCTCAGCCTCCTGAGTGGCTGGGACTACAGGTCCCTGGGACTACCCGCCACCAGGCCCGGGTAATTTTTGTATTTTTAGTAAAGGCAGGGTTTCACCATGTTGATCAGGTTGGTCTCGAACTCTTGACCTCAAATGATCCACCCACTTCAGCCTCCCAAAGTGCTGGGATTACACACGTGAGCCACCGCACCCAGTCGTGTTTTTTTGTTTTTTTTGAGACACAGTCTCACCCTGTCATGCAGGCTGTAATGTGGTGGCATGGTCACGGCTTACTGCAGCCTCAAACTTCTTGGCTCAGCCTCCCAGGTAGCTGGGACCACAGGAGTGTGCCGTGTCCAGCTAGTTTTTAAAATTATTTGTAGAGACAAGGTTTCCCTGTGTTGCCTGGGCTGGTCTCAAACACCTAGGCTTATGCAATCCCAGAGTGCTGGGATTACAGGCGTGAGCCACCATGGCCAGCCAGGACATGGCCTTTTTAAGGACCGAAAGAATCTACCGTGACCCCAAACAGAGAGTGATAGGACGAGCGTTTCCCTAGATCATGGCCCTGTAGGTGTGACAGAGAGCTTGTGCCACAACCCTCTGGGAGTCCAGGAATCCGTTGTCCGGGCTAGGTTCTCAGCCCTGACGTTGTGCCCTTCCTCCCGCACCCCTAGGTCGTCCACACTGGTGAGAAACCCTACTGCTGCCTGGTCTGCGAGCTCCGCTTCTCCTCACGCTCCAGCCTGGGCCGCCACCTCAAGCGCCAGCACCGTGGGGTTCTCCCCTCTCCCCTGCAGCCCGGCCCTGGCCTGCCCGCCTTGAGTGCGCCCTGCTCCGTCTGCTGCAATGTGGGGCCCTGCTCGGTGTGCGGGGGCTCAGGGGCCGGCGGCGGAGAGGGCCCCGAGGGGGCAGGCGCGGGTCTGGGCAGCTGGGGGCTGGCAGAGGCGGCAGCTGCGGCCGCGGCCTCCTTGCCCCCATTTGCGTGCGGCGCCTGCGCGCGGCGCTTCGACCACGGCCGCGAGCTGGCGGCCCACTGGGCGGCGCACACCGACGTGAAGCCCTTCAAGTGCCCGCGCTGCGAGCGCGACTTCAACGCGCCCGCGCTGCTGGAGCGGCACAAGCTGACGCACGACCTGCAGGGCCCGGGCGCGCCCCCAGCGCAGGCCTGGGCCGCGGGGCCAGGCGCAGGGCCCGAGACGGCGGGCGAAGGCACCGCTGCGGAGGCGGGCGACGCTCCTCTGGCTTCGGACCGCAGGCTGCTCCTGGGCCCCGCGGGGGGCGGCGTGCCCAAGCTCGGGGGGCTGCTCCCCGAGGGCGGTGGGGAGGCGCCTGCACCTGCGGCGGCCGCCGAGCCCTCGGAAGACACCCTGTACCAGTGCGACTGCGGGACCTTCTTTGCGTCGGCCGCGGCCCTGGCCAGTCACCTGGAGGCCCACTCGGGCCCGGCCACCTACGGCTGCGGCCACTGCGGGGCTCTGTACGCGGCGCTGGCCGCCTTGGAGGAGCACCGGCGGGTCAGCCACGGTGAGGGCGGCGGGGAGGAGGCGGCGACCGCCGCCCGGGAAAGGGAACCGGCGTCCGGGGAACCCCCGTCTGGCTCCGGCCGCGGCAAGAAGATCTTCGGCTGCTCCGAGTGCGAGAAGCTGTTCCGCTCACCGCGAGACCTGGAGCGGCACGTGCTGGTGCACACTGGCGAGAAGCCGTTCCCGTGCCTGGAGTGCGGCAAGTTCTTCCGCCACGAGTGCTACCTCAAGCGCCACCGGCTGCTGCACGGCACCGAGCGGCCCTTCCCTTGCCACATCTGCGGCAAGGGCTTCATCACGCTCAGCAACCTCTCCAGGCACCTGAAGCTGCACCGGGGCATGGACTGACTGCCAGGCTGCGTGCGCCCTGCCCTCCACCCAGCCTCCTGGACTCGGCCTGGACCAGGGGACCTCGGGACTGCGCGTGAGGCCCCGGCCCTCCAAATCCAAATCCAGACGCAGGCCCTGAAATGAGGGGACCCTGACTGGAGAGGTGGGGGCCACCAAAAACCCACAAAGGCCCCGGAGCTGGGGGACCACAAACAAACAGGGTCCTTAGCTGGGGCAGGGGAGCCCAAATCTAGGGAGAGACTCCTGAGCCTGAGGTCCCTGGAATGAGTGTGGGTAGCCGTAAGTCCCCAAGACATGGGGACTTTGCAGTGAGCAATGGGTCTCCACAAGTACCTCTCATCTTGAGAGCCCTAATACTAAAAGATGGGCACCCACCCCCACCAAGGGAAGACTGCCCCATTCCCTGAGAGCCATCATTCCTAACGACCTTGATCTGGAGAATGTGGAGGGAGCATGTCCCTGAATTTTCCTAGATCCCTCCAAATGCCACCCACCAGAGTCACTGGTGACCCCAGAAAATGGATATAGCCGAAATCTGCCTTTCCCCTTTTTCATTCCCTGTGCTGAAAGAGGGACCAGGGTAGATGCCCCCTGCCCTCGAATCCCCCCTCCCCGACTGTGGAATGGATCGACCCTAACGATCTTCCCCGCCCCAAACACTAGAATAGACTGGCCTGAAATCCCCTTGCCCAGTAGAATGGACTGATCTATGTGCACACACCCCCATCACATGGAATGGGCTGGTCTAGGCTGTGGCCTGCCACCTTCCTTAGAGTGAATAGGGCGGACACTCCTCTCTTTTCCTGTAGCGTGTGGACCGGTCCACGCAATTCTTTATCCTGTGAACTCATCTGAGTGGGAGGTGGTGGACACTGGGGTTTCCTTCCCTCTCTCCGTAGCATCCGTTGGTCTTTCTCTCCATCTCTGTTGGTTTGTCTGTCTCTGTCTTCCTCCCAATCCCTAGGGGAAGGGGGCATTTGGCTAGGGGGTGCCCCTGTGAGCCTCGACCTTGCCCCCTCGTCCCTCTCCCCAGTGTTTCCAGGACCCCCAATAAACCTTGTCCTGTCAGTCGCTGATGCCTCATTTTCTGATCCTTGGCTCCAGGCGGGGGGGATGGGGAATCTCTTAGGACAGACTCCCTAAATAGAGACGGGTCCTCGTTTTCTCCTGAGAAGTTTCAAAGCTTTGAATAGTACATGCCCTTTTAAATTAGAGTCGGTTTAGGCTGGGCTTGGTGGCTCACGCTTGTAATCCCAGCACTTGGGGAGGCCGAGGCAGATAACCTGAGGTCAGGAGTTCAAGACCGTGCCTGGCCAACATGGGGAAACCCTGTTTCTACTAAAAATACAAAAATTAGCCGGGTGTGATGGCACATGCCTGTAATCCCAGCTACTCGGGAGGCTGAGGCAGGAGGATCTCTTGAACCTGGGAGGTGGAGGTTGCAGTGAGCCGATATTGCACCACTGCACTCCAGCCTGAGCAACAGAGCGAGACTCTGTTTCATAAATAAATACAATTAGAGTCAGTATCAATCAAAATGAGTTCCGTCCCTTAAATACATGATCCACCTCCAACAGACGGACACGCCCCCTAGAAACTAGACACGCCCTTTAGAAGTCACCAATCTTATAGGACACACCCCTTGGAAACCAAACTGCCTCATTAGAGGCGTGTCTGAGCAGAGGCCCCGCCTCTTAGATGCTGCCTTGGACCCTATACCAGACCCCCAGAATAGGACCCGCTCATCAGAGAATTGGGGGTGGGGGTGCCTTCAGACTGTCTCCTGCACACTGCATTGTGTTCCCGTACTGAAGGCTTATTCTGAGCCAGGCGTTGGAACTCCCTGTGGGGATCATCCCGGCCCTCCTGGGGTTTATGTTCTGTCGTGTAGGCGACGGGTATGGAGAAAAGAGGAATCAAGTAAATGTAGAAAATAATTTCAGATCGTCCTGAGCATTCTGAAGGCAATAGGGAAGGGTGGTAAGAAAATGAATGGCCACCTTACTCACTTTTTATGCCACCTTAGATGGGGTGGTCCATGTGGGCTTCTCGGCGGAGGTGGCGTTTGATCTGAGCCCTGAAGGGTAAGGGTGAGCAAGGACCTGCCAGGAGGATGCCCAAATGGACACAGGAGGAAAGTGAGCTCAGGGAGGGAAGGATGAGATGAGGTTAACAGGTGGGTAGACGTCACATCACAGTAAGCCAGGCAAGCCAAAACAGGTGTTTGACTGTGTTCTCTGGGTGATGGGAAGCAAAGTGTTAATCGAGGAGGGAAGGGACCACCCTTGCATCTTACCAAGATCCCTGTGGCTGCTGAGTGTAAACGAAGCTGCAGGACGCAGAGTCAGGAGAGTGCAGCGCTCCTGCAGTCCAGGAGAAACTTGTGGGAGCCTAAACCAGAGTGACCAACAGAAATCACGCCTGTAACCCCAGCACTTTGGGAGGTCGAGGCGGGAGAATCACTTGAGCTCAGGAGTTTGAGACCAGCCTAGGCAACATAGTGGGACCCTGTCTGTACTAAACATAATAAAATAAAACAAAACAAAGAAATGGGTGGGTTGGAGATGAACTCTGGAGTACGAATGCAGAGGACTGGTTGTGTGCATGTGTGTATTGGTTGGGGGTGAGTGTAATGGGAAGGGAGAAATCAGGAATAAATGGTTGAGTGGTGGCATTTCTTACTAAGACCAGAAAACTGAGGGAGGACACATTTAAGTAGGAGTTTAGGAGAATCAAAGTTTCCTCCCCTTTAGTTCCTTAAGATTTTTTTGTTTGTTTTTGAGATAGGGGCTCACTCTGTTGCCCAGACTGGAGTGCAATAGTGTGATCTCGGCTCACAGCAAACTCCACCTCCTGGGTTCAAGTGATTCTCATGCCTTAGCCTCCCAAGTAGCTGGGATTACAGATGTGCACCACTACACCTAGCTAATTTTTGTATTTTTAGTAGAGACGGGCTTTCACCATGTTGGTCAGATTGGTCTCGAACTCCTGACCTCAGGTGATCGATCTGCCCGCCTCGGCCTCCCAAAGTGCTGGGATTACAGGTGTGAGCCACTGCACCCTGCTGAGTTTCTTAAATTAAATGCCCCACAGGTTGCCATTCTCAAATATTGAACATACATATATCCTGTGATGCAGGAATTCTACTGCTAGGCGTAAATGCTAACTCAAGTCCCCCTGCACCCAGAGACATACAAAAACATTCATAGCAGCAATACTTTCAACCCCAAACTCAGGACAACCAAAACGCCCATCAGCAATACAGTGGATAATTAGCGATGGCATATTATGCAGTGGAATACTATACGGCAACAAGAATGAATGAGCTGCAGATAAACACAGTATCATGAATGAAAGTTACAAAGATACAGGACCCAAAAAGCCAGAAACAGAGCATGATTTCATTTACATAACATTGAGGCCAGGTGCAGTGGCTCACGCCTATAGTCCCAGCACTTTGGAAGGCCAAGGCAGGAGGATTGCTTGAGTCCAGGAGTTCGAGATCAGCCTGGGCAACATGGCAAGACCCCGTCTCGAGTAAAAATACAAAAAATAGCCAGGTGTGGTGGCGTGTGCCTGTAGGCCCAGCTACTCGGGGGGCTGAGACAGGAGGATCGCTGGAGCCTGGGGTAGGGGGACGGAGGTTGCAGTGAGCTAAGATCATTCCACTGCATTCCAGCCTGGCCAACAGAGGGAGACCCTGTCTCCAAAAAAAAAAAAAAAAAAAAAGCAAACCCATTATAATGCACATAAAACTAAACTGTAATATTGTTAAGGATACATTGTCAGTAGTAAACCATATAAAAAAGCAAGGACAACAATGTCCTATAAAACTCAGAATAGTGGACTGGACAAGTTAAGCGGGAGGGGATATCCTGGAAGTTTCCACGGTTGCTGATAGCCGACAAAGTTCTAGTTCTTAATCGGACGATCATTTTATAATTATTTATTCAATTGTGTGTTTGTATTGTGCATTTTTTCTCTGTGTGTCTTATATTTCACAAAGAAGATATTTTAGGCTGGGCGAGTTGACTCATGTCTGTAATCCCAGCAATTTCAGAGGCTGAGGCAGGAGGATGGCTTGAGCTCAGGAGTTCGAGACCAGCCTAGGCAACATAGTGAGATCCTGTCTCTACCAAAAACAAAACAAACAAACAAACAAAAAACCGGCATGGTGGTGCACGCCTGTAGTCCCAGTTACTTGGGAGGCTGAGCTGAGAGGATCACTTGAGCTCAGGAGGTCGAGGTTGCAGTGAGCTATGATCGCACCACTGCACTCCAGCCTGGGCGACAGAGTGCGACCCCGTCTCAAAAATAAAAAATAATTCCGAACGTGTTGGCTCACGCCTGTAATCCCAGCACTTTTGGAGGCTGAGGCAGGCGGATCACTTGAGTTCAGGACCACCCTGGGCAATATGGTGAAATGCCGTCTCTACTAAAAATACGAAAATTAGCTGGGCATGGTGGTGCACGCCTGTAATCCCAGCTACTCGAGAGACTGAGGCGGGAGAATCGCTTGAACCTAGAAGGCAGAGGTTGCAGTGACCCAAGAACATGCCACTGCACTCCAGCCCGGGTGACAGAGCGAGACGTCCGTCTGAAAAAATAAATTAATTAATTAAAATTTAAAATATAAATTAAAAAAGAAAGAAAAAGAAAGGAAAATTTAAAGGAGGAAGACATATTCTGGGAGGAGAAAACAAGTAAGAGTTTAGCACTCAAGGGAGACTTTTTGAATGGAGATCCACTGTTGCCTGTTTGAAAAAGCTCAACCTTTGGGAATAAAATCAGCTAAATCTTAGAGATATTCCTCTCCACTCTGCAACCGCCACTCAAAAACCAGACATGCTTTCTGGTTTGAGAAAAAAAGTATCTTCTTTCGAGAAACAAGGCCCGCCCACTTCGAAGCAGGCACCGCCCCCAGGGACAAGACCCGCCCACTCCGAGACCGGCTTAGAGACAGGCTGAGCCCCGGAGCTGCGCACTGGAAAGGCGCCAGCGTTGCCATGGAGATGGCCGCCGGCCAGGGAGTAATGAATAGGGACCTCGCGAGGCTGAGGTTCCCACCCACCTCACCTGCACCACAGTCCTTTCTCTTCTGGGGCGGTAACGAGAAGGACCCATCCCATTTCCTCCGTGTCTCACAAGCGCCCGGTGCTGGACTGGACACTGCACCCAACGCGTCACATAGCGGCCCCATTTTATAGATACGCTGATTGAGGTTGGAGGGGGGGTGGGAAGCGAGGAGAGGACAGGAGCGGGAATTTTACCCTGAGGACGATCTCAACCGTTGCAAAACATTAATTACTAGCCAGACGCCGGCGACTCACACGCCTGTGTTTGGCGAGCTGATTCCTGCGTGCAGACCTTGGAGCCAGCCAGCGTCCTGCACGCTTGCCTGAGCGGGAGTCTCCCCCGGGCCCCCGAGCCTTCTTCCTTTCAGGAACAGCCTCACTCCTCCCACCCTTCATCCCTTTTTATTCATCCACAAATGCTTGTTAAGCCCCTTGTCTGTCCCGGGCAGCCACCTGTGGGCAGAGCCGTTAAACAGGCAAAACAAGCCCCTTCCCTTGTGGAGTTTTTATTCTAGTGGCAGGGGAGATAGGGAATCCATGGGACATTCACACATTGCCTAGTGTGTGTTCGTGATAAGTACCATGTTGAAAATTAAAGGCCGGCGCCGTGGCTCACGTCTGTAATCCCAGCACTTAGGGAGGCCGAGACGGGAGGATCACCTGAGGTCAGGAGTTCGAGACCAGCCTGACCAACATGGCGAAACCCCGTCTCTACTAAAAATACAAAAAAGAATTAGCTGTGCGTGGTAGCAGGCGCCTGTAATCCCAGCTACTCGGGAGGCTGAGGCAGGAGAATCGCTTGAACCCAAGAGGCGGAGGTTGCAGTGAGCTGGGATTGCATCACTGCACGCCAGCCTGGGCGACAGAGCGAGACCCTGACTGAAAAAAAAAAAGAAAGAAAAAAGAAAAAAAGAAAAGAAAAAAGAAAATTAAGGCAAGGTGAAGGCCAGAGGGTGACGAGAGGCTATTTTAGCCTGGGTGGACAAGACAGGTGTCTCCAGGAAGCTGTAGGAGTGAGGGACGTAAGCGAAGCTGGATGCAAACCTCGGGAGGGCTTTCCAGGCCGGGGCAACCGCAAGTGCAAAGGCCCTAACTCGGGACAGAGCGGAGAGGGCGATGTAACGCGGAGAGGGAGGTAGGAAGGGAGGGAGGCACCGGGGTCCAGGCAAGCAGGGCCTTGAGGACGGGGGTGCACGTGGGGGTCATTAGGGAAGCTCTGGGTGTTATTCCGAGGGAGATGGGGAGCCATGGACGGGAGGGTGTTGGGCTCAGGAGTGAGGTGATATGATTTCTGGGTGCTGGAGGCTGCACGGGAGAGGGGGGGGCTGGAAGCAGGAGAGCCAATGAGGAGGGGGAGACGGTGGGACTGGCATCGGGGAGTCCAGCCCTGAGCCAGTCAGCGACAAGCCCCGCCCCCTGCCCAGGGAGCCGCCTTCCCAGCCGGAGGTCGAGGGGCCCAGGCCCCCCCTCTAGCACCTGGGCCCCCGCCCCCCTCCTCCCGGCTCCCCGCCTCGGTCTCCCCAGCATCCGGCCCGGCCTCCACGCGGGTCCCACAGGAATTTCTCTAAAACACTAATCGGATCATGTGACTCTCCTGCTTAAAACCTTTTCAATGGCTTCTCAGTGCACTCGGAATGAGTCCAAGCTCAGCCTGGACTCGGAGGCCCGGCACGGTCGCTGGGTGCAGCTCTGGCCTCTCTCCGCCACACTGGCCTCCTTTATGCCCTAATGCAAGACCCCCAACCCCATCCCCCGCCATGTGCTGGGGAAGCAGAGCGCAAACCCCCTTCCATGTGCTGTGCTCTCTGCTTAAAGTTTTCTTTTCTATCACCTCCATTCCTGAATTCATTATTATTTCTCCTCCTCATCCATCTTTCAAGCCTTCAAAATATAGATGATAAAATAGTACACACATCCTTGGTATATACCCAAAAGAATTAAAAACAGCTGTTCAAACAAAAACTTACACACCAATGTTTATAACAGCACTATTCACAATAGCCCAAAGATAGATGCAACCCAAATATCCATCAACAAATGAATGGATAAACAAAATGTAGGTGACAGCGGCCCTCCACATCCGTGGGTTCTGCACCCTCAGATAGGAGGCTGTAAGGGACTCGATCACCCAGGGATTTGGAATCTGAGGAGAGTCCTGGAACCAATCCCCTGCGGACACCGAGGGATGACTGCACTCACGCAGAGGAATACTATTCAGCCACAAAAAGGAGTGAAGAACCAACTCATGCCATGGCACGCATGAAGCTTAGAAACATTATGCTGGCCAGGTGAGGTGGCTCACGCCTGTAATCCCAGTGCTTCAGGAGGCCGAGGTGGGCTGGTCATCTGAGCCCAGGAGTTCAAGACCACACTGGGCAACATGGCGAGATCCCATCTCTACCAAAAACAAAAATCAGCCAGGCGTGGTGGTGCATGCCCGTAGTCTCAGCTATCTGGGAGGCTGAGGTGGGAGAATCGCTTGAGCCCTGGTGGTGGAGGTTGCAGTGAGCCGTGATTGCACCAATGCACTCCTGCCTGGGCGACAGAGAAAGACCCTGTCTCACTTTTTAAAAAGAGGGGGGCAATGTCCTTTGTGGAGGAGGAGGAGAAACTTTTATGCAAAGTGAAAGAAGCTAGTCACAAAGGAACACATATGGTATGATTATTCCATTGATATGAAATGTCCAGAATAGGCAAATTCATAGAGACAGAAAACTGATTATTAGTTGACAGGGGCTGGGGATAGAAGGGAGTGTGGGAATGACTGCTAATGGGCTTAGGGTTTGTTTGGGCTGATGAAAAGGTTCTGGAACTAGGCTGGACATGGTGGCATACGCCTGTAATCCTAGCACTTTAGGAGGCTCAGGTGGGAGGATGGCTTGAGACCAGGAGTTCAGATGAGGCTAGGGAACAAAGCAAAACCCCATATCTACAAAAAGAAAGAAAGAAAGAAAGAAAGAGACTCACGCCTGTAATCCCAGCACTTTGGGAGGCCAAGGCAGGTGGATCACCTGAGGTCGGGAGTTTGAGACCAGCCTGACCAACATGGAGAAACCCTGTCTCTACTAAAAATACAAAATAAGCTGGGCATGGTGGCACATGCCTGTAATCCCAACTATTTGGGAGACTGAGGCAGGAGAATCGCTTGAACCCAGGAGGCGGAGATTGCGGTGAGCCGAGATCACGCCATTGCACTCCAGCTTAGGCAACAAGAGTGTAACTCTGTCTCAAAAAAAAAAAAAAAAAAAGAGTTCTGGAACTAGACAGCGTGGATAGTTGTGCAACATTTACTTAGTGCCATTGAGCTGTGTGATTTAAAATGGTTACAATTATAAAGTTTAAGTGTATTTTACAAAAAACATGTTAAAATACACACACCCATATTCTGACTACCAGCTTTGAAATATTAGGGATACAAATGACTCCCCGCGGACCACCCCCTCCAAGATCTGATTGCCTCTCCTATCTCAAACATAACTTATATCTTGAATTTGGTGCCTATTATTACCACAGACATTTTTAGACTTTTATTCCATGGTATATATTCTTTAAAATATAGTATTATGGACAAGGTGCTTTTAAAAAGCATGCTCCTAGTCTGGGCACGGTAGTTAATGCCTGTAATCCCAGCACTTTCGGAGGCTGAGGTGGAAGGATTGCTTGAGCTCAGGAATTCAAGACTAGCTTGGGCAACAGAGTGAGACCCCATTCCTATTTTATTTATTTATTTATTTATTTATTTATTTATTTATTTATTTATTTGAGACGGAGTCTTGCCCTGTCGCAGGCTGGAGTACAGTGGCACGATCTCGGCTCACTGCAACTTCCGCCTCCCAGGATCAAGCGATTCTCCTGCCTCAGCCTCCGGACTAGCTGGGATTGCAGGCGCGCACCACCATGCCCAGCTAATTTTTGTATTTTTAGTAGAGACGGTTTCACCGTGTTGGCCAGGCTGGTCTTGAACTCCTGACCTCAAGTGATCTGCCTCCCTCGGCCTCCCAAAGTGCTGGGATTACAGGCATGAGCCACCACGCCCGGCCTTTTATTATTTCTTTTAAATCATGCTTCTGATCCACTATCATTTCTCCTATCTGTTTGTGAAGTGAAACTTCTTACTGAGACTCGCTAGGTTTGGAAACTTCTAGTATCTCACTTTCATCCTCTGTAAAAGGGAAAAATAATGGTACCTACTTCATAAAGCAAGGAGTAAATGGGATCATATTTGTAATACGCTCACAAGAGTAAGCTATTATTTTTCATTTCATTTATTTTTATAATCCCCATGTATTTCTTTTTCCTTTACTTTTTTCTTTTCTTTTTTTTTTTTTTTTTTTTTTTGAGGTGGAGTTTTGCTCTGTTGCCCAGGCTGGAGTGCAATGGCACGATCTCAGCGCACTGCAACCTCTGCCTCCCAGGTTCAAGCCATTCTCCTGCCTCAGCCTCCTGAGTAGCTGGGATTATAGGCATGTGCCATTATGCCTGGCTAATTTTTGTACCTTTTGTAGAGATGGGGTTTCACCATGTGGGCCAGGCTGGTCTTGAACTCCTGGCCTCAGGTGATCTGCCCACCTGGGCCTCCCAAAGTGCTGAGATTACAGGCGTGAGCCACCATGCTTGGCCTCCTTTACTTTTTTGAGTATATAGCACATTCACACGGTTTTGAATTCAAAAAGTACAAAAAGCCGGGCACAGTGGCTAATGTCTGTAATTCCAGCACTTTGGGAGGCCGAGGCAGGTGGATTGCTTGAGCCCAGGAGTTCAAGCCCAGCCTGGGCAACATAGGGAGACCCCATCTCTACAAAACATACAAAAATTAGCCAGACATGGTGGCACACTCCTGTAGCCCCACCTACTCAGGAGGCTGAGGTGGGAGGATTGCTTGAGCCCGGGAGGTCGAGGCTGCAGTGAGCCGAGATCACACCACTGCACTTCCTCCAGCCAGCCTGGGCAACAGAAGGAGATCTCATCTCAAAAGAAAACAAAACAAAACAAAAAAAAACAAACAAACAAAAAAACAAGGATAGAGTGTAGTAAATTTCTGTCCTGGAAGTTAGACTATGTTGCCAGTTTCAGTTTCTTCTCTCTTGTTCCAGTTCATCTGGACACAATCCCAGAACACACACAAACCCAGAACAGGCTGCAGGCTGTACTTGACCTTCCATTTTTCTCTTCTACAGGTTATCACTTGGAGACTTACCATATATGCACACGGTGAGCTTCTTTGTTCTTTTCTATGGACACCTAGTATTCCACTGGGTGGATCAGTCATGATTTATTACTCAGCTCTCCTACAGATGGGTGTTTAGATTGGTTTCAGCTGTTTGCAGTGATGTGCAGTACTGCAATGATTAACCTGGTGCAGACATTATTTTGTGCAGTTCCGAGTAGATGCCTCTGAAGAATAAATTCCTGGAATTGCTGGCTCGGTAAGAATGTTCCAGGTTCTACTTGCCCCAGCCGTGTATGAAAGGACCTGTTTGCTCGCACTCTCATTAGCACTGTTTGGCAGGAATGTAACCTTAAACAAACAGCGTCAAGCTGTGGGTATACTCCTGCAAAATGCCTTTTCTGCTCCAGAATAGGTTTCTGAGATGTCGCCAGGTTGGTTTCATTCTGCCAATTTCAGCTGAAACATTGCTGCCTCCAGGAAGACCTCAGGAATCACCTCCTCCCAGTGTGAGCTCAGCTCAGTGCCTTCTGTTCTCTGCATTCCCATAGCAGTTCCCTGCCTCGGAGCACACGTTCCCCCACATGCACTCCAGCGTGATTGATCCGTATCTATCTGCCTTCCCCATCAGACAGTGAGCTCCGGTTTTTGCCACTGTGACTCCAGCACCAAGGACAGCACCAGCCCATAGTAGGTGCTCAGTAAACATTGGCTGCTAAGGTCCCAGTGAATATGCGTATATGTAGACAAATATATGCAGGCTGGCCCGTAGTAGATATTCAGTAAATATTGGTCGCTTAGGGTTGAATGAGTATATGCAGGGGCTTTCACAAAGGGGGAAACCGAGGCTCGAAGTGGGAGAATCCTTCACCCAGACAGCCAAGGGAAGGCTGGAGCCAGGTTCTGATCCAGAGTGCCAGTACTTCCTGAAGCCTCTGTCACTGATTCATTCATCTTCCTCCCCCGGCCACTCCCCTGGCCTGACACAGTGCCTGGCACAGACAGGACCTGATAAATGTGTATTTGTTGAAGGAATGAATGAATATGTGTGTGTGCATGTTGGGGAGCCGGGAGTAGCTGGACCCAGTGTTCCAGGCCCTCAGCACCCTCCGCCCTCTGGGAGCCCGGGGGACAGGCCCCCAGCCCCCTCCCCTCACAGGACCCTGTAGTGCAAGCTGCCTTCCCTCCCCTCTCCAGGTCCCCCGTCCTCCCGCTTCCGGCTTCCCAGCCAGTCTTTCCTCTTTCAGGCTCCGAGGAAAGGCCAGGTTTCCGGGGGGAAGGCTTAGGCAGTGACACCGAGCCCAGCCTCCTCCTCCACCCCCCACCACGCTCAGGCCCCCCTCCCTCCCCGCCACCACCGTCCGCGTTTGGCCGGCCGTGGGGAAGGAAGAAAGGAGCCAAGGAGGCGAGGTAAGAACCCAGCCCCAGCGACCAGGACCAAGCCCCAGGCCCAGGGCTGAGAAATCCTCAAGGCCTCGACCCGGCCCCAATTCTGCTGATCATGCCTTCGGGGAGCTGCAGGCTTGGCCCGGAGGAGATCGGCCCCCCTCTAGGACCTGGGACCCCCGACCCCCACCAGCCTCCCTCCCGAGTCCAGGGGTCCGGCCCTCAGTCGCCTCCTCCCTGGGGATTCCCGGCAGCTGGGTCCCCAGCCCCCGCCTCCCCCTTGTCCTGGGAGCCCAGCCCCCTCCCCAGCCCCTCCTCCACCGGGACCCAGGAATCCACACCTCCTCCATACCAGAGTCCAGATTCCCCAATCCGTCATGACCTGGACCCAGGAGTCTCAATCCCCAGCTCCCATCCCCATCAGTCCCAAGAGTCTGGGCCCCTAGCCCCCTCCCAACTCAGACCAGAAGTCTGAACCCTCCTACTCCCCGACCTCTCCCAGCCCCTGGCATCTGAGAACACACTCTATTTCCGGGGCCTACCGGCTTCAAATCCCACCCCCTCCACTCAGGCCCCATGGGCTGTGTCCCAGCCCCTCCCAAAACGTTCAGCCTGGCCGGGGGACCTGGAGCAGAAGCGGTTCGCTGACTTTGTCCCCCTCCGTGCCTCTGCCCAGTTCACTCCCTCTGTGTCTCTGTCTCCCTGTCTCTCCGGCCCCCAACCCGCCACTGCTCTTCTGATCTCTGCTCTTGCACTATCTCTGCCTCTGGTTCTCCAAGTCTCTTTGTTTCCTCTTCTCTGTGTCTCTGTCTCTCTGCTGGGTGTTCCTCACTCTCCTCTGTCTCTTCTCTGCTCTGCCTTTCACCATCCTGTCTTTCTGCGACTCCTGGTCTCTGTCTGTCCATCCCCACTTCTCTGTGTCTCCCATCTCTGCCTTCTCCTGTCTCTATTCCCTGCTCTGTCGCTCTGTCTCTGATCTCTCTCCTCCTGTCTCTCCATCTCTGGCCTCCCCTCGGTGTCTCTCATCTTTGTCTCTGTCTCATATCTCTCTCCTGGCTAAATACCTGACCCTCTCTGCCTCTCCATCTCTGACTGTCTCTGCTTCTCTTTCTGCCACACCCCACGCACCTCTTTTTATCTCTGCCCCGCTTCCCATCTCTCCCCTCTCTCCCCACAGGCATGGATCCGCAGCCTCCTCCACCCGCCCAGGGCAGCCCACCTCACCGTGGCCGAGGCCGGGGCCGTGGCCGAGGCCGTGGTCGGGGCCGTGGCCGTGGCAGGGGGGGCGCTGGAGCCCCTAGGGCGCCCCTGCCCTGCCCCACCTGCGGCCGCCTCTTCCGTTTCCCCTACTACCTCTCCCGGCACCGGCTGAGCCACTCGGGGCTCCGGCCCCACGCCTGCCCGCTGTGCCCCAAGGCCTTCCGCCGGCCGGCCCACCTTTCCCGCCACCTGCGCGGCCACGGGCCCCAGCCCCCGCTGCGCTGCGCCGCCTGCCCCCGCACCTTCCCAGAACCGGCCCAGCTCAGGCGCCACCTGGCTCAGGAGCACGCGGGCGGCGAGGTCGAGCTGGCCATCGAGAGGGTGGCCAAGGAGACGGCCGAACCCAGCTGGGGCCCGCAGGACGAGGGCTCGGAGCCGCCCACCACCGCTGCAGCAGGGGCCACGGAGGAGGAGGCGGTCGCAGCGTGGCCTGAGACGTGGCCTGCGGGGGAGCCTTCCACGCTGGCTGCGCCCACCAGCGCCGCGGAGCCCCGGGAGTCGGAGTCGGAGGAGGCCGAGGCCGGGGCAGCAGAGCTGAGGGCCGAGCTGGCGCTGGCGGCCGGGCGGCAGGAGGAGAAACAGGTCCTGCTCCAGGCAGACTGGACGCTGCTGTGTCTGCGCTGCCGCGAAGCCTTCGCCACCAAGGGCGAGCTCAAGGCGCACCCGTGTCTGCGCCCCGAGGGCGAACAGGAAGGGGAAGGGGGGCCCCCGCCACGCCCCAAGCGACACCAGTGCTCCATCTGCCTCAAGGCCTTCGCCAGGCCCTGGTCCCTGTCGCGCCACCGGCTGGTCCACTCCACCGACCGCCCTTTCGTGTGCCCAGACTGCGGCCTGGCCTTCCGCCTCGCCTCCTACCTCCGCCAGCACCGCCGCGTCCACGGCCCCCTCAGCCTGCTGGCCCCGCTGCCCGCGGCGGGCAAGAAGGACGACAAGGCCTCGGGTGCACGGAACTCAGCCAAGGGGCCGGAGGGGGGCGAGGGGGCGGAGTGCGGGGGTGCCTCGGAAGGGGGAGAAGGGCAGAACGGAGGCGACGCCGCCCCGGCTCGGCCCCCCGCCGGGGAGCCCCGCTTCTGGTGCCCAGAGTGCGGCAAAGGTTTCAGGCGCCGGGCGCACCTGCGGCAGCACGGGGTGACCCACTCGGGAGCGCGCCCCTTCCAGTGCGTGCGCTGCCAGCGGGAGTTCAAGCGCCTGGCCGACCTGGCGCGCCACGCACAGGTGCACGCGGGGGGCCCAGCCCCGCACCCGTGCCCCCGCTGCCCGCGCCGCTTCTCGCGCGCCTACAGCCTCCTGCGCCACCAGCGCTGCCACCGCGCAGAGCTGGAGAGGGCCGCCGCGCTGCAGGCACTGCAGGCCCAGGCCCCGACGTCGCCGCCACCGCCCCCGCCGCCCCTGAAGGCCGAGCAGGAGGAAGAAGGGCTCCCGCTGCCCCTCGCAAACATTAAGGAAGAGCCGCCCTCTCCGGGGACCCCACCCCAGTCCCCGCCGGCTCCCCCTGTCTTCCTCAGCGCCTCCTGTTTCGACAGCCAAGACCACTCAGCCTTCGAGATGGAGGAGGAAGAGGTAGACAGCAAGGCTCACCTGCGCGGGCTGGGGGGCCTGGCCTCCTGACCTTCGCCGCCCTGCCCTCCGCCGCTCCGCCTGAGCTCCCCGGTTTGCAGAATGGAGGAGGGAAGTTGAAGGAGCCACCTCCTCTGTCTACCCACCCGTCCCCTTCACGCCCTTGACACTAAGGAGTGGGGGGCCCTGGACTGCCCCTTCCTCCCCCATCGCCCGCCCCCAGAACCCCTGATGCTGGTTAGGAACCGCTCACCCCAACATGTGTCTTAAGGCAGGACGACTTGGAAAAAAAGGCGGCGGACAGTTGGCCAGAGGGATGGAGACTGGTGGGGACGCCCCCGCCTCCCTGTCCCCCGTTTCACACACTGGACACCATCACCTCTTTGGAACTGCCAGACCCTGGGGGTCCCCAGTGAGCAAAGGTCTGTCCTTGTCCCTTTGTCTGTCTGTGAATAAATGTGAGTTCGTGAAATCCAAGAGAGCGAGGTGTTCTGTGGAGGTGGGGCAGGCTGGGGGCGCTGGGGCGAGTCAGGATTTGTCCAGCCAACTCTGAACTTGGGTTCAGAGCAGGAAGGACACAGATGCATCAGAAAATATGTGGCCCTCAACCAAGCAAGAAGCCGGTGAAGGCTGGGTTGAGAAGAAACAGGAATGTGAGAAGATAGATCATCGTCACCGCTGCCCTGTGGAAGCTCCGCGCGATTATCCTCACCACTGCCCTGTGGAAGCTCCGCGCCTTACTCAGTCAATCTCTACCACACCCTTACTCTGTGTCAGCGGTGGTACTAGGCACTGAGGAGGAGTCCAATACCTTCCTCTGAAAGAGCTGGAATTCTAGCCCTGCATTGTCCAACATAACTTTTTTTTTTTCTCAGAAAAGTTTCCATAATCTTTCTTCCCTCACTCTGTTGCCCAAGCTGCAGTGCCGTGGTGCAGTCATAGCTCACTGCAGTCTCAAACTCCCAGACCCAAGCAATCCTCTTAGCCTCTCAAGGAGCTAGGACTACAGGTGCATGCCACCACACCCAGCTGATTGTTTCATTTCTTGCAGAGACGGAGTCTTGCTATCTTGCCCAGTCTGGGAGAACTTTTTGTGATGATGGGATATTCTACATCTTCACTGTCCAATATGATATCCAGCAGACACACGTGGCTATTTCCGTTTAAATTTAGAATATGGAAATGTAAAGACATTAAGATGAAATAAATGTAAAAGTTCGGTTCCTCAGTCACACTCTTCACTCTTTTTTTTTTTTTGAGAGAGAGAGAGAGTTTCACTCTTGTCGCCCAGGCTGGAGTACAATGGCACGACCTTGGCTCACTGCAACCTCCACCTCCCAGGTTCAAGGGATTCTCCTGCCTCAGCCTCCCGAGTAGCTGGGATTACAGGAGCCTGCTACCACAACCAACTAATTTTTTGTATTTTTAGTAGAGACGGGTTTCACCACATTGGCCAGGCTGGTCTCGAACTCCTGACCTCAGGTGATCCACCCGCCTCAGCCTCCCAAAGTGCTGGGATTACAGGCGTGAGCCACTGCACCCGGCCTCAGTCTCACTATTTCAAGGGCCAAAGAGCCCCATGTGGCTGGTGGCTGCCATATTGGACAGGACAGATCTAGAACATTACATCATTGAAAAAAGTCCTAGCAGGATGCAATATAGCACCAGGTATAAGGGCTACCAAGAGTAAACCACCAGACAGTATGATGGCAGAGCAGGACTGGGGGTTGGGGCTTCTCTGGCCAGGCGATGTTTGATTTGAATGAAGATGGAGGGAACCAGGTATGAGAGAGAAACATCTGTGAGAAGACAACACCAGACAAAGAAAAAACAGGGGCAAAGGCTAGGAGGTAGGTACTACAGGATTTTTTTTTTTTTTTTTGGACACAGGATCTTGCTCTATTGCCCAGGCTGGAGTGCAGTGGTGCGATCACAGCTCACTGCAGCCTCGACTTCCTGGCTCAAGGGATTCTCTCTTCTCAGCCTCCCAAGTAGCTGGGACTACAGGTGTGCACCATCATGCTTGACTAATTTTTATTTTATTTATTTATTTATTTATTCTTTTGAGACGGAGTCTCGCTCTGTCACCCAGGCTAGAGTGCGGTGGCGTGATCTCCTCTCACTGCAAGCTCCACCTCCCAGGTTCACGCCATTCTCCTGCCTCAGCCTCCCGAGTAGCTGGGACTACAGGCACCCGCCACCACACCCGGCTGATTTTTTGTATTTTTAGTAGAGACTGGGTTTCACCGTGTTAGCCAGGATAGTCTCGATCTCCTGACCTCGTGATCCTCCTGCTTCGGCCTCCCAAAGTGCTGGGATTACAGGAGTGAGCCACTGTGCCCGGCCATGCTTGACTAATTTTTAAATTTTTTGTGGAGATGGTGTCTCCCTATGTTGCCCAGGCTGGTCTTGGACTCCTGGGATCAAGGAAGCCTCCTGCCACAGCCTCCCAAAGTGCTGGGATTACCAGCATGAGCCACTGCACCTGGCCATTACTACATATTTTAGAAACTGCAGGTAATTGGAGGTGAGGTGGGAAGTTTCAATTTCTACACATCTTCAAGTTGTTGGGTTTTTTTGGTTTTTTGTTTTTTTGGTTTTTTTTTTTTCGAGATGGAGTCTTGCACTGTCACCCAGGCTGGAGTGCAGTGGCACGATCTCAGCTCACTGCAACCTCCGCCTCCCAGGTTCAAGCAATTCTCCTGCCTTAGCCTCCCGAGTAGCTGGGATTACAGGCGCCTGCCACCGCACCCAGCTAATTTTTGTGTTTTTAGTAGAGATGGAGTTTCACCATATTGGCCAGGCTGGTCTTGAACTCCTGATCTCGTGACCACCTGACCTCATGATCCACCCACCTCAGCCTCCCAAAGTGCTGGGATTACAGGCATGAGCCACCGCGCCTGGCCCAGTTGTTTTCTTTTTACCCGTTTATTTAGGTTCCAGGAGTGGAAGGAAGAGGGATATCTCTCAGCTAATCTTCCTTAAACACCTTTCTCTTTCCTTCTCTTGACATCCTGCTTTCCCCCAGCACCTTCGATGGTTCTCTCTTGCCCTATGCAAATAATGATGGGCGGGGTGCAGTGGTTTATGCCTATAATCCCAGCACTTTGGGAGGCTGAGGTGGGTGGATCACTTGAGGTCAGGAGTTCGAGACCAGCCTGACCAACAAGGTGAAACCCCGTCTCTACTAAAAATACAAAAATTAGCCAGGTTTGGCAGCGGGCGCCTGTAGTCCCAGCTACTCAGGAGGCTGAGACAGGAGAATTGCTTGAACCCAGGAGGTGGAGGTTGCAGTGAGCTGAGATTGCAACACTGCACTGCAGCCTGGGCGACAGAGCGAGACTCCATCTCAAAAAAAAAAAAAAAAAAAAAAAAGACGTTGACTACTTAGGTACCTGCACACCCACAAGAAACAGCAAGAAAGGGGCAGAGCCTCCCCCTTTTCCAGGACAACAAACTGAAGCTCTGAGAGGGAAGCTGTTTCCCCAGTGCGTCAACAATACTAGATGGATCAAAGGAGGCAGAGAAGCAAGAAAGATGGTGATTGAGGGTCAAGGTGGGAGAGGATGACACCGAAAGCTTCAAATAATTCCACCTTCAATGATTTCACACATCTTGGCTGAGCCCTTAGCACTGTGCCGGCTTGTATGGATTAGTTTGTTTGATTTTTTTTTTTTTTTTGAAACGGTCTCACTTTTTTGCCCAGGCTGGAGTGCAGTGGCGCAATCATAGCTCACTGCAGCCTCCATCTCTTGGGCTCAAGTGATCCTCCTGCCTCAGCCTCTGGAGTAGCTGGGACTACAAATTTGTATCACCATGCCTGGCTAATTTTTATTTTATTATTTTATTTTATTTTATTATTTTATTTATTTTATTTTATTTTATTTTATTTTATTTTATTTTATTTTATTTTATTTTAAGACAGAGTCTCGCTCTGTCGCCAGGCTGGAGTGCAGTGGCGGGATCTCAGCTCAGTGCAACCTCTGCTTCCCGGGTTCAAGCAATTCTCTGCCTCAGCCTCCCAAGTAGCTGGGATTACAGGCACCCACCACCATGCCTAGCTAATTTTTTGTATTTTTAGTAGAGATGAGGTTTCACCATCTTGGCCAGGCTGATCTTGAACTCCTGGCCTCGTGATCCGCCCCCCTCGGCCTCCCAAAGTGCTGGGATTACAGGTGTGAGCCACCGCACCTGGCCTACTTTTTTCTTTTGTAGAGACGAGGTCTCACTATGTTGCCCAGGCTGGTTTCCAACTCCCGGCCTCAAGCGATCCTCCCCACTCAGCCTCCCAAAGTGCTGGCATTACAGTCGTGAGCTACTGTACCTGGCCTGTCCCAACTGTTTATCACTGAGTTTAAGCCCAGTGCTGGATGTTGGGGCTAGTATTTGATGACACCCCTTAGGCACTCTTTTGACACCAACCATCCAGCTCAGGAGATGAACAATAACCCAATATTGGCACGAATAGATTAGGGTTACCAAATGAGACTGGTTCCCCAAAGAACTAGATCCTATGAGAAACTATAACCAAGCGTCAAGTGTTGGGGAGATGGGAGGCTGAAGTCTGCTTTTATTACATCAAAGCTACTCCCTCCTCAGGAACCATCAGTGGCTCCCTATTACCATATCTTAATGTGGGCTCCTATTTAGTGAGAGCCTACCATGGCCAGACACCTTATCCATACAATGTCATGGACAAAACCCATCAAACGAGGGAATTACATAGCTCTACTTATAGAAGGGCCAGATTGGGGCTTAAAGCAAAGAAGCCATTTGTCCTGCTTCAGTAATCACTACTATGAAATGAGCCTTGCATATTAAATGGGTTACTTAGTGGAAAGGGCTGAAGACAGTGCTTGGGCCTGGTAAGTAGTTGTTGCTGTTGGCCGGGCGCAGTGGCTCACACCTGTAATCCCAGCACTTTGGGAGGCTGATGTGGGTGGATCATCTGAGGTCAGGAGTTCGAGGCCAGCCTAGCCAACATGGTAAAACCCCATCTCTACTAAAAATACAAAAATTAGCCAAGCATGGTGTCGTATGCCTGTAATCCCAGCTACTGGGGAGGCTAAGGCAGGAGAATTGCTTGAACCTGGGAGGTGGAGGTTGCAGTGAGTCAAGATCATGCCACTGCACTCCAGCCTGGGTGACAGAGCTAAAAAAAAAAAAAAAAAAAAAAAAAAATGGAGAGAAAAAGTTGTTGCTGTTGGTTGTTGCTGTTGGTACTTTTAGCTATTATTCTCCCTGGCTGGTATATACATGATCTCAATGAATCCTCACTGCTCCACGGGGAGGCAGGAAACACCCTCCCCATTTTCTGGATGCAGAGAGGAAGTTCCTTGTCCAAGATATCACGGTTACAAATTGGCAGACCTGGTCCTCGAACCCTTACCCAGGCCAATCTTACCCTCCCCGTCAGCTCCCACCACACAGCCCACTTTCAGGCCCCTTCCTACACACATGTTGGTCTCCAGGACCCGCGGGCCCCACCTCGGCTCTATGGGTTTGCCCACCCTTCTCATTGCAGATCTGCCGCCTCGAAGAGAAACATTTTCAGAACCAAATACAGAATTGACAAAGAGAAGACGGCCTTGGAGATAGAGCCCAGCTTTTTCATTGCGCAGGTGGAAAACTGAGGCCAGATGCGTGGGACAGATGCAGAGAATGATAAAGTCACCAAATGACGGTGATTATTGAAGGAGTTGTGGTTATGTAGGGAACACGACCTGCCATTTGTCTTTCACTTGCTGAACACTTTACACGTACGATCGCAACCACATTTGTTTGTTTTTGCTTGTTTGTTTGTTTTTTGAGACGGAGTTCACTCTTGTTGCCCAGGCTGGAGTGCAATGGCACGATCTCGGCTCACCGCAACCTCCGCCTCCTGGGTTCAAGTGCTTCTCCAGCCTCAGCCTCCCGAGTAGCTGGGGTTACAGGCATGCACCACCATGCCCGGCTAATTTTGTATTTTTAGTAGAGACAAGGTTTCTCCATATTGGTCAGGCTGGTCTCGAACTCCCGACCTCAGGTGATCCACCCGCCTTGGCCTCCCAAAGTGCTGGGATTACAGGCGTGAGCCACCGTGCCCAGCCTGCAACCACATTTGTTAATAATAGGAACCCACTTCTTGAGTATTCACCCTATGTCTGCTTCAAGGGTACTACGTAGATTAGCCCATTTAATCCTCACAACAGCCACATAAAATAGATACTATTATTGGCTCTGTTTTCGTTTTGCCTTTTCATAAACAGCTTTACTGAGGTACCATTTACATATAGACTTCATCCATTTGGTCGTACAATTCGATAATTTTTTTTTTTTTTTTAGACAGAGTCTCACTCTGTTGCCCAGGCTCAAGTGCAGTGGCTTGATCTCGGTTCACTGCAACCTCCGCCTCCTGGGTTCAAGCAATTCTCTGCCTTAGCCACCCAAGTAGCTGGGATTACAGGTGCCTGCCACTACGCCTCACTAATTTTTTTTTGTATTTTTAGTATGAACGGGGTTTCACCATGTTGGCCAGGCTGGTCTTGAACACCTGACCTCATGATCTACCCACCTCGGCCTCCCAAAGTGCTGGGATTACAGGCGTAATTTGATAATTTTTAATAAATGTACAGAGTTGTGCCTCTATCACCACAATCCAATTTTAGAATATTTCCAGGCTGGGTGTGGTGGCTCAGGTCTGTAATCCCAGCACTTTGGGAAGCTGAGGCGGCAGGAGCACTTGGAGCCAAGAGTTTGAGACCAGCCTGGACAACAAAGCAAGACCCTGTCGCTACAAAACATTGAACAAAAATTAGCTGGCTGTGGTGGCAAGTGCCTGTAATCCCAGCTACTTGGGAGACGGAGGTGGGAGGGTGTCTTGAGCCCAGGAGTTGAAGGCTGCAGTGAGCTATATGAGTTGAAGGCTGCAGTGAGCTATGATCACACCACTGAACTCCAGCCAAGGCCACAGAACAAGATCCTGTCTCTAAAAAATAATAATAATAATAAATAAATTGATGAATTAATTAAAAATTTTAAAAAGAATATTTTGATCACCTCAAAAAGACATTCTGTGCCTGTTAATAGTCATTTTCCATTCCCACCCTCAGCTCTGGGCAACCACGAATCTATTTTGTCTCTATGGATGAACCTATTCTAGACATTTCATATAAATGGAATATGCCATATGTAGCTTTGGTGACTGCCTTCCTCCTCTTAGCATAATGTCTTCAAGGTCTATTCACATTGTAAATTGTGTCAGTTCAGTACTTAATTGCTTTTTAGTTGTTGTTGTTGCTGTTATTGAGAGAAGGCCTCACTTTGTTGCCCAGGCTAGAGTCCAGTGGTGCTATCATGGCTCACTGCAGCCTCAACCTCAAGTGATCCATCTCTCCCCAGTTTCCTGAGCAGCTGGGACCACAGGGTGCATCATGACACCTGGATAATATTTTTATTTCTTGTAGAGATGGGGGTCTCACTATGTTGCCCGAGCTGATCTTCAACTCCTAGGCTCAAGCAATCCTCCCACCTTGATCTCCCAAACTGCTGGGATCAAAGGCATGAGCCATTGCACCCACCCTCTTCATTCCTTTTTTACAGCTGAATAATATTCCACTGTATGGATACACCACACATTGTTTATCCTCTCATCCGTTGATGGGTGTTTGTATTGTTTCTACTCTTTGGCTGTTTAAGTAATGCTGCTGTGAACATGCATGTACAAGTCTTTTTTTTTTGTTTAGAGACGGAGTCTCGCTCTGTTGCCCAGGCTGGAGTGCAGTGGCATGATCTCTGCTCACTGCAAGCTCCGCCTCCCGGGTTCATGCCATTCTCCTGCCTCAGCCTCCTGAGTAGCTGGGACTGCAGGCACCAGCCACCACACCCAGCTAATTTTTGTATTTTTAGTAGAGACAGGGTTTCACCCTGTCAGCCAGGATGGTCTCAATCTCTTGACCTCATGATCTGCCTGCCTCGTCCTCCAAAAAGTGCTGGGATTACAGGCATGAGCCACCATGCCCGGCCTTTGTTTTTTTTCTTTTTTTTTTTTTTTGACGGGATCTTGCTCTGTTGCCCAGGCTGGAGTGCAGTGGTGTGCAGTCTCGGCTCACTGCAGCCTCTGCCTCTGAGGTTCAAGCAACTCTCCCACCTCAGCCTCCCGAGTAGCAGGGATTACAGGGGCACACCACCACACCCAGCTAATTTTTGCATTTTTAGTGGAGACGGGGTTTCACCATGTTGGCCACGCTAGTCTCAAACTCCTGACCTCTGGTGATCCACCTGCCTCAGCCTCCCAAAGTGCTGGGATTATAGGCCTGAGCCACTGCGCCCAGCAACAGGTCTTTGTGTGGGCATATGTTTTCATTTCTTTGGGGCAGATTTCTAGGAGCAGAATTGCTAGGCTGTGTGGGAAGTGTGTGATTCACTTTTTAAGAAAGTGCCAGACTGTTTCCCAAAGTGGCTGTACCATTTACAGCCCACTAGCGATTATGAGGTTCCCAGTAGGCCCTGCTTTCCTGAGAAAACTCAAGTACAGAAATGTGAAATGAATTAGCCAAGGCCACACAGCTAGTAAGTACCATGCCAGATTTGATCCCAGGCATTGTGACTGCAAAGCCTGGGCTTTTAAACTTTACACAATGCTTCATCCTTACCTCATTCATTAAGTTTTTTTTTTTTTTTTTTTTTTTTGGAGACGGAGTCTCACTCTGTCACCCAGGCTGGAGTACAGTGGCACGATCTCAGCTCACTGCAACCTCTGCCTCCTGGCTTCAAGCGATTCTCATGCCTCAGCTTCCCGAGTAGCTAAGATTACAGGCATGTGCCACCACTCCCGGCTAATTTTTTTATTTTTAGTAGAGATGAGGTTTCACCATGTTGGCCAGGCTGTTCTCGAACTCCTGACCTCAGGTGATCTGTCCGCCTCAGCCTCCAAAAGTGCTGGGATTAAAGGCGTGAGCCACTGCGCCCGGCCTCATTCAGTCTTCCATTCACTCATCCTAAAACTCATTACTGAGCCTCTACTATGTGCCAGGCACTGTCCAAGGTGCAGCTTATTCATTGGTTAACAAAATAGATGAATCCCTCTTTAGGTGGGGCTTCCATTCTAGTGAGGGAAGTCAGGCAAGAAAACATAGCAAGAAAGTAAATTATAAAACGTCTTAGAGAAAGAGAAATGCTATGGAGAAAGACAATGCAAGACAGGGCATGTAGGAACTTCAGTTGTGTAGGCCAAGAGCTGAACGAGAGAGCAGTGCAGATAACTGGGATGTGTCCCAGAGGAAGGGCACATCTGATGCAAAAGTTCTGAGGAGGGGACATAGCTGGAGTGTTCAAGGAGCAGAGGGGCCAATGTGGCTGGAGAGGAGTGAGCAAAGGAGGGAGCAATGGGAGAGGAGATCAAGGAGGTGATGGGGTACCAGATTGGGTAGAGAGTCATGAGAACCCAATTTCTGATCAAAATGAGATGGAAATCTTGGAGGAATTCATGCAGAGGCTGACAGGATTCGACGTTCCTTTTTCCTTTTAGCGTGTCATTATAAAAATATAAAAACATAAGGAAATAAAAATAATTGTGCAGCGAATGTCTATGTACCCATTCTCTACATTCATCCATCCATCCATGAACCCATCCATTCCCACATCCATCCATCCTTCCATACACCCATCCATCCATCCATTATCCATTCATCCATTCACCCATTTATCCATCAGCCATCCATCTATACATCCATCCATAATCCATCCATCTATTCATCTATTCATCCACCCATCCATCCATCATTTACCCATCTATTTATCCATTCACTCATCCATCATCCATCCATCTATCTACTCACTCATCCAACCATTTACCCAACCATCCATCCATTCATTCACCCATCCACCCATTCATCCACCATCCATTCACCTATCCATCCATCATCCATCCATCTATGCATCTATCCATTTAGCCACCCATTCATCCATCCATCCATCCATCCATCCATCCATCCATCCATCCACCCATTCATCCATCATCCATTATCTATTCATTCATCCATCATCCATTCACCTATCCATCTATCCATTCACCCATCCATTCATTCATTCATTTATCCATCTGCCCATCTGCCCATCCATCCATCTATTCATTCATCAATTGATTCACCCATTCATCCATTCATCCATCCATCATCCATCCATCCATTCACCCATTCATCCAACCATCCATTCATCCATCCATCATCCATCCATCCATTCACCTATCCATTCATGCATCATCCATCCATCTATCCATCATTGATTCATCCATCATCCATCTTTATAAAATTAATACATTTTATTTTTTAGAGAAGTTGTAGGTTCATAGCAAAATTGAACAGAAAGCACAGAGAGTTCTCATATATTCATCTTTCTCTATGCAACTTGCAATTCTCAAAGCAACATATCAGTTCACTCCTAAACACTTCAGCATGCATAACATTTTTTTTTGGTTTTTAAAAAACTTTTTCTTTTTTGTTTGATGTTTTATTAGCATGCATAACATAACAAGATATCAAATATTTAAGCTTCTTGTCATTAGTAAAATTAAAATACAGTGAAATGCCACATTTCCCAAGTTACCATTTGATACATTTGGACAAAGACATACACCTGAATAACACAAACTCCCCTCTCCTGGTATGACAGATTCTCCCTGGCTTCTGTGTGAATAGCCTGGTGGGGAGTGTGGCAAAAGTACCCATAAGCCCACCTGGTTTTCTTTCTTACATAAACTTTTTTGTTTAGAAACATTTAAGACGGGATAGTAGAGCTGCAGTGAGTGATAGTAGACTTGCTACAGACCCCTCACCCAATTTCCCCAAATGTTCTCGTCTCCCATTACCATGGCACGTCTGTCAAAACCAAGAAGCAAACACTAGTACAGCACAAAACTCTGCCCTTTACTCAGATGTCACGAACGACCTTTTTCCATTCAGGATCCCACCCAGGATACCACATGGCGTCTCACCGTCATGCCTCCTTAATCTCTTACTGTCTGCCACTGTTTCTCAGACTTGCCTCGTTCTGATGACTTTGACAGTTTAGAGCAGTCCTGGCAAAGCAGAGCACGGAAGTGTGCTGTCCCAGGGATCTGGGGCTGCAAGTCTGGGGTCAAGGTGTCGGCAGGGCCACACTGCCTCTGAAGCCTGCAGGGCAGGGGTGTCCAATCTTGTGGCTTCCCTGGCCCACATTGGAAGAATTATCTCAGGTCACACATAAAATACACTAACAGCTGATGAACTAATACATAAATCAATCAATAAATAACAAAAACGCAAAAAAAAAAAAACCTCTTTTTTTTGAGATGGAGTCTCGCTCTGTTGCCCAGGCAGGAGTGCAGTGGTGTGATCCTGGCTCACTGTAACCTCCAACCCCTGGGCTCAAGTGGTTCTCCTGCCTCAGCCTCCCGTGTAGCTAGGACGACAGTTACACACACAAAATGCCCCTCTGGGCCAAGCAAGGTGGCTCACACCTGTAATCCCAGCACTTTGGGAGGCTGAGGTGGGTGGATTGCTTGAGGCCAGGAGTTTGAGACCAGCCTGGGCAACATAGCAAGACACCACCTCTAAAAAAAAATTAAAAATTAAAAATTAGCCAGGCCTGGTGGCATACACCTATAGTTCCAGCTATCTGGTAAGCTGAGGAGGGAGGATCGCTTGAACCCAGGAGTTAGAGAACCATTCTGGGCAACCCAGTGAGACCCTTTCTCTTCAAAAAACATTTTTTTTAAATTGAGATGGAGTTTTACTCTTGTTGTCCAGGCTGCAGTGCAGTAGCATGATCTCAGCTCACTACGACCTCCGCCTTCCAGGTTCAAGCGATTCCCCTGCCTCAGCCTCCCAAGTAGCTGGGATTACAGGCGTGCGCCACCATGCCCAGCTAATTTTTTAATCTTTAGTAGAGATGGGGTTTCACCATGTTGACCAGGTTGGTCTTGAACTCTTGACCTCAGGTGATCCACCCACCTTGGCCTCCCAAAGTGCTGGGATTACAGGCATGAGCCACCACGCCCAGCCAAAAAAATTTTTTTAGTATGAAAAAAAAAATCCCTTCTCTTCGCCTCCTATCAGGAGGTGCGTGTTCTCATGTCTGCTCACCCATGCTTGACCACCCTGGTCACCTGGCAGGGGTGGTGTTTGCCAGCTCTCCCCACTGTATGTGACCCCCCTTCCTTTCCATTCATCTAGTCTTTGTAAACAAGCCGCCGAGTGCAGCCCACGGGGCATTTGGGCTGTGGGGGAATTAAGCTCCCTTCTTCAGAATGGGGGAGTAGATAGACAGTTCTTAAGAATACAGCCGGGCGCGGTGGCTCACGCCTGTAATCCCAGCACTGTCGGAGGCCAAGGCGGGTGGATCACGAGGTCAGGAGACTGAGACCATCCTGGCTGACACGGTGAAATCCTGTCTCTACTAAAAATATAAACAATTACCCAGGTGTGGTGGCGGGCACCTGTAGTCCCAGCTACTGGGGAGGCTGAGGCAGGAGAATCACTTGAACCCTGGAGGCGGAGCTTGCAGTGAGCCGAGATCGCGCCACCGCACTCCAGCCTGGGCAACAGAGTGAGACTCTGTGTCAAAAAAAAAAAAAAACATTAGCTGGGCACATTGGCGCGTACCTGTTATCCCAGCTACTCGGGAGGCTGCGGCAGGAGAATTGCTTGAACCCAGGAGGCAGTGGTTGCAGTGATCGTGCCACTGCACTCCAGCCTGGGGGATAGAGCAGGACTCTGTCTCAAAAAAAAAAATTTTATTCTGTAAGAGAGATGTGTTCCTTCACCTTTTCCTGCTAACTCGCTCATCTGCCTCTTTCTTTCTTTCCCTTTCCCCCTCCCTCCCTTCCTTCCTTCCTTCTTTCCTCCCTTCCTTCTTTCTTTCGTTCTTTCAAGTCTCGCTCTGTCGCCCAGGTTGGAGTGCAGTGGTGCGATCTCGGCTCATTGCAACCTCCGCCTCCTGGATTCAAGTGATTCTCTTGCCTCAGCTTCCCGAGTAGCTGGGATTACAGGCGCGCAACACCACGCCCGGCTAATTTTTGTACTTTTAGTAGAGACAGGGATCTCACTATGTTGGCCAGGCTGGTCTGGAACTCCTGACCTCAGGTGATGCTCCCGCCTCGGCCTCTCAAAGTGCTGGGATTACAGGCGTGAGCCAACACTCCCGGCCTCATCCTCGTATTTCTTTGTATCAGTGTAGACACACAGATACTTATTTGATAATCTGCATTCGGGTCCAATTCCATGTGACTTGCTTCCTTGAAGCCCATCTGTTTCCACCTCAGGTGCTATTAACAAAACACAGACTGGTGCCCAAGGGGAAGCCGGGGACAGCCGGGAGGTGCCACCGCAGCGAGAGTGCTCGGGGCTTCTTCGTGGGAGAAGGCTTCATACCAACCAGGCTGGAGCTGACCTATGAAGTGTGAACCACTCTCCAGAGGGGCCCGAGGCTCCACGGGGACCCCTGCCTGCACGACCCCAGCGCCCAGCCCTCCTTCCCGGGCACCTCCCCCTGCCCGGCTCCCGGCCTCCCTGGGGCAAGCGGGTTGGAGGCCAAGTCCGGGCGCCTCCCCTGGCCCCCTTATCTCGCCACACCCAGCCCTGAGCCTGGCACAGACCTGGCTCCATAAATATTTGCTGCCGTTCGCCCCACTGCTCCCGGCCTCCAACCCAGGCTCCTCCCGCCGCTGGGCCTTAGTCCAGGCTGGGCCCTCCCCAGGCATCGGCTCTTTGGGCTCAGGGAGGGAGGGGGCAGTCTTGGAAGCAGATGAGGAACCAGGGAGAGGAGAGGGACCCACCCAAAGTCACACACAGTGGGAGGGAGAGAGACAGAGGGGCAGACAGGGAGAGACAGAGGGGCAGAGAGGGAGAGACAGAGGGGGCAGACAGAGAGAGACAGAGGGGCAGAGAGAGAGAGACAGAAGGGCAGAGAGGTCAGAGGGGGATCACGAGAGATCCCGAGGTCAGGGGGATCGTGAGGTCAGAGGGCAGATCACGAGAGACAGAGGGGACAGAGAGGGAGAGACAGAGGGGCAGAGAGAGAGAGACAGAGGGGTCAGAGAGGGAGAGACAGAGGGGCAGAGAGGGAGAGAGAGAGGGGGCAGAGACGGAGAGAGAAAGGGGGCAGAGAGGGGGAGAGAGAGGGGGTAGAGGGGGGAGAGAGAAGGGGCAGAGAGGGAGAGACAGAGGGAGCAGTGAGGGGGAGGCAGAGGGGGCAGAGAAGGGGAGACAGAGGGGGCAGAGAGGAAGAGAGAGAGGGGGCAGTAAAGGGGGGAGAGAGGGGGCAGAGAGGGGGAGACAGAGGGGGCAGAGAGGGAGAGAGAGAGAGGAAGAGACACACAGAGAGACAGTGCGAGAGAGGGAGAGAAAGGGAGGGAGAGACAGAGAGATGGGAAGAGAGACAGAAAGACAGAGGAGATAGAGAGGGAGAGACAGAGACAGAGAGAGAGGGAGAGAAAGCCCTGGGCAGACAGACCCGGAGCGCGGGAGTGAAGCGGTTGGGCAGCCTCCAGCCTTCTGACAGTGGGATAATAACCCTGCTGCTATTTATTACCTCACCCGCTCACCAGTGCCAGCCACTCCACACACATCATTCACTCCTTTAATCTCCAGCACTCTGTCGGTTCCTAGCACAGGCCACGCGCTCTCCTCTGCGGCCTCTCACGGACAACTCTCTTTGCCTGGAATGACCTCCCACCCTTGGTTTCAGGCCTCCCTTTACATACACCCCCACGACCTTCCCTACCCCTCCCACAACCATCTCTCTCTCTATCAGTCCCTGCTGTGGGCACAATTCTAAGAGGGTCCTCAAGACCCCTGTTCCCCGGGTGCTCACATCCCCGCTCCCAGCCCTTCAGTCAGACGCTGCTCTAGGTGCAGATTTACCCCAGGTAGAATTAATGTTCCAAGTTCAGGCGGGGAGCGGTGGCTCAGGCCTGGAATCCCAGCGCTTTGGGAGGCTGAGACAAGAGGATCGCTTGAGCCTAGAGTTTGAGACCAGCCTAGGCAACAAAGTGAGACCCTGCCATCTCTAAAATAATAATAATAATAAATAAGATTCCAAATCAGCTGACTTGAAAATAGGGAAATGCTCAGGCCAGGTGTGGCAGCTCACGCCTGTAATCCCAGCACTTTGGGAGGCCAAGGCGGGCGGATCACGAGGTCAGGAGATCGAGACCATCCTGACTAACATGGTGAAACCCCATCTGTAGTAAAAACACAAAAAAGTAGCTGGGCGTGGTGGCGGGCGCCTGTAGTCCCAGCTACTCGGGAGGCTCAGGCAGGAGAATCACTTGACCCCAGGAGGCGGAGGTTACAGTGAGCCAAGATCGTGCCATTGTACTCCAGCCTGGACAACAAGAGTGAAACTTTGTACAAAAACAACAACAACGACAACAAAAAAAAACCCACAGAAGGGTGCTGTCCCAGGGCTCTGGAAGTCTGAGATCAAGAGGTCAGCAAGACCATACTCCGTCTGAAGCCTGTATGGGAGGGGTGTCCAAGATTGCGGCTTCCTTGGGCCACATTGGAAGAATTGTCTTGGGCCACACATGAAATACACTAACACCAACAATTATGGATGAACTAATAAATAAATAAATGCAAAAATGCAAAAAGAAAAATCTCATAATGTTTTAAGAAAGTTTACCAATTTGTGTTGGGCCACGTTCAAAATTGTCCTGGGCCACATGTGGCCTGCAGGCTGCAGGTTGAACAGCCTTGCTGTGGGAGTGCTTCCTTGCCTCTCCCTAGCTTCCAGTGGTTGCCAGCAATCTGTTTGTTTGTTTGTTTGAGACAGGGTCTAGCTCTGTCACCCAGGTTGGAGTGCAGCACTGCGATCTTGGCTCACTGCGACCTCAACCTCCTGGGCTCAAGTGATCCTCCCACTTCAGCCTCCTGAGTAGCTGAGACTACGGGCAGATACCACCATGCCCGGCTAATGTTTTCATGTTTTGTAGAGACGGGGTCTCACTTTGTTGCCCAGGGTGTCACCAGCCACCCTTGGCATCCCTTGGCCTGTGGCTGCATCACCTCAGCCTCGGCCTTCATCGGCACAGGCATCCTCCCTATGTGGGAATCTGTGTCCAAATCTCCCTTGTGTATATGAATAGCAGTCATATTGGAGTAGGACTCCTCCTCTCCAGTACAGCCTCATCTTAACTAATTTCATCAAAACGACCCGATTTCCAAATAAGGCCACATTCTGTGGTACTGAGGGTTAGGACTTCAACATATATATATATATATATATATATATATATATATATATATAGAAATATATATATAGAAATATATAAAAAAATATATATAGAAATATATATATATATATATATATAAATTTTTTTTTTCCAGAGACAGAATCTCACTCTGTTGTCCAGGCTGGAGTGCAGTGATGCAATCACAGATCACAGCTCACTACAGCCTCAAACTTCTGGGCTCAAGCAATCCTCCCACCTTAGCCTTCCAAGTAACTGGGACTACAGGCATGCACCACCATACCCAGCTAATTTTAAAATTTTTTTAGTAGAGACAATGTCTCACTATGTTGCTCAGGCTAGTCTTGAACTCCTGGATTCAAGCAGTCCTCCAACCTTGGCCTCCCAAAGTTCTGGGATTGCAGGCATGAGCCACCATACCTGGCCCTAAGTCTTTTATATGTAGCAGTGGGCAGCTTCTGAAAAGGCCCCCAGTGGTCCCTGCCTCCCAGTGCTCACACTTTTGAGTAATCCCCTTCCTCTGAATTTGAGCTGGACATAGTGATTTTTAATAGAATAGGGGAACAGTGATGGGATGTCACTCTCAAGATTAGGTTACAAAAGACTATGATTCCTGTCTTGTTTCTCTTTCTCTTCCCACCATCACCCCCACTTTCTCTTTTTGGCTTGGCTTCCTGGCTTTGATGGGGCCAGCTGCCATGCTGGGAATTGCCCTATAGAGCAGCCCACGGGGTAAGGAACTGAGAGTGATCTCTATCCAACAGCCTGTGAGGAACAGAGACCCCCAGTCCAATAGCCTGTGAGAAACCAACTCTAGCCAAGACAGGAGTGAGTCCGGAAGCAGATCTTTCCAGTTGAGCCTTCAGATGAGACCTCAGCCTAGCTGATGCCTTGATGGCAGGCTTATGAGAGTCCCTGAAACAGAGGACCTGGCTGAGCTGGGTCCAGCCTCCTAACCCAGAGAAATGATGAGAAATGGGTGTAGTTTTGAGCAGCTACGTTTTGAAGGTAACTTCAGCAGTAGAAGCTAATCCACATGTATTAACCCATTTAATTTCTATAACAAGCCTAGGTGATATATACTGTTATTATCCCCATTTTACAGATGAGGAAATGGAGGCACAGAGAGGCAGAGATGTTTGCCCAAGGCCAGTAAGTGGCAGGGATGGGGGGTAAAGCCAGATAGCCTGGCTCTAGAGTTTATCCTTTTAGCCACCCCACTATTGTTGTTTCACTGTTAAATAATAATAACTGGCAGTCAGGTGTGGTGGCTCATGCCTGTAATACCAGCATTTTGCAAGGAAAAGGCAGGAGGATTGCTTGAGGCCAGAAGTTTGAGACCAGCCTGAGCAACATAGTGAGACGCCATCTCTAAAACAAGAAAGAGAAAGAAAGAAAGAAAGAAAGAGAG
Source organism: Homo sapiens (assembly GCF_000001405.40). Classification (NCBI taxonomy): domain Eukaryota; kingdom Metazoa; phylum Chordata; class Mammalia; order Primates; family Hominidae; genus Homo; species Homo sapiens. The sequence goes on along the minus strand of NC_000019.10, from coordinate 55,560,380 downwards.
AGAGAGAGAGAGGAAGGAAGGAAGGAAGGAAGGAAGGTAGGTAGGTGTGGTTGTTGGTGGAATGCACCTGTAGTCCCAGCTACACGGGAGGCTGAGGTGGGAGGATTACTTGAACACCCGAGGTCGAAGCTGCAGTGAGCTCTAATTGCACCACTGTACTCCTGCCTGAGCAACAGAGCAAGACCCTGTCTCAAATAAATAAATAAATAAATAAAGGCTGACATTTGTCAAAGGCATATCCTTTGCAATTTCTCCACGTGTCTAGTCTCCATCATCACTCAATGTGATGATATATCTTTGTTTTCTTAGAATTACTTATAATTTTCAAATTTCAGTTGCAGAGAGTGGCGTGGATGGCACCAGCTGACTCATAGCATGGCCATCATTAGCCCTCGCCCCGCCACACTGCAGCCCAGTGGAGAGAGAGCTGGACAGCATAGCACCTGTCCTCACACCTTCGCATCATCTGCTGAAGTCTCCCGTTGACTGAACCCAAAGAGAAGCCAGGTGGAGTCCAGTTGGCTGCATGCCTTCCAGGCAGAGGGTGTCACCCCAACAGAGAGGAGACTTAGATAGACAAACAGAAGCTGTCTGGCGCTTCCCGACTGCCTTCCGTTCCCATCACACACATGATGTGGCAAAGGACATGTGGGAAGATCTCTCAGGGGTGTACACCCAGAAGAGGACGCCTCAGACCCATTTCCCCGCTACAGCCTCCATCTCCCCCACCAGTCTACCCCCCTCCCTTGACCAGCAATGCCTCCAGCTCCCTGCTTCCCCATGTCCTCAACCACTTCCCAATTTCTTCCTCTCTGATGGGTGTGAATGGGGTCTCCCTATAGGGGCTTACCAGGTGGTGGACAGGTAGCAGAACTGGCCTGCTCCAGACGCAGGCAATAAGGGAGGTTTTGGCTATAGAGGAGGTGAAAACAATAAAATGACCAACCAAAAGTTTGGTCTGCTTTTCTTTCTAATTTCTAAATTTTATTACGATGTTTTTTTTCATAGAGATGGGTACTCACTATATTGCCCAGGCTGGTCTCGAACTCCTGGGCTCAAGTGATCCTCTTGTCTTAGCCTCCCAAAGTGCTGGGATTACAGGTGTGAGCCGCTGTGCCCAGCTTGGTCTGCTTTTCAGTGTCACCAAGTGCAGCAATTGTAAACAAGGTCAATGATTAAATATGTCTCCCTCAAAAACACTATACATATATATAATATACAAAAATTATATATAATATACAAAAATTATATATATATATTATTATTTTTGAGATGGAGTCTTACTCTTGTCGCCCAGGCTGCAGTGCAATGGTGCGACCTCAGCTCACCACAACCTCTGCCTCCTGGGCTCAAGCGATTCTCCTGCCTCAGCCTCCCTAGTAGCTGGGATTACAGGCATGCGCCACCACGCCTGGCTAATTTTTTCTATTTTTAGTAGAGACGGGGTTTCTCCATGTTGGTCAGGCTGGTCTCGAACTCCTGACCTCAGGTGATCCACCCGCCTCGGCCTCCCAAAGTGCTGGGATTACAGGCGTGAGCCACTGCACCCGGCCGAAACTAAACATATTCTTAAAACACAATGCAGGCTGGGCACAGTGGCTCACGCCTGTAATCCCAGCACTTTGGGAGGCCAAGGTGGGCAGATCACCTGAGGTCGAGAGTTGGAGACCAGCCTGGCCAACATGGCAAAACCGCCTCTACTAAAAATACAGAAGTTAGCCGGGTGTGGTGGCATGTGCTGCAATCCCAGCTACTCTAGAGGCTGAGGCAGGAGAATTGCTTGAATCCAGGAGGCAGAGGCTGCAGTGACCTGAGACCGCGCCACTGCACTCCAGCCTGGGTGACAGAGCAAGACTCCATGTCAAAAAAAAATACATAAATAAATAAACCAGAATTCAGCAATCACTCTTATTGGTATTTACTCAAATGAGTTGAAAACCTATGTCCACACAAAAACCCACATGTGAATGTCTACAGCGACTTTATTCATAATTGCTAAAACTTGAAAGTAACCGACTGGGCGCCGTGGCTCACGCCTGTAATCCCAGCACTTTGGGAGGCCAAGGCGGGCAGATCACCTGAGGTCAGGAATTTGAGACCAGCCTGGCCAACCTGGTGAAACTCCATCTCTACTAAAAATACAAAAATCAGCCGGGCATAGCGGTGCATGGCTGTAATCCCAGCTACTCGGGAGGCAGGAGAATCGCTTGAATCTGGGAGGTGGAGGTTGCAGTGAGCTGAGATCGCACCACTGCACTTCAGTCTGGGCGACAGAGTGAGACTCCGTCTCAAAAAGAAAAAAAAAGAAAGAAAGCAACCAAGATGTCCTTCAATATGTGAATGGATAAGCCGTGGTCCATCCATACAATGGAATATTATTAAGCAATAAAAAGAAATGAGATGACAATGAAAGGTTTTACTGAAAGAAAAAAAAAAGAGCTACCAAGCCATAAAAAGACATGGCGAGAACTTAAACGCATGTTTCTAAGTGAAAGAAGCTAATCTGAAAAGGCTGCTTACTGTTTGATTCCAACAATACGAGGTTCTGGAAAAGAGGAAACTACAGAGACAGGAAAAAGATCGGTGGTTGCCAGGAGCTAGGAGGGAGAGAGGGGTGAGGAGGTGCAGCCCAGGGGATATTTAGGGCAGTGAAACTATGATACTCTGTCTGATACTATAGTGGTGGGGACATGTCATTATACATTCGTCTAAAGCCACAGAACATACAACGTCATGAACCGGGAGCGAGCCCTCATGTACACTGTGGACTGTGGGTGATGATGGTGTGTCCCATGCACCACCCTGGTGGGGATGTTGATAGTGGGGGAGGCAGTGGGGGCAGGGCAGGGAGTATAGAAGAACTTTGTACCTTCTGGCCGGGCACGGTGGCTCATGCGTGTAATTCCAGCACATTGGGAGGCTGAGGTAGGCAGATCACCTGAGGTCAGGAGGTCGAGACTAGCCTGGCCAACATGACAAAACCCCGTCTCTACTAAAAATACAAAAATTAGCCAGGCATGGTGGCACATGCCTCTAATCCCAGCTACTCGGGAGGCTGAGGCACAAGAATCACTTGAACCGGGGAGATGGAGGCTGCAGTGAGCCGAGATCGCGCCATTGCACTCCAGACTGGGTGACAGAGCGAGACTCTGTCTCAAAAAAAAGATCTTTGTACCTTCTGCTCAATATTGCTGTGAACCTAAAACTGCTCTAAAAAATAAAGTCTATTAATTAAAAAAAAAAAAAGGAAGAAACCCCCCCAGCAGTCAAGAAAAAGATGCAGGTGATTATTACATGATGGTTATTGAAAATAGTTCTTCTATACAGGAGGGGGTGTTAAAAGTTAAAAATAGGCCTGATGTGGTAGCTCACACCTGTAATCCCAGCACACTTTGCGAGGCCAAGGCAGGAGGATCGCTTGAGCACAGGAGGTCAAGACCAGCCTGGGCAACACAGTGAGAGTTCGCCTGTCTTTACCAAAAAAAAAATCAGCCGAGCATGGTGGCATGTATGTGTAGTCCCAGCTACTCAGGAGGCTGAGGTAGGAAGATCACTTAAGCCTGGGAGGTCAGGGCTGCAGTGAGCTCTGATCATGCCACCGCACTCCAGCCTGGGTGACAGAGTGAGATCCTGCTTCAAAAAGATAAATAAAATTTAAAATGATCTGGGCATCTCACAGGCTGTGTTTGCTCTGGTCCCTCACTCACTAAAATGCAGGTTCCAATTTTTTTTTTTTTTTTTTTGAGACAGAGTTTCTCTGTGTTGCCCAGGCTGGAGTGCAGTGGCACAGTCTGGGCTCACTGCAGCCTCCAACTCCTGGTCTCAAGTGATTCTCCTGCCTCAGTCTCTCGAGTATCTGGGATTACAGGCACTGGCCACCATGCCTGGCTATAGGCCAAATTTTTTTTACTGGCATTATTGAGATGTAATTCATATGCCATAAAATTCACCGTGTAAAGTAGACAAATCAATGGTTTCTGGTATAGTCCTAGAGTTTGTGCAAACATCAACACAATCTTTTTTTTTTGGACAGGGTCTTACTATGTTGCCCCGGCTGGAGTTCACTGGTGTGATCTTGGCACACTGCAACCTCCGCTTCCCAGGTTCAAGCGTTTTTCCCGCCTCAGCCTCCTGAGTAGCTGGGATTACAGGTGTGCACGGCCACGCCTGGCTAATTTTTGTTTTCTTTTTGTTTTTTTTTTTTTTTTGAGATGGAGTCTCGCTCTGTTGCCCAGGCTGGAATGCTGTGGCACAGTCTCGGCTCACTGCAACCTCCGCCTCCCGGGTTCAAGCGATTCTCCTGCCTCAGCTTCCCAAGTAGCTGGGATTACAGGCGCCCACCACCACACCCAGCTAATTTTATGTAGTTTTAGTAGAGACGGGGTTTTACCGTGTTGGACAGGCTGGTCTCGAACTCCTGACCTTGTGATCCGCCCACTTCGACCCGCCAAAGCTCTGGGATTACAGGCGTGAGCCACTGCGCCCGGCCTAACACAATTTTAAAACGTTTTTCATCACCCCCAAAAGAAACATTGCACCCCTTAGCCATAGCCCCCCAGTACTTGCCTCCTGCCCCCCATGTCCTAGGCAGGCGCAGATCTGCTTCCTGTCTCTGCAGATCCTCCCGAGGGCTGGAGTCGGCTTCGCTTTGAGGTGTGTCCCAGATGCTGCAGCAACGCTTGAGTCCGGCGTGGTAGCAGGTAGGTATCCATTGTTATTTATTATTGTTAATTAAATTAAATTAATTTATTTATTTTGAGACGGCGGCTCGCTCTGTTGCCCATGCTGGAGTGCAGTGGCACGATCTCGGCTCACTGCAACCTCTGCCTCCTGGTTTCAAGCGATTCTCCTGCCTCAGCCTCCCGAGTAGCTGGGACTTCAGGTGCGTACCAGCACGCCCGGATAGTTTTTGTATCTTTAGTAGAGACAGGTTTTCGCCATATTGGCCAGACTGATCTAGAACTCCTGACCTCAGGTGATCCACCCGCCTCAGCCTCCCAAAGTGCTGGGATGACAGGCATGAGCCACCACACCTGGCCCTCAATCATTATTTAATCGATCTTGTTTTAATTTGAATCCCAGTCACCACTGGCCTGGCCTCTCTTGCTACTGTTAATTTACTTATCCGCCAGGTCTCTGAACCCCTTCCTCACCTGCCAACTTTCCTGTCAGGTTGGCTCAGAGCCACTTCTAGGCCCCTCTTGGTCGCCTTTGGAAGAGGCACACCTTGCTTCTTGGCGGCTGTATCCTGGTTCACAGAACCTTCTGGGCACCTCCGGAGCAGGGACAGAGTCTGTCTGTGGTCTCCCAGCACCCAGCCTCAGCTCAGGGCTCTGCATACAAAGTCCCCAGGAAATGTGTGTTGTGTTTGAATGGAAAGAAGAGAAGTCAGCAACCTTGGCCTACACCTGCCCCTGGCTCCTGGCCCACAAACATCTACGAATAGCAGAGAGGCCGAGGGTGTGCACTGCCGGGTTGATTGGCGTTTGAGTCCCTCCTGCTGCTGATCTATAGTGAGACACCGGGCAGGAGGCTTAGTCTTTGTGAGTCTCACTTTCCTCAATGATGAAGCCGAGCTAATAACAGGGCCACCTCCCCAGGGTGCTGGGAGGATTAGCACTGGGGCTGGTAATATGTTCAGTAAATGCTGGCTATAATTATTAATCACATGGGGTTTCTGAAGCCATTACAAACCTGCCATGTTCGGCCATCCATCCGTCTCCTCATTCCACACACGTTTCCTGAGAAACAGAGAGAGAGTCCAGTGTGCTCGGACATTCCGAGTTCTTCCATTGCCTGGGTGTTGGGTGAGATGAGCCGGGTGGAAATAAGTTGCAACAGGTGCAGCTCCAGAAGGGCTCGGAGGCCAGGCGGGGGAGTGTGAACTCTATCCCAAGAGCAATAGGGAGCCATGGGAGGCTACTGAGGAAGAGAGGGCCTGGGCCAGAAGTGAGTGTTAGAATGATGGCCGGTGTGGTGGCTCATGCCTGTAATACCAGAATTTTTGGAAGCTGAGGCAGGAGGATCACTTGAATCCAGGAATTTGAAACTAGCCTGGGCAACATAGTGAGAGCCTGTATCTATAGAAAATTCTAAAATTAGCTGGGGAGGATGGTGCACACCTGTAGTCCCAGTTACTTGGGAGGCTGAGGCAAGAGGATCACTTAAGTATGGGAGGTCAAGGCTGCAGAGAGCTGTGATTGCACCACTGCATTCCAACCTGGGTGATGGAGTGAGACCCTGCCTCAAAAAAGAAAGGGAAGGGAGGGACGGAAAGACGGAAGGAAGGGAGGGAGGGAGGGAAGGAAGGAGGACAGGAAAGGAGAAAGAGAGAGAGAAAGAAAGAAGAAAGACAGAAAGGAAGAAAGGGAAGAAGGAAGGAAAAGAAAGAAAGAGAAAGAGAAAGAAAGAAAAGAAAGAAAAGGAAAAGAAAAGAGAAAGAGAAAGAAAGGAGGGAAGGAGGAGGGAGGGGTGGGAGGGAAGGAGGGAGAACCTTTGTGTGTCAGACGGGGCAGTCCAGAGGCGAGAGGGGAGGCCAGGAAGAAGCTGATAAGCTGGGATGGTGATCCACACAGGAGAGGGTGAGGTCTGGGGAACAGCTTCAGGGGATGGAGAATGTAATAACTCTCATCCTGTGACCTGCAGACTTCTAGAGAGATCCATAGCTGATTCGGTGGCATCTGTAATCCCCGATGTTGTCTGCCAAACTGTGTGTTTCTATTTTTACAAAAGTAAATGCAAACAAGGTGAAAATAGTCCTGATGATATGTTTCATTTCACTCGACACACTCGATTCTCCTTATTCATGGTGGCTATCTTCCTTGAAGTTGCTGAGAACACCAAACTGGCAAATACCAAGCCATTGCCACTGGGGGAAATACAGGGTTAGATTCCTGCAGGCCGCTGGTTACAACATCTTCATCAAACAATCAATACCTCACTGACTTTGCCTTTCTGTTTAAAGACATCTTTTACAGACACGTTGTTGATTCATTGTCATTGAACTCACCGCCAGCAGGAGTACAGCTCATACCTGAATGAAGTTCATCTGACACACATGGACTCTTTCTTTCTTTCTTTTTCTTTCTTTCCCTCTCTCTCTCCCTCCCTCCCTCCCTCCTTCCTTCTTTCTTTCTTTTCTTTCTTTCTCACGGAGTCTCGCTCTGTCGCCCAGGCTGGAGTGCAGTAGCACGATCCTGGCTCACTGCAACCTCTGCCTCCTGGGTTCCGGCAATTCTCCTGCCTCAGCCTCCCGAGTAGCTGGGATTACAGTCGTGCACCACCATGCCCAGCTAATTTTTGTATTTTTAGTAGAGATGGGGTTTCATCATGTTGGCCAGGCTGGTCTCAAATGCCTGACCTCAAGTGCTCTGCCTGCCTCGGCCTCCCAAAGTGCTGGGATTACAAGCATGAGCCCCCGTGCCAGGCCAGATTTTCTATGTGAGGCACTGCAGAACATTCCTAAGCACTGAAGGGGACCCTGTTCAGCGCTGTGCGTGGGAGCTGAAGTGTAGAATCACCAACAAAAAGCACAAACCTGCAGAATCACCAACAAAAACCACAAAAATGTGAAAATCGCAGCACCAACATAAAAAAAAGAGACGCTTGTTTGTAGGAGCGGCTGACACGAAAAGGCGGAGCATCGCTTTCTTCAGCCTCAGCTGGGGATGTGTGCATTGGCAACTCACGTTTTTCACAGCTCTGGGCGCACCTGCAAAAGCACTCTTTTGTTATTGTTGTTGTTCTTTCCGCTCTTATTATTTTTTTTTTGTTCCACCTTGACAAATAAAGAATGTATACAATTGTTGTGTACAACATGATTTTTCTATTGTTTTTAAAGACAGGGTCCCGCCACGTTGCCCAGGCTGGAGTGCCATGCGTGTTTTTCACCAGTGCATCTCCAGCTCTTGAATTCCTGGCCTCGAGAAATGCCTCAGCCTCCTAGACAGACATGACATGACAGCCTCCTAGACTAGACGTGTCCCACCATGTCTGGCTCACATGATGTTTATATAGATATACACATACACACACAGATTGGAAAATAGCTACATCAAGCTGTATAATTAACATATGCATTACCTCACATGCTTTTTTTCTTTTTTTTTTTTTGCAGTGAGAATTCTTTTTTTTTTTTTGAGACAGAGTCTCCCTCTGCCACCCAGGCTGGAGAGCCCTGGCGCCATCTCGGCTCACCGCAACTTCCGCCTCCCAGGTTCAAGCGGTTCTCCTGCCTCAGCCTCCTGAGTAGCTGGGACCACAGGTGCTCGCCACCACACCCAGCTAATTTTTTGTATTTTTAGTAGAGACAGGGTTTCACCGGGTTAGCCAGGATGGTCTTGATCTCCTGACCTCGTGATCCACCTGCCTCGGCCTCCCAAAGTGCTGGGATTACAGGCGTAGCCACCGCGCCCGGCTGAGAATTATATTTCTTAAACAGAATGGTGGAGACATGAATACTCATTATATTTGGGGGATATGCGTGAAATATTTCATGTCACAGAGAATCCCAGCAAGGTTTTGTGCTGCGTGTGAGCAGGTCAGAGACGGCGATAAGACTTAGCACGTGTGGCCTGTCTGTGCCTCGGGAAATAATAGTTCCTATGTCATAGGTAGAACATAAGGATTTAATGAGATTACTGCAAGGGTATACAAAGCCCCAGAACAGTACCTGGCCCATAGTAACTGCTGTAAGCGCATTTGTCAACAACAATAATAATAATTGTTAAGCATTCACTATGCTTGGTGGTATGGCTTGTGTTTTCATCCATTCTTTTATTTAACAATATTTGTTCAACGTATACATGGTGCAATAGAAAGAAAATAGCATTACTGTCTTAAAACAGGAGCAAAGGGCTAGATGGCTCACACCTGTAATCCCACCCAGCACGTTGGGAGGCCGAGGCCAAGAGGATAGCTTGAGGCGAGAAGTTTGAGACCAACCTGGGCAACATAGTGAGATCCCATCTCTACAAAAAACTTAAAAGGTAGTCAGCCCAGTGGCATGCACCTGTGATCCCAGCTACTTGGAAGGCTGAGGTGGGAGGATCTCTTGAACCCAGGAAGTCAAGGCTGCAGTGAGCCGTGACTGTGTCATTGCACTCCAGCCTGCATGTCAGAGTGAGACCCTGTCTTAAAAACAAAATAAAAAAAAAACAGGAGTGGGCTGGGTGCGGTGGTTCACACCTGTAATCAGCACTTTACTCAGGAAGCTGAGGCAGGAGAATTACTTGAACCCGGGAGGTGGAGGTTGCAGTGAGCCGAGATCGGGCCACTGCACTCCAGCCTGGGTGACAAAGTGAGAATCCGTCTAAAACAAACAAACAAACAAACAACAATAAAAAAATAAAAATCAGGAGTGAAAACATTTCCACCTTTCCTGCGAAGGTTGGTTAACTCATCAGGATGACTATTAAAGGCTGAGATTTTGGTCTACTAGTTTATAATCTAACTCGTTCCAGATAAAGCAAATCAGTTTAATGTTAACACTTTTTTCCTTCTGTTTTTCTTTTCACCTTTTTTGGCCCAAGGATGGAGTGTGATGGTGGGTGGGTTACATTGTCAACTGAACAATCTTTGAAGTGTAAATTAATTTTTATATGTTCTTTCAGTATATATTTTCTTAATTGAATTTACTTTAAAAATAACATATAAGTATATATATTATACAAAAGATATATACTACATATATCACTTAATATATAATATAGGATAGTATATATCATATCTAAAATAATTATCTTAGATATAATATTATAATGTACATTAGTATATGCATTATACATATCAATTTTCTTATCAACAGCGCTGTGGGTAGGAGCTGGGGATGACCTGCATTTCAGACAGGAGAAAACTGAAGCGCAGAGGCATCCCGGGAATTCAAGACCAGCCTCGAATTCCAACATAGTGAGAGGGTAGAGGCCGCATAGTGAGACCCCATCCCTGCAAAAACTCTTCGCAACAATGACAATAATAGATGAAAACACAAGCCACAGCACCGAGTACAGTATGAGTGTTGGACACTATTATTATTGCTGTTGTTGTTAACACACTTAACTTGTGTGCCCTCGTTCGGCCAGGAGGGGACAAAGCCAGGAAACGGTCACAAAAGGAGGCCTCGGAGGCTGGTGGGCAGGACGGAGGGGAGGAGAGAGGCACACCGCCCAGCTTTAATGAGGGGTGTGTGTGTACCCTGGGGCTGCAGGACTGCAACCTCCCCCACCACACCTGCGTGCCGAGGTCACTCCGGGTGACCCCGCAGAGCGGCGTTACTAAATGGGGAGGTGCAAAGCTCTTCGGATCACCAGCGAGCGTCTGGGGGAGGGCTGGAGGCCCGCAGCGTCCCCTCTCACTCTCCTCCCGGGGGACCCAGGTGGCCGGCTCTAGGGTAGCAGATGCGCTTGCCTGTCGGCGCACAGCCAGCCCCGGGTCTCCAGTGGAGGAGCTCAGCTCGAGCCGGGCCGGGCACCTGAGGTCGGCCTCACGGGAGCTGCGTGGGCAGGGGGCACAGAGGAGCCTGGAGTCACCAGATCTCAAGGCATCCCAGCTCTGCCTCTCCCTGGCTGCGGCTCTGTGGCCCATGACTCTGCTGCTTCATGCCTCACTGTCCCCATCAGGAAATTGGAAACCATCATTCTACCGACCCAGGGCTTGTTGGGAGGACTCCACAAAGTCTTAAGTGAAAAAGAGAGAGAGACCGAGAGAGCGTGACCAGGGCCTGGCACCAAGTAAGCACCGAGTGTTACTATATTACTGTATCATCATCACTGTATTATTTCATTAAAATTTTTTGAATAACACATACTCACAGGAAAAATTCAAATAATGTAAAAGGCACAGTGGTAAAAAGTTCCCTGAAAGTCATACGGGATGTTGACGTTGATTCCTGACTCATAAAGCAAATAAGGCATTTTTTTTTCTTTTTTTTTTTTTTTTTTTTTTTTTTTGAGACAGAGTCTTACTCTGCCGCCAGGCTGGAGTTCAGTGGTCCATCTTGGCTCACTGCAACCTCTACCTCCCAGGTTCAAGCAATTCTCCTGCCTCAGCCTCCCGAGTAGCTGGGATTACAGGCACCTGCCACCATACCCAGCTAATTTTTGTATTTTTAGTAGAGAGGGGGGTTTCACCTTGTTGGTCAGGCCGGTCTCGAATTCTTGACCTCAGGTGATCCACCTGCCTCGGCCTCCCAAAGTGCTGGGATTATAGGCATGAGCCACCGCGCCCAGCCAAGGCATTTAAAAAAAAATAAATGTGAGAAACTGAAGACAGACTTGTTATTATCTGATTTCGAGAAATTGTTGGGCTGGATACTGTGGCTCACACCTGTATTCTCAGCACTTTGGTAGACCGAGGTAGGAAGATCACTTGAGCCTAGGAGTTTGAGACCAGCCTGGGCAACACAGCAAGACCCTATCTTAAATTTTTTATTTTTTATTTAATTTAATTTTATTTTTTTGAGACAGACTCTCGCTCTGTCGCCCAGGCTGGGGTGCAGTGGCGCCATCTCGGCTCCCTGCAACCTCTGCCTCCCGGGTTCAAGCGATTCTTCTGCCTCAGCCTCTTGAGTAGCTGGGATTACAGACACACGCCACCACGACTGGGTAATTTTTGTATCTGTAGTAGAGATGGGGTTTCACCATGTTGGCCAGGCTGGTCTCGAACTCCCGACCTCAGGCAATTTGCCCGCCTCAGCCTCCCAAAGTGCTGGGATTACAAGCGTGAGCCATCACACCTGGCCTCATCTTCAATTTTGTTAAAAAAGTCATTATGACAATTTTACTGTAGCTGAGCTAGAAATTTTCCTTACTTTTACAGATAGGTACTCTCAAATGTTTGGGCACAATTCATCACAATGCCTGTAGTTTAGTTTATAACTTGTAGCTTTTCATGAAGGAAAATTTCCAGCATAACCAGAAACAGAGGAATAAAATGAGTCCCTTCCCTCTCACTTGTCTCACCACCCACCCACCACCCCCCCATACACACACACACACACACACACACACACACATTTTCTTTTCTTTTGCCAGACTTTTTTGTTTGTTTGTTTTTGAGATAGAGTTTTGCTCTTGTTACCCAGGCTGGAGTGCAATCGTGCCATCTTGGCTCACCGCAACCTCCGCCTCCCGGGTTCAAGTGATTCTCCTGCCTCAACCTCCCAAGTAGCTGGGATTACAAGCATACACCACCATGCCCAGCTAATTTTGTATTTTTAGTAGAGACGGGGTTTCTCCATGTTGTTCAGGCTAGTCTCGAACTCCCGACCTCAGGTGATCCGCCCGCCTCGGCCTCCCAAAGTGCTGGGATTAGAGGCGTGAGTCACCGCGCCCAGCCGGCCAGATGATTTTAAAGCAAACACACCAGGCAGCTCAGCATTTCCACTTCCAAAAGACTTCAATATTTATCATTTACTTGAAACTAGTTTGTATGCCCCCGCCGACAAAGAAATAAAGATCAAGAAAGTATGGCCAAGTGGCCACATCTGTGAAGTTTAGCCAATGGGTGTTCATGACAGCACTTTTTTGTTTGTTTGTTTTTGTTTTGTTGTTATTATTTGTTTGTTTGTTTGTTGTTTGTTTTTGAGACGGAGTCCCGCTCTGTTGCCCAGGCTGGAGTGCAGTGGTGCGATCTCGGCTCACCACAACCTCCGCCTCCCTGGGTTCAAGCGATTCTCCTGCCTCAGCCTGCCCAGTAGCTGGGACTACAGGCACGGACAGCACTTTTTCTACTTTTCTGTAGGTTTGCGACTTTCCCCAATCTAACCTCCGAACAGCAAAGGAAGTTCTACCTCTGCCCCTCCTTGGGTCCCTTCCAGCTCCCCAGAGGCCAGCGCCACAGCCTGTTTCCTGCAGATCCTTCCAGCGCCTACGCGTCGCTGCCGTTGCTGTGTCTTTATTAATAGCAGGGCTGTAGTAGTAGTGGAAACACGAGTGGGGCAGGCAGCAGGCCTCTGAGTCACACAGGCCTGGCCCGGGGCCCGCTCCCCTTCTGACCTTGTGTAACACGATCGTTTCTCGGAACCTCAGTTTCCTGCTCCGTAAACTGGGGATAAATACTGACCCTTTGGGCAGCTGGGAGGATCCAGTGTAAAGCCCCGCACAGGGCTAGGCGCGGAACAGGTGCTGAGAACATGAGAGCACCTCTGTCCCTGGCGCTTCCCACAGCTACTTCAGCTCCTGAGTCCTGCAGGAGGAGGGGCTGGGCCTGGACTCCTGGGTCTGAGGGAGGAGGGGCTGGGGACCTGGGTCTGAGGAAGGAGAGGCTGGGAGTCTGTACTCCTGGGTCTGAGGGAGAAGGGGCTGGGAGCCTGGACTCCTGGGTCTGAGGGAGGAGGGGCTGGGGCCTGGACTCCTGGGTCTGAGGGAGGAGGAGCTGGAGTCTGGACTCCTGGGTCTGAGGGTGGAGAAACTGGGGACCTGGACTCCTGGGTGTGAGGGAGGAGGTGCTGGAGACCTGGACTCCTGGGTCTGAGGGAGGAGGGGCTGGGGCCTGGACTCCTGGGTCTGAGGATGGAGGAACTGGGGACCTGGACTCCTGGGTGTGAGGGAGGAGGGGCTGGAGGCCTGGACTCCTGGGTCTGAGGGAGGAAGGGCTGGGGTCCTGGACTCCTGGGTCTGAGGGAGGAGGGGCTGGGGGCCTAGACTCCTGGATCTGAGGGAGGAGGAGCTGGAGGCCTGGACTCTTGGGTCTGAGGGAGGTGGGGCTTGGGGCCTAGACTCCTGGGTCTGAGGATGGAGGAACTGGGGACCTGGACTCCTGGGTGTGAGGGAGGAGGAGCTGGGGCCAGCACTCCTGGTGTGAAGGAGGAGGGCTTTGGGAACTGTTCCCTGGTCCCTGGACACCAGCGCTCCTGGCCTCTGGGGCAAGACAGAGGTGCTCAGCTCTGGGCCAGTCATCCCAGCTCAGGTGTGTGGAGGGGTCTGTCCCACCCTTTCCTCTGCCCTCAGGCCTGGGCCTTGTTGGGGGTTCACAATATGTTTTGTCCCGTCTGTCCTGGGACTGGAGCCCAGAGTCCAAGCTGGTCTAAGTTTGGAAGGGAGAGGGAGGGGGCAGCGGTCAGAGGGGGTGAGGGAGGGGTGTGGGGGGACAGGATGTCTCTGTCTCTGAGCTGTCACACACACCCCTGTCCCAGGCCCAGAGAAAGGGAGGGACAAAGGCTTTGAGAGAGAGTCAGGAACAAAGAGGAGGAGAGAGACGCAGAGACACTGGGGAGAGCGGACGGAGATGCCCAGAGGGGCCGGGAGAGACGGGAAACAGACAGACAGAGAGAGGGGAGCAGGCAGGGAGCAGAGCGTGGAGACACCCCCAGAGTTGGTGGAGAAAGAGTGGAGACAGTGTGCGGACAGGGGAGAGGGGCCGGCGACCCACAGAGACGGGACAGGGAGGGGGAGTCCCACCCCAGAGACCCAAGTGCGAGACAGAGACAGGGAGGGTGGAGAGAGAGAGACGGGGAGAGAAGGAGACAAAGACGCACAAAGAGAGAGGATAGACGGAGCAAGAGAGAGGCTGACAGAAAGGTGTTCCTGTAGAAGGAAGGAGAGACTGGGGTTGGCTAAAGAGAGGGGAAGAGAGGGTGTGGGGAGTAAGGGCTATCACCTGGGAAGCACAGCAGGGAATACACCCAGAGGGTGGCAGGAGGGCACAGAGAGGCAGAGACACTCCTCCAGCTAGACAGAGCCGGACAGACAAGGGGCGACTGAGGCTGACCTTGCAGACGAGCTTCCATCCCTTGGCTCTGCGCAGCGAGAACCTGTGGGGTGCAGGGGGCTGGTTGCTTTCTGGGGAGCCCTGACGGGGGGGTCCCGCCCAAGGGCCACCCCACATCAGGAAGCCCTGAGATGGAGCGCAGGGCCTCCGAGACCCCTGAGGATGGGGACCCAGAGGTGAGAGACGGGAGCCAGGGGAGGAAGACAGAGAGAGAAAAGAAGGAGAGAGAGGCAGGAGGCAACACGGGGAGAGAGAGGAAGAGAAACAGAAAACAGGGAAACGCAAAGACCTCAGAGACCCAGACCCAGGGAGAGAGGATGACAGAGATCCAAGGACACACAGCGAGACCAAGGCCCCCAGAGAATTGGACTCAGAAACACACAGCGGGATGCACAGGGGAAGAGGACGGTGGAGAGAGAGACCAGGGTGGGCAGGGGGACTGTGTGGGCTGAGGATGCACCCCCACTCGGGGCTGGGGGCTCCTGGCCTGCTCCCACAGACAGGGGCAGGCGGGGCCTCTGTGGCAGTGACCCCTAACCTCTCCAGGACACAAAAACAGGTGGCCCGAGTCCGGGTGAGTCACTGTGACTCATCCTCCTCTCTGGGGACAGTGACCCCTGTCCCCTGCCCCACCCTCCATCCTGGGGCTGCGCCGTGACCTCCTCCCCCACCACTCTCAGTGGACCCCAGACGCGCCCCCTCCTCACCCTGCCCCTCTCCCGTAGGAGGACACAGCCACAGCCCTCCAACGGCTGGTGGAGCTGACGACCAGCAGGGTGACCCCGGTGAGGAGCCTTCGGGACCAGTACCACCTCATCCGGAAGCTGGGCTCCGGCTCCTACGGCCGCGTGCTCCTTGCCCAGCCTCACCAGGGGGGTGAGTTCAGCCACCCAAGGGCAGCCTCCCCAACTGCCCCACAATAAGCATTCTCGGAAGCCACCCAGACAGGGGGCATTCCCAGGAGGAGCTGATGGGGACCCTTCTCAGTGGGGGTACTCTGAAAGTTAAGAGCTCTGGGATCTTCTGAGAAACACAGGCCCCACCCCAGAGAGGGCGAGGGACTGCCTACGGTCCCACAGCAGGACAGGTATGCAACTCAAGTTGGAACCCAAGTCACCACCGTGTCTCTTACTTGATGCCAGGGGAAACTGAGGCCCGGAGAGGGTGAGGCGGCTGTGCAAGCCCACGCCGCAGTCCGAGGCAGAGCAGGGAGGGTCTTCAAAGAAGGTCTCCTCCCACCCACACTTCACAGACAGGGGAGCCCGTGCTGCCCATGAGAAGTGTGAGGCTCAGAGAGTTTACACGGCTTCCCTCAGGCCCCACAGCAGGACTGGAGCCGCCTGAGTGTCCCTCCGACCCATCTCCCTGGCAGGTCCAGCTGTGGCTCTGAAGCTCCTGCGTCGGGATTTGGTCCTGAGAAGCACCTTCCTGAGGGAGTTCTGTGTGGGCCGCTGCGTCTCTGCACACCCAGGCCTGCTGCAGACCCTGGCAGGACCCCTACAGACCCCCCGCTATTTTGCCTTCGCCCAGGAGTACGCGCCCTGTGGGGACCTCAGCGGGATGCTGCAGGAAAGGGTGAGGCCACGAGGGACAAAGGTTGGGAGTGCTTATCCCAGGTCCAACTCTGTCCCAAGCCCCGTCTCTGTCTCCAACTCTGACCCCAAATCAGGGCCCGCCCAATCCATCTCCACCCTGAGCCCCCACATGACCTCCCCCTTTCTAATTCTCAACGAGGTTCCATGCCTGACCTCAACCCTAATCCATCCAATCACCCAAACACAATCGTGGAAAGGCAGGGAGCTGGGGGTGGGATTGAGGATGGACTGGAGTCAATGAAGGGGGTGGGGAGGGAGACAGGGTTGGGATTTTAGTTGACTCTGAGGTTAGGGTGTGGGCATGGGTGGAGTTGGGTGGGTTGAGTTTAGAGTTGATTATAGATTCATCGTGAGTATGGAGAAAAGCATGAATGGGCTGCAGAGAGAAGCAGAGACGGTTGAGGATGTGTATATAGACTGAGTTGGAGATGGGCTATAATGGGGTTTCTTCTAGAAAGGAGACCAGGTCAGGACAGAACCCATGATATTCTAGGGTCTCTCGAGTTTGGAGATTAGGGGTAGGGATAGTTTCAGGAATAGATTTTGGATTTGAGATAAAGTTAGGGATAAATGGAAGGAATAAAAGAAGGAAGGGGATGAGGAAGGTACATGTGGAGAAATGAGTCTCATTGAGAATTAGAAGGATGGAAGGATGGGTGAGTGGACAGATGGGTGGGTGAATAGATGGGTGGAAGGAAGGACTGGTAGATGGATGGGTGGGTGGATGGATGGGTGGGTGGGTGGGTGGATGGATGGATGGATGGATGGATGGATGAAAGGATTGGTGGGTGAGTGGATGGATGGATGGATGAGTGGGTGGGTGGATGGAAGGATCCATGGGTGGATGGATGGGTGGGTGGATGGATGGATGGTGGATGGATGGATGGGTGGGTGGGTGGATGGATGGGTGGGTGGATGGGTGGATGAAAGGATTGGTGGGTGGATGGATGGATGGATGAAAGGTTTGGTAGGTGAGTGGATGGATGGATGAAAGGTTTGGTGGGTGAGTGGATGGATGGATGAGTGGATGGGTGGGTGGGTGGGTGGATGAAAGGATTGGTTGAGTGGACGGGTGGGTGGGTGGATGGAAGGATCCGTGGGTGGATGGATGGATGGGTGGATGGATGGATGGATGGGTGGGTGGATGGATGGGTGGGTGGGTAGATGGAGGGGTGGATGGATGGATGAAAGGATTGGTGGGTGGATGGATGGATGGAAGGAAGGATTGGTGGGTGGATGGACGGATGGATGGATGGATGGATGGATCGATAGAAGGAAGGATTGGTGGGTGGATGGATGGGTGGATGGATGGATGAAAGGTTTTGTGGGTGAGTGAATGGATGGATGAGTGGATGGGTAGGTGGGTGGGTGGATGAAAGGATTGGTTGAGTGGATAGGTGGGTGGGTGGATGGAAGAATTGGTGGATGGATGGGTGGGTGGATGGCTGCATGGACGGATGGATGAAAGGATTGGTGGGCGGATGGATGGATGGACGGAAGGAAGGATTGGTGGATGGATGGATGGATGGATGAAAGGATTGGTGGGCGGATGGGTGGATGGATGGAAGGAAGGATTGGTGGGTGGATGGATGGATGGATGGATGGATGGATGAAAGGTTTGGTGGGTGAGTGAGTGGTGGATGGATGAGTGGATGGGTGGGTGGGTGGATGGAAGGATTGGTTGAGTGGATGGATGGATGGGTGGGTGGACGGAAGGATTGGTGGATGGATGATTAATGGATGGTGAGTGGATGGGTGAAAGGAAGCAAGGGAGGATGAATATATGGATGTTGGATATTAAATAACAGAATAACTTATTGGATTGCTGACTGGTTGGTGGAATGGATGTTGGATGGACACACTGTTCAATACTGTTGGAAGGATGGATGGCTTCATGGATGAATTGCTGCCTGGCCAGCTGGCTGGCTAGACGGATAGATAATCAATTGATGAAATAAACTGGGGAATTTTAGAAAAGCCTCTGAGTTAGAGATGGGGTCTAGACTCATACAAGACTAAGATTAGGGTTAAGAATGAAATTTGAGTTCTCACTGGAGAAGATCTGGATGGTCAGTTTACAAAAGATATATAAGAAATGTTCACAGTGGGCCTGAGTGTTTGAGTTAGGAGAATCTTTGAAAGAAGCTAAAAGAAGGAGCTACTGGTTATAACTGGGGTTCCAGTGGGGAAAACTGGGAGACCAGCTGGGAGTTGGTCTACAGGAGTGCAGATATGGCTGCAGGTTGAGGTTGAGGATGATGGAGAGAAAGTCTTTGGGAGCATGTGGTGGGAACACTGGAGGTAGCCACTAGTCTGGGGTTCTAGATTCTCAAACCCCAAGAGTCAAACTTTTAGGACTTAGGAATCTAGAGCCTCTTTCAAAAATTATTCAGAAGGAACCAACTGGTGCAGTGCCTCATGCCTATAATCCCAGCACTTTGGGAGGCCAAGGCAGGAGGATCGCTTGAGGCCAGGAGTTTGAGACCAGCCTGGACAACATAAAAAAGACAAAACCAAGACACTCTGACCCTCCTCCTGTCTTCTTGACCTCAGGGCCTCCCAGAACTGCTGGTGAAGCGGGTGGTGGCCCAGTTGGCAGGAGCTCTGGACTTCCTCCACAGCCGGGGGCTGGTCCACGCAGATGTCAAACCTGACAACGTGCTGGTCTTCGACCCGGTCTGCAGCCGTGTGGCCCTGGGAGACCTGGGTCTGACCCGGCCAGAGGGCAGCCCGACCCCCGCCCCACCAGTGCCTCTGCCCACGGCACCGCCTGAGCTCTGTCTCCTGCTACCGCCCGACACCCTGCCTCTGCGGCCAGCCGTGGACTCCTGGGGCCTGGGGGTGCTTCTCTTCTGTGCTGCCACTGCCTGTTTCCCTTGGGACGTGGCACTGGCCCCCAACCCTGAGTTCGAGGCCTTCGCTGGCTGGGTGACCACCAAGCCTCAGCCACCTCAGCCACCACCACCCTGGGACCAGTTTGCGCCCCCAGCCCTGGCCTTGCTCCAGGGGCTTCTGGACCTGGATCCCGAGACTAGGAGCCCCCCACTGGCTGTCCTGGACTTCCTGGGGGACGACTGGGGGTTGCAAGGGAACAGAGAGGGACCTGGGGTTTTGGGGAGCGCCGTGTCCTATGAGGACAGGGAGGAGGGAGGCTCAAGCCTGGAGGAGTGGACAGATGAGGGTGATGACAGCAAAAGTGGTGGGAGGACGGGGACAGATGGGGGAGCTCCCTGACCAGGTGACAGAGACAGGTGGCCAGAGCCTGGGCCAGAGGCCCTTCCCCCAGCCCCCAGGGCCACCTGGATGGAGAGACAGCTGCACCCGGGAGGACAGAGAGGGAACACATTGCACTCTCCCTACGGAACGCTGGGCTTGGACGCGCATTCCTCTTCCAACTGAGGACCCAAGAGCCCAGCTCCTGCCCCTCCTCTCTCAGACGCAGGATCCAGGCTCCCATCCCTTCCTCCCTCAAGGACCTTTCCTCTTCCCTCCGTCCAGAGTGTCTTCTTTTTTATTTTTATTTTTTTTAGACAGAATCTCGGTCTGTGACCCAGGCTGGAGTGCAGTGGCGCGATCTCAGCTCACTGCAACCTCCCCCTCCCAGGTTCAAGTGATTCTCCTGCTTCAACCTCCCAAGTAGCTGGGATTACACCCGCACCACCACACCCGGCTAATTTTGTATTTTTAGTAGAGGTGGGGTTTCACCATGTTGGCCAGGCTGGTCTCGAACTCCTGACCTCAAATGATCCACCCGTCTTGGCCTCCCAAAGTGCTGGGATGACAGGCATGAGCCACCACGCCTGGCCATCATGGAGTTCTGATGGGATCACTCCTCTCCTCTAAGACCTTCCGTGGCTCCCGCTGTCCATGTCACAAGATCTGAACTTTAGGATCCGACACCATATAAACCTCACCCTCCACCTCTCCCATTTCTCTGGGCTGTGGGTGATGTCATGGGCGCCACTCATCTGTTCTGGACCTAAATCTACACATGTGAGAACACACACACGCACGCGCACACACACATGGGTGCATACGTGTGCACACACACGCACATACATGTGCATGCACTCACGCATACACACACGCGTATATGCGCACATGCATGCACACACACGCGCGCACACACACATGTGTGCATACATGGACACACACGCACTCGCACGCATGCACACATGTGTGCACACACGCATGCACACGCATGCACGCACAGCTGCTGCCAGACATTGGCGCACTGTGTGGCCTCCACCGAGAGCATCTTCCCCCTGACCCATGGCTCCAGAAAGTGGCCCCCACCCCCAGCCCTCTCTGGCCTCCTGGGGAACTTGTATTAGAACAATCCATGTCTCTTTCTGACTGTCCAGGCTGGACCTGGTCTTCTCCATATTTAGATCCTTCCCAGTTCTGCTCCCACAGAGCACCACGGATTGTGATTGTCCCAGCTCCGTCCCCCTTTCTCAGACCCGTCAATCCTAAGAGCCAGGCCTGGTACCCATGGGTCTCCTTCCTCACCAAGGCCAGCCCGCGCCCCGCAGTCCCATGGCACCTGCCAGACAGGACACGGAGCCTGGCTTGTGGAGGTTCACGCCTGCAGGACGGGGATGAACTAGATCCAAATCCAAGACCCCAGCACCCAGCGGAGGGTCCAGAACTGGAAACTGTGTTTCCTAAGCAGGAAGGTATGCTTCCAGGCTGGGAAGTGAGCTCACTACATACGACACGGCATCCTGGGCTCGATCCATCGTGGAAGCGCTGCTGAAATAACAGTCTGGTGTTGGCCCAACTGTGAGCCTCGTAGTTTTGACAAATGTCTCACGGTTTGCATCGCGATGCCGACACCAGGGGAGGCTGGGGGAGGGTGCATGGGAACTCTCCGCAGGATCTTGGCAACCATTTTATAAACCTAAAATGATTCCAAAATAAAAAGTTTATTTAAAAAAATGAAGTGACTTCACATCAGTCATGGCAGTATAAACCTGAAGGGTGGGCCAGACACGGTGGCTTATGGCTGTAATCCCAGCACTTTGGGAGGCTGAGGCGGGTGGATCACCTGAGGTCAGGAGTTCGAGGCCAGCCTGACCAACATGGTAAAACCCTGTCTCTACTAAAAATATAAGAATTATCCAGGAGTGGTGGCAGGCACCTGTAGTCCCAGCTACTCTGGAGGCCAAGGCATGAGAATCGCTTGAACCTGGGAGGTGGAGATTGCAGTGAGCTGAGATTGGGCCACTGCACTCAGCCTGGGCAACAGAGCAAGACCCTGTCTCAAAAAAATAAAAATAGCCCAGGCACAGTGGCTCACCTCTGTAATCCCAGCACTTTGGGAGGCTGAGGCGGGTGGATCACCAGGTCAGGAGATCAAGACCATCCTGGCCAACATGGTGAAACCCTGTCTCTACTAAAACATACAAAAATTAGCCAGGCGTGGTGGCAAATGCCCGTAATTCCAGCTACTCGGGAGGCTGAGGCAAGAGAATCACTCGAACCAGAGAGTTGGAGGTTGCAGTGAGCCGAGATCACGTCACTGCACTCCAGTCTGGGTGACAGAGCGAGATTCCGTCTCAAAAAGCAAAAAAAAAAAAAAAAAAAAGAAATAAAAAACCCTGAAGGGTGGGTGCAACCGTCCCAGAAAAAAACAGGGGTCTGAAGTCCCACTGTGGCCCAAGGCTTGGGGACTTCCTAGTGGGGCTTAATCTCCCTGTGCTTACAGCAGGGAGGCACTCACTGGCCTGTATTCCTGTTATGCGCTTTCAAACTATTTTTATTGTTATTCCTCTCTTTGGAATCAGGAGCCCTCAGGCCCTCCTCCCTCAGACCCAGGAGTCCAGGTCCTCAACCCCCTCCTCCCTCAGGCCCAGGAGTCCAGGTCCTCAACCCCCTCCACCCTCAGGCCCAGGAGTCCGGGTCCTCAACCCCCTCCTCCCTCAGACCTAGGAGTCCAGGTCCTCAACCCCCTCCTCCATCAGGCCCAGGAGTCCGGGTCCCGTGTAGAAAATGAAATCATTTCTGGAACCCACCCCTGCCTTGACCCCACCCAGCTGCCCCATCAATGCCCCATTGACAGGTCAGACACAAGTGCTTGGAGAGGGGTGTCCAGGGGATCAGATGCTGGGGTCTAGTTTGGGGAAAGAATGAGACAATGAGATTCCAGAACGATGCAGTGTGGGATGACCTCAGACTCAGAGGGGCGGGAAGCAGGTGCTGGAGCAACTGGGAAGAGAGGCCTTGAGGGGGTGGGGAGGCCTCAGTTCTGCCGGAAAACTTCAGATGGGTGGGGGAGGCTGAGGCCTGGACTCCTGGGTCTGAGGGAGGAGGGACTGGGGCCTGGACTCCTGGGTCTGAGGGAGGAGGGGCTGGGGCCTGGACTCCTGGGTCTGAGGGAGGAGGGGCTGGGGGTCTGGACTCCTAGGTCTGAGGGAGGAGGGGCTGGAGACCTGAATTCCTGGGTCTGAGGGAGGAGGGGCTGGAGACCTAGACTCCTGGGTCTGAGGGAGGAGGGGCTGGGGTCTAGACTCCTGGGTCTGAGGGAGGAGGCACTGGGGGACTGGATTCCTGGGTCTGAGGGAGGGAAAGCTGGGGGCCTGGATTCCTGGGTCTGAGGGAAGAAGAGCTGGGGGCCTGGACTCCTGGGTCTGAGGGAGGAGGGGCTGGGGCCTGGACTCCTGGGTCTGAGGGAGGAGGCACTGGGAGACTGGATTCCTGGGTCTGAGGGAGGAGGCGCTGGGGGCCTGGACTCCTGAGTCTGAGGGAGGAGGAGGGGCTGGGGCCTGGACTCCTGGGTCTGAAGGAGGAGGGCTCAACTCTTGGGTCAGGGTATTCACCTGACCACAGCCAGTTCCAGGAGTCATCACACGATGTCGCTCTGCTCCCAGTGGGGGCAGAAGGGGCGGGCCCAGGGGCGGGGCCTTACGACCCCCAAAGTCGGGGCGGGGTCTTGCTCCTAGGCAGGCCTCTGCTGGCATGAGCCCTAAGTGCCGGGCACTGACCACAGCCGGCGGCCGGAGGGTCAGGAGGGCCTTGGAGGAGGTGAGGTCTGGAGGTCTGAGCCCAGGTTGGGAGGTGGGCAAGGTGCCCTGGCCTGAGGTGGGCAGCACCTGAGGGTGACTGTACCAGGTGGCCCGAGTCCTCGGTCCCTCAGGGGAGCCTGGGCTGCACCTGGAGGCTGTAGAGCGGTGGAGGGTGAGGGAAACAGAATCAGGGGGTCCCCAGTTGTGTGAATTGTATGAGGTTCCGGGAGAGAGGTGGGCTGGGGGCCTGGACCCCTGGGCCTGGCGGAGGAGGGGCTGGGGGGCTGGGTCGGAGGGAGGTGGGTGGGCTGTGAAAGTGGGACCCCAGGCCTGTCAGGAGCTTGGGGACTGATCCCAAGTGCTCGGTCCCATGCAGGACCCAGGCGTCCCAGGCCCTCTGCACAGCCCGCCCTCCCAGCCCTGAGCCCAAGAGCACCTGTTTGTTCTCAGGAGACAGAGTCTACTCATCCACCCCCAGGGCCCAAGTCTGTTTGCTTTGGAAACAAGATGGGGGAGTCTCAGTTATCTGGTTCATCTTTCAACCTCAGGGTGGGCGGGTGGCGGCGGCGGCACGCGGGCAGGGACATCTGTGACCTGGGGCTTGAACTCACACCAGACTTGTCTCCCCACCTCTCACCAAGAGGGAGACTGAGTCACAATGAGAAGCGCGATGAGCCCCCAGCCCCTCCTCCCTCAGACCCAGGAGTCCAGACCCCCAGTCCCCTCCTCCCTTGGGCCTGGGACCTGAGCCTGGGCACCCCTCTCTGTTCTCGCAGAGATGCCCGGCAAACAGTCTGAGGAAGGGCCGGCGGAGGCAGGGGCTTCGGAGGACAGCGAGGAGGAGGGTCTGGGCGGCCTGACATTAGAGGAGCTCCAGCAGGGCCAGGAGGCTGCCCGCGCGCTGGAGGACATGATGACGCTGAGTGCTCAGACCCTGGTCCGAGCCGAGGTGGACGAGCTCTACGAGGAAGTGCGTCCCCTGGGCCAGGGTTGCTATGGCCGCGTCCTTCTGGTCACCCATCGTCAGAAAGGTACGAGGCTGTGGGGCCAGAGGTGGCAGGGTTCAGCTGGGGGCGGGGCACGGGCCTGGGGTAGCCCAGGCTGGGGAGGCTGGCAGGCCTGAATCAAGTCTTACCTCTGCCCTCCAAAGCTGTGTGTTTTTTGTTTTTTGTTCTTTTGGTTGGTTGGTTGTTTTTGAGACAGTCTGGCTCTGCCGCCCAGGCTGGAGTGCAGTGGCACAATCTCACTGCAACTTCCACCTCCCAGGTTCAAGTGTTCCTCCTGCCTCAGCCTCCCATGTAGCTAGGACTATAGGCATGCACTACCACACCCAGCTACATTTGTGTGTGTGTGTATTTTTCTTTCTTAGTAGAGATGAGGTTTCACTCTGTTGGCCAGGGTGGTCTCGTACTCCTGGCCTCCAGTGATCCGCCTGCCTCAGCCTCCCAATTGCTGGGATTACAGGCATGAGCCACGGTGCCCTGCCAAAAACTGTGTTTTGAGGAACTCCCTTGCCCTCTCTGAGTCTCAGCTTCCTCCTTTGGAAAATGTGGGTGATGATTTCTACTTGGAAGAATGGTGGATCCTCTGAGTGAATGTGGACTGCTCTAGTTGCTGGGGTTGTATAATGCTGGGTAAGACAGAGCTCCCAGCTCAGGAGCCTCCTGTGGCGGCTGTAGTGGTCACCGTGGGATGATGCAGAGTGATGCTGTCTGCTAAGCACTTAGCAAGGCCGGCACACAGTGGGTGCGCAGGACAGCTCCCCACTACCCTGGGCCTTTCTGCCAAGCACCGTGTCCTTCCATGAAACGGAAAATAGGGAGGCAACCTGAGGTCAGTCAGTTCAGGGCACGCCTTCTGAGGCCAGCCCTGTGCTGGGGGGGTTGGGCGGGCAGTGGACCCAGAATTGAACCAGAGCCAGTCCCTGCCTTCAAAAATCTCCTAGCATGAATGCAGAAAAAGTGTGCATTCATCTGCTGGGGCTGCCATAACAAAGGCAGGCGCTTCCACAACAGAACTTTTGACTTTTTTCTTTCTTTTTTTTTTTTGAAATGGAGTCTCGCTCTGTTGCCCAGGCTGGAGTGCAGTAGCACAATCTCAGCTCACTGCAACCTCCGCTTTCCAAGTTCAAGTGATTCTTGTGCCTCAGCCCCCCGAGTAGCTGGGATTACAGGTGCATGCCACCATGCCCAGCTCATTTTTGTATTTTTAGTAGAGATGGGGTTTCACCATGTTAGCCAGGCTAGTCTTGAACTCCTTATTTCAAGTGATCCTCCTGCCTCAGCCTCCCAAAATGCTGGGATTACAGGTGTGAGCCACTGTGCCTGGCCTTTTTTCTTTTCTTTTTTTTTCTTTTTTTTTTTTTTTTGAGACAGGGTCTCGCTGTTGTCCAGGCTGGAGTGCAGTGGCACAATCATAGCTCACTGCAGCTTTGACCTCCTGGGCTCAAGGGATCCTCCCACCTCAGCTCTGCAAGTAGCTGAGACTACAGGCGCATGCCACCATGCCCGGCTAATTTTTAAATGTTTTTTTTAAGATGGGGTCTCACTGTGTTGCCCAGGCTGGTCTCAAACTGGCCTCAAGTGGTCCTCCTGCCTCAGCCTCCCAAAGTGCTGGGATTACAGGTGTGCGCCACCGTGCCTGGCCAACAACAGAGCTCTGTTTCCTCACAGCTTTGGAGGCTGGAAGCCCGAGATCAAGATGTCAGCAGGGTTGGTTCTCCTGAGGCCTCTCTCCTTGGCTTGCATTTGGCCGTCTTCTCCCTGTGTCCTCACATGGTCGTCCCTCTGTGTGTGTCTGTGTCCTGATCTCCTCTTCTTATAAGGACACCAGTCACATTGGATGAGGGCCTGCCCACTCTAGTGACCTCATTTTACCTCTTTAAAGACCCCATCTCCAAATACAGCCACATTCAGCACTGGGGGGGTTAGGACTCCCACATACGAGTTTTGGGGATACACAATTCAGTAATAACACAGAGGGCAATAACACAGCCACACAACAGCACACCTCAGGAAGAGCCACGGATGCAGAGATCCAGCCCTGGGTGCTCACAAAGCCGGAGGCATGAGCAGTAACAGGCGGGGGCATTGCCAATGAGGCCCCTCCATGGCCATTTCACTGAACCTGTATCTGGAGGCCTCCAGCACACCTGCCCCTGGGCTGCATGATGCTGGGGCCCTGAACATGTCACTGTCGTTAAGAAGCTCAGGGCACCGTGGGGAGCATAGATGGGCAGGGATCGCCAACACCGGGTGGCGTGGCCGTGGCGGCAGTGATCAGGAGCGCTGTGAACACGCAGAAGAGACCCCACTGCATCTGGCTGCAGAGTGGGCGGGGATGGCTGGTGTTTTTGATAAGGAAGGAACTTTTTCTTTTTTTTTTTTTTTTTTTTTTTTTTTTTTTTTTTTTTTGAGACGGAGTCTCGCTCTGTCGCCCAGGCCGGACTGTGGACTGCAGTGGCGCAATCTCAGCTCACTGCAAGCTCCGCCTCCCGGGTTCACGCCATTCTCCTGCCTCAGCCTCCCGAATAGCTGGGACTACAGGCAAGGCATGCACCACCACACCTGGCTGATTTTTGTATTTTTACTAGAGATGGGATTTCACCATTTTGGCCACGCTGGTCTTGAACTCCTGACCTCAAGTGATCCACCCACCTGGGCCTCCCAAAGTGCTGGGATTACAGGTGTGAGCCACTGCACTCGGCCTTTCTTTTCTTTTCCTTTTTTTTCTTTTTTGAAGATGGAGTCTTGCTCTGTCACCCAGGCTGCAGTGAGTGGAGTGGTACAATCTTGGCTCACTACAACCTCCGCCTCCTGGGTTCAAGCAATTCTCCTGCCTCAGCCTTCCGAGTAGCTGGGATTACAGGCATGTGCAACCACACCGGCTAATTTTTGTATTTTTTAGTAGAGATGGGGTTTCGCCATGTTTGCCAGGCTGATCTCGAACTCCTGACCTCAAGTGATCCGCCCACCTTGGCTTCCCAAAGTGCTGGGATTATAGGCATCAGCCACTGCGCTGGGCCAATAAGGAGGGAATTTATCCCAGTTACACACGGCCTTGTGAGGGGGAAGGTTGCACCCTGGCAGCTGATGGCTCAGAAATCAAAGAAACCAAGCCGGGCATGGTGGCTCACACCTGTAATCCCAGCACTTTGGGAGGCCAAGGCAGGAGGATTGCTTAGAGCCTAGGAGTTTGAGACCAGCCTGGGCAACATAGCGAGACCGTCTCTACAAATTTTTTTTAAAAAACTTAGCCAGTTAGCAGGAATTTCTGGTGTCAGGGAAAAAAATCAGCTTGGTGTGCAATTAGCCCAGTGGCGGTGCACAACTGTAGTCCCAGCTACTCAGGGAGCTTGGGCAGGAGAATCGCTTGAGCCCGGGAGGCGGAGGTTGCAGTGAGCCATGATTGTGCTGCTGCACTCCAGCCTGGACGACAGAGAAAGACCCTGTCTTAAAAAAAAAAAAAAAAAGGGCGGGTGTAGTGGCTCACACCTGTAATCCCAATGCTTCAGGAGGCTGAGGTGGGTCATCACCTGAGGCCAGGAGTTCAAGACTAGCCTGACCAACATGGTGAAACCCCATCTCTACTAAAAATACAAAAATTAGCTAGGTATGGTGGCAGGTGCCCGTAATCCCAGCTACTCGGGAGGCTGAGGCAGGAGAATCGCTTGAACCCAGGAGGCAGAGGTTGCAGTGAGCCGAGATGACGCCACTGCACTCCAGTCTGGACAACAAGCGTGAAACTGCATCTCAAAAAAAAAAAAAAAAAAAAAAAAGGAAGACATCAGAAGTTCCTTCGGGGAGTTTAGCTTCTAGGAAGTCGTTTCCACACGTGACAAAATCCACAATTCCTAATTGGCTTTCTTACCCAGTGTGGGTTACCTTTTCCCCAGGTGTCTCAAAAATACCTTTTTGCCTCAAACACGAGTTTGCTGTCATGAGAAGCCAAACGAGGTCATTGGAGAAATTTCATGGTATCCCTCCATCTCCATGGCTATAGACTTGTAAGAAAGCAAGGTAGAAATTCACCACGTACTGTTATTATTTTATTTAATTTTTTACAGATGCCACCATGCCCAGCTAATTATTTTTTTAATTTTTTTTTCACTCTGTCCCCCAGGCTGGAGTGCAGTGGCGCAATCTCGGCTCACTGCAACCTCTGCCTCCTGGGTTCAAGCAATTCTCCTGCCTCAGCCGGCCAAGTAGCTGGGATTACACGCATGCGCCACCACACCCAACTAGATTTTTATGTTTTTAGTAGAGAAGAGGTTTCACCATATTGACCAGGCTGGTCTTGAACTCCTGACATCAAGCAATCCACCCGCCTCGGTCTCCCAAAGTACTGGGATTACAGGCGTGAGCCACAGTGCCCGGCCTTTTTAAAACTTTTTTTAGAGGTAGGGTCTCACTGTGTTGTCCGAGCTGGTCTCAAACTCCTGGCCTCAACGGATCCTCCCACCTCGGTCTCTGAAAGCGCTGGGATCGCAGGCCTGAGCCCCCAGCTGGTCCCCAGCGTGCTATAACTATTGGTACCGCTGGTGATGCTTGGGTGGCCATGCTGTTAGGATGGGCTCAGGAGGGAGGTGGGAGTTGGAGGAGGTGGAGATGGTCTATGGGAAAGAGTCCAAGCTGAGGGGCCATTGAGGGGACCACAGGGGAACAGAGC
Organism: Homo sapiens; assembly: GCF_000001405.40. NCBI lineage: Eukaryota > Metazoa > Chordata > Mammalia > Primates > Hominidae > Homo > Homo sapiens. Next base: position 55,531,405 of record NC_000019.10, on the reverse strand, counting down.
AGCTGGCCCAGGTGGCCCTTGGCTGCTGCACGCCTCCCATACCTGTCCCTGCTGCCCCAGGCACACCCCTGGCACTGAAGCAGCTCCCGAAACCCCGCACGTCCCTCCGTGGCTTCCTGTACGAGTTCTGTGTGGGGCTCTCGCTGGGCGCGCACTCAGCCATCGTGACGGCCTACGGCATTGGCATCGAGTCGGCACACTCCTACAGCTTCCTGACGGAGCCCGTCCTGCACGGGGACCTCATGGCCTTCATCCAGCCCAAGGTGCGTAGGCAGACCCCAGGCCGCCTCCGAGTGCCTCACCGGCCTCCCAGGAACGTCCTGAGCAGCCTGGGCCGCAGGAGCCACAGCCACTGCGTTGGGCCTCCCTGGGCCTCCCCTACCCCCCGGAGGCCCCTCGTGGGGCCCACAGGACTCGTGGAGTTGTTAGGCCTCTTTGGAGTTCATAGACATCACAGAACTCACACGATACACCATGGAGACTCACCAGGCAGCCCCAGGTCACACTGGACCCCAATCAAGTCACAGGCCCTACAGGGTCACCCGAGGCCCCGCTTAACCTACAGGTCCTACAGGGTCACCCCAGACCCCACTAAACCCACAGGCCTCACAGGTCACACTAGGCCACACTAAACCCACAGGCCTCACGGGTCACACTAAGCCACACTAAACCCACAGGCCTCACAGGTCACACTAGGCCCCACTAAACCCACAGGCCTCACAGGTCACACTAGGCCTCACGGGGTCACCCTAGGCCACACTAAACCCACAGGCCTCACGGGTCACACTAGGCCACACTAAACCCACAGGCCTCACGGGTCACACTAAGCCACACTAAACCCACAGGCCTCACAGGTCACACTAGGCCCCACTAAACCCACAGGCCTCACAGGTCACACTAGGCCTCACGGGGTCACCCTAGGCCACACTAAACCCGCAGGCCTCACAGGTCACACTAGGCCTCACAGGGCCAACTATTCACCGTCTTCCTTACCGGCCTCCTTGGCGTCCTGGGCCTGCTTCCTGGGTCTCGGTTGCCTTCCGTGGCCCCGGGGCACTGGGCCCTGACCCCTCTCCCCGCAGGTGGGCCTCCCGCAGCCCGCGGTGCACCGCTGCGCCGCCCAGCTGGCCTCCGCCCTGGAGTACATCCACGCCCGCGGCCTGGTGTACCGGGACCTGAAGCCGGAGAACGTCCTGGTGTGCGACCCGGCCTGCCGGCGCTTCAAGCTGACCGACTTCGGCCACACGAGGCCTCGCGGGACGCTGCTGCGCCTGGCCGGGCCGCCCATCCCCTACACGGCCCCCGAGCTCTGCGCGCCCCCGCCGCTCCCCGAGGGCCTGCCCATTCAGCCCGCCCTGGACGCCTGGGCGCTGGGCGTCCTGCTCTTCTGCCTCCTCACGGGCTACTTCCCCTGGGACCGGCCCCTGGCCGAGGCCGACCCCTTCTACGAGGACTTCCTCATCTGGCAGGCGTCGGGCCAGCCCCGGGACCGCCCTCAGCCCTGGTTCGGCCTGGCCGCCGCGGCCGACGCGCTTCTGCGGGGGCTGCTGGACCCTCACCCCCGAAGGAGGAGCGCTGTGATCGCCATCAGGGAGCACCTGGGGCGCCCCTGGAGGCAGCGGGAGGGCGAGGCGGAGGCAGTGGGAGCGGTGGAAGAGGAGGCTGGGCAGTGAGGAGGCCCCGGGGGATGCAGAAAGGGAAGCCGCCCCACCCGAGGCCCCCAAGGCCAACGGCTTTTGGTGTCTCCTCGGTGTGTTTTCATCCATGGGGCTTGGGATTCCCCTCGGCGTCCTCCTCCTCTCTCCTCTCTGCAGGCTGCATTCCTCCCTTGGTCCATGAGGGCCTCAGACCTCTGCATGTCCCTCCATACCTGCCGCCACCTTCCCCAGGGTCTCAGACCTCCGCGTGGCTCTCGGTACCTGCCGCCACCTTCCCCAGGGCCTCTGCACTTGCTGTTTGCTCAGGGCACTTTAGGCTCATCCCCTCACCCCTCGCATTTTTATTTTTTTTGAGACAGGGTCTCGCTCTGTCTCCCAGGCTGGAGTGCAGTGGTGCTATCTCTGCTCACTGCAGTCTCAAAATCCACAGCTCAAGCAATCTTCCTGCCTCAGCCTCCTGAGTAGCTGGGACTACAGGCATGCGCCACCACGCTAGGCTAATTTTTAACTTTTTTTAGAGATGGAGGGGTCTTGCTATGTTGCCCAGGTGGGTGTCAACTCCTGGCCTCAAACAATCCTCCTGCCTCAGCCTCCTGAGTAGCTGGGACTACAGGCATGCGCCACCACGCTAGGCTAATTTTTAACTTTTTAAAAAGATGGTTGGGGGCGGGTCTTGCTGTGTTGCTCAGGCTAGTCTCAAATTCCTGGCCTGGAGCGAGTCTCCCACCTCGGCCTCCCGCAGTGCTGGGATTACAGCTGCGCGTTGTAAATGCTTACTGTCTGCCTCCTCATCCCCCCACTCTGCTGTTGCTCTAGGACGTGTATCCTCTTCTAACTGCATGGCTTATTTTTTGTGGTTATTTTGTGAGCTCCTGGAGTCGGGGGTCTTTGCCGCCTTCCGTCTGCTGACAGACCCCATGTACTCAGCGATGGCCTGCAGCAGGGATCAGGAAATGTCTGTTAAATAAATTAGCCTGTCTGGTGTGGCGCAGCCTCCCCTCCGTCCCTGTCCTCCCGCCGTCCTCTCTCCTTCTCTCCGGCCGGGTCTCCCTCCCACCTGGCACCACCCTCTCTGTGATGTGTTTTGCCTTCTCTCGCCCCAGCCACTCTGCAAATAAACTCCATCTGGCGCTCAGATCCCAGTGCTGCTGCGAGTCTGTCTGCTCGGGAACGAGAAGGGGAGTGTGCATCAGAGGACGTGTGGAGGAGGGAGGGGGGTGCAGAGGTAGAGAGACAGAGACACAGAGAAACAGCAGGGAGAGATGGAGAGAGACAGAGACACACACACAGAGAAACAGAGACGGGGGAGAGAAAAAGAAGGAGAGATGCAGATAGAAAAACAGACACACAAAAAGAAACAGGTGGAGGAAGAGAGAGAGAGAAACAGACACAGACACATACAGAGATAGAAAGAGAAACAGACAGAGACAGAGAGAGAAACAGAGATGGAGAGAGACAAACACAGGAAGAGAGACACAGACAGAAAAGAGACAGAGAGGAAGGGAGAGAGAGAGACGGAGGGGCGAGGATGAGCTGCCTGAGCTCATGGTGCTGCCTGAGCCTCCCTGCTGTCCTGCAGGGGGTCCTGATGGCAGAGCTGTGGGCAGGAGGGAGTGAGCCACCTGCTTCTAAGAATCCCTCTCCTTTACCAAACCAAAGTTTGTGTGCTAACAATGGAATGAAAGATATGGTTCTCAAAGCTTCCATCAAGGAACTCTATATGCATGTGTGCATGAGTGTGTGTGAGTGTGCATGTGTGTGAGTGTATGCGTGTGCATATGAGTGTGAGAGTGCACATCTGTGCAAGTGTGAATGTCGTGAGCATGAGTGTGTGCCAGTGAGTGTGCACGTGTCTGAGTGTGAGTGTGCGTGCATGCGAGTGTGCACATTGTGCGAGTGTGTGCGCGTGTGTGCAATTGTGAGTGTGTGCATGTGTGTGCAAATGTGTGCAAGTCAGTAATGTGTGAGCATGAGTATGTGTGCCAGTGTGCGTGTGTCCATGAGTGTGAGTGTGCATGTGTCCATGAGTATGCGTATGTGTGCCAGTGTGCATGTGTGTCCATGAGTGTGAGTGTGCATGTGTCCATGAGTATGCGTATGTGTGCCAGTGTGCATGTGTGTCCATGAGTGTGAGTGTGCATGTGTGTCCATGAGTATGTGTGTGTGCGTGAGTGTGCACATGTGTGTGAATGTGTGTGAATGTGTGTGTGCAAGTGTGCACATATGTGCAAGTGTGAATGTCCTGTGTGCATGAGTGTGTGTGCGATTGAGTGTATACATATGCATATGTGAGTACAAGTGTGCACATGTGTGCAAGTGTGAATGTCATACGTGAGCATGTGCCAGTGTTCATCTGTGTCCACGAGTATGTGTGTGCATGTGTGTGCAAGTGTGAACGAGTGTGCACATGTGTGCACATGTAAATTCGTGGGTGAGCATGAGTGTGTACGCCAGTGACTGTGCGTGTGTGTCCATGACTTGCGTGTGTGTGCACATGTGTGCAAGTATGAATGTGTGTGCGTGCGTGTGAGTACAAGTGTGCACATATGTGCAAGTGTGACTGTCCTGTGCATGAGTGTGTGTGAGTGTGTGCGTGTGTGTGCGATTGAGTATGCATATGCATAAGTGAGTACAAGTGTGCACATGTGTGCAAGTGTGTGTCATGTGTGAGCATGAGTATGTGTGCCAGTGAGTATTCATGTGTCCACGAGTATGTGTGTGTGCATGTGTGCAAGTGTGAATGTGTGTGCATGTATGAGTGTGCACATGTGTGCACATGTAAATTCGTGGGTGAGCATGAGTGTGTACGCCAGTGAGTGTACATGTGTAAGCATAAGTGTGTGTGCACGTGTGTGCAAGTGTGAATGTCATGTGTGAGCATGAGTATGTGTACGCCAGTGTGAGTGTGCATGTGTGAGCATGTGTGTGCACGTGTGTGAATGCATATGCATGGAAAGGAGGGAGGATGGCGTTGTGTGTCTCACTGCACGTGGATGATAATACAGCTTTGTGCCTGCTGTGTCTGCATGAGCATCTGAGCTTGTGTGTGCTGACGTACTTGTGTGTATGGGGAGTGAATGTGACTTGCTATGTGTGGACATCGGATCCGTGTGTGTGCGCGCATATGCCTGTCAATGTGTAGCCAGGGTGGGAAGGTCACGCAGGCGCCGCGGGCGGGCGCCGCCTGGGCCTTCTCTCCTTCGCACCTTCCTCCTCTCTCCCCCGCCCCTGCTTGGCAGCTGCCCTGTTTGCAAACACTGTCTCTTCCTCTCCGCGCCCTCCTTGGCCTCAGGCCCAGAGCAAGGCTACAACTCGGAGCTGGATCGTGTGTCACGCACTCCCTGGCCCCTGCATACCCCGCAGGGCGCCTGCTGTGGCCACCGAGGTGTTGCCTGGAGCGGGGCTGACAGCAGGTGTGCTCCTGTGGAGTGACCCCAAGGAGCCTTCGAATCCAGGTTCAAGCCATAGAGTTGGGGCCTCTGACCTGGACAATCCGGGTGAGCTTCCTGGAGTAGGGATCATTGGGGAGAAGAGGGGAGTCAACAACGCGGGGGGTGGGGGGTGGGGGTGGAATATATCAAGACTTCCTGCCCCTTTATCTGTGAATCTGAAATAGCCTGAGCTGTTAGGCCAAGAATGTGTCCCAAAAAGCTGGAGGTGGCTGGGATGCGGCATGCTGGGTGGGAGTGGAGACTGGGCAGGGGGCAGGGGGGCACGAGGTGTTGATTGCTGGCGGCAGCTGAGGATTATCTGAAAGGTGATAATGACCAGCCTGTCATGGGTGAAGCACAGGGGAGGACATAAACTTCCCAGGAATGGCCTGACCCCGGCAGGCAGGCAGGCAGGGACGACACTAATTAAGTAATGCTTAGTGCTGGCCGGAGGCTGAACCCCAACCAGGGATCTCAGAGGCCACGTCTGCTCCCCGACCTGTCCCCAAGATGGTGGCGGGGGTCCCTGGGCTCTGCCCATCTCACGCACGGGGCAGCCAGGTTCCCGCCGTGCCCACACACCGGGCCGGGGGGCAAAGCCTGGAGTCGAACCCAGCTGGGCTCCAGCACATGGTCCCTGCTGTTAACCTGCAGGGATGTCCTGCCGTGCTCAGCGGGAGGAGGGGCTTGGGGGCACGGGGGTGTGGGTGAGTGGGCGGGTGGGGGTGAGGGTGTGTGTGCGGGTGATTGTGAGTGTGCATGAGGGAGTAAGCTTGTGAGCGTGAGCGAGCTGTATGTGTGGGGGTGAACATAAACGTTTGATTGAGTACAGGTGTAGATGTGAGTGTAAGGATGAGTGTGAGATTATGAGACTATGTGTGAGAGATCAAGACACTGTATGAGAAAGCATGCACGTGTGTGAAAGAATATAAAAGCATGGGCGGGCGCGGTGGCTCATGCCTTGAATCCCAGCACTTTGGGAGGCTGAGGTGGGACGATCACTTGAGGCCAGGAGTTTGAGACTAGCCTGGGCAACTAGTTTATTGAGAGTTTGTATTATCTTTTTTGCTTCTTTCTTTCTTTCTTGTTTTGTTTTGTTTTTGTTTTTTGTTTGTTTGAGACAGAGTTTTGTTTTCGTCACCCCGGCTGGAGTGCAGTGGCACGATCTCGGCTCACTTCAACCTCCGCCTCCTGGGTTCAAGTGATTCTCCTGCCTCAGCCTCCAGAGTAACTGGGACTACAGGCACCCGCTACCACGCCTGGCTAATTTTTGCATTTTTAGTAGAGACAGGGTTTCACCATGTTGGCCAGGCTGGTCTCAAACTCCTGACGTCAAGTGATCCTCCTTCCTTGGCCTCCCAAAGTGCTGGTATTACAGGTGTGAGCCACCGTACCTGGCCTTAGTAATTTTGCTTTCAAGTATCATTATTTAAGAAATACATTTTGTAAGGCTATAGCTGTCATATATAGTGATTCCTCTGATGGATCTGGACAAAGTCAATTGAAAACCTCCTGGAAAGGATTCACCATTCTAGATGTCATTAAGAACATTCGTGACTCAGAGAAGGAAGTCAAAATGTCAACATTAACAGGAGTTAGGAAGAAGTTGATTTCAACCCTTATGGATGACTTTGAGGGGTTCAAGACTTCAGTGGAGGAGTCACCGCGGATGTGGTACAAATAGCAATGAAACTAGAATTAGAAGCGGAGCCTGAAGATGTGATTAAATTGCTGCCATCTCATGATAACACTTGAACAGACGAGTTGCTTCTTATGAATGAGCACCAAAAAAAGTGGTTTCTTGAGATGGAAAGTACTTCTGGTGAAGATACTGTGAATGTTGTTGAAACGACAATAAATGATTTAGAATGTTAATAAACTTAGTTAATAAAGTAGCAGCCGGGTTGGAGAAGATTAACTCAATTTTTAAAAATTTTTTAGAGTCAGGGTCTCGCTCTGTCACCCAGGCTGGAGTGCAGTGGCACAATCATAGCTCACTGCTGCCTCCATCTCCTGGGCTAAGTGATCCTTCCATCTCAGCTTCCCAAGTAGGTGGGACTACAGGTGCACACCACCACACCTGGTTAATTTTTTTTTTTTTTTTTAGACGAAGTCTCGCTCTGTCACCCAGGCTGGAGTGCAATGGTGTGATGTCGGCTCACTGCGAGCTCCACCTTCCGGGTTCATGCCATTCTCCTGCCTCAGCCTCCCGAGTAGCTGGGACTACAGACACCCGCCACCACGCCTGACTAATTTTGTTGTATTTTTAGTAGAGACGGGGTTTCACCGCGTTAACCAGGATGGTCTCGATCTCCTGACCTCGTGATCCGCCCAAAGTGCTGGGATTACAGGCGTGAGCCACCGCGCCCGGCCGGCTAATTTTTATTTTCTTCGTACACACAGGGTCTTTCTATGTTGCCCAGACTGGTCTCAAACTCCTGGGCTCAAGTAATCCTCCTGCCTCAGCCTCCCAAAGTGCTGGGATTACAGGCGTGAGCCACTATGCCCGACCTTACTCCAATTTTGAAAGAAATTTTTACTGTGGAGTAAATACTATCAAATAGCATTGCATGCTACAGAGAAATCTTTCATGAAAGAAAGAGTCAATTGACGCAGCAAACTCCATTACTGTCTTATTTTAAGACATTGCCACAGCCTCCCCAGGCTTCAGTAACCATCACCCTGATCAGTCAGCAGCCATCAACGTCGAGGCAAGATCCTCCACCAGCAAAACGACTATGACTTGCTGAAGACTCCGGTGGTCATTAGCATGTTTAGCAATAAAGTATTTTTAATTAAAGTATGTAATTAAATACCTTTTTCTTTTCGAGATAGAGTCTCGCCCTGTCACACAGGCTGGAGTGCAATGGCATGAGCTCGGCTCACTGCAACCTCTGCCTCCTGGGTTCAAGCGATTCTCCTGCCTCAGCCTCCCAAGTATCTGGGATTACAGGCACGTGCCACCATGCCCAGATTAAATACTTTTTTTTAGACATGATGCTATTGTACACTGAATAGTCTACCATATGGGCTGGGGCGGTGGCTTATGCCTGTAATCCCAGGACCTTGGGAAGCCGAGGCAGGCAGATCACCTGAGGTGGGGAATTTGAGACCAGCCTAGCCAACATGGTGAAACCCCATCTCTACAAAATTACAAAAATTAGCCGGGTGTGGTGGTGTGCATCTGTAGTCCCAGCTACTCAGGAGGCTGAGGTGGGAGGATCGCTTGAGCCCTGGAGGTCAAGGCTGCAGTCAGCTGTGATTATACCACTGCACTCCAGGCTGGGCAACATAGTGAGACCCTGTCTCAAAAGAAAAACAAAAGAAAAGAAAACAAAAAGGCCAGGTGTGGTGGCTCACACCTGTAATCCCAGCACTTTGGGAGGTGGAGGTGGGTGGATCATTTGAGGTCAGGAGTTCAAGATCAGCCTGGTCAACATGGTGAAACCCCGTCTCTACTAAAAAATACAAAAAATTAGCCGGGCGTGGTGGCGGGCGCCTGTTAATCCCAGCTACTCCGGAGGCTGAGGCAGAAGAATGGCGTGAACCCGGGAGGCGGAGCTTGCAGTGAGCCGAGATCGCGCCACTGCACTCCAGCCTGGGCAACAGAGCGAGACTCCATCTCAAAAAAAAGAAAACAAAAACAAAAACAAAAATTAGCCGGGCATGGTGGCGTACGCCTGTAATCCCAGCTACTTGGGAGGCTGAGGCAGGAGAATCACTTGAACCTGGGAGGGGGAGGTTGTAGTGAGCTGAGATCGCACCACTGCACTCCAGCCTGGGCGACAGAGCCAGACTTTGTCTCAAAAAAAAAAAAAGTTAAGAAAAAAAAAAGGCAGAATTTGCTTTGGTGGCTCTAGGCAGAGCATGAGATTCCGTGTTTGTAAACAGCTTCCACATGAGTCCAATGCTGCAGGCCCGTGGGTCACATTTTGAGGTGCAAGGAATGTGAGATGACTTTAGAGTATGGATCCAGCATCGGGCCCAGCTCTCACTCACGCAAACCGCTTACCTGCTGCGTTCTTCGGGGCCTCCTGTGTCAGCGCTCATAGGAGATCACATCCATTGCCCAGGGAAAATCAAAGATACGTGTCTTCCTTCGTACCCCTTATCTGATGAAGAAGTCCTCTCTGCTCCAACTTTGTTCTGTGTGTGTGTGTGTGTGTGTGTGTGTGTGTGTGTACCATAATGGCTGTTGAATTTCATCAAATGTTTTTTTCTGCGTCAATTGAGCTTGCTGGGCCTATGCAGCTACTGTTTTGGGCTAGTTGCAAGCTGGCAGGCAGAGGATCGAGCTCAGCTGTCCCATGGGAGGTGTCCAGAGCCAGGGCCAGCACTGGGCGGGGGCTGGCCACCTATTCTGGCCGTGGGCCCTGGGGCCAGATGTTTGGGCTTAAGTGCCTGGCCAAGCAGGGATAGAGTGACTGGGTAATTAAGCACTCCCTTCTACAGAGCTGGCAGAAGGTGGCAGGGGGCGGAGGGGCCTAAGGCCAGAGTGCCCAACAGCCCCCCCTCCACCTCTGGCCTGCAGAGAGGGGCTGGGAGCCCGAACCCCAGGCTGGGCCCTCTGTTACTTTTGGTGGGGGGTGACCCAGGGCCAGCGTTCATCTGCTCCCACCTGGACCTGGAAAAGGAGCCGTTTTCTTCCATGTTGGGGTGCTGCCCTGTGACCCCCCATCTCCCCAGGGCAGAAGCTCTCCCCTCAGCCTCTCCAGGGAACCAGTCAGCAGTTATTTAAGTCTCAGGGCTTAATGAGATCTGGGGAACAGAATTCTCAGCATGCTCCTTCGCCCGCTGGCAGGAGCAGACCGTCCATCTATCAGGACCCCCAGACGTTATCCGCACCCCGCCACCCCCCCGCCCAAGTAACTGGACCCTGTTGGCCTTTGCAGGACTGTGGGGGCGCCAGCCTTCATCACCTTCCACGACCTCTAAGCCGAGAGAGGAGGAGGAGGAGGAAATGGTTTCCTGCTTGAGGCTGCAGGACCCAGAATCAGAGTAGTGGGGTCTTCCGAGACGGCCCCCAATTTACAAACCAGCAAGCTGAGGCACAGAGATGGGAAGGAGCCCACCCACGGTCGCTTGGAGTGGGGCAGTCATGGAAGCCCCAATCTGGAAACGCAGGCCATGGTCAAAGCACGGAAATTCACATCACAGTATTCAGGGTTTGAGTCCCTGGCTCTGCCGTGTGCCCTTTGGCAACGGGCCTGCCCTCTCTGAGCCTCAGAGTCCTTTCTGAAACGGGGATCAAAGTTTCTCCCTCAAAGGGCTGTGGTGAGGACTGGATGTACGTGGATTAACAGTCCATGCAGCGTTAGCACAGAAAAGTACAGGCAGGCGTGGTCGCAAGCACTGTCATTAACTGAGCACATCCTACATGCCACGTTGTCCTTATCTGCACTGCCACATTTAATCCTCACAACCCCATGAGGCAGGTGCTATTGCTCTACCCATTTTACAGGTGAAAAAACTGAGGCTCAGAGAAGGGAGGGAAACTGCCAGAGTTCCACAGCCGGGACATGGTTAATCCAGGACTTGAACCCAGGTCAGTCTGACACAGCCGTGGAATATTTTCTTTCTTTCTTTTTTAATAAAGATGGGGGTCTCACTATATTTCTGGTCTGGAACTCCAGGCCTCAAGCCATCCTCCCATCTCGGCCTCCCAAAGTGCTGGGATTACAGACATGAGCCACTATGGCCAGCCAAAATATTATTTTAAGAGCAAGGGCCCTGAGTGCCAAGCATGGCCCACCACGTGTTCCCTGAGTGATCTGGGGTGCACGACCAAACCTCTCTGTGCCTCGAAGCCCAGATCTGCAGAATGGGGATAAATACAATAATTGCTCTCACATGACGGGCGCTTATCAAGAGCCATCATAAGCACTCTCCTAGGTATTAACTTATTCAATCATTATAGCAACCCCATGAGGTATGTGTACTATTATTATCCCTGTTTTATAGTTGGAGAAGCTCAGACCCAGAGGTTAAGTAACTGGCTTATGTTTACTCCCAGCAAGGACTCAAACTCAGGAATCCAGGCTGCAAAGCTCACCTCCTCATCTGCTGAGCTGTGGTAACACTACCTTCCTCAGCAGGCACTCGTTAAGACAAAATGACATCATCATCCATGCAAAGCTCTTAAAACAGAGCCTGACACATAGGAAGCGCCCAACAAATATTAGTCATGATGATGACGATGATGATGCACTCTTTCATTCAAAAGATATTTATTACTGAGTGTGTACTCTGCATCAGCTTCTGTCCTAGAAACTGGGCTTACATCCATGAACAAGGCCGTTTTTGCTCACACGAAGCTTCATCATTGTCACGACCATCACTATGATCGTCACCAAGATCATCTTTACCACCATAATCACCAACATCATCACCATCACCATCATTACCATCATTGCCTCATCACCAAGACTGTTCCTTCACAGTCATCACCACCATGATCACCTTTCACACCATCATTATCACCTCCACTACCACCATCACCGTCACCATCAATGTGACCATCATCACCATGATCACCACCGGCACCACCATCATCATCATCATTACCATCATTCCCTCATCACCATGACCACTCCCTCATGACCAGCACCACCATCATCACCATCACCACCACCACCATCATCGTGATGGTCACTGCCTCATCACCATGACCATTCCCTCACAATCATCACTATCACCATCACCTTCATTTCACCATCTTCATCATCATCATCATAATTACCACCATCACCACCACCACTATCATCATGATGGTCATTGCCTCATCACCATGACCATTCCCTCATGACCAGGACCATCATCATCATCATGATAATCATCATCATCACCACCACCATCATCATCATCATCATGTCCACCGCCTCATCACCATGACCATTCCCTCATGACCAGGACCATCATCATCATCATGATAATCATCATCATCATGTTCACCGCCTCATCACCATGACCATTCCCTCATGATCATCAGCATTATTTCACCATCTTCATCACCACCACCATCTTACCATTATCACCATGACCCTCACCACAATGATCATCACCCTATCATGATCTCCGTCGCCATCACCATCACGATCATCACCATCATCACCACCCTCATAATCATCTCCATCATCAACACCGCCTGGCATGGCACCTGGGCTATTCACATATCAAAATCAGTCTTGTGATTCTGTCTTTCTAGGATTCCCCAAAAATACCATTCACACCTTGTTTTTAATTAGATACTTTGGGGGTTTTTTTTGTTTTTGTTTTTTTTGGTTGGGGGTGTCTTAAGCCCCTCAAATCCTGGAGAGGGTCACACGTCTCCCCTCAGGGGTCTTTCTTCTTCCTCTGGGGTAGTGGTGGTTGGTGCAGGCATGCTGGTGGTCCAGGCCATCTCTGCCAGTCTCTTCACAGCCTCACCCAGCTGCCCCAGACCCCGGGCAGCTTCTACCAGCTGCGTCAGCCCCAGCAGCAGGGCTTGGCGCTCCTGCCGCTCCTGTTCCACGACCTGGGTCAGTCTCTGCAGCTGACCACCCACATCCCTCACAGCAGCCACCAGCTCCACCAGGGCAGGTGGCTCACAAGCCATGACCCTTACAGGTGGTGTTGGGGCCACACATGGACCATGGGGGCCTGGGCTCTGACCAGGAGTTGGCCCTAGGGTGAGGGGGTCAAGGGGAGGATGATCCAAGGGGTGGGCTGTGGGGGAAAGGAGGGGGTCAGGGGACACAGTAAGGTCAGAGGCTGAGTGTGGGGTATGGGTGGGTGGAGGGGTTAGGTTGGGGCTCTGGCTTCTGGGTGGCTTGAAGTCCTCAGTGGACAGTGGGTCCATGCTTGTGGCTGTGGAGGACCTGGAGGGGCTGGACTCCAAGGCTGGAGAGGGCTCTAAGGTGGGTATCTGGGATGTGGAGGTGTGAGGGGCAGGTGCTGTGAAGGTCAACTGGGGGTGCAGACTGGGCTTGACTGTTGGTGCTAGAGTGGGAGAGGAGAGTTCTGTCCCCAAGGAGGTTGGAAGGGACACAGTAGTGATGACAGGGGTTGAGGAAGGGTCAGGAGTTGTGGGGTGAGGGGTCGTGGTGGGATCAGGAGTAGTGGTGGGGTAAGGGGTCGTGGTGGGGTCAGGAGTCATGGTGGGGTGAGGGGTTGTGGTGGGGTGAGGGGTTGTGGTGGGGTGAGGAGTCGTGGTGGGGTGAGGGGTCGTGGTGGGATGAGGCATCGTGGTGGGCTGCATGGTGGTGAAGGGTTGAGGGGTTGTGGTGGGGTCAGGAATCATGGTGGAGTGAGTGATGGTGGTGGGATGAGGGGTCGTGGTGGGGTGAGGGGTTGTGGAGTGAGGGGTTGTGGTGGGCTGCATGGTGGTGAAGGGTTGAGGGGTTGTGGTGGGGTCAGGAATCATGGTGGAGTGAGTGATGGTGGTGAAGGGTTGAGGGGTTGTGGTGGGGTCAGGAATCATGGTGGAGTGAGTGATGGTGGTGGGGTGAGGGGTCGTGGTGGGGTGAGGGGTGGTAGGGAAGTGAGGGGTCACAGTAGGGTTAAGGGTTGTGATGGGGTCAGGGGCCATGGTGGGATCAGGGGTAGTAGTGGGGTGAGGGCTTGGGGAGGGGTCTGGGGATCTAGAATATTCTGAGACTGTACTGGAGTATGGAGTTGTGTCCAAATCTGGGGTTGTGTCAGATTCTGGGACCTGCTCTGAGGTAGGGGAAAGGCTGGTCACCTCCGACGGTGTAGAAGGGTCAGAGGTCAGCTCTTTGGGCAAGGTGGGTAAGGGCGTGGGTGAGGGCTCCGGGGTCAACGCGGGAACCACACTGGAGTCAGGGGTGGACAAAGCAAAGTCAGGGCTTGTCAAGATGAGGTCGGGGTTCGTCCGGGAGGCCGGGTCTGGGGTGGGTGGTGAAGTGTCCGGAGCGTCAGAGGTCGCCTCGGACGTCAAGGCTGAGTGGGGAGTGAGCTCTCGACTGGAGTCAGAGGTCAGCGCTGGGCCTGGGGGTCCCGGAGAGGCGGAGGGACCTGGGGACGGGGTTGGGGGCGCTGTCCTGGTCGCAGCGGGCCGCGGTGGCCGGCGCTCGGGCCACGGTTTCCTCGGGGAACCTGGAGGAGGAGGAAAGACAGACGGACGGTCTGAGGTCAACCGGCTCCGCCCACCACGCGTCCCGCCCCGCCCCTCGAGGAGCCGACCAATGGAAAGGCACAGAGCCTCGAGACGTCATGGGTCACCGGCAGACTTCACCCGGCCCTAGGGCCCCTCCTCCCTACGTCCTCCGATGGCTCCAGGCGCCACCTGGCGTCCTCCACTGCGGGAGGATGCGGGGATGCTCCGGACTCGGGGATGCCGAGGGGCACGCGGGTTGCGGGAGCGGGTGCAGGAGGGTGAGGTGAGGGAGGGATGCGTGGGGTGCTGGGGTGCGGGAGGGGGCGGGAGTGCTCAGAAGCGTGCAGCATACGGGAGGATTCTGAGCCAGCGGGGGACTGGGAGATGTGCGGAGCCAGGGGAGGCAGGGAGACCAAAGAGGGCTCCGAAGGGTAATGTTAGTAATCAAAATAAATACTTTTATGGATTTTTTTATTTTTTAAGATAAAGTCTGGCTGTGTCGCCCAAGCTGGAGTGCGGTGGCAAGATCATAGCTCACTGTAACCTCGAACTCCTGGGCTCAAGCGTTTTTATGCAATATTTTTAAACAATCAAAATTAATCCAAAAGATCCACAGTTAACCAAAGTTAACATTTTAACCAAAGACGGGATCCAACAGGGCCAGGATTAGGGGGAGCCCAGCGAGGCGGATAGGATCCTGTCTTCAGTGACTTTTTTTTTTTTTTTGAGATGGAGTCTCGCTCTGTCGCCCAGGCTGGAGTGCAGTGGCGTGATCTCGGCTCACTGCAAGCTCCGCCTCCCGGGTTCACACCATTCTCCTGCCTCAGCCTCCCGAGTAGCTGGGACTACAGGCGCCCGCCACCACACCAGGCTAATTTTTTGTATTTTTAGTAGAGACGGGGTTTCACCGTGTTGGCCAGGATGGTCTCGATCTCCTGACCTCGTGATCCGCCCGCCTGGGCCTCCCAAAGTGCTGGGATTACAGGCATGAGCCATCGCGCCCGGCCTTCAGTTACATTTTTGATACCGAGTTCATCATGGGTTTTTTTTTTTTTGGCATTAATTTTCATTTTAAAAAATACTGTATTATGATATTATGTATCTTGATTTTGGCGTTTTGGGCACCCCCTTAAATTTTGGGCCTGAGTAGCAGGAGGAGCCTGACCCTCTTCTGGGGCTGTCTTCCAAGTGAGTGCCAATTTTATCCCCATTTTACAGAAGGGGGAAATTAGGGCAAGAGGGCAGGTGACTCGCCCAAGGTCACACAGACATAGTTTGCAAGTTGCAGGGCTAAGACTTGAACCCAAGTTGTTTGCACATAGAGTCTAGGCAATGAAATCTCACATCTGCAGTGATGGGAATGCGCTGTGATCTACCGTGCCAATACAGTAGCCACTGGCCACATGTGGCTACCAAGCCCTTGAAATGCGGCCAGTGTGAATGAGAAACTAAATGTTTCATTTTCTTTTATTTTATTTTATTTTTTTTTTTGAGACGGAGTCTCACTCTGTCGCCCAGGTTAGAGTGCAGTGGCACGATCTCGCCTCACTGCCAGCTTTGCCTCCCAGGTTCATGCCATTCTCCTGCCTCAGCCTCCCGAGAAGCTGGGACTACAGGCGCTCGCCACCATGTCCTGCTAATTTTTTGTATTTTTAGTAGAGATGGGGTTTCACTGTGTTAGCCAGGACGGTCGCGATCTCCTGACCTCGTGATCCGCCCGCTTCGGCCTCCCAAAGTGCTGGGATTACAGGCGTGGCCACTGCGCCCGGCAAATGTTTCATTTTCAAAGTGTTAATTCATTTAACTTTTTTTTTTTTTTTTTTTTTGAGACGGAGTTTCACTCCTGTTGCCCAGGCTGGAGTGCAGTGGCGCGATCTTGGCTCGCTGCAATCTCCGCCTCCTGGGTTCAAGTGATTCTCCTGTGTCCACTTCCTGAGTAGCTGGGATGACAGGCATGTGCCACCATGCCCAGCTAATTTTTTTGTATTTTTAGTAGAGATGGGGTTTCACTATGTTGTTCAGGCTAGTCTTGAACCCCCGACCTCAGGTGATCTGCCTGCCTCAGCCTCCCAAAGTGCTGGAATTTCAGGCGTGAGCCACCATGCCCGGTGCTCTTAGCTACCGTATTGAACCACACAGATCTACAGATTTCCACTTGTTCCTGCAGGGCAGGGTCTTTCAGGCGCATCCCTTCCCCACCTTGTCCTTTGTTTGCAGGATTGGAGAAGCGGTTAAGTAAAGGGCTTGTGCTCAAGGCAGGCTGTCCGAGTTTAAACCCCAGCTGCATGGCTTCCTAGCGGGGTGACCACGGCCAAGTTACTTCACTGCTTGAATCTCAGTTTCTTCCTCAGCTATAGACTGTGGATGATCCGCGTATCTCCCTTGCAGAGCTGTCAAAAGGACTCAGGGAGACCATGGTTGTGCAAAGCACTTAGTGTAATGTCTAGCATGGAATAAGCACTCTAATAATTATTGATGTCAGAGTCACTGATGTCTGTGCCTCAATTTCACTCATCTGAGAAATGGGCAAAATTATAGATCTACGTCATGGAGCTCATGCAGATTTCCTTCCCTCCTTTCTCCCTTCCTCCCTTCTTCTCTCTCTCTCTTTTTTTTTTTTTTTTAACAGAGTCTTTCTCTGTTGCCCAGGCTGGAGTGCAGTGGTGCGATCTCAGCTCACTGCAACCTCCGCCTCCCAGGTTCAAGCAGTTCTCCTGCCTCAGCCTCCCGAGTAGCTGGGATTACAGGCGCCTGCCACCACACCTATTATTATTATTATTATTATTATTATTATTATTATTATTATTATTATTATTTTGAGACAGAGTCTCACTCTGTTGCCCAGGCTGGAGTGCAGTGGCGCAATCTCGGCTCACTGCAAGCTCTGCCTCCTGGGTTCACGCCATTCTCCTGCCTCAGCCTCCCGAGTAGCTGGGACCATAGGTGCCTACCACCACGCCTGGCTAATTTTTTGTATTGTTAGTAAAGACAGGGTTTCACCGTGTTAGCCAGGATGGTCTCGATCTCCTGACCTCGTGATCTGCCCGCCTCAGCCTCCCAAAGTGCTGGGATTACAGGCGTCAGCCATTGCAGCCAGCCTAATCATGCTTAACTTTACTAAATACTGCTGGATTGTCTTTATCAAACAGCTCTGTCCAGTGGGGTTGCCTGTCTTCCCACATCCTCACTCACACTGGATAATACCCACCTTTCTCATTCTCCTCTGTACTTGCCATTGTTTTAATTTGTATTTTCTGGTTCCTGATGAGCGTGGGCATTTCTAAATACACTCAGCCATTTGGGCTTCCTTTTCTGGGAATCACCTGTTTTCCTCTTTCTCATCTAGGGTTTCCTATCATTTTCCTATTTGTCACAGTGACTTATGCCATCTAGGCTGGGGTTTCTCAACCTCGGTACTATTGTAATTTAGGGCTGGGTGGTTCTTTGTTATGGGGAATGTCGTGTGCATTGTGAATGTTTATCACCACCCCGGCCTCTACCGATCAGGTGCCAATGGGTAGCCTCTCACTTCCTGCCATGACAATCCAAAATATCTTCAGATATTGCCAAATTCCCCTTGGGGGCAAAATCGACCCTAGTTGATGACCAGCGGTCTAGATAATAACCTCTTGGTTCTGTTTTTGTCTTTATTTGAGACAAGGTCTCGCTCTGGCACCCAGGCTGGAATACAGTGGCACAACCACAGCCTCGAGCACCCAGGCTCAAGGGATCCTCCTGCCTCAGCCTCCCAAGCAGCTGGGACCACACGTGCGTACCACCACACCCAGCTAATGTTCATATCTTGGGGGGCTCACCATGTTGCCCAGGCTGCTCTCAAACTCCCGAGCTTAAGCAATCCTCCCAACTCGGCCTCCCAAAGTGCTGTGATTACAGGCATGAGCCACCATGCTCAGCCGATAACCCTTTGTTTTAGGGTATATTTCTGCTGAGTCTTTCTGGGGTAAGGGTTCCAGTGGGGAGTCTGGAATCTGTCTCTTTACCCCAGGACAAATACCGTCCCAGTCTCCTCACCCCAGCCACGTGTCTCACCTGTGTCTCCATGGACTCTCAGAGTTGGAGGACTGCCTGGGCTCCTGGTGGTGCCAGCCCCAAGAGTTGGTCCTAGTTTGCCTGCGGTAGGGGTCCCCTCAGCCAGGCCCCTTCCTGATGGTGTGTCCCACGTCCAGGGAAGCTTGTAACCATCTTTGCTGCCTAGAGAGATATGGGGAAGAGGATTGAGTCTTCCAACTTCCCTTTGAGTTTGACTCCCCGTCTCTCTCCTCCTGGGCCAGCCCCAGTTCAGGCATCATCCCGTCTCAACTGCACCGCCACTGCAGCCCTACCTGACCTCGTGGAGACCTTCTCCATTCAGCTGGGATGTTTTTGGCTACCAACGACGGAAACGGTCACTAAACTAGCACATAAAATGAAGGGCATTTGGGCCTGGCGCCGTGGCTCAAGCTTGTAATCCCAGCACTTTGGGAGGCTGAGGCAGGCAGATCACTTGAGGTCAGGAGCTCAAGACCAGCCTGGCCAACATGGAGAAACCCCATCTGCACTAAATATACAAAAAATTAGCTGGGTATGGTGGCACACGCCTATAATCCCAGCTACTCGGGAGGCTGAGACAGGAGAATCACTTGAACCTGGGAGACAGAGGTTGCAGTGAGCCAAGACTGTGCCACTGCACTCCTGCCTGGGTGACAGAGCGAGACACCGCCTCAAAAAAAAAAAAAAAGGAATTTATTATTTTAATTCCTCAAGGCTCCTGCCCTAGCGGGGGAAAAACCATAACATCTTTATTAATTCACTGCCTGGAACATCTCTATAATACTATTTTTCCTTTTTTTTTTTTTTGGCCAAATGCACTTAATCTCTATATAATAGCAATTTTATATAACATATAAATGTATAATATATATACATATATGTATGCCATTTTATTTAGGGAGAATAGAATGATAATTCAGTCCTAGCTTTATACAAACAACAGCTTTCTTTTCTTTTCTTTTTTTTTTTTTTTGAGACCAAGTCTCACTCTGCCACCCAGGATGGAGTACAGTGGCGCAATATCGGCTCACTGCAAGCTCTGCCTCCCGGGGTCAAGTGATTCTCCTGCCTCAGCCTCCCAAAGTGAGCTACAGGTGTGAGCCACCGTGCCCGGCCTCAACAACAGCTTCCTTGAGATACAGGTCACGTATCATGCAATTCATCAGCTTGAAATTGCAACTGAGGGGGTTTACCCACTCACAAGCTTGCGTGACCATCGCCACAATCAAAATTGAGAACACTTTCATCACCCGAACAAAACACTCCATACTCATTGCCTATCCGAATCATCAAACCAACTTCCCCTGAGACCCTGGCCCCCCACACTGATCCTGGAGGCCTCTTAAAAACTGGCAGACACCTGCCCCTTTCCACCCTAAACCCTTCCATGAGTCCCCACGGCCCACAGACACCATCTTCCTTCATAACCAGCCCCTGCCAGCTTCTCCAGCATCGTCTCGTCCTACACGATGCTCTGCTCACGCTGGACCCTGACCTTGAGTTAGGAGGGCAGGTTTGCAGTGTTTAGGGAGACATGCCTGCTTCCACAAGCAATTCCACAAGGAGGTGCTGAGAAATCCTTACCCATGAGCCCAGGGATTCATGGGTACAAGGAGTTCATAGCAGCCATATTTGTGACAGCAAAACACTGGGAACAACCACAACGCGCAGGCTTTTCACACCTCCCAGCCTCTGCCCACGCTGCCGCCCCCACCCCGAATTCCCTTCCTCTTCATTTCCTACCCAACTGAGCCCGTTAGGATGTTTTCTCATTCCAAACGCAAAACCAGGCAGAAGGGCAGTGTCCAAGACCTTGGGCAAGTTGACCGATGTCGCCTTAAGCTCTGTGGCTAGTGGTCCCAATTACAGAAATCCCTTGCTCCGTTACCTGCTAAGACACTGCACGCTGATAGAACAAGGGTCAAATTTCACCCTGATGCCAGGCACAGCAGACACCTCCGTCATGCCTTCGTATTATTAACCATTCTTAATCAAATACCTTTCCATTTCTATTAGACACCTTAAAAGGGTAGCTATAAAATCCTACCAGATATCCATACCCATTAGGAAACCTGAAAAACCATTAGTGGTAATGGCCGGGTGTGGTGGCTCACGCCTGTAATCCCAGCACTTTGAGAGGCCGAGGCAGGCAGATCACCTGAGGTCAGGAGTTCAAGACCAGCCTGGCCAACATGGTGAAACCCTGTCTCTACGAAAAATACAAAAATTAGCTGGGCATGGTGGCGGGCACCTGTAATCCCAGCTACTCAGGAGGCTGAGGCGGGAGAATCGCCTGAACCCATGAAGGAGAGGTTGCAGTGAGCTGAGCTCACACCACTGTACTCCAGCCTGGACCATAGAGTGAGACTCCTTCTCAAAAACAAACAAGCAAACAAACATAAAAGCAAACCAAGAAACAAAAACAAAAACACC
The DNA here is from genome assembly GCF_000001405.40 of Homo sapiens. NCBI lineage: Eukaryota > Metazoa > Chordata > Mammalia > Primates > Hominidae > Homo > Homo sapiens. Next base: position 55,510,739 of record NC_000019.10, on the reverse strand, counting down.
ACCATTAGTGGTACTATTAATTAAAAAAGAAAAAAGAAAAAATAGTCCAGGGAAAAAAACCCATTAGCAGTGAATCACTAAAGATATATTTTCAGCTGGGCATGGTGGCTCACGCCTGTAATCCCAGCATTTTAGGAGGCTGAGGTGGGCGGATCACGAGGTCAGGAGTTTGAGACTAGCCTGACCAACATGGTGAAACCCCATCTCTACTAAAAATACAAAAATTAGCCAGGCGTGGTGGAACATGCCTGTAATCCCAGCTACTCAGGAAGCTGAGGCAGGAAAATCACTTGAACCTGGGAGGCGGAAGTTGCAGTGAGCCAAGATCATGTCACTGCACTCAAGCCTGGGCAACAAGAGCAAAATTCCATCTAAAAAAACCAAAAAGATGTATTTTCAAGATGTTGGGTTTTAGGAAGACTCCATGAAGAACACAAATCAAGCTGGGCACGGCGGCTCACGCCTGTAATCCCAGCACTTTGGGAGGCCAAGGCAGGTGGATCAGTTGAGCCCAGGAGTTCAGAACCAGCCTGGCCAACATGTTGAAACCCCGTCTCTACTAAAAATTACAAAAATTAGCCAGGTGTGGTGGGGCACACCAGTAGTCCCAGTTAACTGGGGGGCTGAGGCATGAGAATCACTTGAGCCTTGGAGGCGGAGGTTGCAGTGAGCTGTGATCATGCCACTGCACCCCAGCCTGGGTGACAGAGCAAGACCCTGTCACAAAAAAACAAAAAAAAAAGAACACAAATTGAAGCCGTCTTCCTTTTAAAATGGCAGCCTCCTGTGTACTCTCAGAATGCACTGTCGGAAATCTGGTTTCTCATTCTCATACGCGTATTTCTTTCTTTTTTTTTTCTTTTTCTCTTTTTTTTTTTTTTTTTTTTTTGAGACAGAGTTTCGCTCTTGTTGCAGTGCAATGGCAAGATCTCGGCTCACTGCAGCCTCCGCCTCCCAGTTTCAAGCCATTCTCCTGCCTTGGCCTCCCTAGTAGCTGGGATTACAGGCGCCTGCCACCATGCCCAGCTAATTTTTTTGTATTTTAAGTAGAGACAGTGTTTAACCATGTTGGCCAGGCTGGTCTCGAACTCCTGGCTTCAGGTGATCTGCCTGCCTCAGCCTCTCAAAGTGCTGGGATTACAGGCGTGAGACTCCGTCTTGGAAAAAAAAAAAAGAATAAAAAGATACACATAACTCTGGCTCATTCTGTGAACCTCTACGTACTACTCGATTGCATGGATATACAGCTGGGTATTAATCTATGCTCCTGTTGATGGGCATTTCGGTTACTCCCAGTGTTTTGCTGTCACAAATATGGCTTCAGTGAACTCTTTGTGCCCATGTCCTTAGGCTCATGGGCGAGAATTTCTCGACGCCTCGTTGTGGAATTGCTGTATGGAAGCAGATGTATCTCCTTAGATACTGCGAACCTGCCCCACTAAGTGCATGGGGATCCTCACTCACACCTTTATCCTACAGCCTTCATGCTGCCAGACGGTGTCATTTTTGCTGGTCTTATGGGGAGAGGGTGGCTGGGGAGGCTGCTGATTCACAAAGATGGCCAAACTGATGCCCAGAGAGGGCAAGAAACTTTCTTGGGGTAACACAGCTAAGGGACAGCATCCAGCTCCAGACCCCAGCAGATCTACCTGGTTCTAAATGGTTCTCTTTCCCTCTGGGTACATATCTCCCAAGTCTCACCCCTTCCTTCCCTGGCAAGCCTTTATTCATCCTTTAGGAGTTAGTCCACAGGCCATGCCCTCAGGAGGCCTCCCCCATCCCCTGTGGATGAGGCCATCCCTGCTGTATAGGAGTTAGTCCACAGGCCATGCCCTCAGGAGGCCTCCCCCCATCCCCTGTGGATGAGGCCATCCCTGCTGTATAGGAGTTAGTCCACAGGCCATGCCCTCAGGAGGCCTCCCCCATCCCCTGTGGATGAGGCCATCCCTGCTGTATAGGAGTTAGTCCACAGGCCATGCCCTCAGGAGGCCTCCCCCCATCCCCTGTGGATGAGGCCATCCCTGCTGTATAGGAGTTAGTCCACAGGCCATGCCCTCAGGAGGCCTCCCCCCATCCCCTGTGGATGAGGCCATCCCTGCTGCATGCGCCCTGGATTCTACAGACCTAATTCTGTCCTTCCCACTCTCCAAGGCTAGAGCCAGCAAGGGTGTGGAATCTGGAGTCTGAATCCAAGTTCAGCCTTTTGCAATCCTGACCTCTCCCTACCTCAGTTTCCTTATCTGTAAAATCAAGCTAAGGATAGGACTCACCTCACAAGGCTGCATGGGGAGGAAGGGAGTGTAACCACAGGATGCACTTTGAACAGCGCCTGGCCCATGGAGAGCACGCGATAAAATAGCAGCTACCATTATCCTCATCATCATCCAACCTCTAAAGTTAATCTCATATTTAGTCCTGGATCCTCTTCTCCCTGCATGACCTCATAGGGTGATAAACCTCCGGCGATACCCCAAGCACGGGTCTCCCCGGCTTCCCAGCTGGCAGTGGCGGGAACTACATTAGACACAGCTGTCTATCTGTGCAGTCACATCCACTCCCACAGCTTCAAATTCCATCTCGCTAAGTTATATCCTCAGCCCAGGCGCTCCCTGGACCTCCAGGATGCACAGCTAATATCTCCTGATATCCCCACTCTGGCTGCTGTGCCCCCACCTCACAGAGCTCCCCGACCTGGTAAAAGGTACCCGTTCCCTGCCTCCCTCTCCTCACTGTCCCCAACCCATCACTCAGCTCCATCAGCTCAAACCCCAGAATATGGCTTGAATACATCCACATCTCCCTTGGTCTCCACTGCCACCCTGATCAGAGCCATTGTCACTCTCCCCTGGACCTCCCGGGCTCCCTGCATCCACGCTGGCCCCTACAGTCCATTCCCCATCTCCCCCGCTGCCACCGTTTCCACCCAACACTCCGCTCTAGTCCCATCCACCTTGTTGCTATTTCTTGAACCAGCAGAGCATGCACCCACCTCAGGGCCTCAGGGCCTTCTCACTTAAATGGCACCTTCTTAGTAAGATGTCTCTTTTTTTCTTTTTTTTTTTTTTTTTTTTTTTGAGACGGAGTCTCGCTCTGTCACCCAGGCTGGAGTGCAGTGGCGGGATCTCGGCTCACTGCAACCTCCGCCTCCTGGGTTTAAAGGATTCTCCTGCCTCAGCCTCCCGAGTAGCTGGGATTATAGGCATGCACCACCACACCCGGCTAATTGTTTGCATTTTTAGTAGAGACGGGATTTCACCATGTTGGCCAGGCTGGTCTGGAACTCCTGACCTCAGGTGATCCACCTGCCTCAGCCTGCCAAAGTGCTGGGACTAGAGTGAGGCACCGCGCCCGGCCCGTAAAATGTCTCTTAACCATCCTTTTTTTTTTTTTTTTTTTTTTTGAGACGGGGTCTCACTCATCCAGGCTGCAGTGCAGTGGCTTGACCATGGCTTACTACAGCCTCAACCTCCAGGGCCCAAGTGATTCTTCTGCCTCAACCTCCCGGGTAGCTGGAACTACAGGAGCACGCCCCTGCTTGGTGAATTTTTTATTTTATTTTTATTTATTTATTTTTTTCGAGACAGTCTCTGTCACCCAGGCTGGAGTACAGTGGCACAATCTTGGCTCGCTGTGGCCTCCGCCTCCCAGGTTCAAGCGATTCTCCTGCCTCAGCCTCCCGAGGAGCTGGGATTATAGGCATGCACCGCCACACCAGGCTAATTTTTTTGTATTTTTAGTAGAGACAGGGTTTCGCCATGTTGGCCAGGCTGGTCTTGAACTCCTGGGTTCAAGCGATCCCTCTGCCTCAGCCTCCCTAAGTGCTGGGATTACAGACATGAGCCACCACACCTGGCCATCCTATTTTAAACTGCAACCCTCAGTCTCCCCTGCCCCTTCCCCTGCTTTGCTCCCTAACACTACCTCCCAGTAGTTAGTACATGCTCTGTCACACAGTAGGCATTTGACACATGAACTGACGTTTGTATCTCCAAACTCCATCATCCAGGAAGCCTGAAGAAATGCTGCTCCATAAAAATCCAAACTCCGGCCGGGCGCGGTGGCTCACGCCTGTAATCCCAGCACTTTGGGAGGCCGAGGCAGGCAGATCACGAGGTCAGGAGATCGAGACCATCCTGGCTAACACAGTGAAACCCCGTCTCTACTAAAAATACAAAAAATTAGCCGGGCATAGTGGTGGGCGCCTGTAGTCCCAGCTACTCGGGAAGCTGAGGCAGGAGAATGGTGTGAACCCGGGAGGCAGAGCTGGCAGTGAGACAAGATCACGCCACTGCACTCCAGCCTGGGCGACAGAGCGAGACTCCGTCTCAAAAAAAAAAAAAAAAAAAAAAAAAAAAAAAAAAAAAAATCCAAATTCCACAGGCCTCCAATCTCATCTCCAGTGTCTCTTAGACTTACAATGTCATCTCTCATTTGTTCATTCATTTAACAAATAACATAAAAATTAACTACTGAGTTTCAAGCACTGCCCTAGACACTAGGGATTCCAGATAGATCCATGATAGACAAGATAATATGCCCCTCGCCCAAAGATGTGTGTGCCCCAATCCACAGAAACTGTGAATATGTTACTTTACGTGGCAAAAGGGGACTTGTGGATGTAATTAAGGGTCCAGACCTTGAAATGGAGAAATTATCCTGATTAGCCAAGTGGCCCCAATCTAAGTCCTTAAACTCAGAGAACTGGCTGGGTGCCGTGGCTCACGCCTGTAATCCCACCACTTTGGGTGACCAAGGCGGGTGGATCACCTGAGGTCAGGAGTTCAAGACCAGCCTGGCCAACATGGTGAAACCCCATCTCTACTAAAAATACAAAAATTAGCCGGGAGTGGTGGCACACGCCTGTAATCCCAGCTACTCAGGAGGCTGAGGCATAAGAATTGCTTGAACCTGGGCAGCAGAGGCTGCAGTGAGCCGAGATCATACCACTGCACTCCAGCCTGGGCGACAGAGTGAGACTCTGTCTCATAAATAAATAAATAAAATCAGAGAACCTTTCAAGCCACAGTGAGAGAGAAAAATACGAAGGCAGAGGAAAGGTCAGAGAGATGCAATGTTGCTGGCTTTGATGATGGGGGATGGAGCCACAAGCCAAGGAATGTAGGTGGCCTCTAGAAGCTGGAAAAGGCAGGGAAATGGATTCTCCCCTAGAGCCTTCCAAAGGGAACCACCCTGCTGGCGCCTTGATCTTAGCCCACTAAGCAAGTCTGACTTCTGACCTACAAAACTGCAAAATAATAAGTCTGCGTTGTTTTAAACCACTAAATTTGTGGCGATGTATTATGGCAGCAATTGAAATAGATACAGATCTTTCACAGAGCTTAAAGTCTAGCAGAGATGGATAACACCGATGAAAATTTCTGGCAATGCAAATTTCTCCCACCCTTTGCTTCTCTGAGAATTCATTTCTCCTTGTGGCCTGCTGATGAAATAATATCATCTCCCCTGTGAGGTTTCCTTGATTTCTCTACTACAAATAATCGCTCGTTCCCTGAAATCCTGCAGCTGTTGTTCGTTTTCAGCAAATAACCCTAACAAACAATATTCTGCGGTTTTAAACGATTTCACACACATTTTGTTCATTGAATTGGGGCCTGCAGTCACCCAACTAGTTCTAATCCGGGTTGGAACCACGATTGGAACCTGGTAGGAGAGTCGGACTCCAGACTCGTGCTTCTATTTTAGCATATGGTTCCCAATCCAAGGAGCAAAACGTGTGAAATCACTTAAAACAGGTTATAATCGTGGCTCCTAAGTTAAACTTCTCTGAGCCTCACTTTTTACCCCATCTGAAACACAGGTGTAGCAACAGTTTCTATGGCCTGAAGTTGGGGTCATGCATGCCCAGCACAGACTAGGTGAGCTCTCGTTCCACCTTTCCAACAACCCTGGCGCCCCATTTTTTTTCCAGAGAAAGAAACAGGTGGCCGGGCGCGGTGGCTCACACCTGTAATCTCAGCACTTCGGGAGGCCAAGGCGAGTGGATCACGAGGTCGGCTTTGAGACCAGCCTGGCCAACATGGTGAAACCCCGTCTCTACTAAAAATACAAAAATTAGCCCGGTGTGGTGGCGTGCGCCTGTAATCCCAGCTACACAGGAGGCTGCAGCAGGAGAATCGTTTAAACCTGGGAGGCAGAGGTTGCAGTGAGCTGAGATAGCGCCACTGCACTCCAGCGTGGGTGACAGAGCGAGACTCCGTCTCAATAAATAATAAATAAATAAAACAATATAAATAAGAAACGGGGACTCAAAGAGACCAAGTCACTTTTTCAAGGTTACATTGCTCCTGAAGCTAAGAATGCATGCCTGCCTCGTCTCCCACTCCACCCCGCATACGCCTCCAAGTCTTCCTATTGATAAGGTGGCACACATGGCTGTCTTTTCATTTCACCGGCGCAGTTTGTGATTCTGCATTTATTTCTGCTCATTGGCTGCCTCCCTACCCTACGGGAGGGGTCCCGAGGCCGGACCCGCTGTCTCCGCAGCCGCTGTGCCCGGCACGTGCCCGCCTCCACCACGAGGGGGCGCTATGGGCTAGGGAGGCGCTGCAACCCTGGCAGTCCTTGAACGAGGAGCATCACCTCTCGGAGCTCCCGCTTCCGGCTCTGGAAACGGAATGATAGCTCTAACTCACAGCTGGAGCCCACCCACCCCCAAGTCACGGCGCCTCTAGGGCCTGCTTCCTCCCTCCCTTTCCCCACCTCAAGGCCCGCTTCTTGGGGCCTGGTTGCCCTTCGCCCAGCTATTATTACTGCGGGCGATGCGCCGGCTGGCCAATCAGGAGGCGCAGCGCGCCTGTGACGTCACGAGGTGCGAGGCAGATGAACGCCTGCCCCATCCCGTCCCTCCATTCCCGGGCCCACCGCGCCTGCGCATGCGTGCTGAGCGCCAGAAAAAAAAAAGGCGGGAAAGGACGCTTGCGGCGAGACTCTCCTGCGGGAGCGGGAGGCTTGGGCCTCTCAGGAGGGCACAGGTACGGGGCGCGGGGCGACAGAGGCAGAAACCCAGGCAGCCCCAGACGGCGAGCAGGGCGGGAGAGTGGAAGGGAGGGAGAAGACGGAGAAACAGCGACTGCGACGGGCACAGAGGGAGGACAGAAACGCTGCCCCTTAGGTGGGGAGTGAAACCTCCCGTGAGGGAGCGGCGAGGGCGGCGGGGACGGTGAGAAACGGACAGAGGAGCCCGCGGGAGACAGAAACGGAGGGAAGGGGGCTGACCATGAGAGAAACGAGGGGGAGAGAGAAGAGAGCACGCGGGAGACTGCAGGGAAGGCGCGGGAGATGGAGACTCAGAAAACAACCGTAAGAGACAAAGGAAAAGATACCACAGCGCTGGGCCTGGGGAGAGAACGCAGTGAGAAATGGAGACGATGAGAGTATGAGGTGATATAGCAAAACCGACCGTGAAAAATCGAGTGAGAAGCAGGTGGCGAAGCTGAGAACTGAAAGTGAAAGACAAGAGGACGGAAGATACAGAAACAGTTTGGGCCCAGTGGCTCCCGCCTGCAATTCCAGCACTTTGGGAGGCCGCAGCAAGCCGATGACTTGAGCCCAAGAGTTTGAGACCAGCCTGGGCAACATAGTGAGAACCCATCTCGACAAAAAATCAGGCCGGGAGCAGTGGCTCACCCCTGTAATCCCAGCACTTTGGGAGGCCGAGGCAGGCGGATCACGAGGTCAGGAATTTGAGACCAGCCTGGCCAACATGGTGAAACCCGTCTCTACTAAAAATACAAAAATTAGCCGGGAGTGGTGGCACACGCCTGTAATCCCAGCTATTCAGGAGGCTGAGGCAGGAGAATCACTTGAACCCGGGAGGTGGAGGTTGCAGTGAGCCGAGACCACGCCACTGCACTCCAGCCTGGGCAACACAGCAAGACTCTGTCTCAAAAAAAAAAATTAGCCAGGCATGGTGGTGTGCATCTGTAATCCCAGCTATTCAGGAGGCTGAGGTCGGAGGATCACCTGAGCCTGGGAGTTCAAGGCTGCAGTGAACTGAGATCGCACCACTGCACTTCAGCCTGGGCAACAGAGCAAGATCCTGTCTCAAAAAAGAGAGAGAGAAATTTACCATGAAAAATGGAGTGAGAAACAGAGGTGGTGAAGGTGAGATCTGAAAGAAAAGTGAAAGACTGAGGGGGAAAGACAGATAAATTGACCAGGAAAAACTAGGTGAGAAACAGAGATGAGAGTGTGAGACTGATAATGAAACAAAAAGACAGAAGGACAAGGGAGAAAAAAATAAAGAGAAACTGACCACGAAAACTGGAGTGAGAAATAGATGTAATGAGGGTGAGAAATTGAAAAAGAAAGACAGGGAAAAAGAAATGATGGGAATATGAAACTGACAACGAAAGAAAAAAAATGAGAAAGATGGTGAGAGAGAGCAAAAGAAATTACCATGAAAAAAATACGGCATAAAGACGAGTGTGAGAAATTGAAAATGAAAGGCAAAAAGAGATTGGCACAGAGAAGAAAAGATAGAGAATTTGATCATGGAAAATGAAGTGAGGCCAGGCATGGTGGCTCACACTTATAAACCCAGACATAAGCCCAGCACTTTGAGAGAGTGAGACAGGAGGATCGCCTGAGCTCAGGAGTTTGAGACCAGCCTGGGCAACATAGTGAGCCCGTCTCTACAAAAATTAAAAATGAGCCGGGTGTGGTGGCGCACATCTGTAGTCCCACCTTTTCAGGAAGCTGAGGCAGGAGGATCGCTTGGGCCCGGGCAGTCAAGGCTGCAGTGAGCTGAGATCACACCACTGCACTCCATCCTGGGCAATACAGAGATAGAGATGATGAGGGTGAGAAATGGATAATGAAAAAAAGAGACCAACAGCAAGTGAGAAACAGGAGCAGAGATGGATTCGCAGGGATCCTGAGAGATGGGGATACAAGGAAGACAGGCAAAGAAAAAGGCAGAAGAATGTGGTGACAGTGATGTGGGGGCCAAAGCGGGGCGTGGTCCCAGGTGTGGAAGGAGCTGCAGCAGCAAGACAGAGGCCATAGAGCAGAGGGGGATGGAGCTGTGGCCCTGGAGGCTGATTCTGCTGGCCAGAGGGAGGGGATGGCCAGGGTAAGGAGAGAAGCTGCACTCCAGGAGTCCCCACCTCTGAGCCATACCAGGCCCGGACCAGAGCGTGAGCTTCAAGAATGGGTGAGGTTTCGCTTGCTCTGGGGGAGCTGGGGTGGGGACGATGATGTGATGACAGAATGGCCCTTGGTTGTGGGTTTGACTGAGGGCCCCAGGCTTGCATATTGTGTGGCTTACAGGAGGGCCATGGGCTCAGGATTGCTGAGCTTAGCCTGATCTCTTAGATGGTGTCCTTGGCTCTGAAGAAGTGTCACCATTGAGCCCAAGGAGGTAATGCGTTTAGGGTCTCAGGAGCCAAGGAAAACCTTTCCAGGGTGCCCCGAGGCCTCAGCCAGCTCATTGAGAAGGGTCTTTCTGGAAACCCTGCAGGGAAGCGAATGGAGGTTTATGGAGGCCCTCCATGGCCACCCCAATCAGGCCTCTCACCTGTGTCCGGCAGGCGCCTTATTGCTGGGGAGGAGCTACCCGGGCGCCGGGTGGTCCTCCAGGGGAGAGTGTGTCCAGGTACCCCCGCTGTGGTAGTCCCCTTGGCCAGGTCCTCTCTTGAGGTGGGGTCCCAGGTCCAGGGGGGATAATCGTCATAGTCTGTGTAGCCTTTGGAGAAATTGGGGTAATGGTTGACCCCATCCTCTTTCTCAGAGGTCCTTGCTGCTGCTCTTCCCTCCCCTTTTGGAATCTTCTGGAGCAACTCTGGGATCTCCCCACCCCGACCCCTCATACCCAGTTCTTTAGAGTCGACCATGGTGCCGTCACCTGGCCCCACCCTGACTCCATTCTCCTGGCCACCCCCGACAACCCCACCACCGCCGCCATGCCCTGGTACCAGTGCAGGTGAGCCCCACGTCTTCCTCGTGGTCACAGTTGTGCTTCCCCCAAGCCCCCGAGGGGCAGTCGCTCAGTGAGGCCTCGCTTCCCTTACAGCCCATGTCATCCAGCCAGATGGGCCCAGTCCCAGGGCCGTAATGGGTTTTGCCTACTCGAGGCCGGACCTTTCCACAGCCCAGTTCCCAGCAGGCCACAGTGGCGTCCCGCAGGTCCCAGTTGTCATCACACACTGTTCCCCAGCGTCCGGCATGCCACACTTCCAGCCGGCCAGCACAGCGGTTGGGCCCATCGGCCAGACGAACCCGGAACAGGCCTGCGTGGAAGGCCCTTAGGTCAGGAGGGAGGGTCAGCCTCTCCCATTCTCTCCCCACACCCCTCACGGCCACTCACCTGATTCCCCAGTGGTGCTAACACTGGGAGAGGGGGCCGGGTCTTTGGGTGACTCTGGAGACCCTTCTGGGATCTCAGCAGATGGCTCCAGGGAGGCCTGAGGGATACTCTTGATAGTGGACTCAGAGGTCATTTCTTGGGGGCCTTGAGTGGTCAGCATTGCCATGGTCTTAGTGGTCCGTTCTCGGGGGGCCTGAGGGGTCAGCGTGGCAGTGGTGTGAGAGGTCCATCTCTGGGGGGCCTCCGTGGTCGGCCTTCTGGTAAACTCAGAGGTAGGTCTTCGGGAGGCCTCAGTGGTCAGTGCTGCAGTGGTCTGTGAGGTTAGGTCTGGGGGGCTTTGGGCCCTGGAGTGTTTCGTGGTTGGCATCACTGGGGGTTGAGTGGTTGGTCTCTTTGCATTTTTTGTCACCCACTTCTTAGTACTCTTAGGCATTTTCCCTGGGGCCTTCGTGGTTGTTTTCTCCAGAACACTGGCAGTCACACTTGCAGAGGGCTTGGTGGCCAGCTCTCCCGGGAGCCAGGCATCCCGATCTCTCCCCAGTCCAGGAATCCAGCTCCAGCTGAAGGGGTCTGAGATGGAGTCCAGGCCTGGGGGCCCTGGAAGGTGAGTGGGGCAGGAAGAGAAGACAGAGACACCATGATGACAAGATCATCTACCCAGGCCCCTCCTTCTCTCCAGTCACTCACCCAGTTCCCATTCATTCATCATTCATTCATTTATTGTCACAAATATTTATTGAGCACCTCCTATGAGCCACACACCATATTAGACCCTCGGGTAGCCTATGGCAAGCCAAACCCGACACTGCCCCCGCCTTCTTGGCATTTACAATCTGGACATAACTGACCCCCTCACCCTTTCACACCTGACCTCTCCTCTCCATCTCCTCAGCTTCTGCTCTGAGTCAGGGCCTCATTTCCTATACCTTCTGACAGGTCTCCCTACCTCCCTGTCAATTCTTACTGACCACCAGTGGGGTACCCAGGTCCGACAGGCCACTCCCGAACTCAGAATCCTTCTGTGGTGCCCCCGTGGCCCTCAGGAAGACGGGGACAGAGGGAAGAGCCGTAGCTTCCAGCAGAGGTGATGCCTCCATCCTTTGAGACACCACTCTCCATCTTCCATCTTTCTGATTAGCACACGTGTGCAGTAAAGGATTAACCCTGCCCAAAGAAAGGTTTCGCCTTTTCCCCGGCTCCTGGGAGATGACTTCGAAGCCTTTGGAACACCTTGCCTGATAAGAGATTTTTTTCCCTGGGGCACTTGGGCCATGCCAGATCGCCTATGCTAACAGTGTGATTTATGGTCAGCCACATGTACGTGGCCAAGTCCCCACGAACACTCTGGATGCCAAGGCTTGGGGGAACTTCCCTAGTTGGCAGTTCCTCATGTGTGTTGTCCCACTTCGTTGCTGGGATAATGAAGTGCTGTCTGCATAACTCCACTGGGACAGGACAGTTGGAAGCTCACACCTACTGTCTCCTGAGCCCTGCCTCAGGCGCCTCTTCCCTTGGCTGATTTTAATCTGTATCCTTTCACTGTGATAAACGATAACGCTGAGTGTAACAGATTCTTTGATTCTAAGAGTTCTTCTAGCAAATTATTGAGTCTGACAGTGGTCTTGGTAACCTCAAACTATAACGAGTCACACAGGTTTGCAATGATTTGTTAGAGTATTTCTCTACATGAGCTGTGAGCTATTCAAAGACCAAGACCATGTTCATTCCATTCATGAGCCCAGCATGAGGACCCTGCACCTGGCTCAGCCTCTGCAATTTAATAACAGGCATTGCCTGAGTTTATGTTAACTGGCTCTCACTTTGGCTTCTTTCCATCTCCCAGTGCCCTGCCTGCTTCCTTTCATCGTAGGAAAGCTAAAGCTCCTTTCTTAGTGGGAAATTTCCTTGATTCCTGGAAGGAAGAGGAAGCAGAAGCTTCTCTGAGTGGGAATCCCAGATCTGCCAGTTAGTTGTTGCTGTGTGATCTTGAGCAAGTTACCCAACCTCTCTGTGCCTCAGCTTCTTTATCAGTAAAATGGGCATAACACACACCACCCTAGACTTATTATGTGATTTCAATGTGGTTATATGTGCAAAAACACCCAGCACAGGGCTGGGGCTTAGGAAGCACTCAATCAATGTTAGTGCCCATGTTAGTTACTGTTCCCCTCCAGGAAGCCCTCCTGGAGTCAACAGATAGCTAGGGCCTCCTTACCAGTGCAGGTGACCCCAACATCCTCATTGTGAGCGCAGTTGTGCTTTCCCCAGGGAGCAGCAGGGCAGTCGGACAGTGAAGCCTCGGTCCCCACACAGCCCACATCATCTAGCCAGATGGGGCCCGCACCCCAGCCAAAGCGGCCAGCAGCAGGGTCTGGCTGCTGAGGTCCACCACAGCCCAGCTCCCGGCAGACCACAGCTGAATCCCGCATGTCCCAGCTATCGTCACACACGGTCCCCCAGCGCTGGTCATGCCACACCTCCAGTCGACCTGAGCACTTGCTGGGCCCAGCCACCAGGCGCAGCTGGGGGGACCCTGGGGTAGAAGAGACCCAAAGAATTAGAGTCGGGGAAGCCGCCCAGCCTCCTGACTCTTCATCCACCTTTCCCTCCCCCCATCTTCCTTTCCACTCATCCATCTAGGCCTTCCCTCCATTCATCCATCCTTTCCTCCAGGCAGCAAGTATTTCATGAGGCCTTTTTTGTGCCATTTTCTGCATTAGGCATGAGGGATAATGAGTCAGGCAGAGTTTGGAGGATCCTCAAAAAGCTACACATCAAATTACCATATAATCTAGAAAGTCTGCTACTAGGGATATACCCAGAATAAACTGAAAACAGGTATTCACACAGATACCAGTATGTGAATGTTCATAGCAGCACCATTCACAGTAGCCAAATAGTAGTGGTTGTACAGCATTTTGAATGTATAAATACCACTTAAGTTGTATACTTAAACTGGTTAACTTTATGTTACATGAATGTCACCTCAATTAAAATAAGTCTTTTTCCATGCAGTTGTTCACCACCCTTAATTTTCTCTCATTATTATTGGTTTAATAAGGGTTTTTTTCTTCTTTCTTAGATTTTATTTTCCTAACCACTAGACCACCAGGGATAATAAGGTGTTTTGTTGTTGTTTATGAGTCAGGCACAGCCTCTGCTTTGAAAAGCTCTCGGTCTTCAGGGAAAGTAGCATGCACACACTTCATTACAGCTCAGCGAGCTAAAGGGAGTAGTGGAAGTACCCAAAGGGCAAGGCAGACACACAACGAGGAGAAGGTGAGAAAAATTCTGCCTGAGGAAGCTGGAGAAGGCTTCTCAGAGGAAGTCCTTTAAAAGACAGGGAGCAGCAGGCCCGGCACGGTGGCTCCCACCTGTTAATTCCAGCACTGTGGGAGGCCCAGGCGGGCAGATCACCTGAGGTCAGGAGTTTGAGACCAGCCTGGCCAACGTGGAGAAACTCTGTCTCTACTAAAAATACAAAAATTAGCCAGGCATGGGCCAGGTGCAGTGGCTCAGCCTGTAATCCCAGCTACTCCGGAGGCTGAGGCAGGAGAATCGCTTGAACCGGGAGGCGGAGGTTGCAGTGAGCCAAGATCGTGCCACTGCACTCCAGCCTGGGTGACAGAGCGAGACCCTGTTTAAAAAAAAAAAAAAAAAAAGACTGGTAAAAATGGTAAACTTTATGTCATGTATGTTTTATCACAATTGTTTTTTAAAGAACGTGCGCCCTGGAACAAGTGTTTTTGCTTGAATCCTGGCTCTCCCATTTCTCAGCGGTGCTGCCTCATCTGTAACATGGAGACCTATCAGTATCCACACCACAGTGGCTGTAAGCATCACCTGGACTGAGACACGGAGAGAACTGGGAACAGCATCAGTCACCAGGAGCCAGTGCATGCTCGTTCAGTGTTAGCTGATATTATTATTCAGGAAAAGGGGAACGAGACCTCTGGGAATGGTGATCATGGTGAAAATAAGTTGCTGCTTTTGTTCGGCCTTTTCCCATCTTGAGGAGACAGCTGTGTTAACCACGCCTTTTTATTTTCTGTATTTCTGATGCTTTGACATCTTGGAGCATTCCTGATCCTGAGGGACTGCCCCTCCCAGGGTTAGCTAATTCCTAGAGATGGTAAATGGCTTGAGCATGCCTTTCGTGTGCAAACCACCCTCTCCACTGGGCTCTCACACCCTGGGCCATTCTGCACCTGTCCTCATTGCCCCAGGGCCAAGTACCAGATGACTAAGGACAACCCTCTGAGTCGCCACCCTCCCCACCGGCCCCACTGAAATTCTTCAAACCAGCCAGTTCTAAGCCTGCTCAACCTGTCTCACCTATTCCTTCCTGCAAAAAACACAAGAAAGACCCCTGCACCTGGCCGGGTGGCTCACGCCTATAATCCCAGCACTTAGGGAGGCCAAGACAGGAGGATCACCTAAGGCCAGGAGTTTGAGACCAACCTGGACAATAGTGAGGCCCTGTCTCTACAAAAAAAAAAAAAAAAAAAAAATAGCCAGGCTCGGTGGCATGCAGCTGTGTTACCCAGGAGGCGGAGGTGGGAGGATCACTTGAGCCCAGCAGTTTGAGACTGCAGGGAGCTGTGATTACACCACTGCACTCCAGCCTGGGCAACCAAGTGAGACCCTGTCTCTAAATAAATGTATAAAAGATTCCTGCCATGCTTCCCCCTCACTCCGTCTACCTCCTGCCTGGCCCTGGTGCTTCCCTGTGTGGCCCCGTGTGGCACGCCATCCTCTTGAGAACCGTCAGTCACAATCTTTTTAGTGGCTGTCATCTCCTGAGATCCTGGCCTCACCATACCTCAGTAATAATAACACCTATATTTTAAAACAACAGTCCTTTCAATACTCATGAAAGAGACCAGGCACGGTGGCTCACGCCTCTAATCCCAGCACTTTGGGAGGCCGAGGCAGGCAGATGGTTTGGGATCAGGAGTTCAAGACCAGCCTAGGCAACATGGCAAACCCCATCTCTGCAAAAAAAAAAAATACAAAAAATTAGTAGTCCCAGCTACTTGGGAAGCTGAGGTGGGAGGATCACTTGAGCCTGCAGGTTGAGAGGTTGAGGCTTCAGTGAGCCATGATCACACCACTGCATTCCAGCCTGAGTGACAGAATTAAATCCACTCTCAAAAAAAAAAAAAAAAAAAAAAAAAAATATATATATATATATATGAAAGGAGGCAGGCAGAACCATTGATCACATTTGCTAAAGAACCAGAGACTCTGGAAAGTAAAGGTAATGTTTGAGCAGGGCTGTTCCTTGAAGCTGGCCTGAGTACCCCATGATGGATCCTACAGCCACACCGTGCAGCTTGGGAATAGAGCAGACTCTCAGCCCAGCATCCTTTCTCTTATCCAGGACTGGCTACAGAATTTTGGGGGCTTGGTAAATGACGAAAGTTAGGACCCCTTGTTCAAGAATTATCACACGCTCCCAGACGCAACAGCAGAGCATTGAACCCAGCTCAGTGTCCTGGGCGAGGCCCCTGTGCTCCTCTTCTCCACCTTTCTCTTTGCAAGAGGCCCCCCATGAGACAGTCTCAGAGCTGAGGGAAGGAAACAGAAGGAAGGACCCTGTTTTCTTGGGGAGCATGGAGGGACTCACCGGCTTCCGGTCCAGGCTCCCAAAGGACAGTAGGGGAGGCTGGAGGAGGTGAAACGCCTGCCGTCCCTGGAGCCTGGCTCGTCATGGTGGACGGGGGCCTGGAGGCAGCCTCCCTGGGCGTGGAGTTGTTGCTGTCCGTGGGGGCCGTGGGAGGGACGTAGCCCAGGGGCATGCCTGTGGAGCAGGGGGTAAGTGATTGCCACCCACACACACCCTCCATCCCGGAGCCGGCACCCCCACCTCCTGCGTCATCCTTCCTCAGTCCTCTCAGCTGCACGCAGAGATCTCTTCCTGCCGAACCTCCTCCCTAGACACAGCCCACGCTTTCCACATCCCTGACCTGGGGAGAGGGGTGTGAATGCGGAGCACGGGAACAGAGAGAGCAGAGGGCATGGTAGCTTAGGGGTGGCAGAGAAGCGGGGGGTGACCTTATGCAGAGGAGAAGGCTGGCTTCCGCCGGGGGCCAGGAGGCAGGGCCAGCCAGGGCTGCCACGGGGCTGAGGCTCATCCTCGCCTCTGTTTCCATTTGGGGCTGGACTGTTCTCAGCTGTGGAGGCGGCCTGTGCACTGCAGGATCCTAAGCAACACCCCTGGCCTCTAACCCCTGGGTGCCAGGAGCACCCCCACCCCCAGCTGTGACCATCAAAAATGTTTCCAAACACTGTCCAATGTCCCCTTGGGGGCAAAGCCACCCCCAGCTGAGAACCAGTGACGCAGGGTGAGGATTCAGAGGGGAATAAGATGGGGGAGTGGAAAGTCCGGAGAGAGGGCAGGAAGGGCGCGTAGGGACCCCCCCGCCCCCGCCGAACTTGCCCCTCCGCTCCAAGCACCACCACGCCCACCTCCCGGTCCTCCACCACAACCCCCTCACCGTCACACACGGCCCCGGCGTCCTCGCGGTGGTGACAGTCATGCTGGCCCCAGGGCCGAGCTGGGCAGAATCGTAAGGCCGTCTCGTTTCCCCGACACCGAAGGTCGTCCAGGATGATGGGTCCAGACCCCTCCCCAAAGAAGGCGCCCCCGGGGGCGGCCAGCGCCCCTCCGCAGCCCAGCTCTCGGCAGGCCACAGCGGCGTCTCGCAGGTCCCAGGCGTCGTCACACACCGACCCCCAGCGACCCCCGTGCCAGACCTCCAGGCGGCCGGCGCACCCGTGGGGGCCATCGGCCAGGCGCAGCCGAGGTGCTGGGCCTGGATAGTGGGAGAGGGAGCACAGGGCCAGGAAACGAGGGTGGATGAGCGGGGACTAAGCTATGCTCAGGCAGGCTGCAACCCCAAGATGACTCTGGGAAGCAAATATTCCATCTTCACTATCCAAATGAGGAAAAGGTTCCAAGACAGGAAGTCACTGGCCCGGAGTCCAACTCTGGCGCATCCCCCATATCCCTTGCCTTGGGGCGGTGGGGGCTGGGGACGCTGGGAGCTCTGGCTCTGGTCCCCTGGATCCACCTCCCATGCCTGGCCCCTCGGATCCTAGAGAGCCGGATTTCCAAGTCTCAGCACCACTGGCATTGGGCATCCTCCTTTATCGTGGCAACTGTCCTGCACTGCATCCTCTACCCACCACATGCCAGTGGCAACCCCTCCCCCTAGCTGCGACAACCAAAAACGTCTCCAGACATTGCCTGATGTCCTTTGGGGAGGAAGGGGATGAGAAAGCCCTCACTCCCTTGCCAGCTGAGAGCCACTAGTCTAGATATTAACCTCTCGCTGGCCTTAGGATACATAGGGTACATTTCATTTTTTTATTTTTGGGGGGAGGGGATCTCACTATGTCACCCAGGCTGGAGTGCAATGGTGCAATCTTGGCTCACTGCAGTCTCGACCTCCTGGACCCAAGGAATCCTCCCCGCCTCAGCCTCTCCCAAGTAGCTGGGACTACAGGCATGCGCCACCATGCCCTGCTATTTTTTTTTTATTTTATATTTTGTAGGGAAAGGGTCTCACTATGTTGCCCAGACTGGTCTTGAACTCCTGGCCTCAAGAAATCCTCCCAAAGCACGTGGGCTACAGGTGTTAGCCTGTAACCATGCCTGGCTCTTCGGGTACATTTCTGTTGGGGTAAGAGTTGACTCATCATTGGAGGACTCTGGAGTCCCTCTCTCTGTCCCCCAACGAGGCAGGTGCAGAATTGCCCCCAATCACTGTTCTAGAGAAGAGCACAGAACTAGGGAGGAGTCTAACACACCTGTCTGCTTTTCCTCATCTGCAGACAGGGGAGGGGAGCGTCTCCCTCCCGGGGTTGCCATGAGAATTAAATCAGATGCTGGCGAAGCTCCCAGCTTCACCGGGCGCCTTAGTTCATTTGTTTCCTTTCTTGGCACCTTCACCCTCTCCTCTCCAGAGCCTCAACTTCCCTCCAATGAACTCTGCTCCGAAGGTCCCACTTCTTCCCCCACAGCTTGTACACTAGGCACACGAAGGCACCACCCCCACCCCATACAAGCCTTCTCTGCTGCTCACTCCCACTCTGACCTCCGTGTCCCCACCACGTCCCTATGGCCGACTGTGCAGTGGGACAGGCATGGAGCGTGGGTCTATACAGACCCAGAGGGGTCAGCGGCTGGGGCTGGAGCTTGCTAGGCACCTGGGTCTTGGGCCATTTACGTCACCTCTCTGAGCCTCGGCCCCACATCTGTGAAGAGAGGGATGAGGATCCACCCCGTCCGGGCTGCGGGAGGCTCAGAGCGGCCCCAGGTAACGTGCACAGCGCAGGGCCCAGCATACAGCAGAGACTAGGGTCAGCCTCTTTCTCTCTTCTCTCCCCCCTGGATACCCACTGATGTCAGCATTTCCTACCCATCCTGGGCAGGCACCCAGCTTTGCCTGCAGCCCGTGTACTGTCCCCACCCCAACGCTGATGAAATGCCAGGTGGGTGCCCTCTGCCTGCCGGCCTCCTACAGTCAATGGATCGGGCAGTCCAGCAGGGTGGGGCCTGCCGTGGTGGTGTGTAAAGATTTGTGGAAGGAAAGAAAGGAAAGAGAAAGGGAAAGAGGGAGGAAGGAAGGAAGGAGAGAAGGAGGGAGGGAGCCCCTGAGCTCTCACCTAACACCCCCCAACCGCTGTTTGCTGGGTTCTATCCCAGGTCCAAGGGGTACAGGAGAGGGGAGGGACCCCCTGGGAGACATGAGGGGAGGAGACCCCGCGCTGAGGGGGCGTGAATGAGGGGAGATGGAGGCTCACCCGTGGGTGTCCCCACCCTGCCTCAGTCTCCCTCCATGCCCCCAAGTCACCGCCCTCCCTCCCTCCTTCCCACCAGCTCCCTTGAGGATGGGGAAGGAGCAGAGGTTGGCCACAGAGACAAGAGGTCTCCGAGACGGTCCCCTGCCATGGCCAGCCCGGTGGCAGAGGGCAGGCAGGGCTTCTTGCGTTCCAGGACTTGGCTCAAGCCTGAGGCAGGCATTCTTAGCTCCATCGCTCCTTCAGGAAAACTGAGGCTTAAACAAACGGTCACTGGCCTAGGCCCCGGGACAGGGCTGAGCACTAGCCCAAGCCTCAAGCCTGCTCCTCCCATTCCTGGCAAGGAGAACGGCAGGAGCTGTGGAAGGAGGGGCTGGAGAGCGTGGTGAGTGGGCGCTGGGCATGCAGAGAGCAGGCGGGCAGGAGGCAGAGCTGGGAGCAGGCCCGCTGCAGCTTCCTGGAGGGGCAAGAGGGAGCTGGGGTCTGAGGAAGACAGGAGGGGGCCAGGCCCCAGCCCGACGTACCGGTGCAGACCAGCCCCGCATCCTCGCTGTGGTCACAGTTGCTCCGGCCCCAGGGGCTTCGGGGGCAGTCTCGGAGGGCCTGTTCTCCTCCTCCACACCCCACATCGTCCATCCACACGGGCCCTGCACCAGGCCCGAATCTGGCACCGCCGGGGGCAGCCAGCGCCCCCCCACAGCCCAGTTCCCGGCAGGCTACAGCAGCGTCGCGCAGGTCCCAGCCATCGTCACATACGGTGCCCCAGCGCCCGCCGTGCCAGACCTCCAGGCGTCCGGCGCACCTGTGGGGGCCAGAGACCAGGCGCAGCCGCTCTGTGGGGTGAGCAGGGAGGGGACGGTGTGGCCAGTGAGAAATGATTCAAACACCCCTTCCTCGATTTCCACCTGGGGAAACAGGCCTGAGGGAGCGGTGGCCTGAGATCTGTCCGCCGGCAGCCCGTGAAGAGGTGAGTCCACGACCTGAGCGGGCCAGGACACCTGGGCCTCCTGACAGGGCAGGAAGAAGAGGGGAGACCAGGCCTGGCCGTCTAAATCCCCGGGGGAGGGACGCGGGGAACACTGGGATCCCTCCAGGGCCCCGGCTAAGGAGAGGGCGCCCGCAGGTCCTCAGTTTTTCTGGGCCCTGGGCCTCACAGCAACCAGCCTTGGGGTCGGGGGAGCCTGCAGGGAGCTTACCTTGGCGGGGGGCTCCTGTCGTCAGCAGAGGGGCCCGGGTGGACTTGGCCTGCTTGGGCCGGGGGCTCTTCTTCCGGGAGGCGTTCTGGGGGTTCCCAGCTGGGCGGGGGGCTGGGAGTGGAGACAGCCAGGGGTCAGGAGCTGAGCCCCTCATCCTTCCTCCCACCTGGGGGCCCAGGCCTCCGTCTCTGAGGGTCTGAAGTGATGGAGGACTCCCTAGGCTATGAAGGAGACGGGGCGGGGCAGGGGGCGGGCTGTGTGTCCCCTGGGAGTTCATACTGCAGAGGTCCCTCTCCCCTCGGTGGGGGCAGGAGGGCACGCTGGGTGGGGGTTGGCAGGGCAGTCCCTCTCCCCTCGGGGGGGGCAGGAGGGCACGCTGGGTGGGGGTTGGCAGGGCAGTCCCCTGGGCTCACCATGTGTCACCAGGGGCTCCTCCGTGCTGGGGCTCAGCTCCAGCAACAGCCCTGGCCAGGGAGCCCCATCCAGGGGAGATGTTGAGTCGTCCCTGGAGTTAGCCACACGCTGACCTGCGGCGGGGGGGCAGGGACAGAAGCTATGAGGAGAGGAGGGGAATCCAGGCCATTTGGGTCCCTGGAAGAGGGAGTTAGCCACCTGGCTTTGGAGGGGATGGGAGGTTGGGTGTCTCTGAACTGCTGAACACTCAGACTTGCTGGGGCTAAGGACTTGGGGTTCCTGGGTCATCTCCAAAGGAGCTCCCCCTGAAGGAGCAGCCAGGGTGTCCTCACCTGCGC
This sequence comes from Homo sapiens, assembly GCF_000001405.40. NCBI lineage: Eukaryota > Metazoa > Chordata > Mammalia > Primates > Hominidae > Homo > Homo sapiens. The sequence continues at coordinate 55,489,656 of NC_000019.10, read as the reverse complement.
AGACGACGCCCGCGTCCTCCTCGTGGGAGCAGATGTGGGCCTTCCAGCCCCGGTGGTGGCAGAGGCCCAGCTGCCCCTCGTTGCCCCGGCAAGCCAGCTCGCTGAGCCACACAGGCCCTGCCCCCTCCCCGAAGAAGGCGCCTCCCGGGGCGGCCAGTGCCCCTCCGCAGCCCAGCTGCCGGCAGGCCACGGCGGCATCGCGCAGGTCCCAGCCGTCATCACACACGGTGCCCCAGCGCCCGCCATGCCAGACCTCCAGGCGGCCAGCGCACCCATGGGGGCCATCGGCCAGGCGCAGGCGCTCTGAGGGTTGGAGGAATGGCTGTGACTGGGGAGGGGCATCCTGGGGGCCCCAAGGCCAGGGCAACTGTAGGGGCAGGTGGCTGTCCTGCAGGTACTGTCTGTAGGCCAGTGGCCCTGCTCACTGGCCCCTGGGCCCAGACTCCTGGGTGCTCAGAGAGATGCGGCCAGACACCTGGGGGATTCCCTTGCGGAGCTGGGGCCAAGGTCACAGTGGAATTCGGATGGGCCGGGGACCCAGTGGGGGTGAGGCCAGGCCTGGATGGGCAGAAGGGGGAGGCCTGGGGGGGGGGGCGGGCAGATGGGAGGAGTCTGGGCACTTACCAACAGCCTGGATCCCCACCAGGGCCGCTGGAAGGGAGGGCGGAGGGTGGGGCAGTGTGAGGGGCAGGCCGGGGGTGGCCCTTTCTCCAGCGCAGGCCCCTCATCTTGAATACCCCAACACACACACACACACACACACACACACACACACACACACACATGGGCTTGGCTAAAGGTCAGATGTCTGGGAGATCCCCCGCAGGGTCAGGGCTGGGGGGCGGGCAGGGGGCAGGTCCCTTGGGCTTCTGGGCTGGCAGAAGGCTGGGCAGATTGAGCAGGGATCCTCAGAAGGGATGTCAGGGTATGCAGGAGCACCAGCGACCAGTCCCGGAAGTTTGAGTCCCTAAACTGGACAAGCTAAGGGGTCAGAGGTGGGGGCCTAGGCCCCCCGAGTCCCCAAGGAGAATGGATCACTCACCAAGGAGGCAGGCCAAGACCCTCATGGTTGCAGCCAGGGCAGGGGATGGGGTGAAAGGGGAAGGAGAGCGGGGAGAGAAGAGGAGGAGGCAGCTGGGGAGAGAGGGAGGGAGGGAAGTGCCTGCTGGAGGCGCCCAGGCCCGAGGAGGAGCAGGCAGGGCTGGACGCTTTGCCAGGAGGAAGAAAGAGGCTGCAGGGAGGCGGCAGGGGACGGTGGGGGGGAGGGGGGGCGGGAGGGGGCTGGCCGTCTGCTGAGGCATGGGGGGGAGGGGGGTGGCGGGCGGGAGGGAGGGTGTCCAACTGCAGACACCCACACGGGAGATGGAGACGACGGCCAGGCAGGCTCCAGCCAGCAAAGTGCTGTGCCCAGAGATGCTTAGGGGGTGGCCGGCTGCAGGAAGGCACAGGACAGGGGTTGGGGGACGTGTGCGGGGGGGGCGCAGCATGAGCGGGAGGGGCGCCCACCTGCTGTCTCCCCTCTTGTCTGGTCAGGGAAATCCAGTGAGACCACTGCTAGGGTTGGGGGCTGGGCAGACCTGGGGTTCTTGGTGCAGCAGCAAGAAGATTTGCAGCCAGACACCAGGAGGGACTTCCTGGGTTAGGAAAAGAGACTGAAAGACCCGGCCCTCCAGTCCTCCCACTCACTGGTGGATCTGAGTGTGAAGCCCCCAGTCCCCAGCTGAGAGAGGAGAGGTTGAACTTCACTGTCCCAGAGGGAGCTGGGGTCGGGGGATAAGCAGCACAAGGGTCAAGGCTTGGGAAGGGGAGGGGCTCCACACACTCTTCCACACACTCACACACACACACACACACCCCACTGCCTGCACACCAGGCAGCTGTGAGGCGGAAAAAATTCGGTAATGGGGAGCGTGACTCAGAAGGGCTGGCAGGGCCTCGGGCTGCCCCTGAGCTCACAGCCTCCCCTTCTCCCAGTCCAGCACCGTCCCCCAACAATTAATGTTAACTGGGGAAAGGAGAAGCCAGACAGAAATGGGCGGGGGTGTCCGGAGACAGACTGGGAAAGCCATCAGAGAAGAGACAGGCACACAGCGGTTTCAGGCTTTATTAACAAACGGTGTAAAAAACCAGACGGATCTGGAGGAAGGGACAGGGCTGCCCGTCTCAGCTCTCAACCTTCCCAGAGAGGGGCCAGGCCTGGCAGCCCTGTGCGTCGCGCCTCCTAAGCAGTCAACCTTGTCCCCTCCAAGGACAGGCATCTGACCCAATCCAGGTCCCAGGGAGGCGGAGTCGCAAACCCTAACTCTGGGGTGTATTCTGCTCGGCCTCCTCTCCCCCTCCCCAGATAGCTCTCCCAGCCTGGGGCACGGACAGCACAGACTTTGCAGACATCACCCGGGGAGGTTTCTCAGTGCAGACAGGAGCTGAGGTAGGGGTTGGAGAGGCTGACCTCGAGAGGCCCCCGAGGGCCAGGAAGGAAAAGGAGTCATTCCACTCTGAGAAGCTCAAACACAACAGACTTCACACTGCTGACGGGTGGACAGAGGCCAGGCTCCTCCCCTCGGCAGGCCTCTGTTTCTGGGCCCAGGGTGGTTGAGGACTCACTGAGGGAGAGCAGGTAAAAGAACCCGCAGACAGTAGGCGATCATCAGGTGCTGGCGCCCCTCCCTCCTCCCCTGCCCTGGCTGTCAGTCTGTAGCTTCACAGGTCTTTGCTGAATTCCCTCACCAGCGTGTAGCCCAGGCAGCCCCAGCCCCCCTCGGCCTGGTAGCCACAGCCCTCCAGCATCCCTCCCACCCCCCAGGCGGCCACAGCCACGGGGACCACGAGCCGGGCCCGGGGCTCCCCCATGCCCCCAGCCCAGGCCCGAGCCCGGGCCTCCGCGAAGGCCAGCAGCCTCCTGCCCACGCCCCGGCGGCGGTGCCAGCGAGAGACAGACAGGCGGGTGACCCGGGCCCCGTCCCCTGCATTTGTGCCAGGGGCCAGAGCCAGGACCCCACACACGTCACCGGAGCCCCGCACGGCCACCCAGGGGCCCCCCAGGCCACCCGGCGGAGGCAGCGAGCCCCATCGGGCCCGCAGGCCCAGCTTCACGGCGGCCACAGCCAGGAACACCGGCAGGAGGAGGGCCAGGGCGAAGGAAGCCAGGACAAAGCGCAGGCCGCTGCTGGCCGCCGCCAGGAGGAGCAGGGCCGGCGGCCGTGTCAAGGCATGGAGGGCCACGCGGTTTTCCGTGTCCTTCACGCCGGCCTGTGGGCAGGAGGGGTGGCTCAGCCATCCGAAACGCTAGGGCCTCCTGGACAAAGAGAGGAGGTAGACCCTGCCCGGGGCGGGGTGAGAGCTCCCAAATGGGAAGGGAAGGCAGCACAGTCCGATGTTCAGTGTGGCACACTGGGTATGGAGTGAATGAATGAACGAGAGCGAATGATGGATGGATGAGTGAATTAGGAGCTGTGGGGGCACTCAATTCAGTAGCAATGCCGCAGTGAGGCCCCAGGGAAGTAAGGACAGGGAGGTTGCCTCAGGCTGGAGTGGAGGCTGGAGGGAGGCTGCTGGGCTAGGTTGGGGTGCTGGGCTGTGCTTTGAAGAGTTGGGGTCCGAGGCACAGAGCTGGCTGTTGTGCTGGCGTGCACAGCCGACTGGAGATGGGAGACCAGGGAGGGCGTTGGTGCTGGGGTCCCAGTAGGGCTGGGGGGGTGAGCCCCCACCTGCCACACCTGCTGTGGTTTTCAGCAGCAGGGCGGCTGAGGCTCAGGAGGAAAAGATCCCGCTCCAGGGGTCCAGGCTGGCTCAGGTGGGTGGGAGGGGGTGGCTGAATCCACTTGCAATTCCCCCACTGCAGCCACTCCCAGGCCCCCTGGGGCCCCTGCCTCTCACCTTCAGCATCTCCAGCACCAGGGGCTTCTCATCTTCCCTCATCTCCCGCACTGACAGGTGGCTGGGGGCCATGGCAACCCCCAGGCCCCGGCCCCCCAGAAGGGAGCTGGCGTCGTGCACCTGGTGAGAACATAAGTAGGTCAGCGTCAGGGGGGCACCTCTGTCCCCAAAGCTCCCCCGAGGGGTAGGGAGCAGCAACGGCACTTCCCAGATCAGGACACTGAGAACCCTCGGGGCCCCCAAGCGAGGATCTCGGCAGGACAGGCGCCCCCCACAATACTCAGCGACCTTGCTAAAGTCTCCCGGGATCCCCCCTCCCCCGTATTATTCAGCGATCTACACTCCCAAACGCGCTGCGGACGCCAACACTGCAGCACGGGGCTCCCTCCCAGGCACTGGGGTCCACGAACACCCTCCCCACATGCCAGAGAACGGACCACGCTCGCTCCACCCCGGTCCCCAGCGCCCCCTCCCCCACAGTCGTCCCCGTCCCGCGCCACAAGAACAAGGACCAGCAAGCACCTGCACCGGTCGCCTTTGGTCCTTCGACAAGGTTTCGGGAGCGGGTCTGGAAGGGGGTCGCGGGCGGAAGTGACGTCAGACCGCGCGCGGTGGGGCGGGGCGGCGCCCGCTCCGGGCCGTAGCAACCGTTGCTAAGCTCCCCGGAGGGCGGGCTGGGAGGAACCGAGCTGTGACCCTGCGGAGGGCCGGGAAGCGACCTCTCCTATCCCTAGAGAAGGAGCAACGGGGAAAGGGGACCTGGGGAAGAACGGGAGCGGAAGCCGGCAGGAGACGGGCGGCGGGCTGGGGACCAGCGCGAGCTCCCGCCCCACGTTCCCTCGTTGCTGAGCAACCTGAGCGCCGGGCGGCGACGCCAGCGCGTGGATTCTCATCCGTGCCGGGGCCTTCGCGGGAGGAGCCGGCCACGCTCAGCATCCTGGCGCCCGACTCCCCCATCCCCAGGGACCCCACTCCACCCACGGGGCGCCCGGGGTCGCAGAACCCTTCCGCATAAGGATCCCCCTACTTCTCACACGAGGGGGGCAGCGGGGCGACCTACAGTGAACAAGTAGCACTCCCTGGAGTCTGATGTCACCACCTCCCCACTATAATGACCCCTGCGGCCTTTTTTGGTTTCAGGACAGGGGAACTGAGCCCTACGTAGTGGCTGGCCCCAGGATGCAGAACAAGCCATCTGCGACCCAGGACGCAAGACTTAAGACTCCACGCTCCCAGGCGGGGGCTAGGACCATGACTTTGCCCCCTTCCCTCCCCCCAGGAAAACAAAACACAGGCGGGGAGACTCGGGTCTTTATTAGCAAGCCCAGCCTGCGGCACCCTGCCCCGCCCCGGCTGGCAGTGAGTCGGGGTCTCTGTGCGGGGCGGGAGGGGAATCACTGCCTCTCCTCAAAACGTGTGCACCAGCTGGACTGCGGGTAGAGTCTGGACAATCTGGATGGAGGGCAGGCCCTGAGGGGTCATAACACCAGGCCCAGCTCCTGCGGGGACCACTTGCACCATCTGGGAGGCTGGAGCCCCGGGGAGCCCCGCGGGGCCCGAGGCTGGGCCTGACGGCGGTGGGGCCAGGAGCTGCAGCGTGGCGGTGCCTCCTCCAGTGTTGCTGCTGTCCAGCAGCTCAGTGGCTGGGGCGCTGCGGATGATGAGGAGTTTCTGTCCGGGTGGGCCGGTGGCAGGCGGCTCCGTCAGCCCAGGAGGAAGTGTTTCTACCTCCTGTACGCAGAGTCGAGTCTGTTCGCCATCGGCCCCGCTCAGCACCAGCACGCTCTGCAAGCCCTCGTCCGTCTGGAGTGTCTCAAAGAGGACATCCTGGACCACACCAGTGCTGGCCTCGCCATCCCCCGCCTCCCCGGGGCCCGGGCCAGTGAGCAACTCCTCAGCTGCCCCGCTCTGAACAACCAGCAGGTTGGGTGCCTCAGTAGCCACAGCTCCCCCACTGGAATTGGAGAGCTGGCCGGCCACGGGCTGGAGCTGGACCGTGGTCACCTCCTGTGCTGGCTGGAGCTGGACCGTGGTTACTTCCTGTGCTGGCTGGAGCTGGACTGTGGTCACCTCCTGCGCTGGCTGGAGCTGGACCGTGGTTACTTCTGGGGCTGGTCGGAGGGGCTGGAGCTGCACCCCACTCATTTCCTGTGGCCCTGCCTCCCCACCCCCCACATTCTGCAGAACGATGAGGCTCTGCCCTGTCCCGCTGGCCCCAGCGCTGGCCGCTCCCTGCACCCCTAGACCCCCAGGGCCTGGCAGCCAGACCACTCCCGCCCCCTGGCCCGCTTTCCCCACTGCCCGCGGGCCCTGCCTTGCACGGCCGCCCCCAGCCCCAGCACTGGAGGAGGGCAGCAGGATGAGCTTGGGAGGTGCGGGAGGGGGCGGAGGTGTAGGGGGCTGCACGCTGCTGGGGATCAGCTGGAGGCCCTGGGCAGTTTGCACCAGGAGGAACGTCTGAGAGTTGGGCGCTGCTGGCCCCAAGCTCGGGGCCTGGGCCGTGCCCCCCGCCACCTCGAGGGAGAGCGTGGCCTGGAGGTGGGGCAGGACGTGGACATCTTGGGTGGCTGGCGGGGCCCGCGCAGCAGCCAGTGGAGCAGGGGGCTGGGGGCCGGCGGCAGGGGCTGTGGTGCTGGGAGGCGTGTTGGCCGGGGCGTGCGTCCTCAGGTGCCGCTGCAGATAGGCGGCCATAACGAAGCCGCGACCGCAGATGGGGCAGGTGAAGGGGCGCTCCGCCGAGTGCGTGCGCTGGTGCAGCAGCAGGTTGGAGGAGTGGGTGAAGGTCTTGGGGCAGAGCGGGCAGCGGAAGGGCCGCTCGCCCGTGTGCACGCGCTGGTGCTGCCGCAGGTTGGAGGTCTGCGCGAAGCTCTTGCCGCAGACACCGCAGGCGTGGGGCCTCTCGCCAGTGTGCACGTGGCGGTGGCGACGCAGGCACGACGTGTTGCGGAAGGCCTTGCCACACTCCCCGCAGGCGTAGGGCCGCTCGCCAGAGTGCAGCCGCAGGTGGTACTGGTAGTGGGACGACCACTTGAAGGTGAGGCCGCACTGGCCACAGGTGAAGGCCCGCAGGCCCGTGTGCACCCGCTGGTGGATGGCCAGCAGGGAGGAGCGCTTGAAGGCCTTGCCGCACTCGCCACACTGGTAGGGCCGCTCGCCCGTGTGGTCCCGCAGGTGGTAGCGCAGCCCGGAGGAGCCCTTGAAGGACTTGCCGCACTCGGCACATTTGTAGGGCCGCTCCGCAGAAGCGGGGGCGGACGGGGGTGGCGGCGGGACGGGGGCGGCAGGCGCCAGCGGTTCCTGGGGGCAGGTCACCTCCGCAGCCTCAGCCTGCGGGGGCGGGCGCCCGGCCGCGGCCTCTTCCACGTGGCACTGCTGATGCGCCAGGAGGCTGGCCAGCTGCGGGAAGGAGCCGTCGCAGCTGCCGCAGCGGAACGCTTGCCCGCCGGCAGCCCCGTGGCTGTGCTGGTGGCGGGAGAGCCCAGCCACCGTCCGGAAGGACTTGCCGCAGGGCAGACAGGCAAAGCCAGGCGCGGGGGCGGCGGCGGGAGGAGGGGGCTGCGGCAGAGGGGACGGTGGCTGGTCGGCCTTGGGCGCCTCGGCGGGTGCCTCCTGGGGCTGGGGCGCCGCATCGGGCCCGGGGCACGGCTGGTGCTCCAGGAGCAGCTCCTCGCTGCTGAATCCCTGCTCGCAGCCATCGCAGCGGTACACCAGCTCCACCGTGGTCTCCGCCGCCGCCAAAAAGAGCTCAGGCACCACGGGCGGGGGCGGGGGCGGCGGGGCGGGAGGCGCGGGCGGGCTGTGGGGCTGGAGGTGCCGCTGCAGGTAGGCGTCGCACACGAAGACCTTGCCGGGCTCCCGGGACTGGGGGGGCGGGGCCGCGGAGGCGGTACCCGGGGCGGGGGCGGCGCCGTGCGTGCGCTGGTGCAGCAGCAGGTTGGAGGAGTGGGTGAAGGTCTTGGGGCAGAGCGGGCAGCGGAAGGGCCGCTCGCCCGTGTGCACGCGCTGGTGCTGCCGCAGGTTGGTGCTCTGCGTGAAGCTCTTCCCGCAGACTCCACAGGTGTAGGGCCGCTCGCCGGTGTGCACGTGGCGGTGGCGCCGCAGGCTGGACGAGTTCTTGAAGGCCTTGGGGCAGTCCGGGCACGGGTAGGGGCGCTCGCCTGTGTGCTGCCTTAAGTGGTACTGGTAGTGGGACGACCACTTGAAGGCCAGGCCGCACTGGCCGCAGATGAAGGCCCGCAGGCCGGTGTGCACGCTACGGTGGATCTGCAGCAGAGAGGAGCGCTTGAAGGCCTTGGGACAGTCGGGGCACTGGTAGGGCCGCTCGCCCGTGTGGCCTCGCTGGTGGTAGAGCAGGGCCGAGGAGCCTTTGAAAGCCTTGGGGCAGTCTGGGCACTTGTAGGGCCGCTCGCCTGTGTGCGTGCGCTGGTGGTGCAGGAGCCGGGACGACCACCGGAATGACTTGCCACACTCCCCACATTCGTACTGGGCCGCCGGGGCAGGGGCCGCAGGGCCTGGCTTCTCCCCGGCCCCCTCCGCAGTAGAGGCCGGCGCCATGTCCGCGTGGGAGCCGACCATCACACCTGGGGGAGGGATTCTGGGTCAGCGGCTCACCCCCGCACTGGATCATCTCAACCCCAAACCCACACACGGGCTCTTTAAGGGACAGGGACTACCTCCCCAGGTCACCCACTTTGCAGGGGACCTTCCTTAGGATGAGGGTCTCCAATGGTCCCAGTTTGCTTGGGACTTGAGCAGGTGCCAGCGATGCTGCACTTTCAGTGCTGAAATGGAAACTCCCCAGCAAACTGTGGCCACCCTCCTTAGGAGGCTAGCCAGGTCTGAGAAGGCTGGGGCCCGCCTTCAAGAGAGCAAGCACTGCCTGTAGGAGTCTGCTCCCTCCCTCTCCAGACAGGCAGGGTCCCTGAAGACCACACGCAGAGAGGCTCTCCTGGCTCCTCCTTGCTGCTCTCCCTCTAAGACCTTATCCTCCATCTCGGCCTCAACACTCCTCCCACTGCCATACCCTAAGCCTTTTCATTTTAACTAAAGCCTCCTCATGGGGCCAGGCACTGTGGCTCACGCCTGTAATCCCAGCACTTTGAGAGGCTGAGGCAGGCAGATCACCTGCGATCAGGAATTTGAAACCAGCCTGGCCAACATGGTCAAACCCTGTCTCTATTAAAAATACAAAAATTAGCCCGGCATGGTGGTGGGCGCCTGTAATCCCAGCTACTCAGGAGGCTGAGGCGGGAGAATTGCTTGAACACAGGAGGTGGAGGTTTCAGTGAGCCAAGATCGTGCCACTGCACTCCAGCCTGGGTGACAAGAGTGAAACTCCATCTCAAAAAATAATTAAATAAATAAATAATTAGCTGGACGTGGTGGCAGGCACCTGTAATCCCAGCTACTTGGGAGGCTGAGGCAGGAGAATCACTTGAGCCTGGGAGGTGGAGGTTGCAGTAAGCCGAGATCACACCACTGTACTCCAGCCTGGGCCATAGAGAGAGACTCCATCTCAAAAAAAAAAAAAAGGAAAAAAAAAGTGTCCTCATGGTTGAGCCTGGAACAACCTACTTCCCAACACCACAAAGCCTTCTAGGTCACTCTAGCTTGGTGCTCCAACTCCCCAAATCCTTAGACTCCAGCCCATCTACCATCCAGCGCGCCCTTTCACCTCCAGCCAACCCACATCCTCACTCCTGCCCGACCCTGCACAAACGCTGCAGGTGGCCATGACAGGCACCCCCTTGCCTGGCCTCAGTCTCACTTTCCCTTCAAGCCCACAAAATCTGCGGCCCCCTCACCATCACCCTCCCTGGCTCACACTACATGTCTCTGGCCCATGCACTCCCCAGGTGACTACCTGACATGCTTCTTTCTCCTGAAACCTCCAGCCCCTCCTCTCCCCTCCTGTTCTTGGCAGGCAACCCTGTCCTTGATCATGCCTCTGTGAAAATAAAAGCAATCAGACGCGAAGTTTCTCACATTCTGACCACGATACTAGTGGTTCTCAACTGGGACAAACTGTGCCTTCAACCCAGGGGACATCCCGCAATGCCTGGAGGCATTTGGGGTTATCTGTTAACTAGAGAGGCAAGTGCTCCTGGCATCTAGTGGGTGGAGGCCAGGGATGCTGCCCAACATCCTACAATTCACAGGACGGCCCCACAGCGGAGAACAATCCCATCCACAATGTCAGCAGTGCGAGGTCCAGAAACCCTGCGCAATCCTTCCCCACAGGCCTGACCCAGTGCCCGTGGACTGTGCCTTCCCACCCACATCCTCCACTTTTCCTCCTCTCCTGGACGTTCCCATCTGCAGAACCAACAATCTATGTCTCCCATCTTTAAAAACCAAAAAGCTCTTCACTCCACTTCCCTGTCCAGCTGCAGACTCGTTTCTCCATTCCTTCACAGCAGAGCAGCTCAAGTGTCAGCCCGCTCTTTCCCAGCGCAAACCCCTTCAGTCCCACGCGGGTGCCCCCACTCCATGGCCTGGGCGGCGCGTGGCCCGCAATGGCCCACTTGTCACTGGGTCCGTGGCCCGCCTCCCCCTGGCCTCCGGGATACCTCGCTCCCTCACTGCCCTCCGTCACCTGTCACCCCATCTCAGTCCCCAGCTTGGTTCCTTCTCACCTCCCTGACCTCTAGATGTGGGAGCGCCCGGGGCTCCGGCACCACTTTGTCCTCTGTCTGTCCTCTCTCCCTGGGAGCCCCCACCCACTCTCAGGACTCCACTGTCTATGAACAATGACTCCAGGCCTCCAGCTCTATAAGACCTACCCTCTGAATGCCACACCACCTGCTAGACTGTTCCACCTGGATGCCTCATTAGACACCTCCAACTTAACATGCCCAAAATCTAACTATGGTCTTCTGCTCCTCGCCCCCAACTTCTACTCCACCCATAGCTTCTCCATCTCTGAAAATGGCAGCCGTCTTCTTCCTCAGGCCAAAGGCTCCTCGCCTCCTCTCTCTCGATTGCCCCTGTCCGCAGATTCCCCTTCCAGGCGGAACATATCCAAGATCTGGCCACTTCTCACAGGCCTCCACCTTGATCTGAGGCACCACTGTCTCTCTCCCAGGCAGCTGCAACAGCCTCCCCACGGATCGCCGTGTTTCCACCCGTGCCCTGCCCACCCGTCTGTTCCCAATACAGCAACTGAAGCGAACCCGTCAACAGGGAGGGCTGGGCATTGCATTCCTGTACTCAGAAATCTGCCACAGTTCTGGTCTTCGAGCCTGCCGACTTCCTGCAGCCTGTCCCCTCCCTGACTTGTCCTACTGCTATCCTCACTGGCCACCTGCCCCTGGTCACTCTGGTCACCCAGGATGGCCAGGCACGCCTGCTCCCACCTCAGGGCACCTGCCTAGAACCACCCCCTTCCTTTCCACCTGTGCCCGCCACTCGCTCTTTCACCTCCGAGTCTTCGCTGAAATCCCCTCTGCAAGAGCTTCCCTGACAGCCCTATTTAAATCTACAATCCCTTCCAACTCCCCATTCCCTTTTCCTGCCTTATTTTTCCCCCGCAGCAATTATCACCTTCTAATGTACCAGGATTCTCAGCCTCAGCAGTGCTGAGATGTGGGGCCAGACCATTCTCTGTTGAGGGCTGTCCTGTGCACTGCAGGGTGTCGAGCAGCAGCCCTGGCCCCCGGCCTCGACCCACTGGACGCCTGACATTGGCCTATGAAGCCCTCCTCTACGCTGTCCACAAAGCTCACTCCTGCACCTCCGAGTCTTAGCCGCAGTGTCGCCCCTGGGGAGCACCGTTGCCCCCAGATGAGAACCGCTACTATATAACCAGTGTGCTTTCTGTTTTATTCTGCCTCCCCATGCTAGAATGTCAACGCCGGGAAAATAGGGGCTTCTGTCTGGTTCACTGTTGTATGCCATCCCAGTGCCTACAATAATGTCTGGCAGAGTGTGTGCGCAGTAAACAAATTTTAAATGAATGAAGGCTAGGCATCCCCGTCGGACAAGCTACAAGAACTTGTGTGTTTTTTTTGTTTTTTTTTGGAGACAGGGTCTCACTCTGTCACCGAGGCTGGAGTGCAGTGGCGCGATCTCGGCTCACTGCAACCTTCGCCTCCCGGCTTCAAGCGATTCTCCTGCCTCAGCCTCCCGAGTAGCTGGGATTACAGGTGCACGCCACCGCGCCCGGCTAATTTTTGTATTTTTAGTAGAGACGGGGTTTCACCATATTGCCTGGGCTGGTCTTGAACTCCTGGCCTCAAGTGATCCGCCCGCCTCGGCCTCCCAAAGTGCTGGGATTACAGGCGTGAGCCACCGCGCCTAGCCAAGAACTTCCTTTTTAAAAGATAAGTGTACCCTTTAATATGTAAGCAGGTTAGATCGCGCCACTGCACTCCAGCCTGGGCAACGGAGCAAGACTCCGTCTCCAGAAAAAAAAAAAAAAAAAAAAAACAAACCTACTGATGCTAAGAAGCTGCACGTGCCTTTGAGAAGCCCCAGCATCTCCTTAAAAGAGATATCCGTGCCCTGAAAGAGCGGGGTCCCATTTAACAAGAAGACATCCCCTTTAAAAGGCCGCGCCACACCCGTTCAGCAGGCTGGACCTCCCCTTTAAGGGGATGCTGCCACTGGAGCCCCATCTCCACTTTTGTTGAGCTAAACCAGGGATCGCTTTGAAGCAACCAGGACTCAGGAGTTTTTGCTTCAATGTCTGGGAAACGGTCACTGGCCTTTAATGAGATAACCGCCTTTTAGGGGAAAAACATTGTTTTAAGTCAGAAAGCTTCTGTAAAAATGCAAAGCCTGACCCGCCCTCTCAATGTGGCCCCTTGCCCTTTAAGAGGGCGGACCCGGCCTAGCTGGCAAATGTCGGAGGTGAAATAGTGACTCCCCTTTAAGGTACCCCTTCCGGTTTCACGCCCCCCCCCCCGCCCCACCCCCTGCAACTTCTCCGCCCTCCGGTCCCTCCCCCCACCCCCACCCCCTCCGGTCTCTCACCTGCGGCCCCAATCGGGGGAACGAGGGTGGCAGCCCCAGGACCTTCCCGCGGGGGTCGACGGGAAGGTGGGGCCCCGGCAGCGGCGGTGCAGCTGTGGGGACCGGGGAGGGGGGGCAGGGGCGCACTCCCTCCCAACGGCCCCCGGCGCGAGGCACCCAACCTTTATCGGCGGCCTCTCGCGCACACAAACCCCGACGTCGCCGTCGGTGCGTCACAACGCACGTACTCCGAGTTCCCGCCCCCGGACCCTCCCATTGGCTGTGCGAGGCCTCGTCGAGCTCGGGCGCAGGCGGTGCGCGGCATCCTGGGAGTTGTAGTTCTCCCAGTTGTGGTCGCGGACTCCAGTTGTCAGGTCTTGGGGGCCGAGGCCCCGGTGAGCCCAAGGCCAGGGACGGCCAGCTCGAGACGCGGGGTCGCAAGTTCCCCTTATTAATCCCGATTCCCTCTCATCTGCAAAAAAATCCTTCCATGCACCACGGTTGTACAAAAATCCCTCCCGTGAAGCGGGCCCCGCCCCCAGGGTGTAATCGCTCCAGCGGGAAAACGAGGCCTGGAGCGCTTCCAGTCCCTCGGTAGAGCCACGTGCTCAGGATTTTCGGGCGTGTGCTTCGTGCACGCTCATCCAGACGCTGCAGAAACCTGGTTCCTGCTGGGCAAAGGTCTGTTCTGGGAGGCTGGAATCCACAGACTCCTTGTGGGGCCTAGGGTTTTAGTGGGAGACCGAGCTGCTCCAAAGCCCCTCTCCACGCTCAACCCCCGCCCAACCCAGCGTTCCAGCCACACTGGCTTTTCTGAGGGTCATTAAACGCAGTTTCTCAACCAGAGCACTAGTGCCATTTGGGATGGATTCATTGCAGCGGGGACTGTCCTACACACTCTAGGGCCCCCACTCACTAGATGCAGGTAGCATCCCCAGCCCCGCTCCACACACCCCGTAGGAGAGCTCAGAATATCTCCAGATAGAGATTTTCGCGGTGGCTCACACCTGTAATCCCAGCACTTTGGGAGGCTGAGGCAGGCAGATCACTTGAGGTCAAGAGTTCAAGACCAGCCTGGCCAACATGGTGAAACCCCGTCTCTACTAAAAATACAAAAATTAGCCGGGCATGGTGGCAGGCACCTGTAACCCCAGCTACTCAGGAGGCTGAGGCAAGAGGATCGCTTGAGCCCAGGAGTCGGAGGTTGCAGTGAGCCAAGATCGTGCCACTGCACTCCAGCCAGGGTGACAGAGTGAGACTCTGTGTTAAAAAAAAAAAACAACAACAACAAAAAGAATATCTCCAGACATTGCCACATGTTCACTAGTTGAGAGCCACTGCTCAAAGGCAGTACCCTCAGCTTGAAGACCATTCTGCATGCTGTTTCTCAGGCCAGAAGGCCCTTCTACCCTTAACCCATCCCTGCCCAGCAAGATCCCACTGGAAAGCCTCCTGTGCTAGGTGGTGTCCCTCTTACATGCTCAGCGACATTTATCTATGTCCCATGACAGCGAGGACCTTTCGTGTCTTTGCTGCCCAGGTATTCCAAACAACCAGCATGGGCCCTGATGGAGAAGCAGACGGTACTTGTTTGTTGAATGAGTGGATTTTTCCAGCCTCCCACACCGTTTCCCAAGTCCACAAGCAGGCTGGAACTCAGGGCTGATCTGCGGTGGTGTGGACCCACCCCTACCTTACAGGGTCTTGGTGCTGATGTCTCCGTGCATTCGTGCGTGTAAAAACCCTTGGCATCCAGCTCAGCCCAACATTCCTTTCACGTCAGCATTAACCACACAAAGCGGCTGCCATGCAGGGTGGAGACGTGGATGGGAATGCACTGCCCAGCTGGCTGCCAGGCTAGGAAAGCCCAGAGGTGCGGATCCCACTTCCGTCCCCCTTGCCTCGGGCCATTTTGGTCTCTGCAGTAGTGAAAGGGGCCCTCAGCTCAGCCCCCCTCATTTACCTGCCCACGCAGAGGCATTACAAAAGGGATGGGACACCCAGCCTGGGCAGTACAGCAAGACCTCATTTCTACAAAAAATAAGCTTCCTGTGGTGTACATACCTGTAGTCCCAGCTACTCAGGAAGCTGAGGTGAGGGGATCGCTTGAGCCTGGGAGGTTAAGTCTGCAGTGAACCGAGATTGTACCACTGCACTCCAGCCTGGACAAGAGAGCGAGACCCTCTCAAAAAAAAAGAAAGAGAGATTGGCATGGCTAAGACTGGCTCTTACTCTCCTTAACATTCCCCACTTTGCAGCCAGAAGGTGAACAAAGGTTTTGAAGTCAATGGCCTTGGGCAACCTGCTGTCTCTGAAAAGGTGGTGTGGATTCAACAGGTTTGTTTTCAGAACAGCCTCGCAGCCCCTTGGAGACAGTGACCGGAGGAAACTCAGGCCAGCCTTGTGTCCAGCACTTTCCAGGCCAAGGAGGAGTCTCAGGGACCCAGATGGGGAGGTGGGGTTGTCTCCTAACCCCCCGGAACATCTGTGTAGCCCTTCAAGGGATGTTGTCAGGTCCCTCATGCTGACAAGTAAACAGAATCAGCTGGGTGCAGTGGCTCATGCCTGTAATCCCAGGCCTTTGGGAGGCTGAAGCAGGCGGATCACAAGGTCAGGAGTTCGAGACCAGCTTGGCCAGCGTGGTGAAACCCCCCCCCAACTCTACTAAAAATACAAAAATCAGCCAGGCATGGTGGCGCGTGCCTGTAGTCCCAGCTACTCAGGAGGCTGAGGCAGGAGAATTGCTTGAACCCAGGAGGCAGAGGTTTGCAGTGAGCCGAGATCGTGCCACAGCACTCCAGCCTGGGCGACAGAGCAAGACTCCATCTCAAACAAACAAACAGACAAAAACAGAATCAAATAGCCAAAAACATGGATAAGATCACACAGAATCCTCAGCTGCAGCTGTTCCAGGCCCAGCAGCGCTCCCACCCACAGTCCAGACCAGGGCTCCACCCCAGGTCCTGCCCTGGGAGCTGGGTCATAGCAATGTGGAGGGGGAAAACCAATAAAAAACTCACCATCCCAGTGAGCTCACAAAACCTCCCAGGGCATGCAGTGGTAACAAAGAAGACAGACTACCCGCTGCTCAGTGCTGCAGGGAAAAGCCCAGCGGGGGATAAAGCTCCAGGGCAGCAAGGGGACCTCCAGAGCCTCAAACGCAGGACCAAGCAGACGCGCGGATGCACACCCCTGCACCCCTGCAGGCCCCAGACGTTTCTGTTTCTGGCCAACAACACCCCGCACCAGGTGTTTTGGGGGCACGGTTCCCCCCACCCCAACTAGATCAGCCTCCTTGCCCAGCCTCAGACTCTGAGCCCTGCCCCCTGCCAGCCAGGTAAACCATTCAGCCCCTCTAGGTACCCACCCTTTCCTGGGGACTGTGCTGTCACTTCCGCCCAGAGGCCCTGCACGCACTTGGGAGATTCTTCTCCATCCACCCCCATCCCAGGAGGATCAGCCGAAGGCTTTAGAAGGGACCTGCCACTCCCTTTCCCTCCCTCTCCAGAAAGTGGGGTCAGGGAGTGAAGGAGGGATCTGGAGTAATGACTGGATTCCCAGGGCCAGCGATGAAAAATAAAACGTCCTTTTCCAAACAAGTCGGGTAAGGAACCAGAGATGCATTTTAGGTTGAAGGCGGAGGGGACGGGCAAAGGGAGTCACCGGTTGCCGGCCATCCCCCGGAACAGGGGACCCAGGGGGCAGGCCCTTGCCTCCCACAGACTCAGGATGCTTCCTTCTTTTTTTTGGAAACAGAGTCCCATTCTATTGCCCAGGCTGGAGTACAATGGCACAATCTTGGCTCACTGCAACCTCGGCCTCCCGGGTTCAAATGATTCTCCTGCCTCAGCCTCCTGAGTAGCTGAGATTACAGGCATTTGCCACTATGCCCAGCTAATTTGGCTGGTCTTGAACTCCTGACCTCAGATGATCCACCCGCCTCGGTCTCCCAAAGTGTTCAGATTACAGGCGGGATCCACCGCACCTGGCCAGGATGCTCCCTTCTGACATCTCTTAAGGCCCCCGTGGCAGCCCCAGCCGGCCCCAAGCTAACGGGCCTCTCCACTCAGAAGGGGTGTGATCCCCATTTCACAGTGGGGTAAGGCAAGGCCCTCTGAAGTCTCATGGCCAAGCCACAGAACCAGGAAGTGATGTAGTGTCCTGTAACCAGGAAGGAATTCCTACAGCCCAGAAGTGGTTGGACCAGGAATGTGCCCAACCCCAGAGTCCACCCACTTCCAAGGCCTATCGAGCAGGTCTCACATGCACGGTCAGGCACTCATGGAGGCTGCCCAGGACATGGGAGCCAGGGGAGACTCCTCGTGCAGCCTGGGGGAAACCAGGGCAGACTCCCTGGAGGAAGCAACAATATACAGGGTTCCATCTGTACAGGTAAAACCTTCCTCACGCAGCCTGGGGGAAACCAGGGCAGACTCCCTGGAGGAAGCAACAATATACAGGGTTCCATCTGTACAGGTAAAACCTTCCTGACGCAGCCTGGGGGAAACCAGGGCAGACTCCCTGGAGGAAGCAACAATATACAGGGTTCCATCTGTACAGGTAAAACCTTCCTGACGCAGCCTGGGGGAAACCAGGGCAGACTCCCTGGAGGAAGCAACAATATACAGGGTTCCATCTGTACAGGTAAAACCTTCCTCACGCAGCCTGGGGGAAACCAGGGCAGACTCCCTGGAGGAAGCAACAATATACAGGGTTCCATCTGTACAGGTAAAACCTTCCTCCATTTTAAGTGCAAAAACGGACAGGGACAGATGCATGCTAAATTTCCTCCCTAAGAGTGGCTGCTACCTTCTACGATGACCCCCAGGGACCCGTGCCCTTGTGTGAGTGCCTTTGCATCATGTGGATGTGATGGTTATGTGATATGGTGAAGGCAAGGGGGGTCTTGGCAGATGCAATCAAGGATCCTGAGGCCAGGCGCGGTGGCTTACATCTGTAATCCCAGCACTTTGGGAGGCCAAGGCGGGTGGATGACCTGAGGTCAGGAGTTTGAGACCAGCCTGGCCAACATGGTGAAACCCCATTTCTACTAAAAATACAAAAAATCAGCAGGGCATGGTGGCAGGGCACCTGTAATCCCAGCTACTTGGGAGGCTGAGGCAAGAGAATCGCTTGAACCCGGGAGGCGGAGGTTGCAATGAGCTGAGATCGCACCACTGCACTCCAGGCTGGGCAACAAGAGCGAAACTCTGTCTCATTAAAAAAAAAAAAAATAGGATCCTGATTAGTGGACTTTGAGTTCATCAAGGGGAAAAGTGACGGTTAAATTTTATGCATGTACTGAACTGGGCCGCGGGATGCGCGGGTACCTGGTTAAACGTGATTCTGGGTGTGTCCGTGACAGTGTTTCCGGAAGAGATTAATTGGTAGCGTGAGCCAAGCAGGCAGCCTCCCGCAGGGTGGGTGGGCCTCAGCCTCAGGGGAAGGTGGAACTCCATCCCTGCCCTCAGGCTTGAGCTGTAGCATCAATCTTCTCCTGCCCTCGGGCCTCCTGGTCCTCCAGCCTTCAGACTCACACTGGAATCTACTCCATCAGCTCCTGGTTCTCAGGCCCTCCAACTACACCACTGGCTTTTCTGGTTCTCCAGTTTGCAGACAGCAAACATGGGGCTTCTTGGCCTCCATAATCACATGAACCAATACCTTCTAATCACTCTCTTTCTGGAGAGATGTATCTATATTGTTGTAGCTATTCATATCTATCGCTATCCTCATAGATCAATCTATGGATAAATAGATGGATGTATAGGTTGATTGATGGGTGGATAGACAGACATAGCCTATTGATTCTGTTTCTCTGGAGAACCCTGACTAATACAGGAAGATTACCCTGGGTGGATCTGACCTAGTCAGTGGAGCTCTTTAAAGCTGGACCTAGAGATCAAAGATGGGAAGCACTGAGGTTCTCCTGCTGGCCGTGAACCCAGGGCTCCATGCCTTCCTCAGAAGCACGGAAATGAGGCCGGGCGCGGTGGCTCACGCCTGTAGTCCTAGCACTTTGGGAGGCCGAGGCGGGCGGATCACGAGGTCAGGAGATCGAGACCATCCTGGCTAACACGGTGAAGCCCCGTCTCTACTAAAAATACAAAAAATTAGCCGGGCGTGGTGGCGGGCGCCTGTAGTCCCAGCTACTCGGGGGTCTGAGGCAGGAGAATGGCATGAACCCAGAAGGCGGAGCTTGCAGTGAGCCGAGATCGCGCCACTGCACTCCAGCCTGGGCGACAGAGTGAGACTCCGTCTCAAAAAAAAAAAAAGAAGCACGGAAATGGATGCTGCTATGTAAACCTGGGAGCGGACCCCAACCTCAGATGAGACCACAGCCCTGGGTCACTCGAGGATTGCAGCGATCCTGACCAGAGGACCAAGATAAACCACGGTGCTGGACTCCTGGCCACGGAACTGTGAGATAATGAATGTACGTTGTTTAAAGCCATTGCATCAGTGGCTATTTCTTACACAGCGTAGAGAGCGAATACACTCATTATATATATGAGTCTGCTGGGACCCCCATAGCAAAGTCCCACACTGAGTGGCCCCAACAACAGAAACTTATTTTCTCCCGGTTCTGGATACAGAAGTCCGCGGTCAAGGTGTCGGGAGGGTTGCTTTCCCCCGAGGCCTCTCCCCTTGGCTTGCAGACGCTTGTCTTCCTTGTGGAGCCTCCATGGTGGCCCCTCTGTGTGTGTCTGTGTCCTAATCTCTTCTGTAAGGACACCAGTCAGATTGCATTAGGGCCCACCCTAATGGCCTTGTTTAACTTAATTGCCTCCCCTCCCCTCCCTTCTCCTTTCCTCTCCTCTCTTTTCTTTTCTTTTCTTTCTTTTTTTTTTTGAGACGGAGTCTCGCTCTGTCGCCCAGGCTGGAGTGCAGTGGCCCGATCTCGGCTCACTGCAAGCTCCGCCTCCTGGGTTCACGCCATTCTCCTGCCTCAGCCTCCCAAGTAGCTGGGACTACAGGCGCCCGCCACCAAGCCCGGCTAATTTTTTGTATTTTTAGTAGAGATGGGGTTTCACTGTGTTAGCCAGGATGGTCTCGATCTCCTGACCTTGTGATCCGCCCGCCTCAGCCTCCCAAAGTGCTGGGATTACAGGCTGAGCCACCGCGTCCGGCCCCTTTTCTTTTCTTTCATCGAGACGGAGTTTCACTTTTGTTGCTCAGGCTGGAGTGCAATGGTGTGCTCTCGGCTCACTGAAACCTCCATCTCCCAGGTTCAAGTGATTCTCCTGCCTCAGCTTCCGGAGAAGCTGGGATTACAGGCATGAACCACCACATCCGGCTAATTTTGTATTTTTAGTAGAGACGGGGTTTCTCCATGTTGGTCAGGCTGGTCTCGAACTCCCGACCTCAGGTGATCCACCTGCCTCGGCCTCCCAAAGTGCTGGGATTACAGGTGTGAGCCACAGAGACTCAGATTAATTGCCTCTTTAAAGACTTTCTCCTAATACTGTCTCACTCTGGAGCATGGGGGTTACAACTTCAACATCTGAATCTGGGGGGACACAGGCAGCCAAGGCCTGCCTTCTCTCAGAAGAAGAGTTGTGAACCAAATACGACAGGGTTGGCCCCTCTGCGTCTGGGTTGGGAACACCAGGGTGATGCATTGTGACTCTGCCATCTGTACATTTTTATAATAAATTTTAAGGGGTCCAGGGGCGGCGGCTCACGCCTATAATCCCAGCACTTTGGGAGGCCAAGGCAGGCGGATCACCTGAGGTCAGGAGTTCGAGACCAGCCTGGCCAACATGGTGAAACCCTGTCTCTACTAAAAATTCAAAAGTTAGCTGGGCGTGGTGGTGCACGCCCGTAATTCCAGCTACTTGGGAGGCTGAGGCAGGAGACTCTCTTGAACCCAGGAGGCAGAAGTTGCAGTGAGCCAGGATTGCACCACTGCACTCCAGCCTGGGTGACAGAGAGAGATTCTGTCTCAAAAAAAAAAAAAAAAAGACTAGGCATGCAGTGGCTCATACCTGTAATCCCAGCACATTGAGAGGCCGAGGCGGGTGGATCAAGAGGTCAGGAGATTGAGACCATCCTGGCTAACACGGTGAAACCCCATCTCTACTAAAAATACAAAAAATTAGCCGGGCGTGGTGGCGGGCACCTGTAGTCCCAGCTACTTGGGAGGCTGAGGCAGGAGAATGGCGTGAACCTGGGAGGCGGAGCTTGCAGTGAGCCGAGATCGCGCCACTGCACTCCAGCCTGGGCGACAGAGCGAGACTCCATCTCAGAAAAAAAAAAAAAAATTAAGGGAAACAAGGTCCCACAATGACTGGATGAGAGGGAGCAGATAGCAGATGAGCAGGTGGGGACAGGGAAGGACACACCCTGGGTTGTCCCTGGCTTCCTGGCCTGGCCCTGACACCCCCATCCAGATTGTAGGGGGATTGGAGGGTGGGGTCTCCACATTCCAGCTGTAGCAAGGCCTGCAAAGAAGGTTGGGTTAGACCCTGCCCCAAACCCTCTATGGTTCTCCATCATGCTTACCCTCATAGCCCAACCCTTGCCTGGCTCACAAAGCCCGGCAGGTCTGCTCCCCGCGCCCCCTCGGCTTCTCTGACTTCACCTCCTCCACTGCTCAGTAAAGCAAGGTGCTCAATAAATGTTTGTTGAATGACTAAATCCACCCCCAACACACACAGAATTTCAAGGGCTGGGATAGGGGAGAGGAGGCTGGGGAAGACCTTCCAGCACCTGGAAGTGCAGGTCCTCAACAAAGACCCCATGAAGCCAGCTCCCTGCTGTGGTTGATTGTTCTCAATGACAGGAGACAGGAGAGGGCCCCAAGTTCTCGGGCCGCACCCCTTGAGCCGGGCCGCCCAGCACCGGCCGGGTGGGCGCCCCCTGGTGGACAGTCCCGAGGCCGCAGCCTGCAGGCGGCCGCCCTGTGCATTGCTGGCCGGCCTGAGTGGGACAGAGCTGGCCGGCGGATGTTGCTCTTGGCCCCTGGACTGTGGAATGCAAATTTTGAAATAAGAGCTACCAGATGTGAATACACACGATAAAGTGTGTATCAAGGTAGCAAAGGTCATACCCCAGCCACGTGGCGGCGGGCCCCTTCCCGGCCCTCAGAGCCAATCCTTCCCTTCCCATCCTCCAGAGACCCAGGGGTCTTCTCCCTTCGGCCTCTTGCCAAGGGACCCTGGACCCTTCCCTCTGTACCTGAGACCTGGAGCAGAACAGGACAGGAAACCTTCACCTTCAGGCCACCCCCAATACCACAGGCGTGAACCAGACTCACGGACATCTTGAGGCAGGAGAATAGCAGAGAAATTCGGGGGGCGAAGGGGACCGTTGGACATAGGTTAGCTTAAGCAGAAGCAAAACGTGTCAAATGGCAGAAGCAGGACATGCGAAATAAGGGAGGAAGCAGTGAGTTGGAACATGCAGGATAAGGAAAATAAGCCAGAAGGACTTGCAGTAGCAGTTTGGCCACGAAAAATAAAGCTAAAGATGAGCAATTTGGTCAAAAGAGATAAAGAAAGATTAGGCAAGGATGAGCAACTAACTTACAAGAGATAAAGTGAGGTTAAGGAAGTGATGAAAAACATATAAAAGGCCATGAAATGTACGGCCGGGCGCGGTGGCTCACGCCTGTAATCCCGGCACTTTGGGAGGCCGAGGCGGGCGGATCATTTGAGGTCAGGAGTTCGAGACCAGCCTGGCCAACATGGTGAAACCCCACCTCTACTAAAAACACACAAAAGTTCGCCGGGCATGGTGGTACACGCCTGTGATCCCAGCTACTCTAGAGGTAGAAGCAGGAGAATCACTTGAACCCGGGAGGCGGAGGTTGCAGTGAGCTGAGATCGCACCACTGCACTCCAGCCTGGGCGACAGAGCAAGACTCCATCTCAAAAATAAAAAATAAAAAAAAAATTTAAAAAGAGTCCTTTAAAAAAAAAAGGCCATGAAATGTAACAAACTGGGGCTGATCTCATCTCGGAGAGCTCAGTCCGCTCTCCCCTCTGAGAGTGGAATACTGTGCTTCATAAACGTTTGCTCCTTTCCTTTGCTGTCTGTGCGCGTCTCATCCAATTCTTTGTTTTGGACACCAGGAGACTGGAACTGCACAGTACCATCCAGTAACAATCACACACGTGCACAAACACACACACACACACACACACACACCATGCCCTGGGGAAGACAGAGAGACAGAAACAGAAAAGCTGAGAGACAGGCAGTGAAG
The DNA here is from genome assembly GCF_000001405.40 of Homo sapiens. NCBI lineage: Eukaryota > Metazoa > Chordata > Mammalia > Primates > Hominidae > Homo > Homo sapiens. The sequence continues at coordinate 55,466,618 of NC_000019.10, read as the reverse complement.
AGCATTCAGAGTCTAAAACATAAACACTGAGAGAAACTCCAGAGACAGTGAAAGAGACAGAGACAGGGAGAGGAACCGGAACACAAATGGGAGAGATGAAGTCAGAGAGACAATACAGAGGAGAGAGGCTGGGCACGGTGGCTCTCGCCTGTGACCGCAGCACTTTGGGAGGTCAAGGCAGGAGAATCACTTGAACCCAGAAGTTTGAGACCAGCCTGGGCAACATAGTGAGACCCCATCTCTACAAAAGAAAAAAATTAGCCAAGCATGGTGGCAGGTGCCTGTAATCCTAGCTTCTCAGGAGGCTGAGGTGGAAAGACCCCTTGAGCCCAAGAGGTCAAGGCTGCAGTGAGCCAGGATCACACCACTGCAGTGCATCCTGGGTGGCAGAGCCAGACTCTGTCTCTAAAAATAGATATATACATACATACACACATACATAGATGATAGATCCATAGATAGGCAGGTGATAGATAGATGATAGTTGAGAGAATTGTGGATAACCCAGGGATGGACAGAAAGCCAGGAGGAGCAGAAGAGGAACGAGCAAGGGTGGGCGAGATGGAGAGATAGCAATGGGGCTAGTGTGAGTCACAGACAGCTGGCAGGCAGAGGGACCAAGGGGCAGAGTACAAGAGGCTGTCTAGGAGGCTGGAGACCCTTGGAGACACCCGAGAGAAACATGGGAGGCCAATGGTGTCCCCAACACAGACACCAGCCACACCAGGCCCAGCAGCCCCACCTGTGCAGTGGTTCAGCACAGTGGTAGTGTTGAGCATGGCAGGGGTAGCAGTCAACGTGTACGTGCCATGGCTGGTGAGGGCACTGGGTGTCTGTCTGTCCTACTGCAGCTGGTCTCACCATGTCCTGCTGACAGGAAACTGGACCTCTGGCAACATCACTGGCTGCACTCAGCCCCAGCTCCCAATATGCCCCCACCTGCCTGCTGGCCCCCACCCTAGGCCTGGTAGGACCTCAACTGCTGACCTTGCCCATAGTGCTGCTGGCCAGTGAGCGGGCCTGGGAAGCAAACTCATGATGTCAGGTTTAAATCCCTGCTTCAGGCAGGAGAATCAGCGCGTGCGGTTCTAGGTACTGAGCCGTGGTCATTTGTTACATCAATTTCGGGAAACATCCTGGCTTCCCAGAGCAGACCCCCGAGGGTGGGGGTCCAAGCAGAGACTGAGGCTGTCACACCCGGTGCTCCCCTACCCAACCTGAGACCCAGGGTCCCCGCTCCGGCCAACACCCTTCCAGAAACAAGGGGACCCGGCCCAACCTCTGCCTCCCACAGACACCAGGGGTCCCAGTGCCTCAATAAAACACCCTGGGGGAGACTGCGCCCTGTTCTCCCGTCCCCTCCCGTCCTGCCACACCCTTCCCCCTCTCCTCCCTCACTCTGCTGCTCAGGATTCTATGAGCCCCAGGATTTCGGGGGTGACCCTCCAGGAGCCAACCCCTCCTGCTGGCTGGAGACCTCGGCCCGCACCAGCCCCTTTGGGAGCCTCGGTTTCCCCTCCTAAGGTGCTGGGCTGAGCAGAGGGAGGGAGGCACAGGTGTGTCTGAGGGTGGGTGGGCAGATGCAGCCCAGCTCCCCTCCCTCCCAGCCCCCTCCCCACGGCTCCAATTAAGGGTCCTCCACGCTCAATCGCTGCATTTGACTTACTGGCGGCCTCGCCTCCCGAACGAGGCCTTTGTTCCCTTAATTGGCCATCTCCAGGCACCATTCTCTGCCCCCCGCCGACGCACGCCAGGTCCATATCCCAGGTCCAACTATGCGCTAATTGGGCACTTAGAGGGCCCCAGAAAGCCCCCTCCCCTCCCTGTTCCCTGCCTTCCTATATTAGCCCCCACCTGCCGCTCCCTCAGACTTCAGGTCGGGCTCCTGGGAGGTGGGGACAGGGTTAGGGCACAGTGGGGAGGCCTTGGCCCAATTCCCAGCCCTGCCTCCTCCCCAGCCCGGGGTGCCTGGGCCTCCAGAGTCCCCTGCCCCTCCCTGCTCACAGATTTGGGGGGTGCTTTGGTCAGCAATATTGTGGGGAGTTACTCCAGACCACCCTGGCCATGCACCCCGGGGTCCCCGAAGGCCCTGGGGTCTCCGAGCCCGGCCCCCGGGAGCTGTGTGCCTTTGTGAGCGGGGCGGCCGCCCACATGCTGCGGGCCCTGCAGCCCCGGCGCACCCGGCCCCCCAAGAGGCGGCCCAACCACAGAAGGTTTCTGCACAACCAGATCTGCAGGTGAGGGGGCTGGTGGGGAAGGTGGGCACGGGACGGGGAAGAGGGGAAGGAGCAACCAGCACCCTTGGCTGGGGGAGACCAGGTACAGACAGAGAGGAGCAGCCCCCAGGGCTGGATGCCAGCAACAGTCAACGTGCATTTATTGAGTGCCTACTGTGTGCCAGGCCAGTTAGCAAAGCAGATAAAGTTCCTTGCTGTCGTGGAGGTTGTGTTTTCATGGGGGTGGCGGACGGTCAGGAATCACCAAAATAAATAACTAGCACGGTGTGATGCGACCACATAGGTGACCCTTGCAAATATGCTGGCCGGGGGTGGTGGCTCAAGCCTGCAATCCCAGCACCTTGAAAGGCCGAGGCAGGAGGATCGCTTGAGTTCAGGCGTTAGAGACCAGCCTGCTCACATCTGTCTTTACAGGCAGTTCACCAAGATTGAGGCTGCCACCCAGCGCCTGGCCCTCTCCATCCTGTCCCAGGAGGCACCTCCCCAGAGACCCTCGCTCCAAAAGCCACCCCCACCGCCTCCATCCCCCTTCCTGGGAGTGGCCTGTGCTGTGGCCCCCACTGAGGCTCCCCATGCCAGCGCCAGCCTGAGTCTCGCTGCCCTGGACACCTCTACCCTCGACCTCTTTGACAACATTGCGCTCACCCCAGAGTGTGCCTCAATGCCATGGGACCCCTCCTCTGGTTCTGATGCTCCCCTGCCAGCGCCGGGTCTGTCCCATCGCGACCTGGGCCAGCTGGACCTGAGGCAGGTCCCACATTTCTGCGGCCCCCTGCCCCTTCCCCAGCATGCCCTGGGGGAAGAGGCTGATCTCGTGGCTCCCGACTGGGGTTGGGTGGACTGCTGGGAGGTGCCTCGTGCCTGGGATTCTCAGGGGATCCCCGAGGGTTGGGGGACCAGCTCCCCATGAGGCCAATCACAACCCAGCCCAGAACCCAGGACAAGCCAGAGGCCCCTCCACGACGGCTCTACAGCCCTCTCCAGGAGCCCCCAACCTGTCCACTCCCTTCCTGGCAGCCCCTGGGAAAATAAACCAACCCAGACCCCCACTTCAGACCACTGCCTCAGGGGTCTCCTCCTGGGCCCAGGGGCCCCACCTCCACCTCTTCTTGCTTTCCTGCCTTCCCCCTTCCTTCTGCCTAGCCCCATCTGGGCATCCACCCCTCACTCTCACCCAGGCTCACCTCTGCCTAATGTCTGCTCTCCTGTCATTTATTCCCAAAGATGTATCGAGCGCCTACTATGGGCCAGGCCCAGGTCTAGGACTTGAGGATTCAGCTGTGAACGAGGCAGACGGGACCCCTGCCTCAGGGAGCTCCCTGTTCTGTGTGCATGTGTGTGTTTTGGCGGGGAACAGACAATAAAAGAGTATATCCATGCATTTTTCAAAAAGCAAGATTCATTTCCAATTCAGATTGGAGTTAGTGCTGAAAAGAAAATAAAACACAAGGCCGGGTGCGGCGGCTCACACCTGTAATCGCAGCACTCTGGGAGGCCAAGGCAGGCGGATCACTTGAGCCCAGGAGTTCAAAACCAGCCTGGGCAACAGAGTGAGACCTCCATCTTTACAAAAAAATTAAAAAATTAGTCAGGTGTGGTGGCGCATACCTGTGGTCCCAGCTACTCAGGAGGCTGAGGTGGGAGGATCGCTTGAGCCCGGGAGGTTGAGGCTGCAGCAAGCTGTGATCGTACCATGGTACTCCAGCCTGGGTGATAGAGCAATTTTTTTCTTTTTTTTGATGTTTCAAAAAAATTAAAAACAGCGACCTGATGGAAGGGCTACCTGACACCAGGTGGTCAGGAAAGGCTTTGAAAGCCTGGAAGGTTGGGCCATGGGGAGTCCTAGGATTCCAGGCTGAGGCAGCACACGTGCAAAGGCCCTGCGGTGGGACATTGAGGGAAGAGCAAGAGGAGACCCCTGTGGCTGGAGCGGAGTGAGCAGGGGGAGTGGTGAGAGGCGAGGTCTGCACGGACCAGGAAGGCCGACCATGAATTGGGAGGAGTTTGGATTTATTCCAAGACAGATAGGAAATTCTCTCTTTCTCTCAACCTCCATTTCCAAGCACAGAGTCTAAATTATTCTAAACACCACCCGAGGAGGCAGGTGCTGTACAGATGGGGAAACTGAGGCAGCACAGAGCGCAAAGGACAGGGGGGCGTCAAATTCCTCACTTGATCGCTCCCTCAGCCAGCCCCTTCCTGGAAAGTGCTTGGGTATCTTTGTAAGCCTCCGTTTCTTGAGAGAGGGCCAGGTTTCGAACCGCAGACATGCCTCTACTCTAGGTAAGACCCCTCTCTCTCTCTCCCGGCCTCGGCGGTCTGCTCTGTGCAATGGGGCCGGCCGAGACGCCCTCTCTCCAGCCAGAGTCTGAGCCTTCGGAGACCACCGCGCGACTCCGCCCCGTCGGCCGCCACTCACGCCCTCTACGGCTCTCCATTGGCAGAACGACCTGCTGCCCCGCCCCCACGGCGCCTTTGCGAGCTAATCATTTTCTTGAGACTGACAGCCTTGCCGGCACCGCCCCCCCTGGGGCGGGAGCAAAGCAGCTGCATATGCGGATTGGTTGAGAGGCAGGGGGCGGGGTGAGTTGGTGAGCGCCGATTGCGGGCAGAGGCAGTGGCACATGCGGATTGGCCGGAGAGAGCGGCGAGGCAGAGCATGATGAGTGTCGATTGGACGGCTGGGCCCAAGTGGGCGGAAAACGGACGGTGCAGGGGGTGGGCCACGTGTCCAGCCCTAACGAAACGGTAACCAGCCCTGGGAAGCCCGCAAGAGGCCTCAGCGGTGGCCGTCCGAGAGCCGAGAGGTGAGGGTGCCCCCGCCTCACCTGCAGAGGGGCCGTTCCGGGCTCGAACCCGGCACCTTCCGGGTAAGTCCTCTCTCGCTGCTGGCGCTATTTGGAGACCGACCTTACCGCCTAGCAGATGGGGAAACTGAGGCTCTGCCTGGGCGTCCCGGGCCAAGGTCACAGGACCAGAAGGAGGACTCCACCTGGCCCCGCCAGAATTGGCTGGCCAGAGATTGGAAGCGTCCCCGGGTCGCGCCTGCCGCCTCTGTAACAGCGCTGGGGGGTGGGCAGGTTTAATCCCCATTTCTCCGACGAGAAAACTGAGGCTAAGACAAAGAGAAACTTGCCCAAGGTCACACAGCCAGGAAGTCCGGGCTCCAAGGCCGGGTTTCCGAGACCGGGTGGGGAAATCAACGGCCCTACCCCGCCCCCTGTTGCCGCCCACCTCCAGCCACGCCCCCTTTGGCCTTGGGTACCCTCCACCCAGGCTGAATCTCTCCTCGTTCCGCAGGACACGCCCAACCCTCTCCAGCCCAGACCTCCCCTTCACATCTCTCTCTCTCACACACCCACCCTCACCCCAATTTTTCATCTCCCAAAAACCAGTTCCCCTCCCCGGGATCCCCTATGAATCTTCAGATCATGCCCCTCGCTCGACCAGAAACTGGGGGCCTTTCTCCCCGACTTTCCCCACCGTCCCAGCTGCCCCTTCCTGACTCTCCCCTGTCCCACTGGGCCCCAGCGCCGACCTCCTGCTCTCTGGCCTTTTGCCTCCAGTTCAACCGCACGGCGGGGGCCTGAAGCCATCTTTGTATTTTGCATTTTGAACACTTTTTCTGGAATAATACCACAAACGCAGAAAATCGAACGGTTTGCAAATACACAGCTTAAATAAATATTTATAAAGGGAGCACCCTGGTGTAAACAAGTATCCAAAGAAAAAAGTCAAACATGCGCCACATCCCAGGATCTCCCGCCGTCGTCGTTTCCATCACTGTGGTCCAAGGGCAGTCACTGTCCTGGCTTCTGACGCCATAGATCAGTTTTGCCGGGTTTTGGCTTTATGCCAACCCTTTATTGTATATAGTATTGACTAGACAACTTGTTGCACATTGTCCAGAATTCAGAAGAAACAGAATAGGACCCAGTGAAAAGGCTCCTACAGACTTCCCCGGTGCCTGGTTCACCCGCCTGAGTCTCCCGTTTCTTGCTTGTTTGCCAGAGATAGCAGATATAGATATAGGCAACACAGACACATTTTCCTCTCCCTTTTTTCTTTGGCACAAAAAGGAGCATTCCATACACACTGTTCTGCTTCTTTTTCACTTCTCTCAAACATGTTTTCGTATTGTTACTTAAAGAGCTTCCTCGTAATTTTTTCTGGCTGCGAGGAATAACAGAGTATAGTTATGGCATGACTTACGTAACCAGTACCCTCATTGTGGACATTGATACTTAACTTCTGCTCCTTTGCTCTGGGGAAGAGTCCTGTAATGAATAATCCTGTGTCGTTTCACATGAATGTCTGTAGGATAAATGCTTAGGAGCAGCTTTTGAGGTCAGAGGGTTTGTGTATCCATCATTTTGAGAAATGCAGCTGCTCGGCTGTCCCTAGGAGTTGTTGTGACCCACACTCCTACCAGGCCAGAGGGGAGTTCCTGGGTGCTCCACATGCCTGTCCTAGGCTTTTGGACATGCTGGCCCCCAGATCTGCCCCTCCATGGCTCCTCACTGCCCTCAGCAGAGAGACTCCAGGGCCCTTGTGACCCACCTGTCAGCTCTCCAGCTCCTGGTTCCCTCAGAACCATCCCTTGGGGCCCGGGTGTCCAGGTCCCGCCTCCTGCACAGGGGAGGAAGAGTTAGCACATGAGTGGCCGTGAGAGGGTCACTCCATGGGGAGGAAACCGCAAGGGCTGTTTGAGAGGAGGGAGTGGCTGGGCTGAGGCTGGAGGGTCTTCAGAGCAGTGCGGGGCGGGGGGGAAAGGGGCGCCTGCATCTTAGTCCTGAGGACAGAGAGAATCCACGGGGGTCAGGGGACAGTTTGAGACAGGGGAGTAATAGCTTTGTGTTTTGTGAAAAGATCATTTTTCTGTCGTCAGTTTCTCTAGGAGAACACTGCAGCCCCTGCCAAGCTGTATCTGACTCCCTCCAAATCCCACTTATCACAGTTGTAATTATGGGATTAATTCACTGTGGTTTTGTTTCAGAGGGAGTTTCCATTCAATTTTATTTAATGAGATAAAATTTGCACAACATAAAATTGACCATTTTAACCATTTATTCGTTTTTAAACTTGAGATATGGTGCACATAGAAAACATTTGCTATGGTAGATGGATTATGTTCAAAGAATAATAGGCCAGGCGCGGTGGCTCACGCTTGTAATCCCAGCATGTTGCAAGGCTGAGGCGGGAGGTTCGCTTGAACCCAGGAGTTCGAGACCAGCCTGGGCAACATAGGAAGACCCTGTCTCTAAAAATATAAAAATACAAAAATTAGCCAGGTGTGGTGGCATACACCTGTAGCTCTAGCTACTTGGGAGGCTGAGGTGGGATGATCACTTGAGCCCAGGAGGTTAAGGATGCAGTGAGCTATGATTGCGCCACTGTACTCCAACCTGGGTGACACTATGAGACCCTGTCTCAAAAAGAAAAAATAGTACAGGGAGGCCAAGGCAGGAGGGTTGCTTGAGGCCAGGACGAGAGAGAGAAAGAAAGACAAGGAACAACAGTGTCCTAACTACCCAGCTTTGAAAATAGCAGCTCAAGGCCAGGTGCGGTGGCTCACACCTGTAATCACCAGCACTTTGGGAGACTGAGGCGGGTGGATCACGAGGTCAGGAGTTCAAGACCAGCCTGGCCAACATGGTGAAACCCCATCTCTACTAAAAATACAAAAATTAGCCAGGCATGGTGGCACAAGCCTGTAATCCCAGCTACTTGGGAGACTGAGGCAGGAGAATCCTTGAACCTGGGAGGCAGAGCTTGCAGTGAGCCAAGATCGCGCCACTACACTCCAGCCTGGGTGACAGAGCAAGACTCCATCTCAAAAAAAAAAAAAAGAAAAGAAAATAGCAGCTTCTTGTTGAGTGCCCTGCCTCCCTCAGCTTCCCAGAACACCTTCTGTCTTGCCTCCAATGAGCCTCCAGGGTCTCCCATTTCCCTGGTGAATTAATGAATAAATGAGTTAAGTACAAACAAATTGTACACACAGACGGGGAGAGAGCTGCAGACAAAAGCCCAGCCCAAACCCTCACTTGTGCAGCAAACTCGGAGACCCAAAAGCACAAGCCTCCCAGGGACGTAGGCCAAGACGTGCTGATTCAGGGCCCCTGCGGTGTAGACGCTCTGACAGCGTAGACGCTCTGACCGAGTGGAAGTCAGGTGTGCCCTGTATGGCTGCAGGACTTAGGGCAGGTTAACGGGCCCTCTGGGTCGAGGTTTCCTCCCCTGCAAAAGAATTGCTGGCCAGGTGGCTTCACCAGCCTGTCCTTTTTTTCTTTCTCTTCTTTTCTTTCTTTTCTTTTTTTTTTTTAATTGTGGTAAAATGCACTTAACATAAAACTTACCCTTTCAGCCATTTGAAAATGCAGTGGAGTGGCATTCATAGTCATGCTGTTCTGCAGCCGCCACCACCAAGTCCCAGAGCATTTTCACCATCCCAAACTGAAAACTACACCCCCCAGCAGTCAACCTGAATTCCTCCCGGCCACAGCCCCTGGCAGCCAATCATCTGCTTTCTTTCTCTTTTTTTTTTTTTTTTGAGATGGAGTTTTGCTCTTATTGTCCAGGCTGGACTGGCAGTGGTGCTATCTCTGCTCACTGCAACCTCCGCCTCCCAGGTTCAAGTGATTCTCCTGCCTCAGCCTCCCAAGTAGCTGGGACAACAGGTGCGTGCCACCGTGCCTGGCTGATTTTTGGTATTTTTAGTAGATATGGGGTTTCACCATGTTGGCCAGGCTGGTCTCAAACCCCTGGCCTCAGATGATCCGCCCGCCTCGGCCTCCCAAAGTCCTGGGATTACAGGCGTGTGCCACCAAGCCCAGTCTCTTTTTTTTTTGAGACAGAGTCTTGCTCAGTCACCCAGGCTGGAGTGCAGTGGTGTGATCTCGGCTCACTACAACCTCTGCCTCCTGGGCTTCAAGCGATTCTCCTGCCTCAGCCTCCCGAGCAGCTGGGTTACAGGCACCCGCCACTGCCTGGCTAATTTTTGTATTTTTAGTAGAGACAGGGTTTCGCCATGTTAGCCAGGCTGGTCTTGAACTGACCTCAGCTGATCCGCCCACCTCAGCCTCCCAAAGTGCTGGGATTATAGGCGTGAGCCACTGCGCCCGGCCCCATCTGCTTTCTGTCTGTGGATTTGCCTGTTCTGGGCATTTCAGGAAAACGGGATCGCACGCTCCGTGGTCTTTGTGTTGAGATCTATCCAGGTTGTGGCCTGTGCAGGGTCCCCCTTCTTTCCTATGGCTGAAGAATATGGCCTCAGTTTCCTCTTGGAGCAGGGTGAGGATCAGGGTGGACCCTTCATTCAGGAGGCCCTGGGGAGTGGGCTGGCCCAACACAGGAGGACGCCCAGCAGAGCCTCCGTTTTGGGGCTGATGGTAACCAGGGCTGACAGTAACCGGGGCTGATGTAACCGGGATCTGATAGTAACCGGGGCTGATGGTGACCAGGGCGGATGGTGACTGGGGTGGATGGTAACCAGGGCAGATGGTAACTGAGGCTGATGGTAACCGGGACTGATAGTAACTGGGGTGGATGGTAACCGGGGCGGATGGTAACCGGGATCATGAAGCACTCCTTGACGTTGTGCACAGTCCTCAGCAAGGAGAACACAGGGACCAGGAGAGGGACACCCGGAGCCACGTGTGGATGTGGCCCAGAAGGCTTCCCAAGGAAGTCACCTCCCTGCCGAATAGGACAGAAATAAGAAAGAAGCCCATTCTAGGCCCGGGGAACAGCAGACACAGAGACCTTGAGGTGGGAAGAAGGTTGGCAAGGTGCCCCGGGCCCTGCCAGGCTCTGAGTGTGAGGACCTGGACGCCAGCTGGAGACACTGAGAGGAGCCCTCGGGCCTGACCCACCGTCCCTCTGCCCACCCCCAGAAAATGGCGGCTGCCAGGCCCAGCCTGGGCCGAGTCCTCCCAGGATCCTCTGTCCTGTTCCTGTGTGACATGCAGGAGAAGTTCCGCCACAACATCGCCTACTTCCCACAGATCGTCTCAGTGGCTGCCCGCATGCTCAAGGTATGACCTCAGCCCCCCACCCTCAGACCCAGGATCCAGGCTCAGCCCTCCACCCTCAGACCCAGGATCCAGGCTCAGCCCTCCACCCTCAGACCCAGGATCCAGGCTCAGCCCTCCACCCTCAGACCCAGGATCCAGGCTCAGCCCTCCACCCTCAGATCCAGGATCCAGGCTCAGCCCTCCACCCTCAGACCCAGGATCCAGGCTCAGCCCTCCACCCTCAGACCCAGGCGTCCAGGCCCAACTCCTCTTCCTTCAGACCCAGGGATCCAGGCCCACTTCCTCTTCCCTCAGACGCAGGAGTCCAGGCCCAGCTCCTCCTCCCTCAGACTCAGGAGTCCAGGCATAGCCCCTCCTCCCTCACACCCAGGAGTCCAGACCCCCAGCCCCTCCTCCCTCAGACCCAGGAGTCCAGGCCCAGCCCCTCCTCCCTCAGACCCAGGAGTCCAGGCCCAGCCCCTCCTCCCTCAGACCCTGACCTTTCTTCCCCATCACTGGCACAGGTGGCCCGGCTGCTTGAGGTGCCAGTCATGCTGACGGAGCAGTACCCACAAGGCCTGGGCCCCACGGTGCCCGAGCTGGGGACTGAGGGCCTTCGGCCGCTGGCCAAGACCTGCTTCAGCATGGTGCCTGCCCTGCAGCAGGAGCTGGACAGTCGGCCCCAGCTGCGCTCTGTGCTGCTCTGTGGCATTGAGGCACAGGCCTGCATCTTGGTGAGATGCTGACTGACCCCAGGGGTCCCTCGTTCTAACCTGGGACCCCCATCCTAAATAGAACCTCCTTCCCTGACCAGAAACCTCCACTTCCCTGCAGGACCCCCATCCTGACCTGGGCCCTCTCTCCTCACCTGTGGGCCCCATCCTATCTTGGATCCCCTCCTGACCTGGGGGCCCCTTCCTCTGATCCGAGCCTCCCTCCTCCCCATTCTGGGCCCCTAATTCTGACTCACCATCCCCAATTCCTTACCCAGGACCCCCGTTCTTATCCGGGGTTGGCCCTGACCTCTCTCTACCCACAGAACACGACCCTGGACCTCCTAGACCGGGGGCTGCAGGTCCATGTGGTGGTGGACGCCTGCTCCTCACGCAGGTGAGAGGGCCCCTGCCTGGGTGGGTGCACGTGGGGGCCATCAGGGGCTCCCAGGAAGGGCCACAGGCGGCATTCCCACCAGGGTGCCTGCGTGTCTGGGTGTCCAGACTGCGGCGTCCACACCAACCTTCCCTCCCTCCCTCCCACTCACAGCCAGGTGGACCGGCTGGTGGCTCTGGCCCGCATGAGACAGAGTGGTGCCTTCCTCTCCACCAGCGAAGGGCTCATTCTGCAGCTTGTGGGCGATGCCGTCCACCCCCAGTTCAAGGAGGTAATGCCCGCCTGGCCGCCCCCACCTCCCCTGCATCTGTCAAAGGTCTTGTCTTTGGGCTCTGAGAATACATCTCGGCACCAGCAGGCTGCCGCCTCCAGGGGGAGCCAGGTTCTTGGAGGGGAGGCTGCTGGTCACTGTCACTGCCATAAATCCATGAAAGGAGCCCACAGATGGACCATAAGGGCCACAGAGAACAATAAAATGGGGGAGGCAATCCAGAGGGTCAGGGCACAGAGGAGGGGGTTTGTATTGGAGGGTCTGGGGGGCATCCTGGAGCAGGTGACTTTAGAATGAACTGAAGGAGGGAGTGACCAGGCGGACACTGGGGAAGAACAGGTCAGCAGAGACCCTCTAGATAGAAGCCCCTTGACCCGTCCACACCCATCTCCAACTCTCCATCTCCTCCGCCTCTGCCCCTTCCGGCCCGGGTGCCCCTCCTCCAGTTTCTCAGACTCCACTGGCCACCCTGCTACCGGGGTCAGCCAGGTACTGGGCCCCCCTGCTTCAAGCCATTGGCCCTCAGGATGCTGGAGAGGCCCCAGACCTTGACATTCCCAGGCCCTCCCAGGTCTGCTCCTTACCTTCCTTCTAGTTCAGCTCTGTGGGACATTCACCGAGCACCCACTCTGTGCCAGCCACTGTGGTGAGCCCTGGAGTCTGCAGCAATCCATGTTCAGTGACACATTGTGACCCCCAGCTGGGGCAGGAGTTGCAGAGGGATGAGCAAGAGTGGCAGAGGTGGCCCTGAATTCTGAGCTGCCGGGGAAGGGGGCATCAGGCACTCACAGTGTTCCCAGGGGAGGGGGACTGAGCTTTCTTTGAGGAGCTGTAGCAGGCCAGGGTGAGCACCACGCGGGAGGAGCCAGCAGCCTGTCTTCACGCAGGAGTCAGAGCCCAGAGGTTTGAGATTTCAGCCACGGGCAGCCATCAGGGTTTGATGCAGGGGAGCTGGCCATATCAGATCGGCAGTTTACAAAGTTCTTTCTGGCCCTGTGTGACCAGTGGATTAGGGAGTGTGGCATAGAGGGGAGGAGGGAGACCTGTCAGTAAGGAGGTTAATTTGGGCGCCCAGGCAAGCGGTGATGAGGCAGGGGGGATGCAGGCTTTTTTGTTGTTGTTGTTGTTTATTTATTTATTTATTTATTTTATTTTCTGGAGATAAACTTGCTGGGACTTGCTGATGGATGAAATGCGGTTGGTTGCTCATGTCTATCTAAGAGGCAGTTAGATAGATGAGTCGAGTTCAGGGGCAAAGTCCAGGCTGGATTTGTGAGCTGAGGGCCCAGAAGAGGGATGGGAGAAATGAGGTTACTTAAGAAGAGGAAGGTGTAGACAGGAAGCCCCAGCACAGAGCTGTCCACCCTTAGTGGTCCAAGCCCGCAAAGCACACCAAGATGGCAGGCAGTGAGGAGCTCAACCAGTCACGTGTAATGAAAGGGAGGCCCCAGGAAAAGTCTTGAGAAGAGGGAGTGTTGTCTTGGGCAGCTGCTAGCCAGAAGGTCCGAGAGATGAAGACGGAGAGGTGTCCCTCAGATTTGTCATCCATGGAGATCGGGACCCTAGACGCTTCCTGACCCATCGCCCCCTGCCCTTACAGATCCAGAAACTCATCAAGGAGCCCGCCCCAGACAGCGGACTGCTGGGCCTCTTCCAAGGCCAGAACTCCCTCCTCCACTGAACTCCAACCCTGCCTTGAGGGAAGACCACCCTCCTGTCACCCGGACCTCAGTGGAAGCCCGTTCCCCCCATCCCTGGATCCCAAGAGTGGTGCGATCCACCAGGAGTGCCGCCCCCTTGTGGGGGGGGCAGGGTGCTGCCTTCCCATTGGACAGCTGCTCCCGGAAATGCAAATGAGACTCCTGGAAACTGGGTGGGAATTGGCTGAGCCAAGATGGAGGCGGGGCTCGGCCCCGGGCCACTTCACGGGGCGGGAAGGGGAGGGGAAGAAGAGTCTCAGACTGTGGGACACGGACTCGCAGAATAAACATATATGTGGCTGTGGACCAAACCATTCTTGGGTTGGGGGGGATCCCGGGGGCGACTGGGGGCTGCAGGAGGGAGAAAGCGGGGTCCCCAGCAGGTGGGGGGGGGGAGGTGCCTCTTCTCGGCGCGAGGCAAAGGCGAGGGCTGGCGGCTGACACATCTGCACGGACGCGGCGCATCTGCTCGGAGGAGAACTGCGGCCGGGGTCGCCCCCAGCCGGCGCGCGCACGCCCAGCCCAGCTGCCGGCAGACACGCGCTCCGCCGCCGCCTCCGGCCGCCCCCCACGCCGCCACCCCCGGCTCCCCAAGGGTCCCGCATCCGGAAAGCGAGGTGAGCGAGACCGCACCCAGGTGCGGAAGGGAAACTGAGGCAAGGGGACATGGAGACGGGAGGAAGGAAGACACAGCCATGTGGATGGGTGGATGGATGGATGGAAGGATGGATGGACGGATGGAAGGAAGGGCTGAAAGCATTGTAGTCCCGGCTCCCCCAGACGCAGGAGTTCCGGGACCCACATGGGGGCTCCCAGAATTCTGCAGATCTAGGAGTTGGAATCTGCAGACCCCCAGGGAGAGCTCCTCCGTTCCAGATTTGCAGCCCTTGCCTCTTCCCCAACCTTGGAGACCTGAGAGGCCACCCCTGAGTCCTCAGAGACACCGGCGTCAGAGCTGTCAGTCAGCCCGCCCCGCGTTGGGCAATCGGAGCCCCCACCGCCGACCCTGGGAGCCCAGACCCCTCCCAGAAGGTCCGGTCCCCTGGCCCCCAGCGTCGGAGCGCCCAGCATCCCTCTCCCCAGGGATCTAGGAGGAGCCCCTGGGACCGGGCGGCGGCGCCCCCGGCCCCCGCCTTCCGGATCCAGGTGTCCCCCCTCCTCACCCCCCAAGCCCGAAGCCTCGCGTCTCCGAGGCCCCGCGCGCGTCGCCATGGCAACGAGAGTCTATTTTGCGCTGGGAACACACAGCTCCCGCCGCAGCGCCCCCCCACCCCACCAACCCGGGCCTGAATGGGAGTGGGGGACCCGGGAGGGGGCTCGGGGGGCCGGGTCGGGGGCGAGTGGAGACACAGACACTCAGACAGAGATCAGACGACAGCAAACCTGGGACAGAGAAAGAGACGTGGAGCCAGGAAGGAGAGACAAGCGGGATGTGGAGACAGAGGGGTGACGGAGACCGGGCGGGGGAAGGAGGGAAATGGAGGCGCGCAGGGAACTGAGGCTCGGAGCTGGGGACAGCCCGGGACACAGGCGCCGGGACGGAGAGAGACGCGGAGAGAGACGCCGAGATGCGAGGAGACCCGCAGCGACAGACGAGGGCTGAGACCCCCGCTAGAGACAGAGACGGGCGGGGGAGGCGGGGGTCCGGGAGGAGGCGTGGACGGGGCGCCCCGGGACGCGAAGATGCAGAGACCCAGAGACAAGCACGCGGGCCGGGCGGCGCAGGGATCTGGGCGGGGGCGCCGGGACCGGCCGCCGCCTGGGCTGCGGGTCGGGGGAGGGTCCTCCTCCCTCGCTCGGTCCCTGCCTTCCCCGCGGCCCGCGAGGCACGGCGCCCCCGTGCAGCCCCCAGGGTCTCCCCGCCCCGCCGCCCCTGGCGCCCGGAACTGGGGTCCCCGCGCCCTCCAGCAAGAGCCCGCCCCTTCCCTCTGGGCTTTCCCCACCCGCCCGGGCCCGCCTCCTCTTGAACGCACACCCCTACCCCAAACCGACCCGTCAACCCCAGAGGAGCTCCACCGTTCGCACTCGGACCGGCGCCCGCCCGGCCCAGCCCTGGCCTCTCTCTCCATACCCACTGCGCCCCTCAGCCCCCCACCCACCCCCTGCGGACCCCACTCCAGCCCAGCTCCCGAGACCCCAGAGGCGCCGACTCTCTCGGGCGTCTGTCCCCTCGGTAGGTCAGGTCCTCCCCTCTCTGGCTCTCTCTCCTCTCAGGGTCTCTGAACCCCACTTCTCTAGGACGCTGCGTCCCCTCTGAGCATTTGTCTCCCGCCCCCCGCCCGTCTCTTTTGCGTCTCTCTCTGGGTCTCTGTCCCCTCTCTGGGTCTCTGTCCCCCCTCTCTCTCTGGGTCTCTGTCCCCCTGTCTCTGGGTCTCTGTCCCCTTGTCTCTGGGTCTCTGTCCCCTCTCTGGGTCTCTGTCCCCCCTCTCTCTCTGGGTCTCTGTCCCCCTGTCTCTGGGTCTGTGTCCCCCTGTCTCTGGGTCTGTGTCCCTCTCTCTCTCTGGGTCTTTGTCCCCCTGTCTCTGGGTCTCTGTCCCCCTCTCTCTCTGGGTCTCTGTCCCCCTCTCTCTCTGGGTCTCTGTACCCTCTCTCTCTGGGTCTCTGTTCCCTCTCTCTCTGAGTCTCTGTCCCCCTGTCTTTCTGGGTCTCTGTCCCCCTGTCTCTGGGTCTCTGTCCCCTTCTCTCTCTGGGTCTCTGTCCCCCTCTCTCTCTGGGTCTCTGTCCCCCTCTCTCTCTGGGTCTCTGTCCCCTCTCTCTCTGGGTCTCTGTCCCCTGTCTTTCTGGGTCTCTGTCCCCGTCTCTGGGTCTCTGTCCCCCTCTCTCTGGGTCTCTGTCCCCCATCTCTCTGGGTCCCTGTCCCCCTGTCTCTCTGAGTCTCTGTCCCCTCTCTCTGGGTCTCTGTCCCCGTCTCTGGGTCTCTGTCCCCCTCTCTCTGGGTCTCTGTCCCCCATCTCTCTGGGTCCCTGTCCCCCTGTCTCTCTGAGTCTCTGTCCCCTCTCTCTGGGTCTCTGTCCCCGTCTCTGGGTCTCTGTCCCCCTCTCTCTGGGTCTCTGTCCCCCATCTCTCTGGGTCCCTGTCCCCCTGTCTCTCTGAGTCTCTGTCCCCTCTCTCTGGGTCTCTGTCCCCGTCTCTGGGTCTCTGTCCCCCTCTCTCTGGGTCTCTGTCCCCCATCTCTCTGGGTCCCTGTCCCTCTATCTGGGTCTCTGTCCCCCTCTCTCTGGGTCTCTGTACCCCCTTCTCTCTCAAACACACACAATCTGCCCTGCCTTTGGCTCTCTGTCCCCTCTCCCAGGACCTCTGTTTCCCCTTCAGTATCCCTGTCCCTTTCTCTGAGCTTCTGGGATCCTGGCCCCCAGCCCCCAGCCAAGAGGGTTGGGAGGGGACGCAGCAGGTGGAGTGTGCAGCACAGAGCTGGGCAGGGGGCTGGTGGGGGGTGGGGGAGGAGCTCCCAGAAGCCCAGGGACCCTGCCCAGGCTGGCTCTCTGACCTGTGTCCCCACATCTGTGTCTGTCAGGTCCTGAGCTGGGGTTCAGCGGGGCATGCAAGATGCAGACGTGAAGCCTGGGGTCCCGGGCCCCTTCCCCCTCAGCTGTGGAGGAGGAGAGCGCCGTTGTGTGCGTGAGAGCCGAGGTGGGGGCGGGTGTGGGGCGGAGGTGTCACATGGCGCCTTCCACACTCTCCATTGCTGGTGAGGGTGTATTTGCACACGTGTGTGCGCCCCTGAGGTTGCGTGGCTGTGAGCTGTGATGTGTGTGGTCGCGGGCCCACGTGGAGCCAGGTGGGGCAGGTCCCTGGTCCTGTCCCAGAGCTGTAAGTGGTCCCAGTGTGTAGGGGTTGAAATGTGCAGAAGCCCATGTTTGTGTTGTGTGTCCACGTGGAGTGGTGTGTATGTGCGTCCGTGTGCCGGGAGGAGGCCACAGGAGTGCCACCAGGTCCTTTCGTGTTGTGTCTGGGACTATCTGGGTGCCCTGTGCTCTGTGTCAGCGTGTTCGGCAGTGTCTCTGCGCAGCTTTGTGTGAGGTCAGGGAAGAATTCATCCAGTGTCTGGATGGGGCCGCTGTGTCTGCAGGTGCACGTCCTCTCTCCACCCACCTATAGGTGCTGCCCTGACCAGGAGGGGTAGAGAAGCTGTGTGTGGTGTGTGTGCGTGTGGTGTGTGTGTGTGGTCTGTGTGGCGTGTGTGTGGTGTGGGGGGTCAGTGTGGTGTGTGTGTGTGTGTGTGTGGTGTGTGTTTGTGTGGCCTGTGTGTGGTGTGTGTGTGTGTATGTGTGGCCTGTGTGGCATGTGTGTGGTGTGGGGGGGTCAGTGTGTGGTGTGTGTGTGTGTGTGTGTGGTCTGTGTGGCGTGTGTGTGGTGTGGAGGGTCAGTGTGTGGTGTGTGTGTGTGGTGTGTGGTGTGTGTGTGTGTGTGGTGTGTGTATGTGTGGCCTGTGTGCGTGTGTCAGTGTGTGGTGTGTGTGTGTGGTGTGTGTGTGTATGTGTGGTGTGTGTGTGGTGTGTGTGTGTATGTGTGGTCTGTGTGGCGTGTGTGTGGTGTGGAGGGTCAGTGTGTGGTGTGTGTGTATGTGTGGTGTGTGTGTGGTGTGTGTGTGTGGTGTGTGTGTATGTGTTGTCTGTGCGGCGTGTGTGGTGTGGAGGGTCAGTGTGTGGTGTATGTGTATGTGTGGTGTGTGTGGTGTGTGTGTGTGGTGTGTGTGTGTATGTGTGGTCTGTGTGGCGTGTGTGTGTTGTGGGGGGGTCAGTGTGTGGTGTGTGTGTGTGGCGTGTGTGTGTATGTGTGGTCTGTGTGGCGTGTGTGTGGTGTGGAGGGTCAGTGTGTGGTGTGTGTGTGTGGTGTGTGTGTGTATGTGTGGTCTCTGCGGCGTGTGTGGTGTGGAGGGTCAGTGTGTGGTGTATGTGTATGTGTGGTGTGTGTGGTGTGTGTGTGTGTGGTGTGTGTATGTGTGGTGTGTGTGTTTGTGTGGTCTGTGGGTGGTGTGTGTGTGTATGTGTGGCCTGTGTGGCGTGTGTGTGGTGTGGGGGGGTCAGTGTGTGGTGTGTGTGTGTGGCGTGTGTGTGTAATGTGTGGTCTGTGTGGCGTGTGTGTGGTGTGGAGGGTCAGTGTGTGGTGTGTGTGTGTATGTGTGGTGTGTGTGGTGTGTGTGTGGTGTGTGTGTGTATGTGTGGTCTGTGCGGCGTGTGTGGTGTGGAGGGTCAGTGTGTGGTGTATGTGTATGTGTGGTGTGTGTGGTGTGTGTGTGTGTGTATGTGTGGTCTGTGTGTGGTGCGTCTGCGTGTATCGCTGAGTTTGAGGGGAGGTGCGCCACTGCTCCTGCTCTCCCTCCCTGTCCCCCTGCTGGAGTTGTCAATGGCCTAGAGCTGTGTCTCCTTGGGTGTGTGCACCACGTGCGTGCAGTTGGAGCAGCCAGTGGGACTCTGTCAGCAGAGGGAGAAATCGTGTCCATGGAGCCTGGCGGAGGCTTGGCACGGAATGCGGAGTGAGCAGAACTGCCAGCCCATACAGCAGCCTCTGTGCAGATGAGACAAAGGCACCCCCCACCTTGCCCAATCCGCTCTCCCAGGTCTGTGGTTTGGCACGCAGATGGCACCCTTGTGTGAGCTTGGAAGGGGCACTCCTTACCCCAAATGGATGCAGCCCCACTGGCACACGCCCTGGGAAGCAGAGCCCAGCAGGATTTCAGCCTCTCAGCCAGACCCCCTTGTGCAGTGCACGACCTGCCCAACCCTACATGGTAGCCCTCAATGAATGAAGGAATCTGCAGTGCTGCATGCATGTGCCACTTCTGGAAGGGATGTGTCTCTGTGTGGGGGAAAAAGGCATCCATGCTGTACAGGTCACAGTGCTCAGAGACCTGAGTTCAAAGCCCAGCCCCACTCTTTGGGCACCTTGGGTCTCAGGCAAATGATGTGACCTCTCGGAACCTCAGCGTCCTCATCTGAAATGAGTGTGTCAGTACACACACATGTGGCCAGCAGAGATGACAGCTATGAAAGTTGCAAAGCAAGTGAGGAATTGGGAGCATGTCTGGGGCTGCTGTTACCGCTAGGACAGGAAGGCTGGCTGAAATGACATGCTAGGGACACCCTGAAGGAAGGGAGAAAGGAGGCAGGTCAGAGCAGGATCTGTGGAAAGGAAGGGGCTCCCAGACGAAGGAAACAGCACGTGCACAGGCAGGAAGGTGGAGCGTCTTGAGCATGAACTTGGAAGGTATGAAGGGAAAAGGAAAGGATGAGAAGAGGAGCTACTGGCAGAGTTGGGGTTTTATTCCAGGTGTGACAGGGAACCAGAATGCGGACAGGGGAGTGGTTGATGCCATTTGACGTGTTTCCTTTTTTTTTTTTTTTTTTTTTTTTTTGAGATGGAGTCTCACGCTGTCACCCTGGCTGGAGTGCAGTGGTGTGATCTCAGCTCACTGCAACCTGAGCCTCCGGGGTTCAAGCGATTCTCCTTCCTCAGCTTCCCGAGTAGCTGGAATTAAAGGCGCCCGCCACTGCGCCGGGCTCATTTTTGTACTTTTAGTAGTGACAGTGTTTCACCATGTTTGCCAGGCTGGTCTCAAACTCCTGACCTCAAGTGATCCGCCTGCCTCGGCCTCCCAAAGTGCTGGGATTACAGGCGTGAGCAACCATGCCAGTCCCTGTTACCTTTTTAATTGTGGGGAAATACACCATTTAACCATTCTCAAAGTGTTTGATTCGGTGGCATTAGCGTATCCATCAGGTTGTGGAGCCATCACCACTATTTAGTTCCAGGGTATTTTCCTCACCACACAAGGAAGCCTGGCCACCCTTTAGCGGTCACCCCCCATCCTCCTGTCCCCAGCTCCGGGCAATTATTAATCGGCTTTCAGTCTCTGTGGATTTGACTATTGTGATATTTCATATTAATGAAATCATACACTACATGAGATTTATGGCTGGACTTTTCCACTGAACGTCATGTCTTCAAGGTTCGTGCATGCTGTGGCTTGTATCTCAGCCCTTGGTACCTGTCACGGTTGAGTAATATTCTGTGGCATGGGTAGGCCGTCGTTGGTTTGTCCGTTCCTCCATAATGGGTGATTGCATTGTTTGCAGTATTTGGCTGTTGTGCAAGGTGCTGTTATGAACATTCAAGGATAAGGTTTTGTGTGGACACATGTTTTGAATTCTTTGGGGTAGACACTGCAGAGTGGAAGTGCATGGTAATCCTAGTTAACTTCTTTTTTTTTTTTTTTTTTTTGAGACGACGTCTCACTCTGTCAGCCCAGGCTGGAGTGCAGTGGCACGATCTCTGCTCACTGCAAGCTCCACCTCCGGGGTTCACGCCATTCTTCTGCCTCAGCCTCCCGAGTAGCTGGGACTACAGGCGCCCGCCACCACGCCCGGCTAATTTTTTGTAATTTTAGTAGAGACGGGGTTTCACCGTGTTAGCCAGGATGGTCTCGATCTCCTGACCTCGTGATCCACCCGCCTCAGCTTCCCAAAGTGCTGGGATTACAGGCATGAGCCACCGCACCCGGCCAACTTTTTTTTTTTTTTTTGAGACGGAGTCTCACTCTGTTGCCCAGGCTGGAGTACAGTGAGTGCAATGACATAATCTCGGCTCACTGCAACCTCCACTTCCGGAGTTCAAGCGATTCTCCTGCTTCAGCCTCCTGAGTAGCTGGGACTACAGGCGCACGCCACCATGCCCGGCTAGTTATTTTTGTATTTTTAGTAGAGACGGGGTTTCGTCATATTGGCCAAGCTGGTCTTGCAAGTGATCATATTGGCCAGGCTGACCGCAAGTGATCCGCCCACCTTGGCCTCCGAAAGTGCTGGGATTACAGGCGTGAGCCACCGCGCCTGGACCAATTCTAGTTAACTTTTTAAGGAACCGCCAAACTCTCTTCCACAGTGTGGGGTCAAGCCACTTCTAAGACTCCCATTAAACACCCAGGAGGAAGTGTCCAGTGGGCAGTGGGGTATTCTAGCACCGAGTCAGGGGAGGGGTCCAAGCTGGAGCTGAAAAGGAAAGGTGAGGCCCCAAGCAGGAGGGCGATGGAGCTCACTGAGGCTCTGGAAGGTTCACCTTCCAACCCTCTGCCCATCCCCACCAGCAGCAATGTTGTTGACAGTGGTGTGGTCCCTAGACACACACACGATGGATGGTGGCATATAATAGAAAATAACACCGAGTGATATTTATTGACTCAATCCCATCCACCCCCTCCATCCCTTTATGCTGCTTTCATTTCTTCACGGCTTCCTTCATCATTCCTTTTTATTTCTTCACAATTGGCGTCAACATGTGTCCCATTCATTTGTGTCCATCTGCTGACTGTCCCCCCTCACTAGCACGTAAACCCCCGTAAAGGCAGGAACCCTGTGGGCTTACTCACTGCTGCATCCTCAGCCCAGGGAGGCTGCTCAGGAGACATTTATTGAATGAAGATTTGCAGAACGAATGCACACCCCGCGCATCATGCCTGCTCCTGGGAAGCTCTATGGCAGCCTCTCGGCAGCTAGCTCAGGGCAGGGGCTGTTCAGATCAGGTTCTTGCAGAGAGGAAATGTAAGACTCCGTGGGCAGTCACCCCAGACCCCTGGGGGGTTCCTCCTGCAGGTAGAGCTCAGACGTTTCCTTCTCCCGGAACCCGAGGCCAGGCATCCTTCCCACCTCTATCATCCCTCTAGGTCCACGGGGGTGGGCGTGTCTGGGACTTGGCTGGACTGTTGCCATAGAAACAGCTGGAAGACGTGCCCACCACCACCACCACCAACTCCCACCTCTCTTCTGCATCACCTTTTCTCTCTCTTTTGAGACAGGGTCTCACTCTGTCAACTCAGGCTGGAGTGCGGTGGTGAAATCACAGCTCCCAGCAGCCTTGATCTCTGGGACTCAAGTTATCCTCCCACCTCAGCGTCCTGAGTACCTGGGACTATAGGTGCGCACGACCACGCCGGGCTAATTTTTTTTTTTTTTTTTTTTGTAAAGACACGGTTTTGCTGTGTTGGCGAGGCTGGCTGGTCTCCTGCTTGAGCAATTTGCCCACCTTGGCCTCCCAGAGTGCTGGGATTTACAGGCGTGAGCCGCCGCACCCGGACGACCCTTTCTCAGCCTGTATCTCCCTTCTGAAATAGCAGCAGCAGCAAACACTTTCATATTTCACCTGCAATATGCCAGGCACTGTTCTAAGCTCTTTACACATATTCCCTCAGTTCATCCTCCTGACCACTCAGAGATAACCATCCTTATCCCCATTTTACAGATGGGGGACTTGGGGCACAGGGAGCTTAGATAAGAGCCTGTCAGTGTCAGGCAGCTGGCAGGAGGTCCAGTCGGCAGGGGAACCACCCTGCTGTGGTTGTGGTTCAGCTGTGGACAGAGACCCTTCAAACCCGACGCCGTAACAGTGGTGTGTGTGTGCGTGTGCATGCCAGGGAGAGAGAGAGAGAGAGGGAGAGAGAGGGAGGGAGGGAGGGCACCTAAGATCCCTTGATTATCAGATCTAACTAAGGGAGAGAAATTGGCATTTCGGGGCACTGAGGACCATAGGGGTGTAAGTCAGTGGTTCTCCACGGGGGCAGCTGTGGCCTCCTCCCACCAGGGGAACATTTGGCAATGCCTGGAAACATCTTACATTGTCACAACTCGGGGGAATGTGGTGCTGCTGGCATGGAGAGGGCGCTGCTAAACATCCTACAGCGCTCAGGACAGGCGCTCACCACAAAGCAGCATCGGTCCCCGAATGTCAGTGTTGAAAAACCGTGCACTGCCTCTTCCCACTTGCCTGGTCTATAAACTCAAATTCTCAACTTCTCTCTCTCCTCCTCCCTCCCTCTCCTCCCCCTCCTCCTCCTCCCCTTCTTTTCTCCCTCCTTCCCCGTCTCCCTGACTCCTCCTTTCCCACCCACCCCTCATCTGTCTCGCTTCCTTCCCTCCCTCCGCGGTCCCCACTCCCCTCGCCACCCTCCCCTCCCCTTCGCGCGCCTCCCTCCAGCTGCCTCCCCTGCCCTCTCCTCTTCGCCGCCCCCGTTTCTTCTCCTTACATCGCGCCTCGCCTCGCTCCTCGTCCTAATGTCTGCACACCCCTCTGGTGTCTGTCGACCCTCCCAATCGCTTCTCCCGCATTCATCTCTCGCCTGATCCCGGTTCTGTCCGCCCATGCTCATTTCTCTCCCCCAGCCGTGCCCGGGCGCGTTTCCATTACTCTCCCATCGTCGCCCACCGCGCGTGGGGCGGCCAACTTGGGCCCACGCAGCTCAGCTCCCTCCGCCCTTCCTGCCTCCTGGCGCCTGTTGCTCCCCACACTCTGCCGCCCCCCGCCCGCCCTCCCCAGCCTCTCTGCCCACCCATCTCTACGTTTCTCACCCTCTGACCGTTTCTCTCCCGCCCAGCGCTCCAACCTCTGCTCTCGTTCTCCCCGCAGCCTGGCGGCCCAGTGCGACCCCCTGCAAGCCCCATGCCGGCCCTCCTGCTCCTCGTACTCCTGGCCTCTAGCGCCGGCCAGGCCAGGGCGCGCCCGTCCAACGCCACGAGCGCCGAGCCCGCGGGCCCGCTGCCCGCCCTGCTGGCGCACCTGCGGCGCCTGACCGGGGCGCTGACGGGCGGCGGGGGCGCGGCGAGCCCAGGCGCCAACGGCACCAGGACCGGCCCCGCGGGCGGGGCGGGCGCGGCGGCCCGGGCGCCCCCTCCCGCCGAGCTCTGCCACGGCTACTACGATGTCATGGGCCAGTACGACGCCACCTTCAACTGCAGCACCGGCTCCTACCGCTTCTGCTGTGGCACCTGCCACTACCGCTTCTGCTGTGAGCACCGTCACATGCGCCTGGCGCAGGCCTCCTGCTCCAACTACGACACGCCGCGCTGGGCCACCACGCCGCCGCCGCTAGCTGGGGGCGCCGGGGGCGCTGGGGGTGCGGGCGGGGGGCCAGGGCCCGGCCAGGCCGGGTGGTTGGAAGGGGGCCGGACTGGGGGTGCCGGGGGCCGCGGGGGCGAGGGCCCCGGGGGCAGCACAGCCTACGTCGTGTGCGGGGTCATCAGCTTCGCCCTGGCCGTGGGCGTCGGCGCCAAAGTGGCCTTCAGCAAGGCGTCCCGTGCGCCCCGGGCGCACCGGGATATCAACGTGCCCAGGTGCGTGTGCTCTCGGGCGGGAGGACTGCGAGCCTGGGGCGGGGCCCAGCAAGGGAGGTGGAGCCATCCGAGGAGGAGGGGCTGCAGGGATAGGGCGTGGTGGTCAGAGACCCAGGTGGCGGCCGCCGGCGTAGCTGAAGGTGGGCAGGGGCTGAGAAAGTCGCGCCAGAGCCGGCCCGGCTGTTGCGGAGTGATGCAGGGAGAGGGAGAAGCCCAGACTCTCATTCATTCGACACATATTTCTTGAGCACCTTCTGTGGGCCAGGAGCTGGGGATACACCAGTGAACAAAACAAGGTCTCTGCCCTGGTGGAAAAGCCTGACTTCCAAATCCAAGTTCACAGCCTACAGGCTATGTGACAGTGGATGAGTTGCTTAACGTCTCTGTTCCTCAGTTTCCTGTCCGCACAATGAGACTAATCATCGTCCCCACCTATTCGGATTGTAATTAACTGAGTTGATTCGTGCAGGGTCCTGGCACACGGTAAGGGCTCATTAACTATCAGTGGCCCAGTCCGTAAGCATGTGCAGTGTAATTTTAGATGACTGCTGTGAAGAAAATCAGCGGAAAGTGTTGAGAGAGAGGGCGCTGGATTAGAGGAAGTGATCCGAAAAGGCCTCTGAACGGAGACCCGAAGGGAGGGAGCGAACCACGCAGAGATCTGTGGGCGAGAGGTTTTGGGCAGGGGAACCGCGTGCAAAGGCCCTCGGTGGCCTGCAGGGCAGGGAAGCGCCCGTGCAGCTGGCGGCGGTGGGCAGCAGGAGGTGAGGAGAAGTAGGCGGGCCCGGGTTTATCCTAAGTGTGATGGGGCCACTGCAGGGTCCTGAGCTCGGGCGTGATGCCATCTGTCCATTTTTTAAATTATGCGGGCTGCGCGTGAGACTGGAGTGTACGGGGCTAGGGTGGGAGTGGGGAGACCCGTGAGGGGGCTGTTGCAATGATCCAGGTGAGAGATTGCAGAGGTGGTGAGTAGTGGTCTGATTTGGGATATGTTTTGGAGGTTCGATCCGTAGGATTGCTGAAAGGTATGAAGGTGGGGGAAAGAAGAGTCAAGGTGATTTAATGTTTGAGGTCCGCATCACTGGGTAAATGGAGCACCCTTTGTTGCCATGGGGAAGGCTGCAAAAGGAACGGGAATGGGGTCCCAGATTCAGGGTGGGGCGAGCCCACAGGGAAGTGAGAGGGACCACAGAAGCGATGGCTTCCACACGAGTTAAGGCAGCAGCGCTTCAAGCAGGAAGTGTGGCCTGAGAAAGGGGGTCATTCTAGGGGGCGTGGCCAACGAGAAAGGGGCGTGGCCAATGGCGAAAAAGGCAGGCTGAGTGACAGATTACCCAAGGGCGAGAGCAGGGAGCGGAAAGAAGCCTTCCTGGTACCCCTGCCACCCTCAGCCCCCAGGCCTTTGACCACCTCTCTGCCACCTTTAGAGCTCTGGTGGACATTCTGAGACATCAGGCGGGGCCTGGGACCCGCCCGGACCGGGCCCGAAGCAGCTCCCTGACCCCGGGGATCGGCGGTCCCGACAGCATGCCCCCCAGGACGCCCAAGAACCTCTACAACACCGTGAAGACCCCCAACCTCGGTGAGTGGAACGTGGGATCCGGCGCAGCCTCCGTCTCTGGCCACGCCCCTTCATCATGTAGCCCCGCCCTCCATGGCGGCTCCACCCCCATCGCCCAGGACCCGCCCTCACCCCCTACGCCCGCCTTGCACTGCCGGGTCCTGCCCTGCGAAAGGCGGACGGGGGCTAGGAACTCCGTAGAGAGCCAGACCCTCTCCTTGCCCTCCTGTGGACCCCCCTGGGTGGGGCTCCATGGGCACCTTGGTGATGTAGGTTTAGACATTCTCAAGCCCCTGCGCTCGGTGTCAGACCACCTAACAGCCAACTACACACAAGGGCACAACTACCAAATTCGAATTTGTCAGGAGCCAGACCGACTGGGTTTGAATCCTGACTCTGCCATTGTGTGACCTGGGGCAAGTGACCTCACCTCTGTGGGCCTCAGTTTCTCCATCCATAAAATAAGAAACATAACAATACTCACTTCATGGGGTTATGGTGAAGAGCAAATGAATTGGTGAGGCAGGTGATTAGAATAATGTGTAACACAGAAAAAAATACTATGTAAGTGTGGGCTGTTGCTATTGTTAAATATATATAATTATATATTTAAAATATGATATATCATATTTAATATTGTATATCATTTAAATA
Organism: Homo sapiens; assembly: GCF_000001405.40. NCBI lineage: Eukaryota > Metazoa > Chordata > Mammalia > Primates > Hominidae > Homo > Homo sapiens. The sequence goes on along the minus strand of NC_000019.10, from coordinate 55,439,977 downwards.
TGATCTATATTATTATAATTTATGATGAATGCATCAGTGGAGAGGTCCAAGGAGCTGTCAGGGGAACTGAGAAGATGTGGTCTGGTTTGGGGGCAGAAGGGCTTCTCCGAGGGGGAGGTATTTGAGCAAAGGCCTGGAGGAGGAGAGGCGTTAGAAGGGCTTCTCCAAGGGAGAGGTATTTGAGCAAAGGCCTGGAGGAGGAGAGGCATTAGAAGGGCTTCTCCGAGGGAGAGGTATTTGAGCAAAGGCCTGGAGGAGGAGAGGCGTCAGAAGGGCTTCTCCGAGGGAGAGGTATTTGAGCAAAGGCCTGGAGGAGGAGAGGAGTTACTGGGGCTGGGAAGCTCCAGGTGGCAGAGCTTGTGAGGTGACCAGACTTGAGGCCAGGGAGAGGGTGGTTGGTGACCTCAGAGAGGGCCTTGAGCGCCAGGCTGGGCTGAGGAACTCCGCCTCCGTCCTGAGGGTGATGGAGAGCTGCGGAGGAGTTCCAGCAGAGGAGCAACACAGCCAGCAGTGGGTGGTAGAACCGGTCCTCTGGAACCCATGCAAAGGGCAGAGATGAGAGGAAAGAGGCCCAGGAGGAGGCTGGGATGATGGTCCAGGCAGCAAGAGGACAAGGACGGAGCTGGGATCAGGGGTGGAGAGGAGAAGAGACATCTGAGCTGGATCTTGAGGCAGATGGGAAGAAGGGCTTCAAGGCAGTGAGAACAGCATGGTGGCATGTGCAAAGGCCCTGTGGCAGGACCACGCTGGGCTCACTGGAGAGAGCAGTGCGGCTTGAGGGAAGGGATGGGAGATGGGGCTGCAGACATCCAGTGGGTCCAGGTTTTGAAGCCTCAAACACCATTCCTGGGTTCAACTTTGTCCCGTGGGTGATGGTGAGCCAATGGGAAGGCTGTTGAGCAGTGGAAGGGCAGTTACCTCGGTGAGGCTGATCATGGAGATGGATGGGCTGGATGGCCAGAGGCTGCTTTGGTGATCCAGGAGGGAGAGGACACATCAGGGCAGAGATTCAGATGTCAGAAGGAACCAAGTGGACATGAGTGGGAGGTGGAGGGAGGTAGCAAGGCGACCCCCTCAGATCTCTAGCCTGGGCACCAGGGGGGGGGGTGCTAAGAACTTGGGACAGACCACTTACCCAGCCCTGAGCCTGTGCCCACACTTTCCACCTTCAAGACCCCCAGCCTCAGTTTCCCCCATGTGGCCAATGGCATGGGTTGATCTGTGGAGCTCTAACGAGGTCCTGCATGTGGGGCCGACCTTGGGGCCAGAGTCCTTCCCAGAGATCAGGGCCACGGTGCCAGCTGGGAGTCAGTGATGGCAGTGACATCATCTCCCTTCTCGGTCCCCCCAGATAATCTGCACCACAGCTACCTGCACCTCAACGTCAACAGCCCCAAGCACCACGCCGCCACACTGGGTGCGGAAGAGGGCCCGGCTGCGGAAAAGAGCAGGCCTCCTTCCCTTCCCCCTTTGTGTTGGGCCAGCCATGCCAGGTGCCCAGTATAGAGCAGGAGTGAGACCCCTGTGAGCCCAGTCCTCATGGCGCTCATGGTCTGGCCAGGTCACCAAGTGAGCCTGTTTCCTCGTGTGGATGCCAAAAGTGGTCATCTCTCTCCCACATTGTTGATGGAGCCTGGGGCCAGGCACTCAGTGGGTGCTGACAAATGCCCAGTACCCCCCTCTTGGGGCCCTCTTCCCCAGCATCAAGCCCGTCTCCTGAGCAGAGGGGCTGGGGTGAGAAGAGGGAGCCTGAACTGCTGGAACTGATGGGCTACAATCTCAGATTTCTAACTCCCCAAAGAACTGCTGGGTCTGAGGGAGGAGGGGCTGGGGGCCTGGACGCCTGGGTCTGAGGGAGGAGGGCTGAGCCTGGATCCTGGGTCTGAGGGAGGAGGGGCTGGGGGCCTGGACGCCTGGGTCTGAGGGAGGAGGGGCTGGGGGCCTGGACGCCTGGGTCTGAGGGAGGAGGGGCTGCAGGCCTGGACGCCTGGGTCTGAGGGAGGAGGGGCTGGGGGCCTGGACTCCTGGGTCTGAGGGAGGCGGGGCTGAGGCCTGAATTCCTGGGTCTGAGGTGGAGGGGCTGGGGGCCTGCACTCCTGGGTCTGAAGGAAGAGGGGCTGGGTTTCTGGACTCCTGGGTCTGATGGAGCAGGGGCTGGGGGCCTGGACTCCTGGGTCTGAGGGAGGAAGCTGACTGACCCTGGCCCTGCCCCCTCTAACCCAGACTGGCGAGCCTTGCCGCCGCCCAGCCCCTCCTTGCACTACTCCACGCTGTCCTGCTCTCGGTCCTTCCACAACCTCTCGCATCTGCCCCCGTCCTACGAGGCTGCCGTGAAATCCGAGCTGAACCGCTACTCTTCCCTCAAGAGGCTGGGTGAGTCCTGGCAAGGGCAGCGCGGCGGTGAAGGGGAGGGGGCGGGGCCAGAGCCTGGGTTCAGGACCGTGGACAGTGGCCCAAGAGCCTTCCAATGGTTTAGCTTCTCTCCCAGGTTTTACTCCAAGTTCGTTCTGGAATTACCTGTGGTACTTTTGTATCAGAATCACTTCTGATTTTTTTTTAATGCAACCTTCTGGTCTCCCCTCCCAGGACATATTATGGTGTTCATCAGGACTTGGACTTGCAATTAATAGAAATACTACTTCAGCTAAAGGAAAAAAACATGTTGACTTGATCATGGAAAATCTACAGGTCACCAGATTGCGATGTGGCTGTTTTGGGGGCTCAAGAGCTGTCTCTTAGCTCTCTACGCCACCGGCGGGCCTCATTTTCAGAGAGTCTCCCCTCGTGGTGGCAACGACCACCCTGCAGATGTTCAGGCTGCCGTTCTACCAGCTCAGGGACCCTGGCAGAAAAGAGTCTCTCCCAACAATTCCGGCAAAAAATCCCAGGCCTGGATGCCATTGGTGCAAGCTGGGTCACATGCCCATCCCTGAACCCATTCCTGTGACTCTCATTGGACATTCTGCAGTCCGTGGCCCATTGCTGACAGTGGAGCAGCCTTCAAACATCTTAAACTGAGAGCTTCACTAGGAAACACTTTTTCTTCTTTATTACCACTATGTTTTCAAGACAGGGTCTCACTCTGTCACCCAGGCTGGGATGTAGTGGCATGATCATCATTCACTGCAGCCTCTACCTCCCCAGGCTCAAGCATGATCCTCCCACGTCAGCCTCCTGGCTAGCTGGAACTAAGAGCTCGTGCTGCCATGCCTGGCTAATTTTTGTATTTTTTGTAGAGACGGGGTTTCACTGTGTTGCCCAGGCTGGCCTCAAACTCCTGGGCTCAAGAAAGCCACCCACCTCGTCCTCTCAAAGTGCTGAGATTACAGGAGTGACCCACCATACCCAGCCAGAAACTTTTTTTTTTTTTTTTTGAGACAGAGTCTCACTCTTGTCGCTCAGGCTGGAGAGCAGTGGCATGATCTTGGCTCACTGCAATCTCCGCCTGCCGAGTTCAAGTGATTCTCCTGCCTTAGCCCCCTGAGTAGCTGGGATTACAGGCGCATGCCACCACACCTGGCTAATTTTTGTATTTTTAGTAGAGACGGGGTTTCACCATGTTGGTGAGGCTGGTCTCAAACTCCTGACCTTGTGATCCACCCACATCGGCCTCCCAAAGTGCTGGGATTAAGGCGTGAGCCACTATGCCCGGCGTTTTTTGTTTTGTTTCATTTTGTTTTTTGTTTTTTTGAGACAGAGTTTCACTGTTGTTGCCCAGGCTGGAGTGCAATGGCACCATCTCGGCTCACTGCAACCTCTGCCTCCTGGGCTCAAGCGATTCTCCTGCCTCAGTCTCCAGAGTAGCTGGGATTACAGGCACATGCCACCACTCCTGGCTAATTTTTGTATTTTTAATAGAGACGGGGTTTCACCATGTTGGTCAGGCTGGTCTCGAACTCCTGACCTCAGATGACTCACCTGCCTCGGCCTCCCAAAGTGCTGGGATTACAGGTGTGAGCCACCGTGCTCGGCCCAGAAACGATTTTCATATTGTGACCCGTGAGACACACACACACACACACATGTGTATATTTTTAATTACAGGAAATCTTTGAAACTTTTTATTACGGACATTTGCAAACATACATGCGAGTAGAGAAAATTATAAAATGAGTCCCATGTTCCCATCACTCAGCCTTAATAATTAGCCACATTTTGTTAATCTATCCTCCCTCCACCCCACTTTTTGGTGGATCCTTTTTTTTTTTTTTAACGAGACAAGGTCTCACTCTTTTGCCCAGGCTGGAGTGCAGTGGTGTAATCATGGCTCACTGCAGGCTCAACTTTCTGGACTCAAGCAATCCTCCGACGTCAGCCTCCCGAGTAACTGGGACTATAAGCATGAGCCACCATGCTTAGCTAATTTTTTTTTTTTTTTTTTTTTTTTTGTAGAGATGGAGTCTCACTATATTGCCCAGGTCGGTCTTGAACTCCTGGGCTCAAGGGACCCTCCTGTTCAATCACCCAAAGTGCTGGGATTACAGGAGTGAGCCACCTCATCTGACCTTGATGGATTCTTTTAAACTAAATCTCATCCTTTAATATTTCAATCACACACACACACACACAACACACACCCACACACACACACCACATATACACCACACACACACCACACACACACCATACACACCATACACACACACCACACACACCCACACACACACCACATATACACACACACCACATATACACACACGCACACACGCACACACATACACACCACACACACGCACACACGCACACACACATACACACACACCATACACACACCACACACACATACACACCACACAACCACACACACCATACACACACACCACACACACACACCATACACATACACCACACACACCACACACACCACACACACACCATACACACACACCACACACACCACACACACCATACACACTACACACACACCACACACACACCACACAGCCACACACCCACACACACACCACATATACACCACACACACACCATACACACCATCCACACACACCACACACACCCACACACCACACACCATACACACACCACATATACACACACACCACATATACACACACACCACACACACCACATATACACACACACCACACACACCACATATACACACACGCACACACACACCACACACCACACACACATACACACCATGCACACACGCACACACACACCACACACACCATACACACACCACACACCACACACACCACACACACCACATATACACCACACACACCACACAACCACACACCCACACCACACACACGCACCATACACACACACCACACACCATACACACACACCACACACACCATACACACAACCACACACACCACACACACACGCCATACCACACACCCACACCACACACACACCACACACACACCATACACACACACCACACACACCATACACACACAACCACACACACACCACACAACCACACACACACCACATACACACCACATATACACCACACACACACCATACACACACACCACACAACCACACACCCACACACACACACCACACACACACCATACACACACACCACACACACCACACACAAACCACACACCCACATACACACCACACACACACACCACATATACACCACACACGCACACACACCACACACCACACACACACACCACACACACACCACATATACACCACACACCCACCACACACACACACACGCGTCTGCAGTAAGAATTTTATGAACCAACACTTACCCCTGATTCCCTTATTACATAAACACTTTCTGATAGTTTTCTCTTCTGTTCTATTTGATTTCATTTTTCAAAATGCTGCTCACTACCCGCAAAATCAACTTCACAACCTAACAGGTCACAACTCCAAGTGTGAATCACATTGCTACAGGATGAGAGGGGGTCAGTGGTTCCCCAAAAGCAAGAGTTGGGTTCTACTCCCAAAAGAAGGGATAGGCGGCGCGGGGGGGAAGAAGAGGAAGTCCTCCACATCTACTGACCCAGCATTGTGGGCTGGGCCTGGGAATCTGCATTTTGGCCTCACAGCTAGCCTGATGCCCAGGATCCTTGTGGGGGCACAAGGAGCATAGGAGCGGGATGTGACGAGGTGGGAGGGGGAGGGCTCTAGATGCGCAGGGGACCCACGGCTGTGGCTTTTCCCCCTCTCCCCGCAGCCGAGAAGGATCTGGACGAGGCCTACCTGAAGCGCCGGCCCCTGGAATTGCCCCGCGGCACGCTGCCCCTGCACGCGCTGCGGCGGCCGGGCACGGGGGGCGGCTATCGCATGGAGGCCTGGGGCGGCCCAGAGGAGCTGGGCCTGGCGCCCGCGCCCAACCCCCGGCGGGTCATGTCCCAGGAGCACCTGCTGGGCGATGGTGGCCGTTCGCGCTACGAGTTCACGCTGCCGCGCGCGCGCCTGGTGTCGCAGGAGCACCTGCTGCTGTCCTCGCCCGAGGCCCTGCGCCAGAGTCGCGAGCACCTGCTGTCGCCCCCGCGCAGCCCCGCGCTGCCCCCCGACCCCACCGCCCGGGCCAGCCTGGCCGCCTCGCACTCCAACCTGCTGCTGGGGCCCGGGGGGCCCCCAACACCGCTGCGCGGGCTGCCGCCACCGTCCAGCCTGCACGCCCACCACCACCACGCCCTGCACGGCTCGCCGCAGCCGGCCTGGATGTCCGACGCCGGCGGGGGCGGGGGCACACTGGCCCGCAGGCCGCCCTTCCAGCGCCAGGGCACGCTGGAGCAGCTGCAGTTCATCCCGGGCCACCACCTGCCCCAGCACCTGCGCACGGCCAGCAAGAACGAGGTGACTGTCTGAGGCCAGGGCCGGGTCTGGGGGGCTGCGGCCTCCCGGGCCCCCCGTCCCAGCCTGGATCCCCCGACACAGGCGCACACATGCCAGGGGCCTGGGGCCCAGATCGGCCCTTGGACAGGAGTGAAAGCCTCCTTCTGGGATGTCCTGGCAGACAAGATTCCTCCTCCTATTACTTCACTGCTTGAGCCAAGGCCTCCTTCCCATGATGTCATCCCAGAGGAAGAGGCCGGCTCATGAGGTCATCACTAGCAAAAATGTCTGTGTTCTGTGATGTCATCACAGGGACAAAGCCTCGTTCCCATGAGGTCATCACAGAGGAAGAGGCCGGCCCGTGAGGTCAGCGCTGGAGGCCATGTCCATGTTCTATGGTGTCCTCAGAGGCTTCCTTCTTGTGGTATAATAACAGAGACGACGCCTTGTTCCATGACATTCCTTCCTGTGGTGTCACTGCAGAGACAATCTCACCTGGATGATGTCATCTCTAACTCCAAGGCCTCTTTTGGCATCATCGCCATGGGGAAGATATTTTCTCCCTGTGTCTTTGCAGCAGAGAAGATGCCTCTGTCCTATGATGTCATCATTACAGACAAAGCCATCTTCCTGGGACACGTCGCAGGGGAAAATGCCTCACCGATTGTGTCCTCACTAGACATAAGGTCCCCTTTTCACAACATCATCACAGGGACCCTGCCTCCTTCCTGTGATGCCATCACCAGAGAAGGTGCCTTGCCCTATGACGTCATCAGAGGGACCGTGCCTCTTCCTGTGATGTCATCACCAGAGATGACCACCCACTCTGGGACCTCTCCAGGAGGAGGTCCCTTCTGTGATGTCGCCCAGATGCTATGTGCTCTGAGATGGCACAAAGAGATGCCTCCACTGCTGCCACCATGTTGTAGAAGGCAGGGCAGGCCCAGAGTCCAGGACCACCCCAGGGAAGATGCCAGAGAGCAGAGAGGGGCCCTGTCCTGAGATGTTGTCTGAAGGAAGCATCGCTGGGGAGCCGCCCATGTGGAGGGCCTCCTCCAGAGATGATGGTCTGTGTAGGCTGTTGGCAGTGACACCCCTACCCCCAATGCTGTGATGGCATCACCAGAGCTTCCTCCTCAGAGGCACTGCCCACTCTGGAAGGCCATCGGTATTGGTGGTGTCACCAGAGTTACTGCCTTGTCCCACCATGACTTAGCTTGGTTGCTCCCTCCCCAGACTCCAGGGACATGTCCAGCAGGATCTCTGCCAGACCCTCTGAGGGGAAATGGGGCCTTGGATCCCACATCTGTGCCATGACTCCTGGGAGACAGGACCTCCAGATGGCCTTCTGCTCCCAGGAGGCCACTCTGGATCACCAGGATCCTGGAGTTCTGGCACTCATAGGTGTCCCATAGCCTGGCCTCACTTTTCTTTCTGCCATATCTAGAGACAATCACCTCTGTCAACAAAGTCCTAGCCTTCTACTGGGGGGAGGTGCTTGGGGTACACCTACTCTTGCCCTCACTGACACTGTCAGCATCACACAACACCCGCCACTCATGATGGCACCACACCCGGGGTCAAGTGTTACCCATGTCTGAGGATGGAATCCTTCCCCAGGATTACCTATGACCCACAACTATGGTATCATCTTCTTCCAGGATTTACCATGACTAATGGTGTCACCATCTGCCAAGACTCCCCATAGCCAATGGTGTCACCATCCTCCATGATTCCTCACAACCATGGTGTCATCATCTTTCAGGAGCCACCACAGCTGACGGTGTCATCATCTCCTAGATTCCACCATGACCAGTGATGACATTACCTTCCAGAATCCACTACACCTGACAGAGACATCCTCTACTGAAATCCACTAGGACTGATGATTCCACCATTTCCCATAATCCCTCATGATTTTGGTGTCATCACCTCCCAAGACCCATGATGCCCAATAGTGTCATCATCATTTGCAGGGATGCATGGTGTCATCATCTCCAGGGATCCACTTCAACCATGTGCCACCACCTCCCAGGATTTCATTCAAACATGTGCCACTACCTCCCAGTATCCACTTCAACTATGGTGTTATCACCTGCCAGGATCCACGAGAGCCAATGCTGTCACCATCCACTAGGATCCACCATAACCCTGGTGTCATCATCTCCTGTGATCCATGAGGTCCAGTGCTGTCACCATCCACTAGGATCCACCATGACCCTGGTGTCATCATCTCCTGTGATCCATGAGGTCCAGTGCTGTCACCATCCACTAGGATCCACCATAACCCTGGTGTCATCATCTCCCAGGATCCATGAGGTCCAGTGCTGTCTGTCACCATCCACTAGTATCCACCATAACCCTGGTGTCATCTTCTCCCAGGATCCATGAGGTCCAGTGCTGTCACCATCCACTAGGATCCGCCATAACCCTGGTGTCATCATCCGTGATCCATGAGGTCCAGTGCTGTCACCATCCACTAGGATCCACCATAACCCTGGTGTCATCATCTCCCAGGATCCATGAGGTCCAGTGTTGTCACCATCTACTAGGATCCACCATGACCCTGGTGTTATCATCTCCCAGGATCCATGAGGTCCAGTGTTGTCACCATCTATTAGGATCCACCATGACCCTGGTGTTATCATCTCCCAGGATCCATGAGGTCCAGTGCTGTCACCACCCACTAGGATCCACCATAACCCTGGTGTCATCCCAGAGTCCACTGCAACCATGTGCCATCATCCCCCAAGAGCCATCATCTTAGGAGCCAAGTACCGTGACGGGCTGTATTTCAGTTGTCCTCTGGGGCCGCATGGTACTTACAGTTGTTCACTTAAGGGGAACCAGCACAACAGGCCATATTCCCGTTTCCACTAAAAGGACAGGGGTGGGGCCAGCTGTCCCCCTCTGAAGACTTCACCCCTACTCTGGCCCTCCTTATGTCACTGCCTCACTCCTGACCGAGGATGATGCCTGCATCAATCCCACCACAGATGTGGCCTCAGCCAACCTCACCTTACCCCCCGGTGAGGCACCCAGGCCCCTCCTGACAGCAGCGCTGTCCCTCACCCAGCCATCTGATTGGTGACAGGGTCAACCCAGCAACCTCTCATTATCACCAGAGAGGAAGCATTTCAACCCTCAGGTGACGCCACTGCCCCCTGCCCAATCCCTGTCACTTGGGCCCCTACCAGGATCAGCACTCCACTGGCCCCGGCCAAATTCTCCTCAGAGATCCCTGACCCCCGCGGGATAGGTCAAAGCTGGTGACCGACTGGGGCCTTCAGTGCTGTCTTCTGCTGGCCTCATCCTGCAGCAGGGACACTGGAGAGCAATGGTCCCTGCCAGCACATCTGCGGGACCAGGGGTGCTCCTTCACCTCCCTCCCTAACACCTTAACACCCGGGGAGCCTCCGGGGGTGGCAGGAAGTCCCCAGCACCCAATGCACAATCTTCCCTCAATTCTCTTTGTACATAGCCATGTTGCGGGGGCGGCCATTCCCCCACTCTTAAAGGGCTACACGCCCCTCCCCCAGCCCCTAGGGCGAGGTGGGGGGGGCCTCTTCTTCCTCCCCTGGGCCGTCCCCCTCCCTCTTATGTCTCCCCGCAAACACTGGCACCTCACACTCCTTCTTGTCAGGAGCTTGGGGCAGACAACTGGCCCTTGGTTCCCACCACACTGAGGAAATGGGGGTTACCCAAATCCACCTGGGCCCTGGTGCCAGTTTTTCAACCCCACGGCTTCTAGCTGCTCTGAGGGGCTCCTCCCATCCCTTCCAGGGCCTCCCCAGCCCCGCACTGCTCAGGCCAACTGTGACTTCCCCAGAAAGGAGCCAGCTTGAGCACCCACCCCCTCCCAGCCCCCTCCCCTCTGCTCAACACCTCCGCGGAACACTCAGCTTTCTCCAGCTGCCGGGATTTGGGGGTCTGGGCCTTTCAGCTTTTTTATCCCCCCTCCACTAGCTCTAGCCCAGCCTGGATTCCAGGGATCCCACCCCTAGCCCTGTCCCTATTCAGTTGGCACAGGCTGCCTGACCCTGGGGCCTTGATTTGATCTCAAATAAGCCATAGAGGAGAGAGGTCTTGAGGGGTGGGAGCAGGTGTGTACTGACAATTCCCCTCCACATGTCTTGAGCTGGGACCTCGTCATCTGAGACTTCCCCATGCCCCAACAAATGCAAATGCACACAAACCCATGCATACACAAGCACACACACACAGGCATCTCCCCGTCTGGTTGGGGGAGCATGGGAGGGGGCACTTCACAGGGAGAAGATAAATAGTTCCACACCTGAAGACCCTCCAACAGCTTCTGCCTCCCTCCTCATCACTTCCTCTCTCCACCCCCTCTCCAACACTGGCCCCTTCCCCTAATTAATTCCCTGGTGAGGACAGCCAGAGGAGCTGCGACTTGGTATTTTTTGGAATAAATAGACATTTTCCTGATCGAAGGTCTCAAGGCTTACTGTGGAGAAAGGATGGATTTCCACCCACGTTTATGGGTCACAGGGGAGGCCCCCTGGCCTCAAACGTGTAGCTGGGTGTAGTAGGTGGGCAATTTGCCAAAGGTTGGGCTTGAAGCATTTGTTCCCAGGCCAGGGCCCACCACCTAGCTGAGGGGTCAGGGGATGGATGTGGGGGTGCACTGTAAGGTGCTTCTAAGTTCTGGGTTTTGTCCTAACAAAGCCCTCTGTCCTCTGAGCATGTGAGCATTTGTTTGTAGATTCTAGAGGTCACCTCCTTATATTCAAATTATTTGGCCGAATAGCATTAAAGCGTAGGGGTGTGGGTGGGGTGTACTAGTTTTGCAAAACTTCATGGCTCACAGTTCCGGAGGCTGGAAGTCCAAGATCAAGGAGGTGGCAGGCCGGCCAGGTGCAGGGGCTCATGCCTATAATCCCAGCACTTTGGGAGGCCAAGGCAGGAGGATCACCTGAGGTCAAGAGTTTGAGATCAGCCTGGCCAACATGTTGAAACGCTGTCTCGACTAAAAATACAAAAAAAAAAAATTAGCCGGATGTGGTGGCAGGCACCTGTAATTCCAGCTAACCAGGAGGCTGAAGCAGGAGAATTGCTTGAGCTTGGGAAGCGGAGGTTGCAGTGAGCCGAAATCCTACCACTGCACTCCAGCCTGGGCAACAGAGTGAGACTCTGCCTCAAAAAACAAAAAAGGTAAAAAGGAGGTGGCAGGGCTGGTTTATTCTTTCTCAAGAGGGGATCTGCTCAGGCCTCTCTCAGGCCTGGTGCTTGGTTGGTATCTTAGGCATTCCTTGGTTTGTAGCTGCGGTTCTCCCTGTCTTCACATAGTCTTCCCTCTGTGTCTGTCTGTCTCTGTATCCAAATGCCGCCCCACACTTTTTTTTTATTTTTTTGAGACAGAGTCTCTCTCTGTCACTCAGGCTGGAGTGCAGTGGCACGATCTCAGCTCACTGCAACCTCCGCCTCCCGGGTTCAAGCGAGTCTCCTGCCTCAGCCTCCCAAGTAGCTGGGACTACAGGCGTGCACCACCACGCCCAGCTAATTTTTGTATTTTTAGTAGAGACAGGGATTCACCATATTGGTCAGGCTGGTCTTGAACTCCTGACCTCGTGATCCGCCCTCAGCGGCCTCCCAAAGTGCTGGGATTACAGGCATGAGCCACCACACCCAGCCCAAACTCCCCCCTTTTATGATGACACTGATGACGTTAGATTAGGAGCCTCCCAGATAACGTCATTTTAACTTGCTCGTCTGCAAAGACCCTCTCTCCAAATAAGGTCACAGTCACAGGGACTGGGTAGTTAGGACTCAAACGTCTTTTTTGAGAGACATAATTCGACCCATAAGAGGAGGCATGGCATGGTGATGTCCACTGAAGTGTCCATTTTTATGACAATTAGGAAGCATTTTCCAACTGGACATGGTGGCCCACAACCATAATCCTAGCACTTTGGGAGGCTGAGGTATGAGGATTGCTTGAGGCCAGGAGTTCAAGACCAGCCTGGGCAACATAGCAAGGCCTCATCTCTACTAAAAATTTAAAAATAGGCCAGGTGTGGTGGCTCATGCCTGTAATTCCAGCACTTTGGGAGGCCGAGGCAGGTGGATCGCCTGAGGTCAGGAGTTCAAGGCTACAGTGAGCTATCACTGCATCACTACACTCCAGCCTGGGCAGAGTGAGACCCTGTCTCAAAAGTAAAAAATAGCCAGGTGTGGTGGCTCACGCCTGTAATCCCAGCACTGTGGGAGGCTGAGGTGGGAGGATTACTTGAGGTCAGGAGTTTGAGACGAGCCTGGCCAATGTGGTGAAACCATGTCTCTACTAAAAACACAAAAATCAGCTGGATGTGGTGGTGCGCACCTGTAGTCCCAGCTACTCGGGAGGCTGAGGCAGGAGAATCACTTGAACCCGGGAGGCAGAGGTTGCAGTGAGCTGAGATCGCACCACTGCATTCCAGCCTGGGCAACAGAGCAAGACTTTGTCTCAAAAATAAAAAATACAAAAAGGAAGCATTCTCCCTGCCTGCTTCCCTTTCCCACCCAGTGCATTAAAACATTTGCACAGTGCTGACGAGAGTTGCCTCCTTACCTTAGTGCTCAGATGCAGACTCTGGCCAGGAGGGGAGGTTCCTCTATGTACCAATTTTACGAACTTTAGGAAAATTCTCCCTAGATGCAACTAAATATTTGTCTCTAAGCTTCAGGCTTTCACCTTGCATCTGAGGGTTTGTTTGCGCATCACTCTGGAAAGAGAACTGGAGAGACACAGATAAAAGAGAGGTAGAAAAATACCATGAGGCAGCAACTACCCATCCCCAGTTTGAGACTCCAAGGGGCACGGTTGAATTTTATTTTCTGCTATGCCAGTTCACTAATTCAGTCAACAAAATACAGTGAACGGCACAAACAAGGTCCTTGTTCTTGAGGAACAAGTGAACCCATGGAAGTCCCTCAGTTCTCCCACAAACCTCTCTTGGCTTCTGTTCCTGGCAACCAAGTGCACTGTCACAATGACAGTGATTGTTATAGGGGAAAAAAAAATTAGAAAATCCAGAGAAGGAGATAACAAAATGGAGATCTCCTGATTTCTCACTGCTTAGAGTCAAATGCTGTTTACATTAGCTATGTTTTCTTCTAGAAATTTCCACATGAAAACAATTTTTTTTTTTTTACAAATCAGCCTTCCTATATATAGACTGCTCTGTAACTTCTTTTTTCTTTTACTTCTTTTTTTATTTTGTTTTGTTTTTTGAGATGGAGTCTTGCTCTGTCACCCAGGCGGGAGTGCAGTGGCACAATCTCGGCTCACTGCAACCCCCGCCTCCCAGGTTCAAGCAATTCTCCTGCCTCAGCCTCCCTAGTAGCTGGTACTACAGGTGCGCACCACCATGCCTTGCTAATTTTTGTATTTTTAGTAGAGATGGGGTTTCACCATACTGATCAGGCTGGTCTCGAACTCCTGACCTTGTGATCCACCCGCCTCAGCCTCCCAAAGTGCTGGGATTACAGGCGTGAGCCACCGTGCCTGGCCCATTTTTTTTTTTTTTTTTTTTTTTTTTTTGAGACAAAGTCTCACCCTGTCTCCCAGGCTGGAATGCAATGGCGCGATCTCTGCTCACTGCCACCTCTGCCTCTCAGGTTCAAGCAATTCTCGTGCCTCAGCCTCCTGAGTAGCTGGAACTACAGGCATGCGCCACCACGCCCAGCTAATTTTTGAATTTTTAGTAGAGACCAGGTTTCATCACGTTCACCAGGCTGGTCTCGAACTCCTGACTTCAGGTAATTCTCCTGCCTTGGCCTCCCGAAGTACTGGGATTATAGGCATCAGCCAGCGCACCTGGCCCCTGCTTTTTTCATCTAATAATAGAAGGACATTATGCCATAAGTATAGTTAACTTATCTGCACCCAACTGTATATATAGAAAGAGAAACAGAAATTTAATAGTGCAAGTAAGCTGTATAAAAGAGAATGAGGATGCCTTGGATGTTGCCCACATCACCCAGTGTGAAATAGTCTCCAAGGTTTATTGTTAAGTAAGAAAGCAAGATATAGAATAGTGTGCATGAATGCTACCATTTGTGTAAAAGGAGCGGGGAACAGAATCTGTATATAAATTTGCTGCACCAAATATTTCCAATTCTCCTCCTGGGCACATGGTAGGATTCTATTTCCCTGCCCCCGAAGTTAGCTGTGCCCGTGCGACTTGCCTTGGCCTATGAAGTGCGGGCAGAAGTATCTTTCCAGGCAGAAGCTTGTGAGAGACAGGGTGTGGTTCTCCCATGCTCTGTCTTTTCCCTCCTCCATGGGCACTGGCATATTTCAGGTCATAGCTGCTCTGCTGGCCTGAGTCCCAGGCAGATCAGCCAGGGCCCCAGAGTAAGGATGATGCCAAATAGGGGCTCCACCAGCCGCAGATGCACATGTAGCACGAATGAGAAATAAACTCTTGTTGCTTTAACAACCAGGGCTTTGGGGCTACTTGTTACTGCAGCCTAGCATAGCCCATTCTGGCTGACAGGGTTGCTTATGGAGAGGGGAACTGGATGGCTGGGGCTTTTTACTTCTAAATGCCCTTTTGCACTTCTGGATTTTTGTATCGGCAAGTGTACTCTCTACTGTTTTGTTTTGTTTTTTAGACAGGGTGTTGCTCTATTGCAGAGGCTGGAGTGCAGTGGTGCAATCTCAGCTCACTGCAGCCTTGATTCCCCAAGTGATCCTCAGCCTCCTGACTAGCTGGGATTACAGGTGCCCACCACCAGGCCCCCAGCTAATTTTTGTATTTTTACTAGAGACGGGGTTTCGCCACATTGGCCAGGCTGGTCTCGAACTCCTGACCTCAGATAATCTGCCCACCTCGGCCTCCCAAAGTGCTGGGATTACAGGCATGAGCCACCATGCCTGGCCCTACTTTTTTTTTTTAATAGAATTTTTAAATTCTGCAGCAGGAGAATCGCTTGAACTCAGGAGGAGGAGGTTGCAGTGAGCCAAGATCGCTGAGATCGCCAAGATCGTGCCACTGCACTCCAGCCTGGCTGGCAGAGTGAGACTCTGCCTAATAAATAAATAAATTAATTAATTAATTAATTAACAGAAAAGAAAGAAAAAAGAATTTAAAAAAATATAAATGTAGAGATGGGAATCTGGCTATGCTGACCAGGCTAGTCTTGAACTCCTGACCTCGAGCGATCCTCCCACCTCAGCCTCCCACAGCGTAGATTTAAATGCAAATGGTGCAGACTTTGCCTGCCATTCCCCTCACTAAGCATATGCCAAGACACGTGAGAGAGATGGGCGACTGGAGTCTCATTCCTCTCCCTCAGAGGGTGATTAGCTTCCCACTCTGAATCGGAACTCCAGTGCTTCAGTGTATGTATTTTCATTCCTCATGGATGCCACATGCCAGCCAACGGATTCATTTGTGTTCAACAAGAGAAGAGCAATCTGCTCCACACCCACTGTGTGCAGGGCGGGCAAGTCAAGGATAAGATCTGACATGAGCATTCTGCCTTCAGTGTTCGCCTTTGTCACCTAACACTCGCTCAACTGGCAACCCGACTGTGCCAATAAATGCAGCCTCTCAGCAGCTATTCTTAACCCGCATTTGAAGGGTGGGCTTGTGAATGTCTCAAATCTATGCCAGATGTTGTGTGCATGCTTTTTCATTTCACTTTTCTTGACTTTATATTTTGAAATAATTTCAAATGTACAGAACAGTTACAAGAATAAGTCAAAGAACTTCTGTGTCATTTTCACCAACTCACCATTTGTTACCATTATATGACATCATTGTATGGTTTTCTTTCCATATAAATATTCATCTCGGCTGGGCACGGTGGCTCATACCTGTAATCCCAACACTTTGAGAGGCCGAGATGGGTGGATTGCTTAAGCTCAGGAGTTTGACATCAGCCTGGGCAACATGGTGAAACCTCATCTCTACCAAAACAACAACAACAACAACAAAACAACAACAACAACAACAAAATATATATATATATATATGCACACAAAAAATTAGCTGGGCATGCTGGCATGCACCTGTAGTTCCAGCTACTCAGGAGGCTGAGGCGGGAGGATCGCTTGAGCCCAGGAGGTAGAGGTTGCAGTCAGCCAAGATCACACCACTGCACTCCAGCCTGGGCCACAAAGCCAGAACCTGTCTCATAAAAAAAAAAAAAAAAAAAATGCCGGACATGGTGGCTCATGTCTGTAATCCCAGCACTTTGGGAGGCTGAGGCAGGTGGATCACCTAAGGTCAGGAGTTTGAGACCAGCCTGGCCAACATAATGAAACCCCGTCTCCACTAAAAATACAAAAAATTAGCTGGGCGTGGTGGCAGGCGCCTGTAATCCCAGCTACTCGGTAGGCTGAGGCAGGAGACTTGCTTGAACCCAGGAGGCAGAGGTTGCAGTGAGCCAAGATCGTGCCATTGCACCACAGCCTGGGCAACAAGAGCAAAACTCCATCAAAAAAAAGAAAGAAAAAAAAAAGCCAGGTGCAGTGGCTCACCCCTGTAATCCCAGCATTTTGGGAGGCCGAGGCGGGCAGATCACGAGGTCAGGAGATCAAGACCATCCCGGTTAACATGGTGAAACCCCGTCTCTACTAAAAATACAAAAATTAGCCAGGCGTGGTGGTGGGTGCCTGTAATCCCAGCTACTCAGGAGGCTGAGGCGGGAGAATCGCTTGAACCTGGGAGGCGGAAGTTGCAGTGAGCCGAGATCGTGCCATTGCACTCCAGCCTGGGTTACAGAGCGAGACACCTTCTAAAAAAAAGAAAAAAATCGTGTTTTTTTTTTTTGGAGATATTTGGGAGTAAGTTGCACCTATCACATCCCTTTACCCCTAGAGGCCATTCTGAAGAACAAGGCCACTCTCTTACACATCCACAGCATAATTATCACACTCAAGAATTTAGCATTGACCAAGTCCATGTTTGAATTGCATCAAGCGTCCTGCTACTGTCTTTCAGAGCAGCTTTCAGTTTGTGACACTCCAGGATTGGGTGTTGCATGCAGCTATTGTGCTTCTTGAGGTGGCTTCTTTTTTTTTTTTTTTTTTTTGAGACAGAGTCTCGCTCTGTTGCCCAGGCTGGAGTGCAGTGGTGCGATCTCAGCTCACTGCAAGCTCCGCCTCCTGGGTTCACGCCATTCTCCTGCCTCAGCCTTCCAAGTAGCTGGGACTACACGTGCCCGCCACCAAGCCTGGCTGATTTTTTTCTATTTTCAGTAGAGACGGGGTTTCCCCATGTTAGCCAGGATGGTCTCGATCTCCTGACCTTGTGATCCGCCCGCCTCGGCCTCCCAAAGTGCTGGGATTACAGGCATGAGCCACTGCGCCCGGCTGAGGTGGCTTCACTCTGAAACAGTTACTCAGTCTTTGTCTTTCTTTTCTATTTTTATTTTTTATTATTGCACACAATTCACGCAGAGATTAAGGAGATGTTTTTTTTAAGAGAAGGGGTCTCACTATGTTGCCCAGGCTAGAACTCCTGGGCTCAAGTGATCCTCCTGCCTCAGCCTCCCAAAGTGCTGGGATTACAGGTGGCAGCCACCACGCCCAGCCCAGTCTTTGCCTTTTTTAATGCTGATTTTTTAAAGAATCCAGGTAGGCCATTTTATAGAATATGCCTTGCATTTAGGCGCATCTGATGTTTCCTCATGATTAGATCTGGGTTACATGTGTGAGACAGGAAAACCACAGAAGGGATGCCAGAGTCTCAGCGCTTTGGCTGAAGGAAGCCCATGCTCTCATGCTTCCTGAAGTTCATGTGCTCAGAGCTCATATGCTCTGAGTGCACTCCACCAAGGCTGGAGTGCAGTGGCACCAACGAGACTCACTGCAGCCTTGGCCTTCTGAGCACAAGGGATCCTCTCACCTCAGCCTCCTGAATAGCTGGGATTACAGGTGCACACCAACATGCCTGGCTAATTTTTAAGCTTTTTTTTTAATAGAGATGGGGGTCTCATTGTGTTGCCCAGGCTGGTCTTAAACTCCTGGGCTCAAGCCATCCTCCTGCCTCAGCCTCCCAAAGTGCTGGGATTACAGGTGGGAGCCACTGCACCTGGCCAACAACAGAAGTCTATTTCTTCACAGTTCTGGAGGCTGGAAGTCCAAGATCAAGGTATCAACTACCCAAAGTGCTTGGATTACAGGCATGAGCCACCACACTTAGCCTGATGCTATGTAGTTATCTTTTTTCTCCTCAAACTTTCACATGCTGCTTTGGCCTCCACTGATGATTCTCTTGGCTGAATCAATTTTTTTTTATTTTTTTTTCGAGATGGAGCCTTGCTCTGTCATTCAGCCTGGAGTACAGCAGTGTGATCTCGGCTCACTGCAACCTCTACCTTGCGGAGTCAAGCGATTCTCCTGCCTCAGCCTCCCGAGTAGCTGGGATTATGTGCCACCATGCCCAGCTAATTTTTGTATTTTTAGTAGAGACGGGGTTTCACCATGTTAGTCAGGCTGCTCTCAAACTCCTGGCCTCATGATCTGCCCACTTCAGCCTCCCAAAGTGCTAGGATTACAGGTGTGAGCCACCATGCCCGGCCTTGGCTGAATCAGGCATTACAACGATGTTTGAATATTGGAAGTCTTCAAAGCATCTGAATATCACTCTCCAAAAGTTGAACAGCAATCTTCAGATGATAATTTTCCAAACTCATTATTCTTCTCACATGTATTCGTTAGCATTTGTACTTGCTTTTTTCAGGGAAATGGATCCAGTACTTTCATCAGATTCTTCGAGACACCAGTGATTCAAAAAACAACAAAACCTCCCTCATTTTCAGTGGCTATAGCATATTCTGTTGTATGGATGCAGCATAATTTTTTCCCAGTTCCTACTGCTACAGGATCTTTGGGGTGTAGATTTTCTTCCCCGCTGGAAACCTCTGTTGCCAATGATGCCTTTGCCTGAGTTCTTGTCCTGAGTCCAGGAAGAATGAGGTACGCAGACAAGTGAAGGGTGAAGAAGACAAGGATGAGCTTGATTTAGTGTTACAACCGCTCAGAGGACCCACAGTGGGTAGCTCCTCTCTGTAGGCAGGTCATCTGTTGAGTGTTCAGTTATCAGCAGACAGGAGGTTCTGGAGAGGGTAGCTCCTCCCTACAACTGGTCATCCTAATGTCTGCAATTCTTAGCAGAGAGGAGGCCCTGGTGGGGGTGGCTCCTCTCTGCCAGCAGGTAGTCTGCAGGTAGCTCTTCTCTGCCACTGGTAGTCCAATCCTCTCTCCTCCCTCTTCCTTCTCTGGCTGTCCCCTGCCCTGCTCTGGCTGAGCCCAGAGCTTTTATGGGCCTCAGAGGGAAGGAAGTCCATGCTGATTGGTCCATGGGTAGCCATGGGCAGCCCAGAAGAGGCACCGCGTGTCCCCACTCTGGTCCTCAGGACTGATAGCCCAGCCCCCAGCCTTCAGGCCCTCCTTAGGACTGCCCCCTTCTGCCCAGGCCTCCTACTGCCATTCACAGCCCCGGGGCTCTGCCCTAACCACTGATCTGAGATGGGAGCAGGAGCCAGGAGCGGTGAGAAGCCAGGCAGTGGGAACAGGCACCCCTGAGACTGAAGGGATGGGGGGCCCTTCCTGGGGCCCCCAAGGGTGCAGGCTGCAGAGACTCTTGAGTCCCATGCCTGGGAGGGCAGTTGCCACTGCACCCAGAAGCTCCCACCCCACCAATTCAGAAGGGGCAGGGCTCCCACTTGTCCCAGCTCCTGCCTGCTCTGTGGAGCTGGAGGCCCAGATTTGCAGTACCGGGTCTGGTGGCTGCAGCTGCACCCAGGAGGACAGATCCTGCCCGTTCCTGGCACCACCCCCCTCACCCCCAAGAGCACAGGGAGGCTCAGATCCACAGCCACAGTTTGGGTGACTGCAGTGACACCTGG
The DNA here is from genome assembly GCF_000001405.40 of Homo sapiens. NCBI lineage: Eukaryota > Metazoa > Chordata > Mammalia > Primates > Hominidae > Homo > Homo sapiens. The sequence goes on along the minus strand of NC_000019.10, from coordinate 55,419,322 downwards.
GGAGCTCTGCCCCAACTCAGAAGGGGCGGGGCTCCCCCGGCTCCATGAAACGTGCAGCCCCAGCTGCACCTCCCTGCTGCAGCCAGCATGATAGCAGCAGCCCCTGCCATCACTACCAATAGATGTTTGGGTTTTCCCTAGTTTTTACTACTCTAAACAATACTTGAGGAACATCTTTTTGCACAACACTTGGTGCATTCCTTTAATTTTTTCTTTTTTCTTTTTTCTTTTTTTTTTTTTTTTTGAGATGGAGTCTTGCTCTGTCGCCCAGGCTGGAGTGCAGTGGTGCAATCTTGGCTCACTGCAACCTCCGACTCCCTGGTTCAAGCGATTCTCCTGCCTCAGCCTCCCAAGTAGCTGGGACTACAGGCACTGCCACCACATCCAGCTAATTTTTGTACTTTTGGTAGAGACAGGGTTTCGCCATGTTGGCCAGGCTGCTCTCAATCCCCTGACCTTGTGATCTGCCCGCCTTGGCCTCCCGAAGTGCTGGGATTACAGGTGTGAGCCACCGCGCCTGGCCACTCCCTCAATCCACCTTGGCCTCCCGAAGTGCTGAGATTACAGGTGTGAGCCACCGCGCCTGGCCACTCCCTCAACCCGCCTTGGCCTCCCACAGTGCTGGGATTACAGGTGTGAGCCACCGCGCCCGGCCACTCCCTCCATTTTCTTTAGGATGAGCTCTCAGGAGATGAGTGGCAGGTGTATTTTGAAGACTTTTGCTAGACAATGCCAACTACGACTCAGAGGGCCTGTGCCAAGTCCATGTATGTGAAAATGTCCGTGTGCTCCCACCCTCCCCAGCACTGGGCATTTTTCTGTTTAAGCTTGGTGTGCGTCACCAGTGTTGGTTGTACAGTCATTACAAGAAATTCCTAGTGCACTCAAGAAGTCTCTGCCTTGTGCTCAGGGATTTGCGAAGCAGGATTGGCCCCGGGTAATGCATTTAATTACTGCTGTGTCTGTCACTAGAGGGAGCACCCGATCCACTTAAGGGCCTATTTTTGCATTGATCAGGGCCTCTCCCACCCAGGAGAGTTCCAAGTTCAGCTCCAGAGGCACAGAGGAAAGTAGTTTTTGTCAATTACCTACCCCAGCGTGTGCAGACCCCTCAAGCTGGGAAGGTCACAAGTGTCTGCTCAGAAGTACTCAGGAACTAAGGAGCAGAGAACCTGCTACCAACCACAGACTAGCAGACACAGAAACTCAGGAAAGGATGCTCAACCTCACTGGGAAGAAAGGAGATGCAAATAAAAGATGGGACACCTTGACTTGCCCATGATGTGGAATCTTTTGAAGACTGCTCATCGTCAGGCTCACTCCTGTGAGGGGACTTTGACACTGGCAGTTTCCTCTGCCTGGAATGGCTTTTCTCTGGATTCCCACAAAACTTGCTCTCTTACTTCCTTTAATTTTTTTTTTTTTTTAAACAAAGTCTCGCTCTGTCACCCAGGCTAAAGTGCAGTGTCATGATCTCGGCTCACCACCACCTCCACCTCCGCTTCCTGGGTTCAAGTGATTCTCCTGCCTCAGCCTCCCAAGTAGCTGGGACTACAGGCACGAATCACCACACCCTACTGATTTTTGTATTTTTATTAAAGACGAGGTTTCACCATGTTGGCCAGGCTGGTCTCAAACTCCTGACTTCAAGTGATCCACCCACTTCAGCTCCCCAAAGTGCTGGGATCTGGGTTTACAGGCATGAGCCACTGTGCCCGGCCGCTTCATTTGAATCTTTATTCAGATGTTACCTTCTCAATTAGTTCTACCATATTTAAAACTGTCCCCCTTGGCCAGGCGCAGTGGCTCACACCTGTAATCCCAGTACTTTGGGAGGCCAAGGCAGGCGGATCACGAGGTCAGGAGTTCGAGACCAGCCTGGACAAGATGGTGAAAGCCCGTCTCTACTAACCACACAAAAAATTAGCCAGGTGTGGTGGCGTACACCTGTAATCCCAGCTACTTGGGAGGCTGAGGCAGGAGAACTGCTTGAACCTGGGAGGCAGAGGTTGCAGTGAGCCGAGATCACGCCATTGCACCCCAGCCTGGGCAACAGGGTGAGACTCTGTCTCAAAAAAAGAAAACTCTACCCCCACACCAGGTATGGTGGCTCACGCCTGTAATCCCAGCACTTTGGGAGGCCGAGGTGGGAGGATCTCGAGGTCAGGAGGTCAAGACCAGCCTGGCCAACATAGTAAAACCCCATCTCTACTAAAAATACAGAAATTAGCTGGGCATGGTGGTGCGCACCTGTAGTCCCAGCTACTTGGGAGGCTGAGACAGGAGAACTGCTTGATTCTCCTGGGAGAATCTCTGCCTGGGAAGCAGAGGTTGCAGTGAGCCGAGATGGCGCCACTGCACTCCAGCCTGGGCAACAGAGCAAGACTCCGTCAAAAAAAAAAAAAAAAAAAACTGTCCCCCTCACAACATTCCTGAACCTCCTTAGCCTACACTAATATTTACAGCAATTAATATCTTTATTCTATTTTTCAGACAGGGTCTCACTATGCTACCCAGGCTGGAGTGCCATGGCGTGATCATGGCTCACTGCAGCCTCAACCTCCTGGGCTCAAGCAATCCTTCTGCCTCAACCCTCCTAAGTAGCTAGGACTATAGGCATGTGCCACCACTCCTGGCTAATTTTTAATTTTTTTGTAGAGACAGGGTCCCACTATGTTGCCCAGGCTGATCTCAAACTCTTGAGCTCAAGTGATCCTCCTGCCTTAGCCTCCCAAAGTGCTAGGACTGCAGGCATGAGCCACTGTGCATTGCCAATATCTTTTAATACTACCAACTTGACTTACCTATTAGCCCAGGACTTCCCCAGTGTGAGCATGCAAAGGCCTGCATCCTGGGCTGCCACTCAGTCCCAGGAAGACTTTTAGTCTCCCCGCTGGAATGGAAGCCCCAGGAGGGCAGGGATTTTGTTTCCTATCTTGTTCTCGGATGTGTCCCAAGCACCCAGAACAGTGCCCGGTGTATATCTGGTGCTAAAGAAATACGGGTTAAACGAGTAAGTCACATCTTGGGAATCCAAATAAGGAGAACCCTGCCAAGGGCCACTGGGCAGAATGGCAAGCACGCATTCTCTTTGATCTTGAAAGTTCCCCTAAGACTTTGTCCTTCGGAAATGTTCACGGCTGTACCCAAAGATGAACAGATGAAGGAGGATGCTCACAGCAGTGTCTAGCCATGCGCTGGGCTCAGCCTTGATGCCCATCAGTCAGAGAGTACGATGAAACTACAGTGGGATCTTTGACCTTTTCTGTTGTTTTTTGAGAGTTTTTGTTTTTGTTTTGCGACAGGGTCTTCCTGTGTCACCCAGGTTGGAGTGCAGTGGTGTGAACACAGCTCACCGCAGCCTCAACCTCCTCAGCTCAAGTGTTTCTCCCACGTCAGCCTCCCGAGGAGCTGGGACTACAGGTATACACCACCAAGCCTGGCTAACTTTTTTTTTTATTATTTTTATTTTGGCTGGGTGCGGTGGCTCACGCTTATAATCCCAGCACTTTGGGAGGCCGAGGCAGGCGGACCATCTGAGGTCAGGAGTTTGAGACCAGCCTGGCCAACATGGTGAAACACTGTCTCTACTAAAAATACAAAAATTAGCTGGGCGTGGTGGCGCGTGCCTATAATCCCTGTTACTTGGGAGGCTGAGGCAGGAGAAGTGCTTGAACCTGGGAGGTGGAGGTTGCAGTGAACCGAGATCACGCCATTGCCCTCCAGCCTGGGCAACAGGGTGAGACTCTCTCTCTCAAAAAAAATTAATTTCTTATTTTTTTATAGAGACAGGGTTGCCCTATGTTGCCCAGGCTGGTCTTGAACTCTTGGGTTCAAATGATCTTCTCTCTGAGGCCTCCCAAAGTACTAGGATTACAAGCATGAGCCACTGCACCTGCTCTATACTGTGATTGTATTGAGTGACACTTGCTGTGCAGCAGTTTAATTGAAGGCTACTGATCGATGTGGACGGGAAGGGCTGCGGAGAGAAGTGTGGATGTGGAGGGTAGGAGGGGAAGGAGGGCTAGAGCAGCACCTCCAGCCTTCATTTCCCATGCCTCAGTAACTGTGGATTTCCCTCCAAACACCTATTTCTTTTGTAATTTAATACAGATGGACAGAAATGAAGATTAATTTCTGAAACCAGAATTCAAGCCAAAGGGACAATTTAGGTTTCACTGAACAAAAGTAAATTCTTTTGAGATAGAGTCTCACTCTGCTGCCCAGGCTGGAGTGCAGTGGCGTGATCTCGGCTCACTGCAACCTCCGCCTCCCAGATTAAAGCAAGTCTCCTGCCTCAGCCTCCTGAATAGCTGGGATCACAGGCATGCACCACCGTGCCCGGCTAATTTTTGTATTTTTGGTAGAAATGCGGTTTCACCTTGTTGGCCAGGCTGGTCTTGAACTCCTGACCTCAGGTGATCCACCCGCCTAGGCCTCCCAAAGTGCTGGGATTACAGGCATGAGCCACCACGCCCGGCCCTGAACAAAAGCGAGTTCATGGGTTACTAGTACTTAGCAAAGAAAGGGTGCCCCTTCCCAATCCCATCCTCTGACAATTCCTGTCTCCCAAAGGATTTGGAAGGCTGCCTATCACTAGACCACCTTCTGATTAGTTCTCACATCTGCTCCCTTCCCTCCACCCCTTTCCCAGACGGTCGCCACCCTCGCCAAGCCACAGTCCACTTGCTGCTGGATTTTCTGCTTCCAATCTGGACCCTCCAGTCCAGTCTCTACCAGCAGCCCTGAGCTACAGTCCCAATATGAGCACCAAATCCAGTCACCCCTCTGCCCAAAACTCTTCAATAGGCCAGGCGCGGTGGCTCATGCCTGTAATCCCAGCACTGTGGGAGACTGAGGCAGGCGGATCACGAGGTCAGGAGATCGAGACCATCCTGGCTAACATGGTGAAACCGCGTCTCTACTAAAAATACAAAAAATTAGCCGGGCGTGGTGGTGGGCGCCTGTAGTTCCAACTACTCAGGAGGCTGAGGCAGGAGAATGGCGTGAACCCGGGAGGCAGAGCTGGCAGTGAGCCGAGATCACGCCACTGCACTCTAGCCTGGGCGACAGAGCGAGACTCCATCTCAAAAAAAAAAAAGAAAAAAAAAGAAAAAAAAAAAAACCTCTTCAATAGCTCCCTAGAGCTCACGCACACTCTTCACGGTGGCCTTCTGGAGTCTGCAGAGCCTAGCCCTTCCCGGCCACCTCTCCCAACTTGGAACACTGTCCCTCAGATCTCTCTCTCTCTCTTTCTCCCATCCCTATGACTTTCTTTGAGTTTCCCCCATCACAGTAACTTTTTAAATTCTTACCAAAAAAAAAAAAAAAAAAGGCTTAGGCCAGGTGCAGTGGCTCATACCTGTAATCCCAGCACTTTGGGAGGCTGAGGCAGATGGATTGCTTGAGGCCAGGAGTTTGAGACCAGAGTGGGCAGCAGGGAGAAAACCAATCTCTATAAAAAGCACAAAAATTAGCCTGGTGTGTTGGTGCACCCTTGTAGTCCCAGCTACTCGGGAGGCTGAGGTGTGAGGATTGCTTGAGCCTGGGAGGTGGAGGCTGCAGTGAGATGAGATCATGCCACTGCACTACAGCCTGGGTGACAGAGTAAGACCCTGTCTCCAAAAAAAAAAAAAAAAAAAAAAGATAAAAAGCTTAATTGAGATGTAATTCATGTATCATAGAATTCACCCATATAAACTACATAAATCAATGGTTTTTAGTATATATCCACAAAGTTTTGCGACCATCATCACAATTTTAATTGTTTATATTTCAATAGTTTTGGGGGTACAGGTGGTGTTTGGTTACATGGATAAGTTCTTTGGTGGTGATTTTTGACATTCTGGTGCTTCCATCACCTGAGCAGTGTACACTGTATCCAGTATGTAGCCTTTTATCCCTCACCCCCTCCCAATCTTACCCTCCAGTCCCCGAAGTCCATTGTATCTTTTTTTTTTTTTTTTTTTTTGAGATGGAATCTTGCTCTGTGGCCCAGGCTGGAGTGCAGTGGCACAATCTCGGCTCACTGCAACCTCCATCTCTCGAGTTAAGGTGATTCTCCTGCCTCAGCCTCCTGAGTAGCTGGGATTACAGGTGCCCACCAACATGTATGGCTAATTTTTGTATTTTTAGTAGAGATGGGGTTTCACCATGTTGGCCAGGCCAGTCTCAAACTCTTGACCACAAGTGATCTGCCTGCCTTGGCCTCCCAAAGTGTTGGGATTACTACAGGCGTGAGCCACAATGGCTGGCCCCATTGTACCATTCTTATGTCTTTCCATCCTCATAGCTTAGCTCCCACTTATAAGTGAGAACATAGGGTATTTGATTTTCCATTCCTGAGTTAATTCACTTAAAATAATGGCCTTCAGGACTGGGCGCAGTGGCTCACGCCTGTAATCCCAGCACTTTGGGAGGCCGAGGCGGGCGAATCACGAGGTCAGGAGTTCGAGACCAGCCTGGCGAACATGGTGAAACCCCGTCTCTACTAAAAATGCAAAAAATTAGCTGGGCTTGGTGTTGGGCGCCTGTAATCCCAGCTACTCGGGAGGCTGAGGCAGGAGAATCGCTTGAAGCCAGGAGGCGGAGGTTGCAGTAAGCTGAGATCACACCACTGCACTCCAGCCCAGGTGACAGTGCGAGATTCAGTCTAAAAAAAAAAAAAAGAATAATGGCCATCCAAGTTGCTGAGAATGCCATTATTTCATTCTGTTTTCTGTTTTATGGCTGAGTAGTATTCCATGGTGTATATATACCATATTTTCTGTATCCACTCATTGGGTGATGATGGGCATTTAGGTTGGTTCCGTATTTTTGCAATTGCAAATTGTGCTTCTATAAACATGCATGTGTATGTGTCTTTTGCATATGATTTCTTTTCCTCTGGGTAGATACCCAGTAGTGGGATTGCTGGATCGAATGGTAGATCTACTTTCAGTTCTTTAAGGAATCTCCACACTGGTTTCCATAGTGGTTGTACTAGTTTACATTCCCACCAACAGTGTAAAAGTGTTCCCTTTTTACCACATCCATGCCAACATCTATTTTTTTTTTTTTTTAATTATGGCCATTCTTGCAGGAGTAAGGTATTATCTCATTGTGGTTTTAATTTGCATTTCCCTGATAATGAGTGATGCTGAGCAGTTTTCATATGTTTGTTGGCTGTTTGCAATATCTTCTTTTGAAAGAATTGTCCATTCATGTCCTTTGCCTACTTTTTCATTGGATCATTTTTTTTCTTGCTGATTTGTTAGAGCTCCTTGTAAATTCTGGATATTAGTCCTTTGTCAGATGTATAGCTTGCAAATATTAAAATAATGGCAAAAACCTCGATTTATTTTGCACCAACCTTAATATAAGGTGAGCGATGAGGATCCAGTTTCATTTTTCTACATGTGGCTTGCCAGTTTCCCCAGCACCATTTATCGGGTAGGGTGTCCTTTCCCCATTTTATGTTTTTGTATGCTTTGTTGAAGATCAGTTGATTATTGTGGCATGAGAGCAGAGGAAAAACATGGTTAACAGAGAGTATTCCCTACCTACCACAACATGTAGTTCCTTCTAAAATACCATGTTTTCCTTATTTATTATGTTTCATTTTTGGTTCTGTCTTCCTCAACTACAGTAAGCCCTTTGTCTATCTGTTATCTGATGCATCCCAAGGACAAAGATCTTTGTCTATCTGATCTCTGATAAATCCCAAGCACCCAGATTGGTGCCTGGCACATAGTAGGTGCTCAATAAATATTGGTTGAATGTATAACATCTTCAGTCTGTCTGGCGCCCTGCTAGGGACTGAGGACAAGATCCCTGCTCTGCTGGGGCTAATCTTCTAGTTGGGAAGAGTCAAACACACAATCAGGCAAATAATTGCAAATCCTGATAGATCATGAAGTTCAAAGAGGATGAAGCAAAGAGAGCATGGGAGGGGAGGAAAGAGGAGAGAAGCTGCCGTGAAGGGGTGACGAGTTAGGGTAAACCTAGGAGATGAGAAGAAGGAAAGGGGAAAAGCACGACCGGCACAGAGAACTGCCTGTCCAACTGTCCTCAGGGTAAAAAGCTTGGCGTATTCCAGGAACAAACAGAAAAAGGCAAGGAAGCCTCAGGAGATGGTGCAAGGGCTTATGGGTTTTTGGGGAGTCTGGGGCTTATGCAAAATGTAGTGGGGAGGAGGACTCTTGAGTTTTCAGCTGGGGTGGGGCACGTGGGATATGTGTAAAGCAGGGAGCAAACTATAGCTCAGGGGCCTACTTTGGCCACTGCCTGTTTTTGGAAACACACCCATTAGTTTTCTTAGGAGCTACAAGGGCAGAGTTTAGTGAGTTGGACCAGAGACCAATGGACCACAGCATTGGAAAACCTTTTTGGAAAAGGTCTGCCTTCCCGGTTTTCAGGTGATTATTTAGGGTACAGGTGATCCCTCCCGCTCCCTCACCCCAAGTCCAATCTATACCAGTTGCTGTTGACATCATCTCATCACTTCCCCCATTCCTAATGCCACCAATCCTGCTTGGAGCCACCATCATCCCACCTGAACAAAGGTAATCACCTCCTCATTGGCCTCCCTGTTTCTGTTCATAAGTCTGAAGGAGTCATTCTCTGCTCAAAGCCACCAATGGCTCCCCATTGCTCAAAAAACAGACATACTTTTCACCATGGCCTAGGAGGCCCACCAGCAGCCCCTCACCTCTCCCACCTCAGAGCCCTCTACTTGCTCTGCCTCACTCCAATCCAGCCTCGCTGGCCTCCTAATGTTCCCTAAAAGCACCAAGCACAATCTTCTTGACACCTGCTGTTCCCTTTGCTCAAAATGCTTTTCCCATAGACCTTCCAACAGCCCAAATGACCTTTCCTCAGACAGATTCTCCCTGCCCAGCCAAGGTAAAATGGCAGCCCCATCCCTCCCTCTCAAACCTCCCCCTCCCACTAATTGTTCCTGTCTTTATCACTTGCTGATTGTTCTTCAGTCTTTATCACTTGCTGACATGATGGTATAGACTTACTTGCTATCTGGCTCCCGCACCAGGATGTAAGATCCATGAAAGTCGAGGCTTTGTCCCTTTTATTCTCTGCTGTATCCCATAGCATCCTGACAGCTAGAGTGTAGACACTAATAAAGAAGAACAAATGTATTGAATAAATGCAGGTATCCAGAGGGGATCATAATAATTAATAATATCCACCCATTATGGTTGTTACAAGGATTAAATGACATCAAGCATGTAAAGAAACTAGAACAGGGTCTGGCACACAGCAAATAATACATAATAACCATTAGTATTATCATCATTATTGTTATGTCTTTTGGGTGGATTTTTAAGATCAAGACGAATTTAGCCACTAGCTTTGCCTTGTCCCAGCTGGGGAACCCCGAGCAAGTCACTTTACCTCCTGCTCCTTCAGCTTCCTTGTCTGTTAATTGGGTTGGAATCCTCCACACCCAGCAGGCTAAAATTGAAGATCAGCAAAATGCTTATCGGCAAAATGGGATGACGTTGACTCTAAGCAGGACTGGTGGCATAGCGGATGGGGGGACGTGATGAGATTCAGTAGATGACGTCAACAGGAACTGGTATAGATTGGACCTGGGGTGAGGGAGCAGGAAGGGATCACCTGAAGCCATTTCTCCACAAACTAGTTATGATGATGACTTTTTATGCTGTAGCTGTTTCTTCAGTTGTTTTGGGTTTGTTTGTTTTGTACATATTGGTGGGGGTCTCTCACTATGTTGCCCAGGCTGGTCTTGAACTCCTGGGCTCAAGTGATCGACCTACCTTGGCCTCCCAAAGTGCTGGGATTATGGGCGTAGTCACTGTACCCGACCATGTAGGTTTTGTTTTTTGGTTTTTTTTTTTTTTTTGCTTTTTTGTTTTTTGAGACAGGGTCTTGCTCTGTTGCCCAGGCTGGGGTGCAGTGGCGAGATCTCAGTTCACTGCAACCTCCACATCCCGGCTTTAACCGATTCTCCCATCTCAGCCTCACGAGTAGCTGGGATTACAGGGCTGCATCAACACACCTGGCTAATTTTTGTATTTTTAGTACAGATGGGGTTTCACCATGTTGGCCAGGCTGGTCTCAAACTCCTGACCTCAGGTGATCTGCCAGCTTCAGCCTCCCAAAGTGCTGGGATTACAGGCGTGAGCTACCACGCCTGGCCTTGGCCATGTAGATTTCTTTCACACCTTCCTTATTCCTTCTTCAGAAGCTGAGGCCCCATGAGGGGAAGCTGGTAGCCAGGGGTCTTTTCAGGTACCTGTGGCCAAATTAGGCCCAGATGTTAATGCTCTCATCCATGGCTGAAAAAGGCCAAGAAACTAAGAAGAGCTGTGGACGCACAGACTGGCAGAGACACCGAGAGGGCACTGCGACCGCACTGCACAGATGAGCAAAGGAAGGCCAACTTCAGCATTCCCTCCTCCTCTCTAAGCCCCTCCAAAAGGCCTGCTCAGGGAGCTCTGGCCACCGTTCTCAAGCAATTGCCTGACGTTTTTACTGACACTGAGGGCTGGAGATGGTCCCTTTTCCAGGCAGCTATGTGTCCATTTCCTAGAGAGGGAAACTGAGTCCCAGAGAAGGCGGGTGTGGCTGGAGGCCATGGGTCAGTCATAGGCATAACCATGCCGTGAATAACCGTCTTGGCACTCTCTGACTTCTTTCCCTGGCAATACAACGGATCCCAGTGCCCATTTGTCACATAAGGAAACTGAGGCTGGCGTCTTCGATGAAGCCTGGCAGGAGTGGGGGTCACACACGGAGTGCAAGGCTGTCCAAGCCTTCAAGGTCATTCTGACTGATCTTTGAGCCTTAGCAATACAGGACGTGGGTCCAAGAGCATTTCCAGCACAAAATGGCGCCTCATAGAAAAATGTAGTCGGAGTTCCAGCGCCCACCTCCACCACGGCTCAAAGGAGGGGGCGCGGGCGGCAGCGCACACTTCATTTGCATATACAAAAATCAACGGATTTCGTTGGCTGGCAGCGGTTTGATCTGCACGAAACTGGGTCGCCCTCTGACCGGTCTCTATCAGTCATTGGCCCATGCGAGTCTCGTGACCCACCAGTCACTAAAGCGCATCCCTATTGGCCCGAGCGCCTTCCATCACGCGTTTAAAACCCCGAGTCCCGCCTCCCCTCGCCACGCTCCGGCCCCCAGGAAGACCGTTAGTCGCGTGCGCGACTTCCTCAGCGTCAGGGCGCGCCCGCGCGTATGCCGGGCCGTGGCGGCGTCTCATTCAAACGGTCCAATCAGCGGCCGCGTCGCCTTCCCCGTCCCCCTTCCTCTCTTCTTCCCCTTTTCAGCCCCTCCGTTCTTTGAGAACCCTCCCGACCCCCGCGGGCCCCCATTGGCCGGCCCGCTACCCAGCCCTCTCCGCCACTTCCCTCGCTTCTGACCATAGTTTGCGGGGAAGGGAGCGAGCGCGTCGAAAACCAAGGAACGTGCGCGCTGACGTCACGGTTGAGGCTCGGAGCTGAGGGGCCGCGGAGGGCGTGGCCTGCGGGCGGTTATAAAGAGGCAGTGGTGCGCGCGCGGCCGGCTCAGTGCTGCCGGGCACCGGGGCGGCGGGTTGGTCTACGCTGTGCGCGGCGGACGTCGGAGGCAGCGGGGAGCGGAGCGGGGCCGCCGGGGCCTCTCCAGGGCCGCAGCGGCAGCAGTTGGGCCCCCCGCCCCGGCCGGCGGACCGAAGAACGCAGGAAGGGGGCCGGGGGGACCCGCCCCCGGCCGGCCGCAGCCATGGTGAGCACGGGCGATGAGGCCCATGAAGGTGGTCGGGGGTGTCCCTGAGGGAGGAGGTGGAGTCTCAGGGGCCTCCGACGGGCGGCCTTGAGGGGTTTGAGGGCCAGCCTGGGGGTCCCTGACCCGGGATGGGCCCGAGGGCCTTCCCGCAGGCGGAGCAGGAGCTCGGGCGGCCCGCAGTCTCCCTGGCGGCGAGGGCTCCGGGCGCTTTGCGGCCCGCCCATGGGTGTTACCAGGAGCAAGGACGCCCCGCCGCCATCTCCAGACCTGAGCCGGGGTTTCAAGGATGCTCTAACCAAAAATTAGTGGAGAAGGGGGAGAGAGTAGATCTCTGGCCTACGTGGAACCACTGGGGACCAAGCAGGGTTAGGAGCGGGCTTTGGGGGGGGGGTTCTGGGGTGGGTGGAGTTATCTGCAAGCCCCCCCGTGAACCCGCCCCCATTTCTGTTGGAAACTCTGCCTGGGCTGATGGCCTGAAGCATCCTGGGTGAGGGTCTGGGAGTTCAAGGGTGATTGACAGCCTGGGGCCACTGAGTCAAGACTTGGGCAGTCTCAGCATCTTTAGGCCCTGCGGGAAGCCCAGCTCTTAACACTCGCTCACCCTGCTCTCCCATCCGTGCCCAGAACTCCAACGTGGAGAACCTACCCCCGCACATCATCCGCCTGGTGTACAAGGAGGTGACGACACTGACCGCAGACCCACCCGATGGCATCAAGGTCTTTCCCAACGAGGAGGACCTCACCGACCTCCAGGTCACCATCGAGGGCCCTGGTGAGTTTGGAAGGAAAAAGAGAAGGGGCTGCTGCTTAGATCCTCCATCACCCTGCTCTAGATCACCCTAGCGGGAAGTACCCATTACAGGCTGGCCTCGTGTCAGGTGTTGGGATGCATTGGTGGACAGGGCAGGACGCCACAAATGACAATTATGTACTCTTTTCCCACAAGGGTTGAGAAATATCTGGTCATTGAGTTAGTATATCATGGGACGGTACTCTAGATTTGAAGCAAGGCTTTCAGACATGGCTTCCCTGGACCTGAGGGTGGGTAGGAATTAAGTAGGAATGGGAAGAGAGCTCCAGGTGGTGGGAATGGTGTCAGCAAGGGCCTGGGAGGGTGGGCCAGGTGATCTCAAACTCCATCCTGCTGTGAGTGTCAGGGATGAGGAAACAAGCCAGATGCAGATCGTGGGGAGACGGGTCATGAATGATTTGCGGGTCACATGATTTGCGGAGTGATTTAGAATACTGTTTCATGCAGGCTACATTTCTGTTATCACCAGAATTCCTACAAAGTCAGGATTTGAGCAGAGCCTGTGAAGGAATGGTCTAGTCCACGGTGGTGATGGTGGTAGGTGGTCAGGAAAGACCTGGCAGCGGTGACAGTTGAGGTCCTTCATGCCTTGCTGCAGAGGGCGCGGGATCATGACAATAGGAAGGCTCCAGAAAGGCCCTTGGGCAGGTGGAGCTGGGCGCTTGGTAAAAACACATGAAGAAAGTTGATGATGAAGCTGCCAAGCTCTTTTAGGGCTTCTAGGCCTCTTCAAGGAGTTTGTAGAGGAAGCTGGTGGAAGGTTTAAAGCAGGGGTGTGACAAATCCCTCCAAAGTTCCTATTGACTGTAGTGAGGAGAGCCGGCCTGGCAGGGGGAAGAACCCAGAGGCCAGCCAGGAAGCTAGCCTTGGAGATGGGATGAGATTCAGGGGAGGACCTAGCAGGCCGGTGCTCAGGCTGCTGATGGGCTAGGGGAGGGACAGTATTTTGACCCAAGCAAGTGGGTGAGTGGGAGAGGCGTTCACTGGGTTGGGAGGCTGTGGAATTAACAGACAGTTGGATCCTTGATCTGAAAGGCATATAAATGGGCATCTTATAGGAAAGTGCGTACTTGGGTCCCTGCCACCTGGGAAGGGCCTGTGACTGGAGTGGTCAGTTGGGCTGAGACGGGGGATCCAGGAGGGTGCAGACGAGCTTGATAGTGACACAGGTGGGGGCTGCAAGATGGGCATCATCTCTGAGGTTTTGGGGGAGGTCCTGTGGCCCCCTAGGAACCCAGCCATTCTTGCTCTTTTTTTTTTCTCTCTCTAAACGGAGTCTTGCTCTGTCGCCTAGGCTGGAGTGCAATAGCACAATCTCTGCTCACTGCAACCTCTGCCTCCTGGGTTCAAGCAGTTCTCCTGCCTCAGCCTCCCAAGTAGCTGGGATTACAGACGTGCACCACCATGCCCAGCTAATTTTTTGTATTTTTAGTAGAGATGGGGTTTCACCATGTTGGCCAGGCTGGTCTCGAACTCCTGACCTTGTGATCCGCCCGCCTCAGCCTCCCAAAGTGCTGGGATTACAGGTGTGAGGCACCGCGCTTGGCTTTTTTTTTTTTTTTTTGGAAACAGAGTTTCGCTCTTGTTGCCCAGGCTGGAGTGCAGTGGCGCGATCTCCGCACACTGCAACCTCCCCATCCCGGGTTCAAGGGATTCTTCTGCCTCAGCCTTCCGAGTAGCTGGGATTACAGGCATGCACCACCACGCCTGGCTAATATTGTATTTTTAGTAGAGACGGGGTTTCTCCATGTTGGTCTGGCTGGTCTTGAACTCCTGACCTCAGGTGATCCACCCGCCTTAGCCTCCCAAAGTGCTGGGATTACAGGCGTGAGCCACCACACCTGGCCTCTTGCTCTTAAGAATTCTACAGCCTGACTGGGCATGGTGGTTCACGCCTGTAATCCCAGCACTTTGGGAGGCTGAGGTGAACAAATTGCTTGAGCCTAGGAGTGCAAGACCAGCTTGGGCAACATAGTGAGACCCTATCTCTTAAAATAAAAAAGTAGCCAGACCTGGTGGCATGCCCGTAATCCCAGCTACTTGGCAGGCTGAGATGGGATCACCTGAGCCCAGGAATTGCAGGCGGCAGTGAACTGAGATTGTGCCACTGCACTCCAGCCTGGGTGACACAAGAGACCTTATTTCAAAAAAAGAAAAAAAGAATCCTCCAGTCTGTTGGCAGAGTTGGCGGGGCACCCACCTGCATCACAATCAGACCGTGGAGACTGGACTTTGGGGTGTTGAGGTGCCTTGGGACTCCTGAGTGCCCTGACCCTGTACCCCTCCCTCCACTCCAGAGGGGACCCCATATGCTGGAGGTCTGTTCCGCATGAAACTCCTGCTGGGGAAGGACTTCCCTGCCTCCCCACCCAAGGGCTACTTCCTGACCAAGATCTTCCACCCGAACGTGGGCGCCAATGGCGAGATCTGCGTCAACGTGCTCAAGAGGGACTGGACGGCTGAGCTGGGCATCCGACACGTACTGCTGGTGAGTTCTGGGCTGGGGCTGGGCCTCCTGCCTCCTGCCTCTGGAGGTCTGCTGGTGTCTGAGCCATAGCGCTTTGTTTAGTTTTTCTGAATCAACTCTGAAGTGGTTGAAGGTTTCCACATAAAAATCCATGTTGCTAGCTTTCCTGGAAAGACAAACAGTGCCAGACCCAGGACACCCAAGTACTGTTGAGAAGTGCCCAGGAGCACCTTACTATGCAACGAGTGGTGAGTTTGTATTGTAGGATGGTTTTTCTCTTCTCCCTTTTTTTTAAAAAACAAGGATAGGGTAGGCCAGGTGTGGTGGATCACTTGAGCTCAGGAGTTCGAGACCAGCCTGGCCAACATGGTGAAACCCTGTCTCTACTAAAAATGCAAAAATTAGCCGGGCATGGTGGCACATGCCTGTAATCCCAGCTACTTGGGAGGCTGAGGCAGGAGAATCGCTTGAGCCTGGGAGGCAGAGGTTGCAGTGAGCCGAGATCGCGCCACTGCACTCCAGCCTGGGTGACAGAGTGAGACTCTATCTCAAAAAAAAAAAAAAAATAAGATAAAAAATAAAACAGGAATGGGGTCTCATTTGTTGCCCAGGCTGGTGTCAAACTCCTGAACTCAAGTGATCCTCCCACCTCGGCCTCCCAAAGTGCTGGGCTTATAGGAGCCAGCCACTGCGCCTACCCTGTAGGACAGTTTTCTGACAGGTGGAGGTCAAGGGTCTAGTTAGAAGCTCTTTCTTTCTTTTCTTTCTTCTTTCTTTCCTTTTTCTTTCTTCCCTTTCTTTCCTTTCTTTCTTTTTGTTTTAAAGATACTGGCTCTTTGTTGCCCAGGCTGGAGTGCAGTGGCGCAGTCATAGCTCACTGTAGCCTTGAACTCCTGGGCTCAGGTGATCTTCCTGCCTCAGCTTCCTGAATGGCTGGTATTACACGCATGCACCACCATACCCAGCTAGTTTTTATATTTTTATGGTTTGCAGAGATGGGGTCTCATTAGAGGCTTTTTTGCTAAAGCTGAGCTTACATGCCGTAAAACTCAGTTCCAAAGTATACAGTTCAGTGGTTTTTTAATAGCGATAGGGTTCATAAACCAGTGTTTCTCAGCCAGAGGTGATTTTGCCCCCCAAGGGGTATTATGCATTGTCAGGAGACCAGAAAGGGTTGTCACAACTCGGGGGTGCCACTAGCATCTAGTGGGTGGAGGCCAAGGGTGCTGCCCAAATCCTGCAGCGTACGAGATGGCTCCATGACACAGAATGACCTGGCTGCGGTGTTGCTGAGGTGGAGGCGTCCTGGTCTAGGCTGGTGCTCCAGGCTGCTTACAGCCTGCTGCCTCCCAACCCTTCCCGCAAGCTGAAAAAAAAAAAAGTTAACCAAATTTCTAATGAGTCCCTGGGGCACATGGCAGAGAGGGTGGGGAATTGGGGTTTCCTGCCATGGGGAGGGAGAGGATTGAGCTCCAAGGTAAACAGACCCCAAACCCTTCCCTCCCACATGTACCGCCTCCCTTCCCCTGGGGTGTCATTGGAGGCTGCTGGGGACATTGGCACCGAGCTCCAGGCCTACTTGCTGCTAGGTCAGCATCTGGGCCTGTCAGGGGCTCAGCCAGCAAGAAGAGCAGCCAGACCTGCAGTTTGGGTGCAGTGATGAGAATTAGGGTGGGAACCTGTGTCCTGGTCACCATCAGTGATATCTGCTGAGCATCTGCTGAGCCAGGTACTGTGTATGTGTCATAGTGGCCCCAGGGAGCAAACTGCTGTGGCCAGTTTGCCCAGACCCACTTCAGAGGATCCAGCTGGGGCTGCTGGAGGCCTGGCTGCAGGTCACACCTCTGCACTCCAATTTACCCCTCAGGACGGGCTGTGAAGGGGGTTGAGAGGAATCTCTGGACCACCCTCGAAGTGCACCTCAGCCAGCAGTCCTGGTGTCTTGCCCTCTTGTGTGTGGTCCAACCCAGCTAGAGTCTTAGGCTGTGAACTTCGGATGTCTGATAAAAGACAGAGGTCAGGATTTATGCTGTATCTGGAAAGATGGGGAGCTTTAGAGTCCAACACGCAGGTGTGATTTCCTCAAATCCTGAGGCCCTGGGGAAGTCTCTTCTCTCTGTCCAGGCTGCAGGCCTCACTCGTTGAACCAGAGGGCCTCTAAGGTCATGCTGAACTGCATGGAGGCAAATTCAAAACCATAATAGGACTCAAGTCTGGGGCTCAGGCAAGTAATGGACTCCTGAGAGGGGGCCTTGGCGTTTCCCCCGTTACCCAGCAAGTTCCACGGAGGACCAGGGACATTTTAAACCATTGGGCCTATGGCATCGTGTCCTTTTGGGAACATCTGCTGTGAGGCAGGTCACATGAAGGTGGCCTCTGAGGGAGACAGGAGCAAAGATGAGGGAGGATGCAGCATAGGTGGGGCCTGGATCTGCAGCTGAGTTGGGAGCAGAAGGAACAGCCAGTGCGGAGGCCACCCTCTTGTGGAGGCCTGGGGGTCCCTGTAGGTTGCCCGACCCACTGTGACCCTGAGCCTCTTCCCACAGACCATCAAGTGCCTGCTGATCCACCCTAACCCCGAGTCTGCACTCAACGAGGAGGCGGGCCGCCTGCTCTTGGAGAACTACGAGGAGTATGCGGCTCGGGCCCGTCTGCTCACAGAGATCCACGGGGGCGCCGGCGGGCCCAGCGGCAGGGCCGAAGCCGGTCGGGCCCTGGCCAGTGGCACTGAAGCTTCCTCCACCGACCCTGGGGCCCCAGGGGGCCCGGGAGGGGCTGAGGGTCCCATGGCCAAGAAGCATGCTGGCGAGCGCGATAAGAAGCTGGCGGCCAAGAAAAAGACGGACAAGAAGCGGGCGCTGCGGCGGCTGTAGTGGGCTCTCTTCCTCCTTCCACCGTGACCCCAACCTCTCCTGTCCCCTCCCTCCAACTCTGTCTCTAAGTTATTTAAATTATGGCTGGGGTCGGGGAGGGTACAGGGGGCACTGGGACCTGGATTTGTTTTTCTAAATAAAGTTGGAAAAGCAGCTTCTGTGTCTCACAGATGCCCCAGGACCGCTGCATGGTGCCATGTGGCTCTGGGAGTTTGGCTCCCCTGCACAGGCCCTGGGTCCTTGTAAAGCCTCATGGACTGCAGCAGTGGGTCCATCTAGCTCACCAGCCTTGCTGTTTGAGGTTTGGGTCCACCTCTTTGTTCTGTGGAGGTAGAGCGGTCACAACCCCTCTTTGGAGTCAGATTTCCAATCTAAAATGGGGCGAGGACCTGGAGCTGCTCCTGGTGGCCTGAGCGGCACTGCCCTATACTTCTCCCTCTAGAATAATGGCCACGTTGGTGTGGCAGTGGTGTTCCTGCTCAGGACGGCCAGGTGCCAGCAGTCTGGCATGAGGCTCGCCTCGTCTGTCTGGTTCTGGACTGGGCCAAGGTTCGGTCCCCTTGAATCATCTGATCCTGCTTTGTGCTAAAGATTGGTTTTTCCCTTGTGGGCAGCAAAGCCTGTTCCCACATGTATTTCTGCACAACAGATCACAAAGCCAGCGGCTTAAAACAACACCCACTTCAGACTTTGTGTTGGAAGTCTGGACACGGCTGAGCTAGTCTCTGCTCAGTGCTTTGCAGGCTAAAATTGAGGTATTGGTTGTTGGTGTTCCTTAGTCTGGGTCCTCTTCCATGCTCATGGTTGTTGGCTGATTTCAGTCCTCGTAGAACTAGGGTCTTAGCTCCAAGAAGCTGCCCCTCCTTGGGCCCTGGCAGGTCTGATTTAAGGGCCCATTCCCTTTGAGGTGCTCACCGGATTAGGTCAGGCCCATCCAGATACTTAAGTGATAATGACTAAATCACAGGGGTAAGATCCCAGCTTAGTCTTAGTTTCTGCCCTCAAGGGGAAGGGATTAACCTGGGTGTGCACACCAGGGGGTGGGGAAACTTCCCATTCTATTAATGCGTTTAGGTTATTTAGACCAATGTCTCATTAATTTTAAAAAAATTAAAAATAGGCCAGGCGCAATGGCTCACGCCTGTAATCCCAACTTTAGGAGGTGAAAGGATCACTTGAGGCCAGGAGTTAAAGACGAACGTGGGCAACACAGTGAGATCCCATCTCTACAAAAAGTAAAATACATTTACAATAAAAATCTACAAGTTCTGACCCATAGGAGAGTGGAAAACTCAAAGGCTGCTTTTGTCCTGAAAGAATTTGCCTATTCTAATAAAACAGCTGAGGTTGAAACGGCTCAGCCTCTGAAAGGGGTCTGACCCTTCCTTGAGCCCTTGCCTCCAGTGACAATCTCCCAAGCTAAGGGAGAAAAGGAACCAAAAGTCTGCACTCCTCTCTACCTCTAGCAGTGCAGGGAGCGAAGGAAAGACAAGGGAAGAAACCCTTCAGATTTTCAGATCAAATTCACATCACTGGCCATCCAAGAAATCTTAAGCTCTGCGTTTATCGTCAACCATTTCTGCATGAGGGAAGCAAACAGTCCTTGCTGAAGGAAGGTGCCTGCATCCTGGGCCTCGGAACCCACTGAAATAATTTAGCGAAGTGCATAATAAAAATAATATTTGCCCTTAGCCCTGACAGAGTTCCTCAATCCCTTGGAATCTCCTGGGTATTAATAGGAGCAGTCTTTGTCCTAATGAAGCCATCTGTGATGGGCCCCTGCGTAGCTTCAGGAAGGGGGTTGGTCACTAGAAATACCAAGACCGAATTAGACAGTTGGGAATTTCAGCCCCACCCATACCTACCAACCTCTGGGAAGAGAGGGGCTGAAGGTTGAGGTCAATGACCAATGGTCAATGATTTGTCTAATATGCCCATGTAATGAAACCTCCGTTAAAACACTAAACAAGGTTGGGTGGGGTGGCTCACGCCTGTAATCCTAGCACTTTGGGAGGCCAAGGCGGGCAGGTCACCTGAGGTCAGGAGTTCAAGACCAGCCTGGCCAACATGGTGAAACCCTGTCTCTACTAAAAATACAAAAATTAGCTGGACGTGGTGGTGCATGTCTGTAATCCCAGCTACTTGGAAGGCTGAGGCAGGAGAATCTCTTGAACCTGGGACACAGAGGTTTCAGTGAGCTGAGATCCTGCCACTGCACTCCAGCCTGGGTGACAGAGCGAGACTCTGTCTCAAAGAAAAGAAAAGAAAAGAAAAGAAAAAAATTAGCCAGGCATGGTAGTGTGCGCCTGTAATCTCAGCTCTTCGGAGGCGGAAGTGTGAGGGTCACTTGAGATGGGCAGGTTGACGCTGCAGTGAGCTATGATCGTACCACTGCACTCCAGCCTGGGTGAGAGAGGGAGACCCTTCCTCAAAACAAACCGGGCACGGTGGTTCACCTGTAATCCCAGCATTTTGGGAGGCCAAGGCTGGTGGACCACTTCACGTTGGGAGTTCAAGAGCAGCCTGCCCAACGTGGCGAAACCTCATCTCAACTAAAAATATAAAAATCAGCCAGGCATTGTGGTGCATGCCCATAGCCTCAGCTATTCAGGAGGCTGAGGCAGGAGAATTGCTTCAACCCAGGAGGCAGAGACTGCAGTGAGCCGAGATTGCACCACCGCACTCCAGTCTGGGCAACAGAGTGAGACTCTGTCTCAACACCCCCGCCACTCCCCTCAACACACGCAACAAAATGTATAAAGAGTTCCTACAAACGAATAAGAAAAAAACATGAAAAATTGGCAAAAACACTTGAACAAGCACTTCACAACACAGGAAATCCAAATGGTTACTCAACACATGTAAAGGTACTCAACATCATTAGTAACTGGAAAAATGCAAATGTAAACCAAGATTGATGCCATTATACTCCTAGAAAAACAACAATTAAATCTGAGAATACCAAGTGTTGGCAAGGTGGCGGAGCACTAGGAACTCCTATAGACTCCAGTTGGAACAGTGAGATGGTAAAGCCCATTTTGAAACTTTGTAGTCAAGTCAAAAGAACTCAACTTATTACTCAACAACCTTTTTGGTTTCGGTTTGGTTTTCATTTACATCGAGGTTCCCTTTGTTTCTATTTCTTCACAACCATCCATGCCGGGGTAACTCCTTCCTGCGTCTCAAGCCCAAATCCCACTCTAGAAATTCACATTCCCATTTCTTTCTTTTTGTTTTTTTGAGACAGAGTTTCGCTGTGTCACCCAGCCTGGGGTGCAATGGCACAATCTCAGCTCATTGCAACCTCTGCCTCACAGGTTTCAAGCGATTTCATGCCTCAGACTCCCGAGTAGCTGGGATTACAGGCGTGTGCCACCAAGCTGGGCTAATTTTTGTATTTTTAGTAGAGACAGGGTTTCACCATGTTGGCCAGGCTGGTCTTGAACTCCTGGTCTCAAGTGATCCGCCTGCCTCGGCCTCCCAAAGTGCTGGGATTACAGGCATGAGCCACCACGCCCAACCTCACATTCCCATTTCTGACTCTATAGGACACAGGTTGTTTTCTTTAAGAAGATGCGGTATCACTATGTTGTCCAAGATGGACTCAAACTCCCGGGCTCAACTGATCCTCCCACCTCCCACCTCCCACCTCCCACCTCCCACCTCAGCCTCCCTAGTAGCTGGGACTATAAGCACGCACCACCATGCCCAGCTCTCATGTACTTGGACATACACAACAGGTTTAAAACATTTGTCCTGGCCGGGCGCGGTGGCTCACCTATAATCCCAGCACTTTGGGAGGTCGAGGCGGGTGGATCACAAGATCAGGAGATCGAGACTATCCTGGCTAACACGGTGAAACCCTGTCTCTACTAAAAATACAAAAAAATTAGCCGGGCGTGGTGGCGGGCGCCTGTAGTCCCAGCTACTCAGGAGGCTGAGGCAGGAGAATGGCGTGAACCCGGAAGGCGGAGCTTGCAGTGAGCCGAGATCGCGCCACTGCACTCCAGCCTGGGAGACAGAGCGAGACTCCGTCTCAAAACAAAAACAAAAACATTTGTCCCGATTACAAACAGCAGAAACATGCTTGTATATTTAAGAAACAATACCATACAGCACAAACATAATCAAAACTAAGCAAGTCACAAAAGATACTACAGCTTGAATGCCTTCATACACAATTCAAAAATAGGCAAAAATAAATTCTCCTGCTAAACATACATATGGTGGTGGTAAACTATAAAAGAAAACAAGGAGGCCGGGTGTAGTGGCTCACGCCTGTAATCCTAACACTTTGGGAGGCTGAGGCAGGCAGATGGCTTGAGCTCACAAGTTCGAGACCAGCCTGGGCAACATGGCGAAACCCTGTCTGTACAAAAAACACAAAAATTTTCTGGACGCTGTGGTGTGCACCTGTAGTCCCAGCTACTCAGGAGGCTGAGGTGGGAGGATGGCTTGAGCCTGGCAGGCAGAGGTTGCAGTGAGCCAAGATTGTGCCACTGCACTCTAGCCTGGACGATAGAGCCAGACCTTGCCTCAGAAAGAAAGGGAAGGGAGGCCAGGCACCGTGGCTCACACCTGTAATCCCAGCACTTTGGGAGGCCAAGGCGGGCGGATCACAAGGTCAGGAGATCGAGAACATCCTGGCTAACACGGTGAAACCCTGTCTCTACTAAAAATCAAAAAAATTAGCCGGGCGTGGTGGTGGGCACCTGTAGTCCCAGTTACTCGGGAGGCTGAGGCAGGAGAATGGCGTGAACCCGGGAGGTGGAACTTGCAGTGAGCCACTGCACTCCAGCCTGGGTGACAGAGTGAGACTCGTCTCAAAAAAAAACAAGGGGAGTGGAGGGGAGGGGAGGGATGGGGAGGGGAGGGGAGGGGAGGGGAGGGGAGGGGAGGGGAGGGGAGGGGAGGGGTGGGGAGGGGAGGGGAGGGGAGGGGTGGGGAGGGGAGGGGGGAGAACTTTCCTAAAAGTGAGAATACTGTTTACCTCCAGCCAGGGTTGAATACTTGGGTGGTTTGAGGGTCTGGTAGTCTTCCATTTCCTGACCTGGGTATTGGTTACATAGGTGTTTTATGATTTTTTAAGTGTATAAATACATTTTATGCACTTTTCTGTGTGTATGCTGTATTTCAGAATTTTTAATTTTAAAGTTTTTTTTTTTTTACAAGTTTACATTCTTGTTGTTCAGGCTGGAGTGCAGTGGTGCCAACATAGCTCACTGCAACTTCAAACTCCTGGGCTCAAGTGATCCTCCAATCTCAGCCTCCCAAGGAACTGGAACTACGGGTGCACACTACCACGCCCAGCTAATTTTTTTGTACAGATGGAATTTCACTGTGTTGCCCAGGCCGGTCTCAAACTCCTGGGCTCAAGGGATCCTCGCATCTCAGCCTCCCAAAGTGCAAGGATAACAGGCATGTGCCACCGCGCTCAGACAAAGGTTACTGTTAAGTCAAAAAAGCAAGGTGCAATATGCCTTGTATGGGACACTACCAGTCATGTAAGGAAGCCGGGGGCAAAAGAATACATATATAAATTTCCTTGCATTTGCATAGAATTTCTCCAGAAAAATACACGAGAACCTGGTAACATTGGTTGTCCCTGATCAAGGGAACTGGTTGTCCCAGATACAAGAATGAAAGGGAGCCATTTCATTATAGAAATTTTTATCTTTAAAATGAGAAAAAGAGGCTGGGCGCGGTGGCTCATGCCTGTAATCCCAGCACTTTGGGAGGCCAAGGTGGGCAGATCACAAGGTCAGGAGATTGAGACCATCCTGGCTAACACAGTGAAACCCCATGTCTACTAAAAATACAAAAAATTAGCCGGGTGTGGTGGTGGGCGCCTGTAGTCCCAGCTACTAGGGAGGCTGAGGCAGGAGAATGGCGTGAACCCGGGAGGCGGAGCTTGCAGTGAGCCGAGATGGCGCCACTGCACTCCAGACTGGGGGAGAGTGCAAGAGACTCTGTCTCAAAAAAAAAAAAAAAAGAGAAAAAGAAGGCCAGGCACAGTGGCTCACGCCTGTAATTCCAGCACTTTGGGAGGCCAAGATGGGTGGATCTCTTGAGGTCAGTTCAAGACCAGCCTGGCCAACATGGTGAAACCCTGTTTCTACTTAAAATACAAAATTAGCTGGGCATGGTGGCGCATGCCTGTAATCCCAGCTACTTGGGAGGCTGAGGCAGAAGAATCGCTTGAACCCAGGTGGTAGAGGTTGTAGTGAGCCGAGATCGCACCACTGTACTCCAGCCTGGGCGACAAGAGTGAAACTCTGTCTCAAAAAAATAAATAAATAAATAAATAAGAAAAGGAAAAAAAAGAAAGGCTAATATTCATCACATGGTATTCCAACTCTCCTTCCTTGAGACAAATGTTTGCATATTGTGACTATCCAGAGGCATTCGATGCATATACAAGCAAATACACATGCATCTTATTGTTTAAATATTTAAAAATATTTAACAGGAATGTTGGCATATCATTTACACTATTTGCAGGTTGCTTTTTTTCACTTAATATATTTTAGAGATTGGCCCAAAACATAAGCTTTTTCATGTTTTAAAAATTCTGGGTGGGGCCAGGCACAGTGGCTCACGCCTATAATCCCAGCACTTTGGGAGGATTGAGCCCAGGAGTTCAAGACCAGCCTGGACAACATAGTGAGATCGTGTCTCTACAAAACAATTTTAAAAATTAGCTGGGTGTGGCAGCACACACCTGTGGTCCCAGCCTCTCTGGAGACTGAGGTGGGAGGACTGTTTCAGCCCAGGAGTTCAAGGCTACAGAGAGCCTTGATCTTGCCACAGCACTCCAGCCTGGAAAACAGAGT
The DNA here is from genome assembly GCF_000001405.40 of Homo sapiens. Lineage (NCBI taxonomy): Eukaryota > Metazoa > Chordata > Mammalia > Primates > Hominidae > Homo > Homo sapiens. Next base: position 55,394,602 of record NC_000019.10, on the reverse strand, counting down.
GAGATTCTTTTTAAAAATATATATAAATAAATAGAAATTCTGGGCTAGGTGCAGTGGCTCACACCTGTAATCCCAGCACTTTTAGAGGCCAAGGCAGGAGGATCACTTGAGGTCAGGAATTCAAGCCCAACCTGGGTAACACAGTGAGACCTTGTCTCTACAAAAATATTTAAAACTTAGCTGGGTGTGGTGGAGCACACCGGTGGTGCCAGCTACTTCGGAGACTGAGGTGGGAGGATTGTTTGAGCCCAGGAGTTCAAGGCTGCAGTGAGCCGAGATTGTGCCACAGCACTCCAGCCTGAGCAACAGACCTTTATCTTTTTGTTTGTTTGTTTGTTTTTGAGACGGAGTCTCGCTCTGTCACACAGGCTGGAGTGCAGTGGCGTGATCTTGGCTCACTGCTACCTCCGCCTCCTGGATTCAAGCGATTCTCCTGCCTCAGCCTGCCAAGTAGCTGGGACTACAGGCGCACACCACCACATCTGGCCAGTTTTTAGTATTTTTAGTATAGATAGGGTTTCACTGTGTTAGCCTGGATGGTCTTGATCTCCTGACCTTGTGATCCGCCTGCCTGGGCCTCCCAAAGTGCTGGGATTACAGGAGTGAGCCACCGTACCCAGCTGAGACCCTGTCCCTTTAAAAAAAAGACTTGTAGCTGGGTGCAGTGGCTCACACCTGTAATCCCAGCACTTTGGGAGGCCAACACAGGCAGATCACCTGAGGTCAGGAGTTCGAGACCAGCCTGGCCAACATGGTGACACCCCCGTCTCTACTAAAAATACAAAAATTAGCCAGGCGTGGTGGCGGGCCCCTGTAATCCCAGCTACTTGAGGGGCTGAGGCAGGAGAATCGCTTGAACCCAGGAGGTGGAGGTTGCAGTGAGCTGAGGTCGCAGTGAGCCAAGGTCATGCCATTGCACTCCAGCCAGGGCGACAGAGCAAGACTCCATCTCAAAAAAAAAAAAAAAAAAACAAATTGGTGATTGGCAGGGCAGGGGCTAGAGGGGACATGAGTGGGAGTGGCTGCTTCATGGATACTGGGTGTCCATTCAGGATGATGAAATGTTCTGGAATAAGATAGGGGTTGTGGTTGCAAAGCTTTGTGAAGACTAAAAATCACTGAATTGTGCACTCTAAAAGCGTGGACTTTATGTTACGTGAATTATACCTTTTTCTTTTTTTGGAGACAGTCTTCATCTGAGCCTAGGGACCAGCTAGGAGCTTCAGGGAGGAGAGAGGCCTCAGAGATTACAGCCTAAGGAGGCTGGGGAGACTGGACAGGGCCAGATCCCGGGCCTTGCTGGCCCTAGAGAAAGGTTTGGGCTTTTATTCCTCATGGGGGTCGGGGGGGGGGGGGGGTGCGTCGGCCAAGGGAGGATGACAGGTCTCATTTATCATTTGTAAAGATCAATTTGCTACTGTGTAGAGAACAGCCTGGAGGGACAGCAGGGGAGCGGGCGGGTGTGGGAGGCCGGTGGGAGCTGGGGCCGCTGGAGGTGTGATTCAGACATGCTAGGGATGGCTGGGCCTGGGGGAGGGCCAGGTGTTCAAGAGGAACAGAGGAGAGGGGTGCTGGGGAGCCTCTGGGGGATTAGCCATTGAGGGGTGTGTTTAAATGAGTGGCTTCATCAATGCAGCGCTGATGGCCATCGAAAGGGGCCCGCAGCCTGTGTGTGCTGATGGAGAGACAGCCCAGTGCATTAGGGAAAAGGAGCAAGGGGGAGGTTCCTGTTGCCATGATCCAATCTGTGTAAGACATTAAAAGATGAGGCTGGGGCCGGACGCGGTGGCTCACGCCTGTAATCCCAGCACTTTGGGGGACCGAGGCGGACGGATCACGAGGTCAGGAGATCGAGACCATCCTGGCTAACACGGTGAAACCCCGTCTCTACTAAAAATACAAAAAACATTTAGCCGGGCGTGGTGGCGGGCGCCTGTAGTCCCAGCTCCTGGGGAGGCTGGGGCAGGAGAATGGCGTGAACCTGGGAGGCGTAGCTCACCCGAGGTCGCGCCACTGCACTCCAGCCTGGGTAACAAAGCGTGACTCCGCCTCAAAAAAAAAAAAAGATGAGGCTGGGTGCAGTGGCTCACGCTTGTAATCCCAACACTTTGGGGGACGAAGTCAGGAGGATTGCTTGTGCCCAGGACTTCAGGACCAGCCTGGGCAACACAGTGAGACCCTGTCTCTACAAAATATCTTTTTAAATTAGCCAGGCGTGGTGCTGCACACCTTAGTCCCAGCTACACAAGGGGCTAAGGCGGGACAATTGAGAGTGCCCAGGAGTTAGAGGCTGCAGTGAGCCGTGATTGCGCCACTGCACTCCAACCCAGGCAACAGTGAGACCCCGTCTCTTAGACAAACAAAAAGAGGAGATCTGCATGCATATGTGTGAAGTTTCCAAAAAGGAGAAGCACAGGTGGCTAACTTAGGGGCTGGGATTCTGAGATTTTCTTCCCCTGCATACTCTTCTTTCATTTGCAGTTTTTCAAGACCACATGCATATTTCATAATGAAAGATTTTAAAGTAGATGATTTTATTCTAGTAACTGGCTACAAGAGAAACAGGGGAATTGATACCATTCCTGGGCAGCGCCAAACAGCCTGGGCTGGAAATGCAGCTGAGGACAGAATGATATTCACAAACACGGGCAGGAGGCTGGGAAAGCTCACAGCCCCACAGGACGGCGGGGCAGACCTGGAGCCACCAGGCATTACTGCACATGGATCTGGCATGTCTTCCAGGTGCTTGGGAAACACGAGCATTAGTTTGTGTACAAATTAGTCATAGGCATGTGAAGACATCTGTGATCATGAGTCCATCTGATCAAAATATTTATAAAAAGTCATTAATTTATTCCTACAATCAGGATTTGTGGGCACAGTCAAGCAGGTTTTGCACATTTAATCTTCTCATCAACCCTGAGTAGTAGGGTCTATCGACACGCATGTTACAGATGAGGGTACGAAGACACAGAGAGGTTGAGGAACTTGCCCAAGGTTGCACAGCCACCGAGCAGCAGAGCCCTGACCCAGTAGATGCCAGCATGTCCTGTGAACAGAGGATGCCTCAGTCCCGAGTCTCTGCTGCTGTGGGGAGTCTGGAGTCCCCAGCGCTCTGCACAACTTTGGGCTTGGCAGCCTTCCAGGGTGCGCCCTACGCTCACTCACCATGCAGCTACTGGACTAAGAGCTGGAGAGACAGCAGTGAACACTGAGACACCTGCCTTATGCAGGGCTGTGAAAGGCACTCAAAATGGCCTTTTACATATGGGAAACTGAGGCACGGTGCTACTAAACGAGCTGCCCAAGTCCCCACAGCTGGGCATAACTGGCAGAGCTGGGACTGGAACCCAGGCAGTTTGATTCCTGGCTTCCGTGAACCATTAGCCCTGAGCTGGGAATGCTGCCGGGCATCACTCTTGGGGATAGGATGACCTGGGGGAGGTTCTTTCAGCACTCTGGATGTGTCCCCACTGCCTGGGCCTGGTTTCTGATGAGGGCAGCTACTAACTTTATCAGGGACCTTCTGTATGTGACAAGACGCTTTTCTTTTGTTCTCCCAATTTTGTCTTTGGCTTTCAGCATTTTTACTATGGTGAGCCTGCCTGTTTTCTTAATATCATGTTTTTGGTTTAACTGGTTTTCCAATTTCCAGGCCAACAGACATGATTTGTGTGAATAAAGCTGGAATAGATGGCCCCATCCAACATCTCTCTCTCCAAGATGAGGTCTAGAGGAGGGAAATGGTGTCTCCACGTTTGCTCAGCACACTGAGGACTCCAAACTCTGTGGGGCTGAGACCATCTCCCTCCCTCCAGCCCTCTCCTGGTTCCTCCACCCCAACCCACCGATAGCATTCAGATACCAGACGTGGCCTCCCCAGCCCAGCCACACAGACAGGCTGGCCACCCGCAGGAACAGAGGCCCACTAAGCTGGGCTGTGTTACGGATGAGACCAGGGGAGGCCACACAGCAGGGAGGATTCAGATAGGGATGGAGAAAGCCAGCAGGACTCCACAGGGGGTGGGGCCTAGAGGCACAAGCCTCCAGGGCAGGCAAGGAGGTGGTTAAGGACAAGGCCTTCTGAGCAGCAGCAGCCACATCAGAAAGCCTCGAGCGCCTGTAATGCCAGCACTTTGGGAGGCTGAGGCAGGTGGGTAATTTGAAGTCAGGAGTTCCAAACCAGCCTGGGCAAAATGGTGAAACCCCATCTCTGCTAAAAATACAATACTGAGCTGGGTGTGGTGACACCCACCTGTAATCCCAGCTACTCGGGAGGCTGAGGCAGGAGAATCGCTTGAACCCAGGAGGTGGAGGCTGCAGTGAGCCAAGATCGCGCCATTGCACTCGCCAGCCTGGGCAACAGAGCGAGACTCCATCTCCAGAAAGTCTCCAGTGAGCAAACTCTCAGGACCGGTGGGCTTTATACATTCAATATGCACCATTCATCAAGCATCTCATTATATGCTGGTGTGCTAGACAAACCCCTTGCCCACCAGCACAAGACAAACATGAGACAGATAAACCTGCCAGCTTGTGGGCTGCAAATCAGTGCTGTGGAGGACAACTGAAGCAGGTGCCAGGGGAGAGGCCTCACGAGAAGGGGCCATCTACTAACGTGAGCAGTGAGCTCTCCTTATGAAGGCGGAGTCCCAGCGCAGTGAGGCCAGCCAGAGATGGGCCTGAGTGGGACTGGGACAGTGGGGGCTCCTGAGCAGGTACGAAGTCACCAGCGGAGTGAGGCCAGCTGGAGGTGGGCCTGAGTGGGATTGGGACAGTGCGGGGGGTCCTGAGCAGGTACCAAGTCACCCAACTCAGTTTTAAGGCAACACCTCTCAATCTGAGCTAATAGACCCAACTAAGGGAAGGACAAAGGAAATGGTAATTCACAGCAGACAGGGGCTGGCAAGTGGTCAGATCTGCTCTCCTTCGAGCTGGGCAAGACTGGAGCAGACAGGACTGAGGTCGGAAGGGCAGTGGTCTGCCTCAAAACGCAGGGCTCCCAGCCCCGTACGACCCCAACCAATGGCAAGTCGAGGCCCTGACAGTCCCCTTACTCTCAGTCAGAGCCGGGGGTGGTCTCAGACAGGGAGCAGAGTCCTTCTTTGAATCGGGTACCCCAGGATGGCAGGAACCAGGGGTGCCATGGATGCTGGATCCTTGGTCCCTGGCAGTGGCTGACAGAGTTAGGTGCCCAGGAAACATGTGAGGATCAACAGCAGGACTCTTTCCCCATCCAGGCCTCACTGTGTGTCATGGTGTCTTCCAGGCTGGAGTGTAGTGGTGGGGCTCATGGGCTCACTGCAGCCTCATACTCTTGGCTCAAGTGCTCCGCTCACCTCAGCCTCTACTCAACCTCTGAGGAGCTGGGACCACAGGCGGTGCACCACCACACCCAGCTAATTTTATTTTAGAGACGGTGTCTCATTATGTTGCCTAGGATGGTCTCAAACTCCTGGCCTCACAAGCTGTAATAAACACTAGGGAGCAAACAGGCCAAAGGAAACAAGAGGGCTGGGCAATCAGGAAAGCTTGGGTGACAGGGTGGCCCAGGAGCGGCCACTGAGATGAGACCTAAGTGACAAGAGCCAGCTCAAAGAGACAGGGGAGGGATGGGGACACCTGGAGGACGGGAGTAGGGGGACAATGCTAAGGCTGCTCAATGCCTGCTGGCTGTACCCTGGGGCTGCCATCTCCCTTACAGTTATAAGCCACCACCCACCAAGTTGCCCATCTCAGAGATGAGGTTGCATCAAGTAAAGCCCATCCCCTCCAAATGTGGCTGCACCCACTCCCTGGATGCAAAAGTCATCTCATCTTCCTCCCGTGATGTCTGTCGTCCCCCAGGTCTTGGGAACACCCCAAGTCCCCAAACCGTGCTACAGCACCAGGGCCCAGGGCCCAGCCCTCAGCCTGCACCCTTCTGGGCTAGAAAAGGCCTTTCTTCTTCTGAATGGAAGCCACTGCCCCAGCTGGGATTCTTCAGGCCACCTCACAATGGGACAGTAGGTCTCAATCACAAGTCAGCAAACTTTTTCTGTGAAGACAGTGACCCTTGCCCTCACCAGGGACAAGGCAGCTACCCCACCCCTCCTGCATGGCCAGCCATTGACATCACCTCCAGATGGACAAGGTGACATGCAGAGTTTTGATGACATGGCCTGAATGACAACACACAGGGCCAGAGCTCCCCAGAGCGTTTCAAAAAGGGAGGCCCAGTCGAGGCAGGTGAGAAAGCCAGCTGACTTTATTGCTCTGGGGGCAGGGGGCTCAGGAGCTCTTGGTGGGGCGGGTCCGCTTCCTCTTCACCATCACAGGCTTCTGGCTGCGCAGGATGGCGCTGGCCCTGCGGATGGCTGCCTGGGGGCGGGGGAGCAGAGCAAGGCTCAGCCCATACACTCCACAAGCCGCCCCCTAGGCCAATGCTGGGTGTGGGGAGTAGGCTGAAAGCAAGAATCCATCCCTCTCCAGCCCATATTGCAACCAGTAGTGGGAGGCCCTTCCCCACAGCACTGGCCAGTCTCCCCAAGCCTGATCCCCAAACCCCAGCTCACCATGCGCAGGTCGGGGCGGTACTTGTTCTTGCGGATCATGTGTCTGATGCTGCTGAGCGTGGCGCGAGCATTCTTGTTGATGGTGGTCCGCACATAGGAGGTGGCAGGCTTCCGCTGGCCTGGTTGGGGGTCAGGGAGGTCCTGGGGTCAGTCCACCTAACCTGCACCTTTAGCACACCTCGCAGGTGTGGACAGTCTCACATTGAGAAGCTGAGCAGCGTGGGCCCGTGGCGGGTGCCTGGGCAGGCCAGCAGGTAGCTGTTTTCCCACCTGTCCATTTCACAGAGGCTCACTCGTCATCACGGAGTACTGAGGACACAGCTTCTGCCACACTCATAGCCCAATTCTGTCCACCATGAAAACACTCCTTTCTCATGCCAGAAAGCTGCCGCTTCAGTTAGGATCTGATCCAGGTCCAGCCAGAGCCCACGCTCCTGGCAATGGGTATGAACAGCTTCCCAGGAACCCCAGGCCCATCCCCACAGCAGTGGTTCAACATCAGCTTGGCTGAGAGGCCCAGCCTCACTCAGGCCAGTCCCTTAGTCTAGGAAGGGCCACCCATGTATTCGGCAATCCAAGAGGTGAAAGCTTTCAGGACTCCCCAGAACGGGGTCCCCAAGTGCCAAGCAATTGGCTGCTCCCTGGACTACGTGTCCCTGAGACAGGAGGATCACTAGCCAACAGACTGCGTTTGTTGCTGCCACTGAGTAAAAGGACCCTTGGCTCTGAGGCAGTTCCAATCAAGGACCTGAGAAAAACTCACTCTAAAAAGAAAATACAGCCCTGTCAAGAACACATGTGAAGCTGGACTCCTCCATTAGAGACCCCCGACTCACACGAACATTCAGGGAATCCCCAAAAAGGCCTGCACCTGACAGCACAATGTATGGAGTGGGGTCCCCAAGACCTCTTCTCTAACCTACACAGGCAAAATGGGAATCAAATGGCTGCAACCAACCCAGCCTGTCCCCTCCTAAGTGTGGTAGCGAGGGCCCCTCCCCTGTTGTGCCTCAATCTTCCCACCTGTGGGATGAAACCATCCATCCCCACCCTGACTTGCTTTGAGAATTTCATCTGAAAACATCAACCCCGTGCCTTAACTCTCAACAACCACCGAGGAAGTTCAGGTCCTTTTTCATTTCTCCACTTTACAGGTGAGGACACGGGCTCAGACGCGCGCGGCTCACAGAGCTGACAAGTCGGCCGAGAGGGAAGCCGGTACCCAGACCAACACCCTGGCGCCAGGGATGCCCGCCGCGATGGCAGTTACCGCTCTTCCTGCCTGACAGTAAAAAATCACAGCTCCCAGACCCGGGAAAGGGGCCGCTCTCTGGCCCAAACCAGACAAAACTCACCGGATCTCCGCTTAATGACCACCACGACACCTTTGCCGTCGGCTGCCGGCTCCACGCCCACAGTCTTGCGGTGAATCAGTCCGTTGTAGCGGAAGGAATTGCGGGCCTTCAAGTTATTGGGCTCCTGGGAAGGAGGCGGCACAAGGCATCGTGAATAAGGGACCCGGAGACATGCGAAGGTCCCGCCCTCTGACCCAGAGTCAAGAGACTCAGGACCCTCCTCCCGCAGGAGCCACGCATCCGGGCCCCACTTACAGTGCTGTAGGTCTGCTTATTCCTCTTGATCAGGAAACTGGAGCAGTTCCGCACGACCATCCATTGCAGATGCGCAGACATGGCGGCGGCTGCGGGGAAACGGGCACAGGGAAAGCGTCAGACACAGAGAACTAAAGCAGCGTTAGGCCACGGGCCACGCTCGGACAGCAGAGGAAGAGAGCGACTGGGAACTTGGGTGAATGGGAGACCCCTGAGGGCAGACAGCGACCTAGAACTCTTGTCAGGCGGGACTGAGTGACCTAAGGCGGCGGGACCGAATTCAGGCAGCCGAGACTAGCTGCGGCGAATGAGAGTGAGGGGAAAATAACTTGAAAATTCACAACGACTTCACGGGGAGGGGTTGGGGTCCGCCAATGACCCTTGAGGCGCAAGGGGAGAAGGCAGGCAGAGGACTGAGAGGGAGTGCGCGGCGGGCCGGAGATGGCGACCACGCGAGGAAGACGAACGCTCACCTCCCTTCGCAGCGGCGACCTGAGACGGAAAGAGGAAGGCGAGGGGCGAGGCGACGCCTTTAATACCGTACACGCATTTCCGCTTCCTCTCCGGGCGGGCACGACAGGAGTTGTCGGTCCCCACCTCCGAGGCGGCTCGATGATGTTCGGCTGCTTCCGCCGAAAATTCGCTCAACGCTCGGGAATATTCGGAACTCTTCGGTTAGAGGGCCGAGAGCGTATTCCGGGAACCGTTCGGAAGTTTTCGAAACTCTACCGCTGGATTTCCGAGTGGCTCCAATTCGAGAGGTCCTGGGACCCATACCTCAGCGTTATCTCTCCAGTATTGCTCACCCAGCACTTGTCACTGTGATTGGCATATGATGGGCGCTCAACAAACATTTGTTTTATGAATGAACTGGTGAATGCGTGAACTATATAAGCCTAGCCCCGGCACCTTTGGATATTTCCGGTCTTCGTAAGCCCTCGCGGTGATGGCCAATGAGGGCGCCGAGGCCCGCTCGGGTATTTTCGGAACCCTCCGGAAACGCTCTTGGGAGAGGTGTGTATGTTCGGAAATACTCCGTCTTCATTCGGAATCCCTCGGCTAATCCTGGCAGCCCTCTTGCAGTTCGCCCTCCCCAGGGTTTTCTTGAAATAAAACTCTTAAACTGTTTAAGCCTGGGGAGAACCTACACGGAAACTTCTCGCTGACTGCCACCCCAGGGGAGCGCGGATGCCCTCTAAGGGAGAATTGTTTGGAGGGAGGGAGATTTGCATGTGGCTTCTCTTGGCTCCCTTTAGGATTCTATAGATTTGCCGGTCCTCTTCCCTGCCCTCCACCTGTGCCTCCAGCCTATGGTGTGCCTGTCACACCCCATCAGCTCCCTGGGAGGTTATGATCCGTTGTCAGGGCCACCCTAAGGGGGCAGGAGCCTTGCCTGATATTTCTCTGTGTCCTCGGCCTCACCCACGCGGCATGGTGCTGGGGAGGCCTCAGAGACTCCTACTGAACAAAAGGAATGAGGGTGCCTGTGTCACCTCCCCAGGGCTCCTTAACTTGCGGTTACACCCGGGCACTCCTTGGGGCAGGGGCTTCGTCTGGTCCATAGGACTATCCTCCATAGGACAGTCGGGGTTCGCCCAGCTTCCTCCACGGGTGCGCTCTGGACCTGATGGGTCTCGTCCGTCCTTGTGCCCGTGGCTTCATTCGCTGAACACAGGAGACCCCAGAAGACACGCGCTGAGTGAAGGAAACTCAGCTTCCGCGGAACCCGGAGCTTCCCCTCTTAGATCACCCCGACTACTGGTTCTCGCGTCCCAGAGCTCCTTGGTGTCTAAAGGCCTTGTCTGATCTGCACTGTCTGATCTGCACAGGCTTCGGGAGGCGGACACTGAGCAGAAACAACGCCACGCCCGGCTCCGAGTGTCCCATGCTGCCACCACTAAAATGCCCTGATTTTTGGCCATATGTGACCTCCCTGGGTGGCACGGGCCCTAGGCACCCGTGGCTGTGCGCCTGGCTACCACCAGCTCAGGCCTCTGAGCAATAGCCCCTGCACGGAAACCACGACCAGGGTAACCCCGGCCGCGCCGGTTCGCGCCCAGCCCGGTTCAGGTGACCAGGCGGGAGCTTGGCACACCTGGCGCCGTCCCCTGACCCCGCCCCGGACCGGGCCGCACCCCGGAACGCTCTCTCTGGGCGCCAGCGGCGGCGGTGCAGGGCCATGGCGGCGGCGCCAGCGGTGTGCGCCTCGCAGGGGAGCCCGCCGGGTGCACCGTCCGCGCCGGCGGCCGCGCCAGCACCCGCGGCCGGCCTGGGCCGCTGCCGGATGGCGCTGCTGCTGGCCGTGGCGCTGGATGTGGCGGGCATGGCGGCGCTGCTGACCGGCGTGTTCGCGCAGCTGCAGGTGCGCGGCCGCGACTTCGGGGACCTGCTCATCTACTCGGGCGCGCTGCTGGTGTTCCTGAGCCTGCTGGGCTGGATCCTCTGGTACACCGGCAACATCGAGATCTCGCGCCAGGAGCTGGAGCGCGACTACGGCCTGCGGCCCTCGGCGCTCGCCCGCCTGGCGCGCAAGCTCTCCCGCCGCTGGTCGGCGCCCGCCGCCGCGGGCCAGCGCCCCGCGCCCGGCTCCCGGAGAGCGCGCCGAGCCGCCCGCGCGCCCCCGCCGCCCGCCGCCGGCTCCCGCCGCGTGCGCCTGCAGCTCGCCACGCTCGAGGCCGGGCCCGGGGCGGCGGGCGCGGGCAGCGAGTGAGGCCCAGGTGAGGGGCGGGCGGGGCAGGGCGGGGAGACGGAGGGACCGAGGGAGGGACGGGAATGGAGACAGACGGGGGAGCGATGGACAGATGGAGACAGAGAGCGGCCATGGGGAGGTAGAGTCCCAGGGCGGGGTGGAGACAGGGACGGGAAGGCTCTGGCGGAGAACCGCAGACACAGCAAGCACAGGTGCATACGTGGGGGAGGCTGTGAGACCCTGCCCCTGGAGATGGGAAGTGTGGGGGTCGAGTCACACAGTTAGGCCCCCCGCACGGGGAGAGCCCCAGCTTCCAGGTACACCAGGCCCCATTTTTTGTTTTGTTTTGTTTTGTTGTCGTTTGGGGTTGTTTTGAGACAGGATCTCTCACTGTCACCCAGGCTGGAGTGCAGTGGCGTGATCTCAGCTCACAGCAGCCTCGACCTCCTAGGCTCAAGCAGTCCTCCCACCTGAGCCTCCCAAGTAGCTGAGAATACATGTGCGCCCCACCTTGCCGGGCTAATTTTTGTATATTTAGTAGAGACGGGGTTTTGCCATGTGGGCCAGGTTGGTCCCCACCTCCTGAGCTCATGCGATTTGCTCTCCTCAGCCTCCCAAAGTGCTGGGATTACAGGCGTGAGCCACTGAGCCCAGACCAGGCCCCATTTAATCCTCTCCATGTAACTGGTCTCCAAGGTCACTACTATTACCATCCCCATTCTGCAGTGGAGGAAACTGAAGCGCAGAAAGGCGCCACATTTGCCCAAGGCCACACAACACGTAGGTGGAGGAGCTGGGATTCTCCTGACCTGTAGGCCTAGGAAAAGAGGAGCTGGGATTCTCCTGACCTGTAGGCCTAGGAAAGGAGGAGCTGGGATTTTCCTGACCTGTAGGCCTAGAAAAGGAGGAGTAAGAAGGACCAACAGCAGGAGAAATGAAGCCACCACACATTCACTCCCCTTTCCCCTCTACCTTCTATCTCTTTCCTAAACACACCTTTCCAGCTAGCCTGCCTCTGCTCAAAGACCTGCTGTGGCTCCCTCTTCACCTTTGGTTAAACTGAAGCACTCACTGGCCTGTGGACCCCCCATATTTTGGCCCCATTTCTCCTGCCTCTCTGCACTAATGGTGTCTCTTAGTCCACAGATAGCCAGTTGGTCCCTGTTCCTGCTCTTCTCTACACCAGGAGTGCCCTTGGCTGTCTCCACTCCACCCAGAAAACTTCTCACATGTTTAAGATTTAACTTAATTTCTCTGGGTCTTCTCTGGGTCTTCATATTGTCTGAGCGACCCCTCTTGCTGCTTATATGGCCATGTGCTGTGTCTATGTTGTTACTGTCTCTCCCACCTGACAGGGAGTGCCTTGAGGGTAAGACCTAGGTCCCTAGCGTCCTTGTTCCTAGCATTGCCCAGCAAAAAGTGTGAAATCAGGAAAGGTTGATGGTTGGGTAGGGAAGTGGAAGGATGGATGGAAGAACGGATGGCTGGATGGGTGGATGGGTAGATGGATGGGTGGATGGATGGATGAGTTGGTTGATGGATGCATGGGTGAATGGATGATAGATTGATAGATGGGTGGGTGGGTGGATGGGTAGATCGATGGGTGCGTGGATGGATGAGTTGTTTGATGGATGGATGGGTGAATGCATAGATGGGTGGGTGGTTGGATAGGTGGATGGGTAGATGGATGGGTGGATGGACGGGTGAATGGACAGATGGGTGGGTGGGTGGATGGGTGAATACATGGGTTGGTTGATGCAGGGATGTGGTTGGATTGACGGATGGATGGGTTGTTTAATGGGTAGATATGGGTAGGTGGTGAATTGGGCAATGAACCATGAATGGATATGGTTGGAGAGGGAGCCCTGCCTGATAAAGGGGCAAGAGCTTTTCCTGATACTTCTCTGTGTCCTCGGCCTCACCCATGCAGCATGGTACTGGGGAGGCCTCAGAGACTCCTACTGAACAAAAGAAATGAGGGTGCCTGTGTCACCTCCCCAGGGCACCTTAACTTGCGGTTACACCTGGGAACTCCTTGGGGCAGGGGCCTCGGCTGGTCCATAGGACTATCCATAGGACAGTCAGAGTTTGCCCAGCCTCTGTGCGCTCTCTGGATAGATAGGTAGATGGGTGAATGGGTAGTTGAATAGATGGTTGGGGCTGAATGATAAGTACACAGATGAGTGGATGAATGCATTTAATGGCACATGGATGGTTGGGTGACTGAATTCATCTCTCAAATAGGGTTTTGGTAAAAGAATTAAACCCTATTATCCTAGGACGTTCTATGTAGGTAAATAATTAACTTTTTTTTTTTTTTTTTTTTTTTTTGAGATGGAGTTACACTCTTGTTGTCCAGGCTGGAGTGCAGTGGCGCAATCTCGGCTCACTGCAACCTCTGCCTCCCGCGTTCAAGCAATTCTCTTGCCTCAGCTTCCCGAGTAGCTGGGATTACAGGCATGCACCCCCACACCTGGCTAATTTTGTATTTTTAGTAGAGACGGGGTTTCTCCATGTTGGTCAGGCTGGTCTCAAACTCCCGATCTCGGGTGATCCGCCCACCTCGGCCACCCAAAGTGCTGGGATTACAGGCGTGAACCACCGTGCCCGGCTGGAATTAACTTTTCTCCTATGCATCCAGAATGCTACCAGTTATATATTATTCTTTGTGAGATTTGGGGAAATAGTCACCCCAATCATATGCTACGTGCCGTGATTCAGTGAAGGAACTGGGGTAAGAAAGCATGAACATCTGCTTGCACGGGTGAAGCGTAAGCTAACATGAAGCTTGGCATAGAATGCAAACATAAGCACCTGTAGTTACTGTTACCTTTGGAAATCCTGGCTGAGCACAGTGGCTCATGCCTGTAATCCCAGCACTTTGGGAGGCCGAGGTGGGAGAATTGCTTGCTTGAACCTGGGAGGCAAAGGCTGCAGTGAGCCAAGATCACGCCACTGCACTCCAGCCTGAGTGACAGAGTGAGAACCCGTCTCAAAAAAAGAAAGAAAAGAACATCCTTTATGAGGTTGGGCATGGTGGCTCATGCCTGTAATCCCAGCACTTTGGGAGGCCGAGGCGGGTGGATCACCTGAGGTCAGGAGTTCGAGACCAACCTGGCAACCATGGTGAAACCCTGTCTCTACTAAAAATACAAAAATTAGCCAGGCATGGTGGCGGACGCCTGTAATCCCAGCTACTAGGGAGGCTGAGGCAGGAGAATCACTTGAATCTGGGAGGCGGAGGTTGCAGTGAACCAAGATCGTGCCACTGCACTCCAGCTTGGGCAACAGAGCAAGACTCCATCTCAAAAAAAGAAAAGGAGAGGAGAGGAGGGGAGGGGAGGGGAGGAGGGGGGAAGGGGGAGGGGAGGGGGAAGCAGGGAGGGAAGGGGGGAAGGGAGGGGAGGGGGAAGGGGGAAGGGGGAGGGGACGGGCAAGGGGGGAGGGGAGGGGGGAAGGGGGGAGGGGAGGGGAGGGGAGGAGAGGAGAATCCTTTACGTAGCTTAAACGTCTAACACAGCTGCACAGGCCTCCACTCTTGGAGCCTCCACCAAAGACTCAGACCACACTGACTCGAACGTAGGCCCCACTTAGAGGAAAATGGGCCTGTTCAAACCCAGGACTCTTGTTTACTGGGGAGAGTGAGCAGCTTCCAGCGCATGAAAGACAGAGAACCTGAATTTTAGCAGAGGGACCCACAGGTTCTGGCTCTGGTACCCCCACAACCTCCGAGACCACCATGAGTAGCCGGGCAGAGCCACCCCCATCACTCTGTTGTTCAGGCTGGAGAGCAGTGGTGCAATCACAGCTCACTGCAGCCTCCACCTCCTGGGCTCAAGCAATCCTCCCACCTCAGCCTCCCAAGGAACTGGGACTACAGGTACCAGAGACGGGGTCTTCCTATGTTACCCAGGCTGGTGTCAAACTCCTGGGCTCAAGTGATCCTCCTGCCTGCAGCCAAAATGCTGGGGTGAGGGTCTGAGATGAGGACCACGATGCCCGGCCTCCTTCTGTCTTCACTGTGTCTGCCTGTCTCCCTCTCTCTCACTCTTTGTCTCTGTGTCTCTGTCTCCCAGGTCTCTTTCTTTGTCCCTGTGCTTCTGCCTTTCCCCTTCTGCATGTCTTCGTCTCCCCCTTTCTGCCTCTCCCTGGCTCGCATTCCCTGGCCTCTACCCTTGGATTTCAGGGCGTTAAAGGTACACACGCATGCACACACTCAGCAAATGGGGGCATGCAGGGATGAAGGAGCAAGTGTGTGAGTCCATGTGAGCGGCAAGGGCAGGCGGATGGGGCTCCCTGCCTCTGCCCCCGCAGGCAGAGAGCCCGGAACAGGGATGGGAGGGGTTCCTGAGCAGTCGCTCACTCCACCCTCCCTCCTGCAGACAACCCCTTGGCTCCAGCTGTCAGGACCAGACTGAGATGTGCAGCTGCCCCTACATCCGTGGCCAGACGGACGCTCCCTGTACCCCCTCCCTCCTCACTTGGATAAAAAGCAGATTTGCCTTAGTGCTGCATGTCTGTCTGGGAGAGGGACCCTGCTGGGGTGGGAATGGAGACGAGGTGGCTTGCTTCCTTCTAGCACCCAGGTGGGCCTGGCCACACCTGAGGTGAGGCTGCCCCTGCCCTGGGGAGACCAGGAGCCCTGGGGATATAGGAGCCTAGCCTTATGCTGGCCCCTTCTCAGAGGGGGCCAGAGAGGGGGCGGGGGATAAGGATCTTAGCCCAGACCCTCCACTCTAAGCCCCAACATCCCTGTGTGAGTTTGGGTTCACTGAGAAGCAGACACAGAGACAAACTGGACTTGCAAGATATGTCTTGGGGAAACACTTTTGTAGGGTAGCTTGGTGCAGGGAGAGGGAGGGAGGGATGGGTAGGACTAGTCTTAGACTGTACCGCACCTCCAAGAAAATTGCCACTGGCCCCTGGGGAGCTGGGAGCTGAAGTCATCGTCCATGAGGGAGGCCCCTGCCCTTCGAGAAGGCACCTGTACCCGGAACCCCCACCCCTTGCCTCGCCATGCTCAGTTATTGGTGGAGAGCAACCCATGGTAATCTAGGTGCATCTGGGGTGGGGGCGGGGGGCACTGTCAGTCACTGGCACTCCATGTAGGAGACTGAGGGGCACGTTTCCACAGCTGTGGCGTGCCCCTCTCCCCACCCAGTCCAGGCACCCCTCAGACCCCACCACCCCCACATACCCCCAACTCCCTCATTTCAGACCCGCACTCCAGCACTCGTACACCTCTATCCCCTCAGTCCAGGGTCCCCATGATCACAGCCCAGGACACCCCCATGAGCGCAGATCCCCCTCAGCTCGGATCCTCCCCACTTACCTCCCAGATCTCTCTCATTCCAGGCTCCCCCTCAGCTCACACCCCCACGACCACAGCCTGGCGCCCCCTAAGCCTCCATCCCCAAGCCCCCTCCAGCCCCCACCTGTTACCCCAGCCTCTGTGTGCACCATGCCCCCTGCTCCCCACGGCTTTCAGAGAAGAGAACACACGTCCGTCCACCGTATCTGTATTGAGCAGTCCCCCGGGGACTCCCCTAATCCTCCTCTTCCTCGCCCTCTGTCTCCTCACCCTCCTCCGTCCCTTCCCCCTCGGTGCCTCCCTCCACATCCCTGGACTCTTTGGACAGGGCGACTGGCACGCTGCCCGTGGACGGCGTCTTCTTGGTCCCTCGGTGCTTGGAGAGCAGCGAGACGGACTTGGACATGTCACACGGACCCGCCAGGAAACCGGGCATATGCAGCACGTCCCGGCGCTTGGCCCACCTGCAGGGAGCGGACGGCTCAGCCCCCGCCCTCCGCCGGACCCTCCCCCTGGGGGTGCAGGCGCCCGCCCTATCCCAGGCCCACTCGCCAGAACAAGCAGATGCTGCAGCTCAGGAGGAGGAGGCCGCTGCACGTCCAGACCAGCGCCCACATGTGCTTCCTCCGCACGTTTTCTGGACAAGGGAGGCAGGGTTAAGACCCGGGGCTCCCGACCGCCAGACCCACGCCCCAGGGACCTGGGGCCAGGAGCCCTCACCGTCTGGACGCTGGTGGTAGCAGACCCCATTGCGGTAGCAGCACCGGAGACGCAGGCAGAGGTTGGGGCTATCGATGGCCGCCTGGCCCCCACAGCTCTCCCGGTCCCATATGTCACCCTCACAGCCTGGGGACCAACCACCAGTGGCTTGCTTCATCACAGCGCTCCGCTCCGAAGGCCTCATACACGAGATTCCAAGGCCATGCTCCCAGGCTGCCTTCCTGGTGCTTACTCTGTGCAGGGCCCCAGGGGTCCAGACTCCACCCCCTCCTCCCTCAGACCCAGGAGTCCAGGCCCCAGCCCCCTCCTTCAGACCCAGGAGTCCAGGCCCAGCCCCTCCTCCCTCAGACCCAGGAGTCCAGGCCCCAGCCCCCTCCTTCAGACCCAGGAGTCCAGGCCCAGCCCCTCCTCCCTCAGACCCAGGAGTCCAGGCCCCAGCCCCTCCTCCCTCACACCCAGGAGTCCAGGTCCAGCCCTCCTCCCTCAGACCAAGGAATCCAGGACCCCAGCCCCTCCTCCCTCAGATCCAGGGATCCAGGCCCCCAGCCCCTCCTCCCTCAGACCCAGGAGTCCAGACCCCCCCGTCCTCCCTCAGATCCAGGAGTCCAGGCCCCAGCTCCTCCTCCCTCAGATTCAGGGGTCTGATCTGGGCTCCCCTCCCTGGGTGACCCAGTATTTCAGCGGCTGCTCACTCCATGGGTAGAAGAATCCCTGGATTCCATTTCCGTCTGCGAGAGAAAGGGCAGTGTTAGGGCTGTGTGGAGCCGGGCGTCCCTCCTCAGCTCCCCCGCCTCACCAGCCCCTCACCTGCCGAGCCCTGCAGCAGCAGGAGCAGGCCCAGCGCTGGGATCCCACAGCCCAACATGTCACCTCCCCAGACCCCTGGGGCCACTGTGGGAAGAGGCCTTACAGGACATCACCCCAGCAACCGGCCCCGCCCGCCTGCCCGCCAGGCCCCAGGATTGTGAGTTCTGTTGCTAGGGAGTCAGGGGTGTGCTACGGACGTGGAAGGGCTTCACACCAGCCTGGCCATGCCTGGTCTAGGGTGTTGATTCTTTAGGGACCTGGTGGAAGAGTGGGGGCGTCTCAGGTTTAGAAGAGCCTCTTTGGCCACTTATGGTGGGAAAGAGAAGTCTGGAAGGGCGTGGGAGTCTGGGGCGTGTCTCCATATCACCCGGGGCGCCCTGAGGGGTGGGGAACTGGGAGGCTTTGCTAGGGAGTTTCTTTCCTAAGGAAACTGATACCTGAGAAGGTGGATTCGGGTGGCCCGAAGGTTCAGGAAACCCCGTTGCTAGGGAGTTTTTCGCCTTAACAACCAGGGGAAGGGGAGCTGTGAGACACAGAGGCCTCACTGAGCCCCATTGTTAGGGAAAGTCCCCCCCGCAATGAGAAGACCTGGGAGGGGGATGAGACAAGGGGCCGGAGCCTAAGTCCGGGGGTCTCCTGGTCCAGGGGTCTTGAGAAAGGCTTTTCATCTCAGCCCTGCCAGGCCTGCTGTCTAGGGAATGTTTAGCAGGGAAGGTGATAGGGCTGGGCGCGGTGGCTCACGCCTATAACCCCAGCACTTTGGGAAGCCAAGGCAGGCGGGTCACCTGAGGTCAGGAGTTCGAGACCAGACTGGCCAACATGGGGAAGCCCCGTCCCTACTAAAAATACAAAAATCAGCTGGGCGTGGTGATTACTTGCCTGTAATCCCAGCTACTCGGGAGGCTGAGGCAGGAGGATTGCTTGAACCCAGGAGGTGGAGGTTGCTTGAACCCAGAAAGTGGAGGTTACAGTGAGTCGAGATCGTGCCACTGCACTCTAGCCTGGGTGAAGGAGTGAGACTCTGTGTCAAAAAAAAAAAAGAAAAAAGAAAAAAAAAACAAACAGGGAAGGGGACAGGCCATGTGGGCCCCTGCTGAGTTTGAGGGCCTGGTGGGCCAGAGCTGCTCGGAGACTGTAATGGTGGCTCCTGGACAGGGAGCCCACATTTCCCTCCTGGATTTGTTTCCCCATCTGTGAACAGAGGTTAGGGAGTGGTGGGAGGGAGTCGGCTAAACGGAGATCCTGAAGCTTCCACATTGATTCCCCCCACCACTCCCCAGTGACTGAGAGAAAACTTGGCTTCCAAGAAGAGGAAACCGGAATGGGGGGCTGGGTTGGAACCATAATCCCTAGTGCACCCCAACTCATCCATTCAGCTTTGCAGCACAGTGAGGAGGGAGTCTTAGCTCCCTGGGACAGTCTCTGGGCTAGAAGTCCTGCATCTGAAGGAAAAGGGGGTTGTAAACTCAGACACCTGCATTAGAGGGAGAAGGGGCTGGAGCCTGGACTCCTGGGTCTGAGGGAGGAGGGGCTGGGGGCCTGGACTCCCGGGTCTGAGGGAGGAGGGGCTAGAGCCTGGACTCCTGGGTCTGAGGGAGGAGGGGCTGGGGGCCTGGACTCCTGGGTCTGAGGGAGGAGGGGCTGGGGGTTCCCAGACTCCTGGGTCTGAGGGAGAAGGGGCGGGAGCCTGGACTCCTGGGTCTGAGGGAGGAGGGGCTGGGGCCCTGGACTCCTGGGTCTGAGGGAGGAGGGGCTGGGGGGTCCCGGACTCCTGGGTCTGAGGGAGGAGGGGCTGGGGGCCTGGACTCCTGGGTCTGAGGGAGGAGGAGCTGGGGGGTCCGGGTCCGGGACTCCTGGGTCTGAGGGAGGAGGGGCTGGGGGCCTGGACTCCTGGGTCTGAGGGAGGAGGAGCTGGGGGGTCCCGGACTCCTGGGTCTGAGGGAGGAGGGGCTGGGGGCCTGGACTCCTGGGTCTGAGGGAGGAGGGGCTGGGGGGTCCCAGACTCCTAGGTCTGAGGGCTGGACTCCCAGGTCTGAAGGATGGGGCTGGGAGCCAGAATTGGGTCTGAGGGAGGAATGCCTGGGGACCTGGACTCCTGGGTCTGAGGGAGGAGGGGCTGGGGGCCTGAACTTGTGAGTCTGGGAGGATGGTCTAGGAGCCAGACCCCATTTCTCAGGAAGCCCCGTGGGGTGACTCCCCGTGTTACCCATCTCTCCTGTAAACATCCTGGTGGGTACTGAGTGGGCCCCGGGCTGCCTTCGTCAGAGATGACACAGGTTAGAGGGGGCTCTGCAGGGGGCCGGGGGTGAGGGTCAGAGGGGTTGTGGGGCTGAGGCCGGGCAGCTGCTGACCGTTTCCTGTGTCAACATCATCTGGACCCACTTCCCAATTCCCGGGATTCCTCAGGGATCAAGGAGGGGGTGGGGGGCGGGGCCGCCTGGCCTTGGACCGCGGCTTGGGACTGGGGGGGCCCCGCCGTCACGGCCCTCACCGCTAATGACAGGTTTGGGCTGCCTCTGTGGCCGGCCTGCCCCGTCACCCCCCAGAGGCCAGACGGGACCCCCCAGGGACTGACAGACGGACACACACACAGCCTGGGACCTGCTGACCTCACACCCTGCCGGCTCGGCTTCCCCCCGGGGCCGCGCGGGAGCCAGGACTCCCTGGCCATCCCCCATGTCCCCGAGGCTTCTCCTCAGTGTCTGTGACCACCCCAGGGCCTGGGCCCTGGCTGCCCAGTCTGTTTCCGAGCCTCCAAGCTGGTCTCTAGCTTCCACTGGGTTCCGTGGCGCTGGCTGCCTCCTGGGGCCTTTGCTGCCCCTGTCTCTCCAGCTCTGTTTGTCTCTGTCATCTGTCATTTTCTTGGGACTCCCCAGTCCTGCCTCTGGGTTTCTTTTCCGATCTTCATCTCTTGCTCTGTCTCTCTCTCTCTCTCTTTCTCTTGTTTGCACAGAAGTAGCCCAATGTGTCCCACCCTGGCCTGGGCAGACCCAGGAGTTGCCAGTCACTCCCAGCCCCGTCACTCTGCACCCGCCCCATCTACCTGTACCTCCTGCAGCCACACTGCGGGGACGGAGTCTGAGCCCACAACCCAGGGCTGGGGACCCAGACGAGACAGGAAACTGGCAGCGGCTGGGACCCCAGATTTGTCCCAGACCCATTACCTTCCCCACACATGCTCCCCAAAGTGCAGAAGGGCCCCAAGATCCTCCTCTACCTTTCTTGAACTAGAATTTAGGGCCTGGACTCCTGGGTCTGAGGGAGGAAGGCCTGGGAGCCTGGACTCCTGGGTCTGAGGGAGGAGGGGTTGGGGGCCTGGACTCCTGGGTGTGAGGGAGGAGGGGCTGGGCCTGAACTCCTGTGTCTGAAGGAGGAGGGGCTGGGCCTGGACTCCCGGGTCTGAGGGAGGAGGGGCTGGGCCTGGACTCCCAGGTGTGAGGGAGGAGGGGTTGGGGACCTGGACTCCCGGGTCTGAGGGAGGAGGGGCTGGGGGCCTGGACTCCCGGGTCTGCAGGAGGAGGGGTTGGGGGCCTGGACTCCTGGGTCTGAGGGAGGAGGGGCTGGGCCTAGACTCTTGGGTCTGAGGGAGGAGGAGCTGGGGGTCTAGACTCCTGGGTCTGAGGGAGGAGGGCCTGGGGGCCTGGACTCCTGGATCTGAGGGAGGAATGGCTGGGGCCTGGACTCCTGGGTCTGAGGGAGGAGGAGCTGGAGACCTGGACTCCTGGGTCTGAAGGGGAAGGGGTTGGGGGCCTGGACTCCCGGGTCTGAGGGAGGAGGGGCTGGGGGATTGGGCTCTGGTCCCTGTAGGTGGACGGGGCTGGCATTACCAGAACCCTTTTCTTGCTCCCCAGCTGGCCCCAGGCCAGTCCCCCATACCCTCGGGCTAGTCCATCCCCCAAGCTGGTGGCCTGAGTCACCTTGGCTGGTCCCGCCGGTCTGGGGGGGGCTACGTCAGCTCTCCCCTCACTGACGCAGCCTTGGGCCCCCCACACTGACTCAGCCGGAAGCAGGCCCCCTGAGGGGCGGAGACCCGGTGGTCAGAGGCCTGGGTCCCAGCAGGAGCTGGTGCTGGGGAAGGCCCCTGGGGGGCCCTGAAAGGGGTGGCTGTGACAGACCAGAGAGAGGGAGAGAGAGCTCTTACCTGAGGCGATGAGGTCATGTCCCACCGTGGGGGGGCTGTGACCTCACCTCCTTGGGGACCTGAGCAGTTGCCCTTCCAGTGGTGCTGGATTGGGAAGGGGAAGCCTCCAACCAGCCCGGCAGTCTCGGAGGCTGACACGAGGGGGTCTGCACAGAGCCTCAGAGCCCCCACCACCTCCGCGCTCTCAGTCCCATCCTGTCCTTCCCTGCCATCTAGGTCTGGGGGCTCTCGGGGACATGGCTTGGTACCTCTGCCCCTCGCTTGCTCTGTGGTGAATCCCGGGTCTCCTCTGCCCCCATGCCTGGGGCTGGCCCACTGTGAGCCTGGGTAGGCGTCGCTGCCTCCCCCCTGGCCTGTGGGTCCCCTCCCCCCTGCACTCCTCTCCTGCCTCCACCTCTGTGCGGTGACGTCCAGGGCTCTGGCCCCGGTGGTTCTGGCCACTGTCTCCGTGTCCCCACTGTCCCGTCTTCACCCCATCTTGCTCCTGCCCCATCTCTCTCGAAGGCGACATCTTTTTCTCTGTGTCCCTGATGTGTTCAGAAAAGTTAACGAGGGGAATAAGGATGGTCAGCACTGACTTTGTGCTTCACGTGAATGAGCTCGCTTTATCCTCATCGTGGCATTTAGGCGGATGAGGGTGCATCATTAACCCCCCTTCACAGATGAGGAAACTGAGGCACAGAGGGGGAGAGTCGCACATGGAGGTCTTGCCTCTATGGAGTGTCTCAGCGCCTCTTGGTCCTCAGTCTCCGTCTCTCCTCCTCCTTCCTGTCTCCACCTGCCTCTTTGAGAAAGGCTTTTCAAAAGGCCAGGCGTGGTGGTTCACACCTGTATTCCCACCACTTTGGGAGGCTGAGGCGGGAGGATGACCTGAGCTCAGGAGTTTGAGACCAGCCTGGGCAACATGGCAAAACCCTATCTCTACTAAAAATACAAAAAATAGCCAGGCATGGTGGCGGGTGCCTGTAATCCCAGCTACTCAGGAGGCTGAGGCATGAGAATCACTTGAACCTGGGAGGCGGAGGTTACAGTGAGCTGAGATCACACCACTGCACCCCAGCCTGGGTGACACAGCGAGACTCTGTCTCAAAAAAACCAAAAACGAGGCCAGGCACGGTAGCTCACACCTGTCATCCCAGCACTTTGGGAGGCCGAGGCAGGCGGATCACGAAGTCAGGAGTTCGAGACCAGCCTGGCCAACATGGTAAGACCCCGTCTCTACTAAAAATACAAAATTAGCCGGGTGTGGTGGCGCACACCTGTAATCCCAGCTACTTGGGAGGCTGAGGCAGGAGAATCGCTTGAACCCGGGAGGTGGAGGTTGCAGTGAGCTGAGATTGTGCCATTGATCGCGCCATTGCACTCCAGCCTGGGTGACAGAGTGAGACTCAGTACCAAAAAACAAACAAACAAAAAACAAACAAAAAATGAGAAAGGCTTTTACTCTCTGCCCCCATTGCTGAGTCCCCAACATCTCAGCGTCTCTGTCTTTCTAATATCTCTGTCTCCCCTTTTCTGTCCCTGGGGCCTCTCCGTCCCTGTCACTCTGCCCCGTGTCTCTGTTTGCCTGGTGCCTTTCTTCAGCTGCGGCATCCTCTGTCTCAGAGTCTTGGTGTCTCTGTTCCTTTCCCCTCGGGGTCTCCCTGGGTCTCCCCAAGTCCCTCCTGCTGTCTTCCTCCCGCTCTCTGATCTCTGACTCCCAGAACCTCTCCCTCTGTCTCCAGGGCTGCCCCTCTGATCCTCTTTGCTTCTCTGGTGTGTCTCTCTGGCTGCCTCCATCTCTGTGGATCTCCATCTCCCTGTCTCTGTCTCAGTCTGTCCTTCACTCTGTGTGTGTGTGTGTCTCTCTCTCTCTCCTTCCCTTCCACTCCCTCTTCCTCCTGCCTCCACCTCTCCAGGCCCCTGTCTTGTCCCTCCGTCCGGCCTTTCTCTGCCTTTCCGTCCTCCTGCCTCCCCATCTCTCTCTGCTAGTCCTGGTCCAGCCGGACCCCCACCCACAGTCGGGCCCCAGCGCTTGAGCCTGAGTGTCTGCTCCGGCCCGTGGAGGTGGAGGGAGGGGACGCCAATGACCTCACCAGCCCCTCTCCGACCACCCCCCCCTTTCCCTTTTCAACTTTTCCAACTTTTCCTTCCGTGCCCTCCTCCGAGCGCGGCGGCGTGAGCCCTGCAAGGCAGCCGCTCCGTCTGAATGGAAAAGGCAGGCAGGGAGGGTGAGTCAGGATGTGTCAGGCCGCCCTCCCCTGCCGCCTGCCCCCCGCCCGCCCGCCCCAGCCCCCTATATAACCCCCCAGGCGTCCACACTCCCTCACTGCCGCGGCCCTGCTGCTCAGGGCACATGCCTCCCCTCCCCAGGCCGCGGCCCAGCTGACCCTCGGGGCTCCCCCGGCAGCGGACAGGGAAGGGTTAAAGGCCCCCGGCTCCCTGCCCCCTGCCCTGGGGAACCCCTGGCCCTGTGGGGACATGAACTGTAAGTTGGTTCATGGGGAGGGTGGAGGGGACAGGGAGGCAGGGAGGAGAGGGACCCACGGCGGGGGTGGGAGCAGACCCCGCTGAGTCGCACAGAGAGGGACCCGGAGACAGGCAGCCGGGGAGGAGAGCAGCTTCGGAGACAGGAGGCGGCGGAGGAGATGGGCAGAGAGAGACACAGACAGGAGCGGATGGAGGCAGCCAATCAGAGGCGCCGCAGGAGGGACGGGCCAGACAGGGCCCCGAGAGGGAGCGAGACGCGGAGACCGAGCAGGGGCAGGGACGCAGGGACTGGTGCCGGGAGGGAGGTGACCCCCATCGACCCAGGCCCCAGGGAGCCCGCGGGGACCGGGAGACTCCCTGGGATTCCGGCAGAGAGGCTCCGGAGGGAAACTGAGGCAGGGTCCGCGGAGAGCGGAGCAAGCCAGGGAGTAGCGACCCCAGCCGGGGGGAGGAGAGAGACTGGGCGCGGGGGGAAAGCGGGGAGAGCCGGGCAGATGCGGCCGACGGAGGCGCGGACAGACCGACGGCTGGCGGGCCCGGGGGGCGGGCTGGGGGTGTGCGAGGCGCGGGCGGCCGGGGAGCGCTGATTGGCTGGCGGGTGGCCGGGTGGGCGGGGCGGCCGGGGTGGGCTGCGGGGAGCGAGCTCCGGACCCCCGCGCCCCCCGCGCCCCCCGCGCCCCCCGCCGCCAGCTCTCCCGCTCCCGCGGCCCGGCCGGGCCCATGGCTCTGCCCCTCTCCGCCCAGGTGCGCTGCGGCCCGGGCTTCTGCCGCCCACCCGGCGGGGCTCCTGGGAGGGCGTCTAAGGGGTCTCCCGTGGGAGAGGTCCGTGTCTCCCGGGCTCCGTCCTGGCTTCTGGCTCCTTCCCCTGCTCCCAGCCAGCTCGGGCTCCCGCGGCCCGGGGAGGGGGCAGGTTCTGGCCTGTGCCTCCCCCACCATGCCCCGCCCCGGGGCCCAGATTCCGGCGTCCGGGGGCGGACGGGAGACGCCCGGCCCGTCTACCCGCCCCGGGCCGCGTCTGCTCCGACGGGCGGGGCAGCCAGAGCCAGGGAGGGAGAGGGAAGCCCGCCTGGCCCTGCGACCTGCCCGCGGGCGTTCCACCCTGGGACTTAAGACCTCCAGCTCCATCCTCCCTAAGGCCGGGAGTCCAGGCCCCAGACCCTCCTCCCCGAGACCCAGGAGTCCAGACCCCAGGCCTTCCTCCCTCAGACCTAGGAGTCCAGGCCCCCAGCCTCTCCTCCCTCAGACCCAGGAGGAGTCCAGACCCCAGTTCCTCCTCCCTCAGACCCGGGAGTCCAGGCCCAGGCCCTCCTCTCTCAGACCCGGAGTCCAGCCTGAGCTCTCTGCCTTATCCTGCCCCCAGGTGTTTGCCGCCTGGTCCTGGTCGTGCTGAGCCTGTGGCCAGATACAGCTGTCGCCCCTGGGCCACCACCTGGCCCCCCTCGAGTTTCCCCAGACCCTCGGGCCGAGCTGGACAGCACCGTGCTCCTGACCCGCTCTCTCCTGGCGGACACGCGGCAGCTGGCTGCACAGCTGGTAGGAGAGACTGGGCTGGGGCCAGCACAGGAGTGAGAGGCAGAGAGGAACGGAGAGGAGTCTGCGGGCAGCCACTTGGAGGGGTTCTGGGCTCTCAGGTGGCAGAGTGAGGGAGGGGAAGAGTTGGGGGCCTGGCGTGGGGGATGGAGGGAGCCCCGAGGCTGGGCAGGGGCCACCTCACAGCTTTTTTCCCTGCCAGAGGGACAAATTCCCAGCTGACGGGGACCACAACCTGGATTCCCTGCCCACCCTGGCCATGAGTGCGGGGGCACTGGGAGCTCTACAGGTAAGGGCAAGGGAGTGGGCTGGGGACAAGGTGGGAGGCAGGCAGTGAAGGGGGCGGGGAGGATGAGGGGCACTGGTCGGGTGTTCTCTGATGTCCCGGCTCTATCCCCAGCTCCCAGGTGTGCTGACAAGGCTGCGAGCGGACCTACTGTCCTACCTGCGGCACGTGCAGTGGCTGCGCCGGGCAGGTGGCTCTTCCCTGAAGACCCTGGAGCCCGAGCTGGGCACCCTGCAGGCCCGACTGGACCGGCTGCTGCGCCGGCTGCAGCTCCTGGTATGTCCTGGCCCCAAGACCTGACACCCCAGACCCCCACCCCTGGCCCCAAAATCCTGTGGCCTGAGTCCTTGAAGCCTGAGACCCCAGACCCGAGTGCAACAGCCCCGCTCTGAGACCCTGACACCCTAACAGCCCGCTCTGAGACCCTGACACCGTAACAGCCCCGCTCTGAGACCCTGACCCTAACAGTCCTGCTCTGAGACCCTGACCCTGCAGTCCCAAGATCCTGTGGCCCTGAGACCCTGAGGCCCTAGACCCCCAAATCCTGCCCAGAAACTTCAAATTCTCACCCAAGACCCTGAGACTCCATCATCCATGACCTCAAAGTCCCCAGATCCCAGCCCCTAAGACCCAAGACCCCATCCTGAAGCCCAAAGCCTTGAGAATTCAAATCCTCACCTCAAGACTTGGAGACCCTGGCCCCATGACATTGAAAACCATGGACCTGGCCAGGCGTGGTGGCTCACGCCTGTAATCCCAGCACTTTGGGAGGCCGAGGCAAGTGGATCACCTGAGGTCGGGAGTTCAAGACCAGCCAGACCAACATGGTGAAACCCTGTCTCTACTAAAAATACAAAATTAGCCAGGCGTGGTGGTGCATGCCTGTAATCCCAGCTACTTGGGAGGCTGAGGCAGGAGAATCGCTTGAACCTGGGAGGCGGAGGTTGCAGTGAGCCGAGATCGCACCATTACACTCCAGCCTGGGCAACAAGAGCAAAACTCCCTCTCTCTCAAAAAAAAAAAAAAAAAAAAAAAGAAGGAAAAGAAAACCATGGACCTCCAGACCCTGAGACCCCAGGCCCCAGCCCTGAGATCCTGACATCTTAAAGATCCCAGGCCCTAAGATACAAGACCTTGACCCAAAGCCAGCCTTGGGACCCTGGCTGTACAAACCCAAGACCTCCAGGACCTAGACCCCGAGCCCTGAGGCCCTATGTCTCACTCCCAACATCGAAAACCCTGACACCTCAGATCCTGAGCCTGCGCCTGTACGACTCCAAGACCCTCACTTCCAAAGCCAGGCCCAAAGCCCTGAGACCAGAAGACTTCAAACCCTGGTTCTTGGGCCTAACTCCAAAGACCCTGGATCTCAAATTCCAACTTCTAGCTCTGAGACTCCAGCCCTCACCCATGAGTTCCTGAACTTGAACCCAGAGACCCCATCTCTAAGACTTCAGCCTTGAGATCCAGGGCCTGACCCTAGACTCGAGCCCACAGACCTCAGATACTGTCTGTAAAACCCCAGCTCTGGTGGGGAGCAGTGGCTCACTCCTGTAATCCCAAGGCAGGGGAGGCCAAGGCAGAAGGACCTCTTGAGGCCATGAGTTTGAGACAGCCTGGGCAGCATAGCAAGACTCTGTTTCTTAATTATTATTATTATTATTATTTTTTGGAGACAGAG
Source organism: Homo sapiens (assembly GCF_000001405.40). Classification (NCBI taxonomy): domain Eukaryota; kingdom Metazoa; phylum Chordata; class Mammalia; order Primates; family Hominidae; genus Homo; species Homo sapiens. The sequence continues at coordinate 55,366,804 of NC_000019.10, read as the reverse complement.
TCTCGCGCTCTGTTGCCCAGGCTAGAGTGCAATGGTGCCATTTCGGCTCGCTGGAACCTCCGCCTCCTGGGCTCAAGCGATTCTCCTGCCTCAGCCTCCTGAGTAGCTGGGACTTCAGGTGCACACTGCCACACCCGGATAATTTTTTTGTATTTTAGTAGACACAGGGTTTCACCGTGTTGCCCAGGCTGGTCACAAACTCCTGAGCTCAGGCCATCCGCCCGCCTCGGCCTCCCAAAGCGCTGGGATAACAGGCGTGAGCCCCCGCGCCTGGCTTCTTAATTGTTCTAACAGCAGCCACAACAACAAAAACCCAGCTCTGAGATTCCAGCCCCGGCGACTCTAACAGTCCCAGGCCCGATCCCTCACCTAGAACCGAGATGCCAGCCCTGACTCCACAGACTTCACCCCCAACCCCCACACTCAGCTCTGGAAGCCCGTCCTGACTCCAGCCTCCATTTTCGGAACCCCACAGCCTGAAGAGCTCCCGGCCTAAACACTTCACCCCACGCGCCACAGTCCCCCTGTGAATATGCAGCCCCGATTCAGCTGCAGCTCCACAGCACCCCTGCCCTGCACCCCCGCTGCACCCCCTACCTGTGACTCACCTCTCTCCTCTCCCCACAGATGTCCCGCCTGGCCCTGCCCCAGCCACCCCCGGACCCGCCGGCGCCCCCGCTGGCGCCCCCCTCCTCAGCCTGGGGGGGCATCAGGGCCGCCCACGCCATCCTGGGGGGGCTGCACCTGACACTTGACTGGGCCGTGAGGGGACTGCTGCTGCTGAAGACTCGGCTGTGACCCGGGGCCCAAAGCCACCACCGTCCTTCCAAAGCCAGATCTTATTTATTTATTTATTTCAGTACTGGGGGCGAAACAGCCAGGTGATCCCCCCGCCATTATCTCCCCCTAGTTAGAGACAGTCCTTCCGTG